>NC_000001.11:217559587-218184587 GCF_000001405.40 Homo sapiens
AAGGAAGGGTAGAAACACTGAAAAGCAGGCAAGGTGAAAGCAAAAGGGAGGGTGATCCCAAGAGAGCCCAAGCCTGGTTGAGAATGAATGAGAAAGAGAGCAGGTGAGCCTGAGAGACAGCAAGTGAGCCCCAGCCCAGTTCAGGGAGAAACCAGAGATTGAGCTGGGCTAAAGACAGACACCACAACAAGTGAGAGCCCAAAAATGCTTGAGAGAGACAGCCTATGAACCCATTAGCACACACAAGAAAGAGAGACAGAGATCAAGAGACACAAAAATCCAGAGGGAGAGAGAGAGAGAGAGAGAGAGAGAGGTCTATACCCCTCACTCTCCCACATCAGGCTATTCTAGGCTTGGTTCAAGCGATTCTCCTGCCTCAGCCTCCCAAGTAGCTGGGAGTACAGGCACACGCCACCATGCCTGGCTAATTTTTGTATTTTTAGTGGAGATGGGGTTTCACCATGTTGGCCAGGATGGTCTCGATCTCCTGACCTCAGCCACTGCCTTGGCCTCCCAAAGTGTTGGGATTACAGGTGTGAGCCACCATGCCCGGCCAGAATGCCTTTTATTCTTCCTCTCCACCTCATTTTCCTGGTTACTCGTGTTTGTTTTGCAAGGCTCAGCTTAAGAAGCTTGTACTCCAAGAGCCTTGCCTACATCCACCTTGTGAGTGCATGCTACTTGTCCTTCCTCGCTATACCCACAGTATCCTATTCCTTGTATGTTATCACAGCTCTGAGCAAATGGTTTTGGAAGTCACTGTTTGACTTTCTTCATCATTTAACTCCTCAGGGGTATTTGTTTTCCTCTTTGCTCATCAGTGTCTTGCAAATAGTGGGGCTCAATACATGTTGAATGAATGAAAAAACCCAGTTTTTCCATTTCTGCACAAACACTTTCCAAATATAATAAAATGCAGCAGCCAATTCTCACCTATATATACTTTCTTGAACACATTTTGCCTTAAGGTTATCAAATAAAACATTAAGTGAATATGCAAACTTCAAACATTCGGAATATAATGGCCCAACAATTATGAACCTCCAATTCTGTAGGTGCTTCATTTACAGCAGAATTTCTCAACCCCTGCATGATTGACATCTGGGGCCAGGTTAATTCTTTGCTGTGGGAGACTGGTGTGTACACAGGATGCTTAGCAGCATCCCAGGACTCTTCCAACTGGAAGTTAGTAGCATTCCCAACCCTGTTTTAACAACAAAGAATGACTGTCTGTCTCCCATGGCGGTTATATTTTCTTCAGGTACTAATCAGTTAAAGTTTTCATTTTTCACTTTCTCTGTGTAAGATGGCACTATTTTAAGATTTTAACTTTAAAAGTTGGCATAGACAGTGGTAAGTGTTATTTAATGGGGTAGGGAAGAAGGATGCTCAGTTAGTCCTAATTTCATTTGAAAAGGTAAGGGAATACTCAAAGTTTAAAAATAAACAGTTTTGATAATGTGAGTAATTCCATTCACTTCTGGAAAACAAACAGACAAACAAACAGACAAAAACAAAGAAAGAAAAGACCTCTATACTATTTGTGCATTATTTACACCTTCCTGAAATGCTGCAGTTTTCAAAGTCACTTCTGCAATACACTTGGTTTTTCCTTGAATGCAGAATCAAACCAGACATTTAAAATTACAACTCAACATGAGGGTCAATAACTGCATCTGCTACAAAACTTAATAAAATAATCATAAACACCATTGCTTTGCTGACAGGAGGAGCTCTGGTGTCACTAAAACTGAAGAAAAGGTTTATCTAAAAACATACGCACAGCAGTTACTGAGATAAAATCACACTTGGAGAATAAAAAACTGAAAAATAGGTGACACTTCAAGCAGCGAGAAGATGTATGATGACGTTTGTCATCGAGGTGTGTGTGTGTATTTAATGCATTTTAGGCAAGCCCACCATATTCAGTAGAAACTCCTTCTCTTTTTAACTGCACAAAATAATCCTGTTTATTCTTTTCAAACTTTGATTTGTGCCAAGTTCATTTTCAAAACGGTGTCTTCACACATCGGTATTTCCTCTTCTGCCAATGGTCTTTTCCCCACTTTCCTCTGAGATAAATGTGGTTATCTAGAGCCTGGCTCACTGAAAGTCTGAGTGACCTACAGACTTTCAGAAACCAGATCATCACCACTGTTTTCATCCCTTGACAAGTGCAAGAAGTAGAGGAGAAACATGGGGTACACAGCTCACAGACACTCTCCTCTGCAGGGTATGATTAGGTACCTGCCTTGCTTCTGAACGGACCCAAAGGATCTCTAACAGGCAATGGCAAGCCCTTAAGGATAGAAAAATTATTCTCTCTGGGGACTGGTTCTAGTTTGTGTTTTCTCAAGCAGGTATACTGGAATTTCAAGGAAGAATATCTCTCTTCAATCAGGCATGCCAAGTTCTGAACATACCTGAGCATACAACTTTTCTCCTTTCTACCACCAAAGCCCCGCAGTGCAAGAAAACTATCACCACACTAGTGCCCCAGCAGTCAAGATCAACCTTAGCAATTCCAAATGATCTGAAAAGTACTCCAGTGCTTGGGGAGGAGACAAGTGGCTTAGAAATACTACTGAAATTAACACGGAATGCCCCCCTCCCTTTTTTAAAACACAGCATTGGGTTTATTAACTTCATAAACAGGTGTAAACAGAGGTCTAGGAATAATGTTACATGGAGTAGAGCATATTATTTTGTAACTTTTTCGGCAGGAAAATTTTCCTAATAAAAATCTTGCTTGGAACCTTAAGGCTAAGTGAATTACTATGATGGCAGGCTGGATTCCTATCCTCTTACCCATGCCTTGGCACCTTCACTAGGCCTGAGGCAACTTATGGGAATCAAGGGCTTCATGGAACACAGTTGGAAAACTACTAGGACAGAGAAACACTGATCAAGAAAATATGGGGCTTGGTTTTAAGGATAGAAAGAGAAATTAACAAAGACGAGGGCAACAACAATGAACCTAGAGTGAAAAGATCCAGATGTGAACCACACTGTACATTTACCAGTGGTCTAATCTGAAACAAGTTTTCGGCTCACTGAGCTTCCATATTATCATTAATAAACTGGAGATAGACACATATGTTCAAACCACAGGGTTTGCTTAGTATCATGAGTCACTTACTAGCAATGTGATCCTGAATAACTCACTTAACATCTCTGCACTTTGGTTTCTTCATCTGTTAAAACGGGATAATACTCTCTAATTCATGCAGTTGTTGTAAAGGTTAACTAAGACACTTGGCACCCAAAAAAACAGTACAGATCAGCTATTCTTCCTACTCTTTTCTAGTAGTAAACTTTGAAAACTTTAACAGTACTATGAAATATTGGGCAACACACTATTTTTGTTCTATGAATAAACTTCTGTTGTTATTGCTATTGTTAATGACTTTGGACAAGTTTGCTAAGTTGCTATGGGGTTTCTATTCACTCCAAACTACACTTGGACTCCAAAGTACCCAGTTGTCTGATATTTATTCTCAAATTTAGACTATCCCACAAGTAAAGGTAATATCCGTTCCTACTAGCCTAGCTTAACATCCCTAGCTTGAATTCCTTTGCAGAATTTTGCATTAAGCCAGAAGATTCTCCAATGGAGCAACAATTTATCTTGTAGTTATACAGCCACTATTAGGTCTTTTCCTTGAAGTAATGAATTGCATCTAGTATATATTCAGGAACCTTAAAAACTACAAAAAATAGTTATACTGCTCAACCCTTCAAACTTCAAATAAATAAAAAATCATACTATATAAAATGCTGCCTCCTCATGGACTGAGCCAAAATTAATAAAACTGGTTCTATGGTAAACAAACATCTTTTTTTCTACTGAGACCTACCATGATAGTGAGACAGAAAAAACCTAGAGGTTAATGAGTTCAGTCCTATATATCCACAAGAAAGAAATCTAAGTAAGAATTTGATTGACATTGATAAAGAAATAAGGTACATTTTCCTATTATTTGATGCTGACATCCTATTTTCAATACCTAAAAAAGCTTAAACTTCCAGAAATTAAAACAGGAGAGAAATAATTTTTGACCCAACATAACTATAATGCTCTACAAAGTAAAAAGAAAACAAATATTGCTATCTCTAACTACAGTTATATAGACACGTCAGAAGAATGAAGAGAAAGTTTTAAAGAAGTATATGTAGGCCGGGCGCAGTGGCTCACGCCTATAATCCCAGCACTTTGGGTAGCCAAGGCGGGTGGATCACCTGAGGTAAGGAGTTCGAGACCAGCCTGACCAACATGGAGGAACCCCGTCTCTACTCAAAATACAAAATTAGCCAGGCGTGGTGGCGCATGCCTGTAATCCCAACTACTCAGGAGGCTGGGGCAGGACAATCACTTGAACCCGGGAGGCGGAGATAGTGGTGAGCTGAGATCGCGGCATTGCACTCCAGCCTGCGCAACAACAGCAAAACTCCGTCTCGAAAAAAAAAAAAAAAAAAAAAAAAAAGAAGTATGTATAAAAACGATAATTTATTCCAGAATAATTTGAAGACAGAAAGGAATGTTGTGAATTACTCAAAGAGTTCAAAAAGTTTCTTTAATATCTTACTCGAAGTCCGATAAAAATCATCACTGTAAAAAAGGGTAACGTTATTTGCAAATTGAGCAAGAGGACCAGATGATAGCCATATATAATCAGTTGTCACCTTGCAGCTCAATTAGCCCTCATGTAAAAACGAGGCATGTAAGGAGAAATGAGGTTTTGACATTATCTCTGCCAGCAAGATAATTACACAGCCTTCATTTAACAGTAGGGCAACACTACTGTAGCAACAAATTAACTCAGCTCCATTTGCAATTCATGGTGTGTTTTCTCATTTAATACCATTTGTCTTACCCCAAGTGAATGTTTCCATTAGTTTTCTCCGGCACGGCAAATACTCCGTTTGACTCCACACATTACATCACCGAGTCAAGGCTTACCTTCCAGCAACTCTTTGAAAACATACTCAAAATGCAACAGAATGTCCCATTTTTTTCCATTTCAGCTACAACTTTTTTTCTGGTTTATGGCCAAATAATACAGCAGGTGTATGTGTGTTGAACAACCAAGGACACGAAATTCCCCATGGCTACAATCTATTTCAGAAGTGTCTGCTTCTTTCATTAAGAAAAATCAAGAAAGAAACAAATATCAGTGAAATCCTAACTTGGGTACAACCATATATTAAGTTATTAATACATTTCCATAATGCATACTTTAGGAAAGACAAAAACGTGCTGCTGGCTCTAAGTGTTAAGTTTTTAGATATCATAGTCTAAAAAAAATGACTGCGATCTCATTTATTTCCTTTACAAATATTACATTAAATACTTTTGTTCTGCCTCTCAAACTAGACATCATTGAGGAGAGTTGAAAAAGAAGAAGCAGAATGTTTAAACAGTGCTGAGCACAAAAAACAGGAACTGGTGGGCTCCTGTGTTGTCATGAATAGGCTGATCAACAAATTTTACATTCAACTCTAAAAGGTAATGCTAATTTGACTAATGATTTATTATTTGAGATTTTAGTCACTGAATTATTCACTACTGGCAATACAAAAGGCCCTAAATGTTCTAAGAACCTCAAGTCCCTGGAATTCCTTTAGTCCAACGCTTAAATCTATATATAAAATACTGATTTTCAAACATGCAAATGTATAAGGGCAAGTGCATTTATTTATAGTCAATGTACATTAAGAGAAAAAAAGAAAACTTAATACTTTGTATTTGTATTTGTAACTGAATACAGAAAAATTCCTAAGTAGAGAAATTCAATTTTTTAAAATAAACAGTTATTATTCTTTACGAAATTTAAGGAAATTCCTGAAAAGAAAAACAATACTTTCCAGGAGTTTTATTTCACTTATCATAATAGTGATGAGCAAAAACAGGCATGGACAACTGTATTATTTTATACTCTTAAAAGAATTAGGAAAACATACATATGCATGCATTTCACACACAGATTCATTGCTACATGGTTACTTTAACACTGTAAACTGGCAAATGAGTATCCATGATGTGTGAGGTTTCTTTTTCTTTTTTGTAACTATTAAGACAATTCATCAACATCTCCACACTTTCAGGTAACCAAGTGTTCTAAGGAATATATTTAAGGCTTGAAACTTAACGTATAAATAAAACGTATATAAAAAAAAGTTCTATGCTTTTCTGTGCGATCCAACCTAATATCTACAGTAAGAGAGATCTCTAGGCCAGGCGCAGTGGCTCATGCCTGTAATCCCAGCAGTTTGGGAGGCCCAGGCGGGTGGGTCACCTGAGGTTGGGAGTTCGAGACCAGCCTGACCAAAATGGAGAAACCTCATCTCTACTAAAAATACAAAATTAGCCAGGTGTGGTGGCACATGCCTGTAATCCCAGCTACTAGGGAGGCTGAGGCAGGAGAATCGCTTGAACTTGGGAGGCAGAGGTTGTGGTGAGCCGAGATCATGCCATTGCACTCCAGCCTGGGCAACAAGAGCAAAACTCCGTCTCAAAAAAAAAAAAAAAAAAAAAAAAAAAGATCCCCAATAAAATAAGATGAAAAAGCAAATAGTTTGCAATTTTTACCACAGCATTCTGTAAGTGCAACTTTCTTATAAATATAGAAATTTTAGATACTTGACTAGCAGTTATCCAGCCTCAGCTGAAGCAATTCAAATACAGAAAAAAGATATAAAATAAAGATATTGAAAAGTTAAAACTTCCTTTTGTGCTCACTTGTCCTTACCAATTGAATATTCATCCTATGCTGTGGGAAGGGTAAACTCCTTAATCTTTAGATGTTCTTCTATCATTAGGTCTAAAACTGCATATGTATCACTATTACAGATCTCCTTTTTGTATACTGAATTAATTCATTACACACAAATATGACAGGCACAGCATTATTAATTTTTTATATACAGTTCATACAAATCAATACATGGGCAAAAGATATGAATGAATATCACATCCAGTATATGAAAAATTAACTCATCAATCCAATTATTAATGAAACATATGGAAAATATCCATTCCTTTGTTTACTTTCCTTCATTATTCTTCTAACCAGTTTGATCACTTTGGGAAAGATCAAGAAAGCATGCATCCAAAAGTGACATTTAAATTAACACTTAAAGGATGAGTACAAATTACCTTAAAAGTATGTTAAAATATGCAGTTGAAATATTGAGATTACATTTTTGAATTTAATACAAAAGTAGACAGTTAAAATAGAATATAGACTGTTTTGCTACTGTGGCAGTTTTACTCTTAACAAACTTCACAATTTTAAAAATGATATTAAAACTATTGTTTCAATGAGAAACTTGTGGTTGGAAAATTAGGCTTTTAGACTCATAATAACAGTTATTTTCAGGCAAACAGTTAATAGTAAAAGGTTTTTTTATGGCTATGAGTGTACAACTAAAACATCACTCAGCAAATATAACTTCTGGCTTTTTTTTTTTTTTTTTGAGACGGAGTTTTGCTCTTGTTGCCCAGGCTGGAGTGCAATGGCGCGATCTTGGCTCACTGCAACCTCCACCTCCTAGGTTCAAGTGATTCTCGTGCCTCAGCCTCCTGAGTAGCTGGGATTACAGGCATGCGCCACCTCACCCAGCTAATTTTGTATTTTTACTAGAGACGGGGTTTCTCCACGTTGGTCAGACTGGTCTTGAACTCCCGACCTCAGGTGATCCGCCCGCCTGGGCCTCCCAAAGTGCTGGGATTACAGGCATGAGCCACCGCACCCAGCCTAAATATAGCTCTTACTTACATCTACCATTTGCTTAAGAGTATTGGCCCTTCTTTTCTAATTCATGATTAGCATTACCATTAATGTAATGTCTTATACATTTTGAAAATCATCTATGATAAAGCACAAAGCCACTAAAACAATGCAACTGTAAAGTACGTGCAAGCACACTACCTTAGCTGGTTCTCAGTGCAAATTTTGTTCCCTTATATCTGATTTGCTTTATGAACACACAGACATAATGCAGGAGAAATGCCCATATGTAATGGTGAGGACTGTCTGATGTTTCTGTAAGAGTTATCTAGACACCGTTCATAAACTGGTATAAGCCTTCTGGCTTTAAATATTTAAGAATATTTACAGTTTTCAACAAAGTAATTCTATTGAAGTAACTCATGCTAAGGAAATAATTTTATACCTGTGCATGCCTTGTGCGTGTCTCAGAAAGGAAAATCTCATTCACCAAAATGTTCATCAAAACATTATTTATGGCCAGGCGTGGTGGCTCACGCCTGTAATCCCAGCAATTTGGGAGGCCAAGGTGGGCGGATCACAAGGTCAGGAGATCGAGACTATCCTGGCTAACATGGTGAAACCCCGTCTCCACTAAAAATACAAAAAAATTAGCCGAGCACGGTGGCGGGCGCCTGCAGTCCTAGCTACTCAGGAGGCTGAGGCAGGAGAATGGTGTGAACCCAGGAGGCGGAGCTTGCAGTGAGCCGAGATCGTGCCACTGCACTCCAGCCTGGGCGATAGAGCAAGACTCCGTCTCAAAAAACAAAACAAAACAACAACAAAAAAACCCCAACATTATTTATAACAGTATAAAAGTGAAAACCTAAACAAAGAAAATATTTATATCTACATGATGAAATATTATGCAACCATTAAAATGTATGGTTATTAATATATACTTATATATTAAGTTAAAACGCAGGATTAAAAGCTGAATGTACAGAATGCATGCATTCCCTCAAACACTGACCGAGTACTATGTGTCAGGCACAGTGTGCTAAGGCCATGGGCACAGAGCTATAAACAAAATAGATAAGAATCTCTGCTTTCACGGAGCCTATATTCCACTGAGAGGAGACACACAATAAAAACACACAGACCAGATAAGTACTATGGGGGAAAAAAAGCAAAAAAGTGAAATTGAGAGTACTGGGGCAAGGGGGTTACAGTTTTTAAATAGTCAGAGAATGCCTCAAACAGGTGAGGAAGAGAGCCATGCTTGCACGCAATGGAACAACATTACAGGCTGAGGGAAGAGCTATCTTGGGAGCATGCAGGCAAGACTGCAAGGCCAGTGTTGCTAGACAGAAATGAGCAAAGAGAAAGGAAGTAGAAACTCAGAAAGATGGGGAGAGGGGCTTTGATATAGGGTCTTGTCTTGTAAGCTAGTACAGGATTTTATTTTAGTGAGACAGGAGGCCATTCAAGAGTTCTGAGTATAGGAATGATGAGATGGAACTTATTTGACCATGGTCACTCTAGCTGTTGTTTTGACAACAGACCGTAGAGAGCAAAGGCAAAGCCAATAGTTTTTGTAAACATCAGAAAAGACATGTAGTGGTGCTAGAACAAGAAGGTGGAGCTGAAGGTGATAAGAAGGGATGTGATTCTGAATACATCTGCAAATAGATCCACTAGGATTTACTAATGAATTAAAATATTCATTAGTAAATGAATGACATTAGTAAAATATTCATTAGTAAAAGGATGACAGCAAGGTTTATAGTATGAACAACTAAAAAGACAATAGTGATATTTACTTTAAAAAAAAAAAGAACTCCAGAAGAAAACAATTAATATGAGACCAGTACAGATGACGAAATGGGAGTAGACAGATATTTGGGGACACATGTTTTTAATTAGTTAAGTAATACGTTTGACTTGGCTGAAAATACTAGAAGAAACTATATCATAAGGAAGGATATGTTACTCTCTTCAAAATTCTAAATAAAAACAATGAATGTTGTCATTAAGTAAGCAAGCAGAGGGTGGGGTGGATATGTGTGACCCATTTTATGAAGCAAGTATTTAAGGTAATAAATCAAATAAGCCCAGCCAGGCACAATGGCTCACGCCTGTAATCACAGCACTTTGGGAGGCTGAGGCGGGCAGATCAGCTGAGGTCAGCAGTTCGAGACCAGCCCGGCTAACGTGGCGAAACCCCGCCTCTAGTAAAAATACAAAAATTAGCTAGGTGTGGTGGCATGCACCTGTAATCCCAGCTACTCGGGAGGCTGAGGCGGGAGAACTGCTTGAACCTGGGAGATGGAGGTTGCAGTGAGCGAAGACTGCACCATTGCACTACAGACTGGGCGACGAGAGCAAAACTCCGCCTCAAAAATAAATAATTAAATGAAATTAAATAAGGCCAAAGGTTAAAAGAATATGTACACGATATGGAATGAAGCCAAGGATGAACATAAAACACTAGCACAAACTCATCAGAATACCACAAGGAAGACAAGAGCCCAAGAGCCCAAAATGTAAACTGGAGCTAATGAAAAATGCTAAAGACAAAAAAGAATGGGATTCTGATTTACGTTTGGCAATGTTTGAAGCCAGAAAATGAACAGAAAACATGGAAATTCACTATTTGGAGGGTTGGTAGGGGTGACAAAGCCTCTTCAAATCCTCAGATTTTTGAGTAAATTATTTAATCTCTCCAGGCCCCAATATAATCAGTAAATGTATGGGTAACAATATTTACATTGTAAAGATATTTTGATCAATAAATGAGATAACAAATATAACCCAAAACATATATATGTTTTGAGACAGTCTCGCTCATGTTGCCCAGGCTGGAGTGCAGTGGCTCAATCTCGGCTGAATGCAACCTCCGCCTCCTGGGTTCCAGCGATTCTCCTGCCTCAGTCTCCTGAGTAGCTGGGACTAGAGGTGCACGCCACCACGCCTGGCTAATTTTTTGTATTTTTAGTAGAGATGGGGTTTCACCATGTTGACCAGGCTGGTCTTGAATTCCTGACCGCAAGTGATCCGCCCGCCTCGGCCTCCCAAAGTGCTGGGATTACAGGCCTGAGCCACCACACCTGGCCCCAAAATATGTATTTAAAAGGGATATTCGTGTTTGTTCCTGTTTTCTTTCCCAACTCAAATGCTGCTTTTACTATAAATCTTTCTATAAGTATCTTGCGGCCCAAGACAGAGAACATTTTTTTTAATTAGTTCAAATTTCTAGGTTCATGTAGATATTCAGGGATAATTCAAATATAATCCTGGAATTATATTTCCTTTGTAGCTATAAAATTTCAAGACACCAACAAACTAATAACCAACAAAGCGATGGCGAGTGAAGGTAGAATTCTGCATCATATTATTAAACAGTTTATGAAGACCTAGGAACAGAGACGATTAATCACTGAGAGCTGGCATAGGTTCACTAAGAATAAATTCTGGAAAAAGTGTCATTTAATTTTACTGAAAAGGTTACTATCCTGAAAGGATGATGGTAAGAAATGTCATGTATTAGAACTTCAAAAGCGTATCTGACAGTCTTTAATGGTATTATTTGCAACAGTGAAAGTAAACTATGGCTAGCCAAGAGTTTAGTTAGGTGAAACAATAGAGATTTAAGCAAACTTAGGCAAAGAAAACTGATTAATGAATTGGAATAAATCTGTAAAGATGTTTCCAATGGCAGCCTACCAGGTGCTATTCTTGGCTCCTTCAGTTTAATCAATCCCGCTTCAAAGTCTCAGAATGAAGAAATAGAATGTATACTTCTCAAGTTTAATTATATCAGACCGTGTTAGGTGACAAAATCAAGATTCAAAAGAAAGTCTTGACAGGCTGAAATCCAGCCTTCAACTAAAAAGAAGAAATGTAATAGGGACATTAAACTGGCATTTATTTTAACATACACACACTCTCTCTTTCTCTAACTGTTCTAGAGGAAAGGAAAACTGACCTCAACATAAGTTTGTGTAAATTGAGTTTTAGTTGTAAACCCAAACAGGTGCTCAGTATAATGTTAGCCTAAATGCTAAATGTGATATAATAAGACCCTCTTCCCCTCCCCCAAAATGAAGCATTGTTAGACTGTTTTAATATAACTTGTGTTCCCAGAGCAAATGAAGAAAAATATGCAATAAATTCAACAGTATTTTACTTCTGGGCGCCACATTTGAAAGACATTAAAAAAAAAAAGCATATTTAAAGGTGAGCGATTAAAAAGGTACAAGGGTTTGGAAAAGGGTGAAAAATAACTGAAAGAAATTAGGTGATCTACACTTGAGGCCAGTTTGAGACCAGCCTGGCCAACACAGCGAAACCCCCGTCTCTACAAAAAATACAAAAATTCGCCCAGCGAAGAACAAAAACGAAACCAAAAAAAAAAAAAAAAACAAAAAAGAAGAAAATAAGAAAATTAGCTGGGCATGGTGGCACATGCCTATAGTCCCAGCTACTTGGAAGGCTGAGGCACGAGAATCACTTGAACCCAGGAGGTCAAGAGATGGAGGTTGCAGTGGGCCAAGATCACATCACTGCACTCCAGCCTGGGCCACAAGAGATTCTGAGAAACAGAAAGACAGAAAGAAAGACAGACAGACAAAAGAAGAAAGAAAGAAAAGGGAGGAAGGAAGGAAGGAAGGAAAGAAAGAAAGAAGGAAGGAAGGAAGGAAAGAAGGAAGGAAGGAAGGAAGGAAGGGAGGTAGGGAGGGAGGGAGGGAGAGGGAGAGAAATTAGGTGATCTAGCATGAAAAAGATAT
Source organism: Homo sapiens (assembly GCF_000001405.40). NCBI lineage: Eukaryota > Metazoa > Chordata > Mammalia > Primates > Hominidae > Homo > Homo sapiens. Next base: position 217,572,087 of record NC_000001.11, read on the forward strand.
AAGAAATGTGCAAGTATTTGTGGGACAATCATGTGGCAACTCTATTCCTTTCATTTGTCTAATATCCTGATACCTATCTTACAGGCAAAAAGACTGAGGCTTAGAGAGGATACATTGATAGCTAGTAGAAGAATTAGAACTTAAATTTAGGTCTTGTGAAAAGGGGGAATCTAACTTATTCTGTGTAACTCGAGAGAGTAGAACTGGACCAATTACACTGTGAAGCCAGATTTCAGGTCACTGTAAGAAAGAAAGAAAAAGAAAACAAAAGCTGAAAACCATATTATATGATGATGTCCAGAGTTTCCATAAAGCCTGGACACAAAGGCAAATATATACATTGTCATCAAGAATAACTTCAATCTGTAAAAATGTATTATCTAGTTTTCAGGCTTCGTGGGCACCCTGTGTTTGCTGAACAACCATTAATCATTATACCAGGTGCTCTATAATCCCTTGATCTGCACAACAACCCCAATGAGAAAACAGAATCTTATTAAAGACTAGCATAATTTGCCCAAGGCCCCAAAGTGAATACATTAAGAACCAGAATTCAATCACAGGTATTCCTGATTCTTCTAAAATTCTCTCACCCTGGCTGCATAGTAGAATTACCAAATCTCTTTTAAAATGACAATGTCTGGGTTCCACCCCCAGAGGTTATGATTTAATTGATCTAAGATGAGGCCAGTTGTTGAGACGAGTATATGACTTCCCAAATAACTGGATATATACATAGCCACACATATGAGAGAGAAAAGCTACTTTTCTGGGTGAAGGGAGGGTTAATAGTGAAAATATAAGAAGAAATCTTAGCAAAGAGTGTTTAAGCACCTTTGTAAAAGTAATTTCCAAATGTAATTTTTGTACCTACTTAAGATACGTTAGGACAAAATCCAGATGTCCTGCAATCCAAAACATTAGAAGTGCAAGAAGAAAGGAAGTCCGACACAAAAGTTCATAACCCCTTCATCTACAATATGCTTTTTAAGCAAATAAAATGACACTTTTTAAAGTCAAATACCGTAAAAGATTACTTGTCTTTTGCACAAGTGGCAGATCTGTTATCATTCTCATCATATTGAAAGCTTATCCAACAGATGCCCTCTCCGTACCCTCCAATGGCTCTTTGTGCACTCAAAATTAACCCCACTATCACAGTGTTTCTCTGCATTAACCAATGTAAGACATTTGAAGAGGGTCTTTGTTGTTGTAAAATGAGGAAAGTTGCATTAGAAGCATTAAAATAATTGTGCTCACTTGGAAAAAAAAAATCAAAATACAGTAACAGCATTTTATGTGAGCCATTCCTTGCAAACAACTAACAGTTTTCAACTCTTTAATTAAAGAGACATTCTTTAAAATTGGGAAGAGGTGTTAAGTTGAATGTCATCCCCTTTCTCCTAGAATGAATGACCTCTGATAAGTATCTGAACCATTTAAACACAAACACACATAAAATGTGATTTTATTAAATTCAACAAACATGAACTTTGGAGGGGCTGAAGAAAAATAACAACTGCTTTCTAAATTTAATTAAACAGAAAAAGACAGAGCTGACAAGCAGATGAATTGTCTAACTAAACTTTACGAGTCAGATATTAAGAAAAGGAGTGTCATTTTCTTATTAGGAGTCCAAGGTGACTGCTTATGTTTTGAACACTGGTTAATTCTAGCTGGAGCACAAATCTATCTTTTCTTTTAGAATTAATTCTCAGTGTCAGAACTGCTAGATGTCCTTTTCAGAATCAACCTATCCTGGCCGTTAATTATACTACAGAAATATGTTCAAATAATGTTAATGATCTGATTCTATTCTCACAGAACAAGCTGTAGGAAAAGCTCAATTAAGACTTTGCTAAATATGTTTACTTAATTATTTTGCAGAGAATGAGAATGGTTTGCTTGGCAAAAATGATATCTGAGAAAATGATTTTTAAAAAGAAAAGCAACGTGCAGTCTTAACATGGATACCAAATAGGAACCACTGTTTGAATATTAAGATAAATAACGATTATTCTTAGAAGTACCTAACAGTGAGATATTATTTCTTTGAAGGTTTCTCAAATGCTGAGTAAATAGAAAAATAAGAGAAATACAGTGACCAAGAAAGTCTTTTGAAGGATAGTGACACAAAATGTGCCTTTTTTACATTTTTATATATTCAGTTGCAATGGGCTTATTTTCTTAATGGTCTACTTTGGGACTATCCTAGCCCGAGCCCCAAAGCTGCCGTGGAAATTTAGATTGAAACCAATAAACTCAAAACTACCCAAAAGAGGCCTTGAAGCTGACTTCAGAGTTGACTAGGAATCTCCTAGAGCTCTGAGACTAGTTTAAGTCCAGGGAGTGCCCTTCCACTTAGGCTTGCAATGCGGAATGACATTCAGCAACTGGGTTCAGTTACGGGGTGGTTTATCTGCCTGTGGATAGCTGGCATGCAATTGGTCAAAGTGAGACAAACAATAAAAGGAATAATCATAAACCTAAAATAAGAGAAGGAAAAGAAAAAACATTTTTGGGCACCTGTGATGGAACTGTCATGTTGCTAAGTACTTTACATATGTTATATTCATTAAACCTCTCTTCTCCCATAAACTTTTCCAGGTAAAGATTACTATTCCCACTTGCAAAAGTAGAAACAAAGGTACAGAGATTAAGTAAACTGTACAAAATCACTCAGTCAATAATAAGCGACAGGTCCAACCGGATTTGAGTCCTGGTCTTTTTGGCTCCAAAGAGCAAGCTTATCTAGCAAACTATAAAGAAAGGCAGAAAGGCAAAATTTGAGATCAAATTCAGAGATAAGGGAAACATAAAATTCAATCTCATATATTCAGTACCTGAAATATGAAAGATCATTTTTTCACTTTTAATTCCTGATAAATCCACACACAGGGTTGGAAATGTGGCACTTATATGATTTTTCTTGGTCTGAGAAGTGATTTAGGTCTATGGCAACCTTTCCACTTAACATCATTTATAGGTCAAAAAATAATAAAATAAAAAGCTTAAGGTTCCTTCAGTCATATCAATGAGGAATAAAGACAAAATGCTCAAATGTCTTGCCTAAAGTCACAATGCTAGATTTCTGCAAAGCTGGGATTAGATCTCAAAGCTGACCTATGGTTTACTGTTCTTTCCATTACAAAGTATTGCTTTATTTTGTTTTTCCTTGGCCCTAGAAAAAGCTGGAAACTGTTAGTTATCACATAAGAACATGAAACAGCCACAGGAATGATGTTAAAAATCCTCTTAAGATTAGCACACTCAACCATTACCTTAAAAAGCAAACCAATCATCTAGGTTTATGTCAATTTTGTTTCAAATGGCATTAAGAAAAAGACAAAACCAGGTAAGCATACTTAATATAAAAGTTTGAATTTATTGGTCAAAATTCCAAGTGGCTCAGATTTAAAATACAACTGATGTAAAAAATCAATGCATCATGACATGAGAAAACTGTTACTGATTCTTTATGTGCTTCCAATTTGATTGCTTTGGCCTTCCAAACAAATAAATGGCAGTACCAGAAACCTATTAGTATGATAATAAAGCCTCGATCCTGGATGTATACAATCTCTGTACTTGGAGGATAACAAAAAAACAAACAAATATCTGTGTAAAGACCTGCTCTAGATTTCAATTTAATAGAAAAATATTAGCAGAAATTATAAAATGTAAGGGTAATCAGAATGCCTTCACTTTAAGTCCCTATAAAAGTTCATTTCTGTAAGTGTTAAAAGCTAATAGCTTCATTTTTTAGCCCATTGTTCCTACTTACTTTTTGTGTTTTTTCCAAAATTCTAAATTTTTAAAAATCCAAACCTAATAGCTTCAAGTTATTATCATCTATTACTGTCCAAGACACCGTGAGTGCAATGGGTCCTTTTATATACAGAAAATAGTACAGTTGGTAGATATGTATTAATCAAGGTTATGAACAAAGAAAATGAATGTACAAAAGGCATATATTAAAACATAGGTAAATATATACACACATATGTACACAAACACTTACATATCCAAACTTCAATATCTGGAATGCTTTTGCCTGATTATGTACCTCCTATCCCAAAAAATCAAAGTAGTTTTATAATTCAACAATGCATTTTCCTATTATGAATACATATTTTTCCTGTCACATGTAATGAATTAAATTGAACCAGTGATGACACACTATCTGGTAGTAACACAATGATTAAGGCCCTATTTAAAGTTAAAATATATTTTCCTAGAACTTAACATTATTAAATCATCCATGTTTCATTACCACAAAGTTTATAACATCATAAAAGTAACAGTGATAGCAAAAAGAAAATGCATAAGTGTTTTCCAATTTTGGTTGAACCTATGTAACTTCAAAAAAGAAACACACGTATATTACTATGCAAATGGGTTCCCAAATTTTTATACATTCTATTTACTCCATTGTAGCCAGCCTCAGCCACATAATTCACATGCAGAACTATCACCCTTTGAACTAAATGAATTCTGCTATAACGGAGAGCTGAGACTTGAAAAAATTGCTTACAATTGCACATACAAGTGAAAAAGATTGCTAAGTCTAAATTAAGATGTTGGCTATGAGGTTTCCAATAGGACCTTGACATGACTGTTGACCTACTCATGACATGATCGCACCAGTACGGATTTGGAATTCTATTAGTATTACCAGAGGAAAAAAAGTCAAGGAGTCATCAAGAAAACAAATCTATATCTTCTACTCCATCAGCCAATTACTGTTGTTAAAGTGGAATTAGATGGGTATTGACAATGCGAAGGGGATAAGGATTAAGCAGATGACTGAATATATTGCAAGCACTGGTGATCATATTTTGGCTTTTTAGCATTGTTTTGCTTTTGCTGCATAGTTTTTTAAAACTCTAAAATAGGAATGTGCAAAGCAGATTAATTGCTAATATCATGCCTGAAAAAATACAATTTATAATATATTTGCTAATTGGATAATGCACAAATATTTTCACATAAGAGTGCTATTTTATACCAGCAAATATTCAACAGCTAAGCAAAGATTTAATAGAAACCCGCATCTGTCTATAAGTACAGGACCACTGGAAAGATAATAAAAGGCTTTAAAAATTTCCTTACCCTAATTTAAGGGAGAAAATTCCCCAATCAAATTTTGAAAATGTTATCTTTTCTTAAAAAGTAAGAATAATACAACTCAACTGATTATAAAACCAAAACACTTTTATTGTGAGAGGTGGCAGTATACTGTAATATTTAAGAGCATGATCTTTGACTCTATGGAGACCTAGTTTCAATTGTGGCCTCTGCCACTTTCTATAGCTTTGTGACCTTAAGGAAATTACTTAACCTATGTCTTCATTTCCCAATCTGTAAAACTGAGATAGAGTATCCAAGTTATATGGTAGTGTGAGGTTAAATGAGCATGTTTGTGTAAAAACTTTGCATAATATTTAATTAGTATTAGCTTCAGCTATTATAAAATGTTATCTCAATACATCCATTGAAGTCAGGCAGCTATTTTGTCTACAGAAAAAATTCAGTTTTGTTATATAGTGAATGGAATTCCTGAGGTACTAACAGGTCAAAGTCAAGAAACCCATAAAAGTATTGGTTATCAATGCCAAAGTTCAAAGTATCATATAAAATCTGGTTTTACTTATTATTATTATTATTATTGTTAGTTTGAGATGGAATTTTGCTCCTGTTGCCCAGGCTGGAGTGCAATGGTGCGATCTCAGCTCATCGCAACCTCCGCCTCCCAGGTTCAAGCGTTTCTCCTGCTTCAGCCACCCGAGTAGCTGGGATTGCAGGAATGCGCCACCACCCCTGGCTAATTTTGTATTTTTAGTAGAGACGGGGTTTCTCCATGTTGGTCAGGCTGGTCTCGAACTCCCAACCTCAGGTGATCCGTCCTCCTTGGACTCCCAAAGTGCTGGGATTACAGGCATGAGCCACTGCATCTGGCCTGGTTTTATTTTATACTGCAAACTCCACTTCATGGGGGTGGGGCGGGGGGCGGGGATCACAAAGTACCAGGCAAATTTGATTTAATGGCTGGGGGGGGATTACCAGTTTAAATTGCAAGTAATACCACCAAGACACAAAAAGGTAGTTTTGTTTTGTTTTGTTTTAAAAAGAAATATTTCTGCCACTTTTTAAAAATTTTAAGACCGGGTCTTGCTCTATTGCCCAGATTGACGGGCAGTGGCATGATCATAGCTCACTACAGCCTCAAAGAACTCCTAGGCCCAAGGGATCCTCCAGGTTCAAGGGATCCTCCCACCTCAGCCTCCCTAAGTAGCTGGGAATACAGGCACATGCCACCAGGCCCGACTAATTTTTTAAAATTTTTTGTAGAGACAGGCCTCACTATGATGCCCAGGGTGGTCCTGAACTCCTGGATTCAAGCAATTCTCCCACCTCGGTATCCTAAAGAGCTGAGAGTACAGGCGTCAGCCTCTGTGCTTGGTCCACCTATTGATGAGTTCACTAAGTCCTGGCTGAGGTTTCTGGTACCATTTTCTGCCTTCTTTTCTTACATCAAAGTTTTTACCCATTTACAAACTGTGTTTTACTGACTGAATAACACCCTCATGTCCCTCTTTTCACACAATACACGTATTTTGATATTAAGCATACTTACTACATCTTTTGTCTTTTAAAGTCAAGTTTGAATTAATGGCATATCATGACAGATATATTGATGCCAGTCTAAAATAGCTAAGTAAAATCATAATCCAATGAGTATATCAATGAACTTGGAGTAGCATCACTTGATGAATCAAGACTGCCAGTATTTTCTTCCTAGTGTGTGAACATAGAATGATCGATACTCTAGTACATCCCAAAGACTTGACAACTGATATTTTGAGTTAGTGAAAATATGCAAATAAAGTTTTCACTTATAACATCAAAGGTAAATCCTTCATTCAGATGTACACTTTGATACTGTGGTGAATTATGCCTAAATCTTTTCAACCCTTGTTAAATATTTCCAATGAGCTGAGGTAATTTTACTTTGCAGTATGATTTTTTAAAAGGTGTAACGCACCTAAACACACACACAAAAAGGATGCAAAGAAATACAGCTTAGTTTTTTAACACAAATAAAATCCAAACAATGATATATCTTACAATAATGTAAGAATACTTAAAATACATTGCTTTAAAAAAACAGTGGCAAAGAATGGCAAGAATCTAATAAGGAAAGCGAAGGTTTGCAATGGCAATTCATTAAAGAGAGTAATCACACTAATCAAGAAAAAAAAGTAGAGATGCCCAAACACAGACAAGAAAAAAAAAACAATAACAAATCTAATAAATTTAACTTGCCCTGCCAGATCTTTTTAACTTATTGGAAAATTCGCTTGACTTAATATTGACACAGAGATGTGTAAATCAATACATTCAGAATGAAAGATATATTTTAATTTAAAAATGTTCAAACTGCAGCAGTAAATCTATGCACTTAGCACATAAAAATCTTTAAGAGTTCAAATGTTCAGACATAACATTGGGGTTGACCAACAACCTATAGATGAATGCCAAATCCTAAATTCTGACCACCAAAATACTTACTTTTTATGTCACATATAAGGCAATCTTTACAATATTTACTGAAAAATATTTATAAATACTAGACAAATGGATTTTCATTGAGAATCCATCAAAGCCTGCAACCAGGGCACCACCTATCTGCTGCTGATAAAAAAGTCCTACTTTTATATATTATACAACTACAGGCTATTGTGATCTTACCAAATGAAATGAGAAAAGTAAAAGAAATGAAGCTATCCTTTAATCTCAGTGACTGTCTATATGGTCAAAGCCTTTAGCTGTGCCATCCAATATGGTAGCCACTAGTTATATGTGGCTATTAAGATACGTTCAAAGTATTAAACACACAAAAGATTTTGCATTTACTCCAAGAAAAGTACAAAATATGTCATAATTTTTGCTACAATAATTTTATTGTTACATACACACATTTTCAGGATAAAAATCAAATAATTCGTTTCACTTAGGAATGTATTATACAAAAAAGTGAGACTTCAACAGACAAGCACAAGAACTTACTATAGTTAAAATTTATCTCCTTAAATATTTTTGATGCACAAATTTAACTTGGTATACCACACCATAAATCTAAACTATCTTGAGTTTAAATAGATTGGTAGTGTCCTCACTCCCCGACCTTCCATGGATGGTGACACAAAGGATGAAACAAAGGATGGGGAAAAAGATGTATATGAGATGATGTACAGAGGATGAAACATTAGTAATTATGATGCTGATCTCTAGTAAGCTAACCTTTCAACTTACAAATCAATAAAAGCTAATAGGTAAACAATTTTACTTCTAGAAAAACAAATCTGTATCAAACAAGAAGTGCTTATATTTACTAAAGTATATATGATTATGGTGAAAATTTTCCCCGTTATCTCAAAATGGCAGCAAAGAGAACTGCTCACCTCCTACTATAATTTTTCTTTATAATTAGTGTACAGCATTACCTTCGGTAATCTCAATCCTTTCACTTTTATCATCCTCCTCCTTTAAAATCTTTCCTTTCCCCAACTATCTTCTCAAGCTTTGCTACTTACTAAGAGTGGGTCCCAGGCCAGCATCATCAGCATCTTCTGGGAGCCCATTAGAAAGGCAGAATCTCCTGTAATCCCAGCACTTTGGGAGGCCGAGGCGGGTGGATCATGAGGTCAGGAGATCGAGACCATCCTGGCTAACAAGGTGAAACCCCGTCTCTACTAAAAATACAAAAAATTAGCCGGGCGCGGTGGCGGGCGCCTGTAGTCCCAGCTACTGGGGAGGCTGAGGCAGGAGAATGGCGTTGAACCCGGGAAGCGGAGCTTGCAGTGAGCCGAGATTGCGCCACTGCAGTCCGCAGTCCAGCCTGGGCGACAGAGCGAGACTCCGTCTCAAAAAAAAAAAAAAAAAAAAAGAAAGGCAGAATCTCAAGTTCCTCCCACGACTTATTAAATCAGAATTGACATTTTAACAAGATCCACTCCCACCAGCCCCAAGATCCGCTGGGAGATTAAATTTAAGCATCTCCGCTCTACACTTGGTGGAAAGGATTTCTAGCCTCACGGTCTGTGTCTCTTGTTCTTACCCTTTATATGTTTTCATTGGTCCTCAGGTTAATAAGGTTAGTAAGCATCTTAAAAACTATTGATTTCAAAACTTCCATTTTACAGATAAACTAGAAATAAACTTTAATGCCTAGCACAAGACCTTACAAGAAAAGGCCCTTAATAAAAGACAAGTTGGAAGACAAAGGCAAGATGACAGAGAAGTTGAAGCTAAAAGAGGTTAAGGATTTAGACGGTTTCTATAGCTAATTAGTTGCATGGTGAAACTGTGTCTCATGTTGACTCCAAAGATCAATGCTCATTCCAATATACGATGCAAGGCAAAGCCAGAGTTGCTGAGTCCCACCTCCCCCAACTTCTCACTGGGATGTACGTAAGAGAGTATGTCCTTGTGAATAGGTGAATGTGCACACATGTGAAAACCTAGGTCTGCCCAGCTCTGGAGTGCTTCCCAAGAGAACAGTGTGAAATATTAGAAGTTTAGGCCAGGTGCGGTGGCTCTTGCCTGTAATTCTAGCACTTTGGGAGGCTGAGGCGGGCAGATCACGAGGTCAGGAGTTCGAGACCAGCCTGGCCAACATGGTGAAACCCCATCTCTACTAAAAATACAAAAATTAGCCAGCTGCAGTAATGGGCGCCTGTGATCCCAGCTACTTGGGAGGCTGAGGCAGGAGAATTGCTTGAACCTGGGAGGCAGAGGTTGCAGTGAGCCAAGATTGTGCCACTGCACTCCAGCCTGGGTGACAGAGCAAGACTCCGTCTGGGGGGAAGAAAAGAAGTTTATAATTTCCTGTACTATATTCTTTGATCCTCTTCTCTTCTACTAAAAAATACCCGTGGTCACTGGTAGGTAGGAATCAAGAAGTAAAAAGTAAAAGTAATATGAGACAACTTTCAAACATAGAAACAACTAGCCTGAATTGGGTTGGGAATTATTACTTGATTATGCAACTGTTCACTCTCCCCTACTTCTTTTCGTCTATACACTTCTGTCACCCTCTTCCTGTGCCATTCCCCGCTGCATCTCTTATTTAACTGTCACAGAAAAGACAAAGTTGAAAAGTTACTTGTACAATCCTTGTTGCTCTTTGGAATAAAAACACTACCTAAATCCTATAATTATTATAAATAATAACTTATAATTCCTAGTATTTTAAAATTTTTACCAGGTATTTTCATAAAAATTACCTTAAAGTCATCATAACAGCATGTCACTGTTTTTGATAGTAACAGTGATTATAAAAAGATGGACAATTATTGGACATGATAAATCTATTTACATTTTTTCAAATAATATCATATTATAAAAATTATAAAAGCAGAAAAAGTTCAGGCAATAAACCCAAAAAAATGACTAGCAGGAAAAGCAACACCACAATTTTACTTTTAAAAAAGCAAAGAATCCAGTATTAAAGTTGGTATAAAACATTGCAGTAATGCTCAAAAGATAATGCTTTAAAATAAAAGTATTGTGGTGCTAAATATAATGGATTAAATTATGTCTTATGAAAAGACCAGAAGAAGGTGACAGGTATATAAACAATTCACAATAAAACTAGCCAGCAGGTCAGTAAACAGAGAGAGCTTTAATGATTTGAATATCTGATTTGATTTCTTATATATCAGTGCCTTATGCCTATTTAACATTTGACAATAAAATATACTTAACTATGATTAACAGGAGCACCTGAGATTGCAGAGTTTACACTACAACAGAAATATAACTACTGAAATACACCATTCACTGTAAGAATCCGTATTACAGCTAACCTTATTACAAAAGCATTTATCAGAATTTTAAGTCTCCTAAACTCCATCTTGGATAAAATATAGTAACAATATGGATAAATCAAAGACTACTAGCACTTCATAAATAATTACTGCATGTATTAGATTATTCCTACTAACAGAATAGATTAAACAGCAGATCAGATGAAGATAAAAAGAGAATTAAATAACTGGAGCACAGAACCGAAGATATTACCTGTAATGTGGCACACACAAAAAAACAATGAAATGAAAACTAGGAGAAAAGGGCTAAGAGACATTAAGAATAAAATGAGAAAGTGCAACATATGTCTGTCTAAAAAGATAGAAGACTGAGTCGGGCGGGGTGGCTCATGCCTGTATTCCCAGCACTTTGGGAGGCTGAGGTGGGTGGATCATGAGGTCAGGAGTTTGAGACCAGCCTGGCAAACATGGTGAAACCCCGTCTCTACTAAAAATACAAAAATTAGCCGGGTGGTGGTGGCACGTGCCTGTAATCCCAGCTACTCAGGAGGCTGAGGCAGGAGAGTTGCATGAACCTGGGAGGCAGAGGTTGCAGTGAGCCAAGATTGAGCCACTGCACTCCAGACTGGGCATCAGAGCAAGACTCTGTCTCAAAAAAAAAAAAAAAAAAAAAGATAGAAGACTAATAATAAACAAGAAGCTATATTTGGATAAGGGCTGAAATCTTTTTTTAAGAACTGATTAAAGATAGGAATTCTCAGATACAGGAAGCACAACATAAAAAAAAGCAGGATAAATAAATTTATGTCTGTATATTGTGGGGAAACTACAAAATATAAAATACATGTATTTTTTTCTTAAAAGCAGCTAGGGAATAAAAATAAAATACATTATTTACCATTAGTGGAACAGATATCTCAGAGCAAGAGTGAATGCCAGAAGATAGTACAAGAGTATCTTTAAAATGTTGAGAAAAATTATTTAACCCAGAATTACATACCAAGAAAATTATTCATTAAAAAAGGTAAAACAAAGCTAGTTTCAGATTTAAAAAGTGAAATTATCTGTTTTAGATTTTCACCAAAAGAACTTCTAAGCATAATGGAAGAAAAATGATCCTGCAAAGAAAGACTGAAATATAAGATGAAAGGTGAGAAAGAATCTGGTAAATCTTATAGATCTAAATAAATGCTATACATTAATAATAATGTCTAATTTATAGGTTGACAAAACTAAAAGACTGGAAATCAAGACAATATTTTCTGTTCAAAGAGGTGTGGTCAAAATTAATGTTCGAGGCCTCCCGCGGTGGCTCACACCTGTAATACTAGTGGGAGGCCGAGGCGGGCAGATCACTTGAGGTCAGGAGTTTCAAATCAGCCTGGCCAACATGGTGAAACCTCACCTCTACTAAAAAAAAAAAAAAATATATATATATATATATATACACACACACAAAAATTAGCCAGGCATGTTGGCAGGCACCCGTAATCCCAGCTACTTGGGAGGCTGAGGCAGGAGAGTTGCTTGAACCCGGGAGGCGGAGGTTGCAGTGAGCCTAGATTGCACCATTGCACTCCAGCTTGGGCGAAAGAGTGAGACTCCATCTCAAAGAAAACAAAAAACAAAATTATTGTTCTAAAGTCCTAGTATTATTTAGAAGAGGTTTAAATATTAACAGTAGATGTTAAAAGCTGTTAAACACACACAGCAAAATTTCAAAGACATCAGAGGCATGGAAGCAACCAGGGTAGATACCTAGCTTCCAAACTAGTAAAATGGAGGAGAAAATTAGAACGAAAAAGAAAAGAGAGCAACAAGTCAATACTAGAAGGAAAAAAAACTTTTAAAATGTTAGAAAAATAAAAGTATGGAGTTGATATAAATACATGTCCACATATATCAGAAATCACAATAATCTGAAAGCATTAGTTATATGGTAGACAATAACATGTTAGATTTTTAAAAATCCAACCGTATGCTGTCTACAAAAGATATACTAAAACAAAAGGACCCAGAAAGGTAGAAAAAATAAAAGGGTGGAAAAAATAATACCAGGAAAATATAAACTAAAGAAAGATGAGGGCAGATATGTTAATATAATGCATAATAGACCTTATATAATATTAAAAGCATTATTAAAAATAAAACAAAAGTTAAATTAACCAGGAAGGTTAATCCACTTCAAACACTAGTGTCTTTAATTTTGTCTGTTTGGGTACTATTTATAAGAATGGGATCTTACACTATGTTTTCTTCTACAATTTGCTTTTTTTTTCTCTCAATGAGACTCATTCATGTTAATGTTTGCAGTTATAGTTCATTCCACTGCTGAATTCCATAGTAGAAATATATCTATTATTAATATATTCTAATATTAATTGGTAAAAAGTGAAACAAGTGACATGAATAAGAACAGCAGTGCCGGGCGCGGTGGCTCACGCCTATAATCCCAGCGCTTTGGGAGGCCGAGGCAGGCAAATCACGAGGTCGAGAGATTGAGACCATCCTGGCCAACATGGTGAAACCCCATCTCTACTAAAAATACAAAAATTAGCTGGTGTGGTGGCACACTCCTGTAGTTCCAGCTACTCGGTAGGCTGAGGCAGGAGAATCGCTTGAACCTGGGAGGCAGAGGTTGTAGTTAGCCGAGATCACGCCACTGCACTCCAGCCTGGTGACAGAGCAAGAGTCTCTCTCAAAAAATAATAACAATATAAAAAAAGAACAGCAGGAATGTTTGTAATAGCCAGAAACTTGTAACAATACAGAGACTCACAAGATTGCTTAGAGATTGCACAAATATGTAGCACTAAAGCCATGCATTGCTTAACACCAGGGATACATTCTGAGAAAGGCATCGTTAGGCAATGTCACAGTCACACACAAACATCGTAGAGTATACTTACACAAACCCAGATGATATAGCCTATTATAACTAGGCTATATGGTATAGCCTATTGCTTCCAGGCTACAAACCTCTACAGCATGTTACTGTATTGAATAATATATGCAACTCTAACACAATGGTATTTGTGTACCTAGACATATCTAAATACAGAAAATCTATAATAAAAAATATGATATAAATGGTATACCTGTATAGGGCACTTACCATGAATGGAGCTTGCAGTACTGGAAGTTGCTCTGGGTTAGTGAGTGAGGGAGAGGTGAGTGAAAGTGAAGGCCTAGAACACTTCTAGACACTAATGTAGACTTTATAAATATTGTACACTTAAGCTACACTAAATTTATTTTAAAATATCCTCTTTCTTCAATAATAAATTAACCTTGGTTTATTGTAACTTTTAACTTTATCAACCTTTAAAATTCTTCACTTTTTGACTCTTGTAATAACACTTAGCTTAAAACATACATTGCACAGCTGTACAAAACTATTTTCTTCCTTTATATTCTTGTTCTATAAGCTTTCTTCTATTTTATACCTTTTTTTTTTAACTTTTAAAACTTTTTGTTAAAAACAAGACACAAACACACACATTAGCCCAGTCCTACACAAGGTGAGAATCATCAATATCACTGTCTTCACCCCCACATCTTGTCTCACTGGAAGGTCTTCAGGGGCAATAACACACATGGAGCTGCCATCCTGTGATAACAACGTCTTCTGGAATACCTTTCGAAGGACCTGTCTGAGGCTGTTTTACGGTTACATTTTTGAAGGAGGATACTCTAAAATGATGATTAAAAGTACACTATAGTAAACATGTAAACCTACTAATATAGTTGTTTATTATCATTATCAACTATTATGTATGGTACATACTTGTATTGTGTATACTTTGGGAGCACAGTCATTTGTTTACACCAGAATCACCACAAACATGTGACTAATGTACTGCACTGTGAGGTTACAATGCCACGAGGTGACAGGAATTTTTCAACTCCATTATAATCTCATGGGATCACCATTGTAGAAACAGTTCATTCTTGACTGAAACAGTGTTATGCAGCACATGGCCGCATACACTGTACTATAAAAAAAACACAAAGCTATAAATAAAGGCGAGGATATGATTAACATAAAATTCTTGATAGTAGTTACTTCTGGGAGAAGAGGTGATATAATCTGGAAGTATAACTAAGAGCCTTGGAACTACTGATGGTGTATGGTGCAGGGGGGAAGTTCTGCAACTTTGGATGATTTTCTTACCCTAGGATCAATTTATCTCAGATAGCTAGTTAAAAGCAGTAAAGAGATGGAAAACTAAATTTCCTGACTACAAACAGGTTCCCAACAGCATTTCCAAATGATAGTTCTAAAAACAAAAAGCAGGGTGGAGGGAGAAGTTCCTTTAGGAAATATTACAAATCATATTTATCTGCAAAAGTTCTACTTAAAAAGCACTGAAGTCCTAAATTTCAGAAACTTACTTAAATGGCTTTAATTTGGTGTTTCCCAGACAAACTGTACCACTGAACACTCCTTTTCCTTTTCCATATCCTACAAAATGACTACTTAAAATCCGAGATTAAATTTTTAAAAATTAAATCTCAAAGTATGGAAGCCTAAGATAGAAAGAGACTGGCAAAATTACACAGGGCCTTGAAACCAGCAGGCAAAGGAGAACCAATGAAAATTTTTGAGCAAACCCAAACCAGGCCAATGAACAGAACCAGATTTTAGAAAGATTACAGTAAGAATAATACTCTGTATGAACAGTAGTGTGAAATTGTGGGGGTGCTAATCACAAGGTCACTGTTAGAGTTTGAGAACTCATAAGAAACTGGACTAAAACAGAGGTAGTACAGATGGAAAGGAGAGATGCAAATTTCACCAACAATATAGAAAGATTTTTCTGGATTTGTCAACTGACTAGGGAGGAGTAAGGAACAAAAAAAGAACTAAAATATTTTCAGTAGGACGACTAAAATACATAATTTAGTTAAATCTTCACAGCCAGCCTATTAAATAGGTATTATGAAAGACTCAAAACTTAATTTTTCCAAAAGCATAAAACTAGTAAATGATGAAGCTAAGAATTGAGTATTTCAGTTGAATACCTCAAAAATAAAGAATGCATTGAACTTATCTTTGGATCCACAGCCCAACACTGTTTCCTTTACAGCAAGAATAAGACTTTAAGCTTTCTAGACAGGTGACTAGGAGATAATGGTATTAGTGTATATGGAATATATATTATATATGGACATATAGAAATCAGAGGTGCTAACTTGTTGGTGAAGACTCTATCTTCAATTCCCTCCCTCCCTTGGATAATCCATCCTTCATATTCTTCCAGGGGACTGAAAAGACAGATCAATGAAGAAATGAGTTACAATTCTTGCAGAGAACTTAAAAGCTTTTCTCAGAAGCATAGGAAAGACTCAACTGCTAAGAACTGGTAGCAATTACCTAATTCTGATACCTGGCTAGCACTGTGTCCAACCATGGTGCCTAAGAATGCAATAACCAGTAAGGATCTACCTACTGGGAAGCTATTTCAATGGGAACAATTTTTTCAACTACACAGCTGTGTTTTTAAGCATGATTATTATGACTATCAGGATGATCTCTTCATTAGAAAGGTCGAAGTTTCTTTTTTATTATTTAAATAAAGCACTTTACCTATTAAAACTTAATTGAACCATAAGACATCATCTAGTATATGACATTCTCAGAAAAATTCCAGTCATATAATTAAATGTCCTTCAAAATGAAATAGAGTAAAAAATAAAATAAATAGTGCACAAATCTTAAACTCAGTAATACTTTCTTTATGGTTCTTGATTCCTTACTCAGTATCATCATTCATGCAAACCAATGTATTTAACAACTGAAATGGAATATAGCCTCCTAAAATAATGGATTCTAGAAGGTAACCATTATAAACTATTGTCAGCTGACATCAGTAAGAAAAATCTACCCCCTTTCCCCAAGGGAGATAACAATTTCATGGAGAGAACAAGTTAAAGAAATATCCCACTATTCCACTATGAACACATAAAACATTTTAAACACAATTTATTAAGCATGTAACTAATAACAGTTATGCAGTCATCTGCTTACGTGAACTAGGCTGCAAACAACTTTAAAAGGACATTTTTTAGGACATTTTCATCGAAGGAAGCAAACTGAGCAATTATGAACAGGCCATGACAGCAGAAAGAGGTGAAAAGTGAGCCTTCCAGGTGGGGCCGATCATTTCAACATCTAAGAAACAATTCACTCCTGTTTGGTAGTATTAGAGGTGGCTTCTCTTATATGTGAAAGAATGTGGGCCCATATGTCATGTCAAGTCACTTAAAATCTCCCAGAGGACCTGACTGCTATAATGGAACTGTCCAATCTCCAGGCAGACCACGGCCCGCCCATCCCTCCCTTTTCTGCTTCATGCCATCACCTCTTCCTTACATTCCCCTCTAGAAGACACCATGCTGCTTTATGACCTAAGTGCCTGCTCATGCCCTCCCCTCTGCCCAGAGTGGCTACCCTGCTATTCTTCACCTGGATAATGACTACTACTTTTCCAAGACTGCTCTCAAGTTCTATCTCCTAGAAAAGTAATTCCTAGACTGCAGAGATGGTCATTTCACTTGTAAATATGATAAAAATACAAAGAGTATAGACACACTGCGGTCTTTTGGGTCTTTGGCTTGTATCTTACTGTTTAACCAAATCTATATTACATTCTTTAAAAGATCCAAGAGTTAACTGTACCTAAATCTAGGTTTTAAAAATGGCTCCTAACACATTGGATGAGATATATTTAAATCTCTAAAGATAAGAAAATGAAGAGCACACATTTTCCAGATCCCAGGGAAAAGAATCATTAAATCTCAAGCACTAGGGTTTTCTTCAGCCAGTTGTCAAGGATCAGAAGGAAAAGCAATTGAATGAAATAGGCACTAGACTCAAACTTATTGCTCTATTCAGTCTGCTGGAGTCCACCAATACAAACAGACAGGGAAAATAATATCTTTACAGTAAAATGCCTGAATTCTCAATTAACTATAATAGTGCTTCTATAACCAACTCTATTTGAAAAGGAGTTAAGGCAAAACTGTGTGTAGTGTATTTGCTAGTGAAAACCCAGAAAGTTTTCACTAGAAGACCAAAGAGAAACTATGGTCTGTACAACGTCTTTTTTTTTTTTTTTTGAGACAGTCTCACTCTGCTACCCAGGCTGGAGTGTAGTGGCACGATCTTGGCTCATTGAAACCTCCGCCCCCTGGGTTCAAGCAATTCTCCTGCCTCATCCTTCCTAGTAGCTGGGATTACAGGCACGCACTACCACACCTGGCTAATTTTTGTGTTTTTAGTAGAGACAGGGGTTTCACTATGTTGGCCAGGCTGGTCTTGAACGCCTGACCTCAAGTGATCCACCCGCCTCAGCCTCCCAAAGCGCTGGGATTACAGGCATGAGCCACTGTGCCCGGCCCTGTACCATGTCTTTTTTAAACCTCCTGCTTGCTGATCAGGAAAACAGCTCAAAATGCAACCATCTCATTTCCCACATTATATACTAAACTTCACTTACTCATTTAGGTCATCCACTTACCCACCTATCTCTACCACCTTAAGGTTGCATTAAGTACCTGCAACATGCAATGCTTTGTCGGAAAGAAATGATACATCTTTTCAGCTTAGGCTAAGATAGGGAAGATGATATACACAAGGGAGGAGTATTTGACCAATCAATGGTTTTTCTCCCTTTTATGGCCATCATAGCATCTAAAGAAGTTTTGAATTTAAATATATTCGACCAGGGAATGCACTTTCTAGTGTGCTGATACATCCCCTAACACCAAGCTACTTCACACATGTATATTATCTGCCTGGCCACTAGAAGGCATTTGAACTTCGGACTCCTGAGATAAATGAGTGATAATAGTTCCTTTACAGTTACAAAGTCCTATCACTTACACTATTTCATCTTATCTTTTATTATTCCTATTATAGGGATGAGAAACATTAAGCTCAAAGGGGTGATTTCTCCAAGGTCACACAGCCAGTAAATCATGGATCTGGGAGAGGTTATTCTGCATCAGCTAGAGAGAATTCAGGTATGAAAATGGAAAGATAAGTAGAAGCACTAGTGGCAAAGGCCTAGAATTGCAAGAAAAATAGTTTATATTTTATTTTGTAAATCAAGGAAAGGCAGTAAACAATTTAAATTAGAACTCAAAAGGGTCACCAAGATCATATTAGAATTTGAGGAGACTTGATAGTGGTACAAAAGAAAGTAGAAAAGTTAACTGTTAAACAGGGAGAATAGCTAGGCTATGTCAACAGCCAAGAGACTGAAATGGAACATATATATATGATGAACATATACATATGCATATATATAATGGACATATATAAATGCATATATATATGATGGACATATATATATGAATTTTGACTTCTAATTTAAATTGTGTGTACGTGTGTGTGTGCGTAAGACTAATGGACCTGTTTAAAAACATTCGTTTTGCTTGAAAATAGTAAAATTTCCCTGGTAATTCCTAAAAGCCTAGTTAAAAGCATTGACAAAATTTCTGTCTCTAGGATGAATTCACATTCAGCTAGAAAGATTAGCAAGACAGATGAAGGAGACAGACAAAAGGACCAGAAATAACTAAACCCTGGCTAATATCTTATTATGTGAGTTACTTATTCTGTCCAAATCATAACTTCCTCTTTTGAAAGGTGAGTATGATAAAACTGTTGTCCTTCAAAAAACTGAGTTCTAACCATGCAAAGGTGACAACTGTGACATTACAGTTATTGTTAGTCTACACTATTGACAGTAATAGAGAAAACCCTAAACCTTAGCAATACATGAACTCTGTATTAACCAATTCTATAAGATAACTAGAAGAAATCACCGAAATCTATTATCAGTATTTTAAAAGAAAGGCATAAGCATTTTAGTTTATCATTTTTTATTTAAAGAAACATGATCTGATTTACTTTTATATTTAATGTGATGGGAAAAACAATCAGGAAGTACACATAAGTCAGATTATTTTTAAAGTTTTTACAGCTAGCTAAATGTATTAAAACCTATAATTTGTTAATGTAGAAATTAATTTGGCAAGTCCAAATGAGTAATATATTTTATATTAAAGACTTCGTATATCAAAAAAAATGAACAAGTTCACAACTTAAAGAAAGAACTATTTTTTGATGAACAAGAAAGACTTGGAATTAATTTCTGATCTTTGCCTTAGAAAATGTATCTTTTCCTTGCCATGTACGTAGCCCAAATAATTAATTCTACTCCGTCTATTCTGGCTACACAAGTTATATTTTTTAACTGCTAACTTAATCATATGGCATCTTGTATTATAGCAACTACATCAATTTGCCAATAAGTTACCAGTTTGAGTCAAATTAGTTAATGTCACTTTCTACTTTAGAATTTTAATTGGTATAACTCAAAAAGTATAGGCTTAACACCAAGCCTCAAAACACGTTGATTTCAAACACATTTTTATTAAATTGGTGGGAAAGTAGATGGCTTCTCACTTTCATTTTTAAAATTTATATAATAGCACAGAGGAGGTGAAGGTATACAAAAATGGATACCAATATGACTTCACTATGGAATCAGTGAAAGTACAAAATTAAAATAACAAGAACCAGTGTTCACCACATGATATTGAAAAAATCTAATTTAAGTAACATTAAAGAGTGTAAAGAATGGGAAATGTTCATGAATCATTTATCGAATTTTTAAAACTGAGCACCACATTTTGTACATGTAGTGTTCATGGAAAACCAAACTGATTTCAATCACTTAGGGTACATTATAAAAACAACCTGAACATGTATATTTAGAGATTAAAAATCTTATTAACCTGGAGGTTAATAAGAAGATATTTCTGTAAGACATAGAGATAGAATATAGCTTCCTTTTAATGCCACTTTTGGGTTACTGCTATCAACAGAAAATAAAAGCAGACTCCCATTCTGATCAATATCTGAAACCTAATTCAAATGGTTCTCTTCTTTGTACTACTTACATGGAATGATAGTACAACCCCAAGTATTTCAGCCCACCCCTGACTTTTGATTCAAAAATGGATCTATGGTAACAGTCATCTAACAACCTCTTAAGTGCTTGTTTTATGAATCTGGCCCTTACTCAAGAAGTTTCATTGAAAAGTCTTTTAACCTCCTTCTGAAAAGAATTTACAGGACTGTATTTAAGTTCAAGTTCAAGGGTATTAAAATGTACAAAGGAGGGTGAAAAAGGTGCTAGGTTATAGATTTTAACTTCTTAACTAGAAAAATGACTCAAAATAGATTTTCTAATTTACAATGAATCAAAAGAGAAAACATTAGACCATAGCAGAAGTGGCACAAATGTATCAAAAACCAAATGAATAAACATTTGAGGAGATTTATTATTAGAAATTGCAATAAATTTTGGAAAGATGAATTGATTTTAGTTAAAAGGTATAACTGACAATTTATTGGGCGGGAAGATGCATTATTTTCCAATTGTTATCCATCTACAGTAAAACTGATTTGTGTCCTATTGTATTTTATGGAAAAGGAGAGTGCAACTTTCAGTGATTTAGATTAAATGTATTAATCATAACCAAGCACTGTGAACTATATATCTACTATTAAAGAAGATTTTTGACATTTAATTCTGTAGCAATATTTTGGCTCTGTACCACTCTTCCTAAATCCAATTCCTGCTACAGTTGGCAGATTTCTCCCTTTTAATTTTATGAGGCTTAAAGTAGCATTTAACCACCCATGCGGTAAATAATGCGGGATTAGAAATATTTAGTGTTTTGTTTCCCTTTCAAGAGTGGTAATCCATCAAATCCAAAAATGTTCTCTAAAATTTTTCTATGTTTTCGGCAATCTGTAATATATGGTATTGTAAAAACCATAAAATTAAATAAAATGCATTACATAGCTAGAATAGATCTGCTTTTGTAAAGAACTGCGTTAACCTAAAAAAGCAGGTAAAATTCACTTTCAACCAGAAGCATGAATCCTTATTGCAAAACAAAACAAAATAAAAATTAAAGATTAAAACAGGATATTTAATTAGAATCTTTTAATTTTGTTTCTTCAGGTAATGAATCTTAAGGAGTATGCAAATAATTTCTAAGCAGTTTAACCATTTAATATCTATCTAAACAAGATACTGTTACAAGTATTAGAATAATACAGAACAATTATTTAACATCTAGATGCTCTAGGTACGTGGCTAAGTGCTCCATAAATGTAAAACTAAATTTTAAACTGAATATATCATATGTGATGCATATTTGTTCCCAAGAAACACATTTAACTCATAATTTTTTCACACATGTGAGGCACGAGGCAAAAATGAATTGATTCATCTACAGGAGCTAATATTTCTAAGTATAATTTAGAACAGTTACAAAACATTTTTATATTTAACATGTGAGCTTAAAAATAATTAACAACTGCTGTTTAAAAAAAGTATATTTTATTATTAAATCAAAATAACCAACAGAAGTAAAACTGACTTTAAACAAAATCAAATTCCAACTTTTAAATTTTAATTTATATGAAATGCTAATTTTGGTTATTAATGATTCCAAATTATTATAATAATCACACTGTAACTTCATGTGGTACTTTGAGATATATCAAAGTAATAAAGTAACCTGTCAAATGAGTAATTATCTATATTTAATCTATATATAAAACAAATGGCCCAGAAATGAGTAAAGTCTGTAATTCACTCAAGACACAGTGATGCTATATATTCATGGTTAGAACATCTAATTTCTTCATACATATTCATATCTTAATTCACTTTTTAAAAAATTCATGATTATAATTGTTATAAAAATAAGTTTATGTCCTCCTAAATGAAATCAAGGATTACTTATTAGAAATAAGATAATCTAAAAAGAAAGTGTTTGTGTGTGCACATGTGTGTAAAGGTACCTTTCCCATATATAAAGTGCCTGCTTTGCCCTCCTTGTCCTTCACAGTGCTACACTGTGGAGCTGGGAGTTATACATTGGGAGAAATAGGATGAAAGAAAACGCATCCAGTCAGCTAGACAGCTGGCACCTTTAAGGAGCATGCCAAAGGAAAGTAAAGGCATTTCAGTAACAAACATATGATTACAGTAAGATGTTAAGGAAAGAGGGTGACTCTGAGATTACATTCAGTCAAGGAATGAGTTAGATTAATTGGTATTTCCTAAAAACAGTCAATTCCAAAAGTTGAGCAAGCACAGTTTTGAGAAGCTATATGAGGAAGAAGGATTACTGAAGAAGGAACAGGTCTGATATTAGTATATATGAAAGGGGCTAATGCCAAATATGTGGCTTGAATTAAATTATTTATTTCAATATCATTTATAATTTTAAAGAGTAAACTAAGGATTCAATAGTAAAAAAACCCTTGAATCTTTCCTCAAAAGGGGAACTCAATCAAATTTTGAGACAGGCAACATTGAAAAATTCACAAGTAATGTAAATTTCAAGTCTCAGTGTTTTCAAAAGTAACATTCAAAAAAGCAACATCACTATAGCTCTAGCTGAAAATATGGAAAAAGCGTATTATTCTGAGAATTTTAATTTGCAACAGAACTGGAGTTCAGAGATCTAACTGTGATATTTTCTTTTTTTCTTTTTTTTTTTGATGGAGTCTCACTTTTGTTGCCCGGGCTGGAGTGCAATGCTGCGATCTCAGCTCACTGCAATCTCCGCCTCCTGGGTTCAAGAAATTCTCCTGCCTCAGCCTCCCGAGTAGCTGGGATTACAGGCATGTACCACCACGCTTGGCTAATTTTTGTATTTTTAGTAGAGAAAGGGTTTTGCCATGCTGGCCAGGCTGGTCTCGAACTCCTGACTTCAAGTGTTCCACGCATCTCAGCCTCCCAAAGTGCTGGGATTACAAGCATGAGCCACCGCACCCGGCCGATCCTTCTTAATGTAGGTAACTCTTTGAAAATCTGTTTGTGAACCCATAAAATGGATCCTATAAACGTGCTCCTTAGAAAACATTAAGTGTTATTCAAATATTTACTGTTGTCACTAACCTTTAAAATATATATATAAAAAAGAAAACTGACAGGTAACAGAATAATTTACTTTTTAATAAACTTGAGAAAGAAAAAACCTACATGTCACAGTAAGGACCTTTTAACATAACTTAAATCAAAAGATACCAAAGAATAGGAGAGAAAACATTAAGTGGGGTGAAGTGGTAGAAGAAAGAATTGATAGAAGGAAGGATGAAGAGTATCTTTACATTATGAAAAATGATAACATTGAAAAATAAAACACACTTACAGTTCAAAAGATTTAATTTCATAAACCAAACTCAGAATAATGACTTGCCCAGTATATTCATTAAATTGACCAAAATATCTGGCTGAGATATATTATTTTAGTAGGCAATTAGGTCTATCCAATTTTTAAAAAATTAATTGGAAATATATATTTTACCCTTACAAGGAATTCTGTATAGCTTGATGGTTAAGTCCTTGGGAAATTGGCCACAGGGTAGCGTTAAAATCCTGTGACCTTGAACAAGTCATTTAAGGCATTTGTCCCTCAGTTTCCTGGTCTATAAGATGGAGAGGAGATAATATTGACCTAATTAGGCTTTTTGTGAACATTAAATGATTTGATATACATAAAAAGATTAGAATAACACCTGGCAATTAATAAGAACTCAATAAATGTTAGCTATTATAATGAATAGTAATCAAATATTTCTGCCCTTTTATATTAGTTTAACACAAAAGCTGATATGAAAAATAATAATATTCTATAATGAAATATTATACTGCCAAACGAATGAAAATATAGGTATGATTTAGAATCTCTCCGCCATTTTTTCGAAGTGTAAAAAGCAAGGTTAAAGTCACAGAAGCTCTATTTGTACAGATGAGTATGGAAGGGACTGGGCATAGGGAAGGACTTCCTACTGGATACTTTCTGTCTATCTGAATTTTAAAACCTGTGTATTTATTATTTTAAAATAATGATAATTAAAAGAAAAGAACACTAGCTAGGACTTCCCAGGAAACATAACACATTGATCATATATTTATTTCAGCTTCCTCCCAAAGCCCAATTAAAATCAATAGAATAAAAAGGTACAACTCCACAAGGACAAAGAGAATAGGAATAAGATACCAATAGACAAAATATGTCAACAGGCCAGGTGTGGTGGCTCATACCCGTAATCCCAG
This sequence comes from Homo sapiens, assembly GCF_000001405.40. Classification (NCBI taxonomy): domain Eukaryota; kingdom Metazoa; phylum Chordata; class Mammalia; order Primates; family Hominidae; genus Homo; species Homo sapiens. The sequence goes on from NC_000001.11 coordinate 217,597,081, forward strand.
CACTAAGGCTAAGGCGGGAGGATCACTTAAGGCCAGGAGTTCGAGAACAGCATGGACAACATAGCAAGACCCCTGTCCCTACCAAAAAAAAAAAAATTAAAGATTAGCTGGGCATGGTGGTCAGTGTCTATAGTACTAGCTACTCAGGAGGCTGAGGCAGGAGGATCACTTGAGCCCAGGAGTTCCAGGCTGCAGTTAGCTATGAGGGAACTACGGGAACTACTGCACTATAGCCTGGGCAACAGAGTGAGACTCTTGTCTCTTAAAAAAAAAAAAAACGGCAAAATCACAGAAGATGAAAATCAAACGGATGCGAGGCTGACCGCCCAGCTTCTTCTATATGCAACAGGGTGGGGAGAGGGTGGCAATAAAAAACAAGCTGACTGAAACACCAGACTCCAGAAAAGTTCACAAATTGGAGGCTCTAGATACCTCTTAAACAGGCAATTCATGGATAGTCTATTTTTTAAAAAGTTGATCTCCAGATCCCATTTCTCAGCCCATCCAGTCATATATTACAACTTCTACCCTATATCCCACCAGAAGCTCAAAACTGATTATATGAAAATGTTAAACTAGAAAGGGGTCATTCCTACAAAGCTCATGATACCCTTTTACTAAAATCAGGAAAATTCAGTGAAAGTCTGCACAATGAATGCTCCCTGTCCTTGTTTATAACAAGAATGTTGGCTAGTGGACTCCATTCTATCCCCACCCCAAATAACAAAGGCATATCGTTCTCTCTGCAACTTGTCACAGGGAAATCCCTACGGATAGCAACACATACAGATCCCCCAACCAAAAGGTCTAGCAAGCCCTGCATCTGCACACTAGGCATCCAATCATGTTTTTAATGTGCTGTCAACTGGGACTGTATATGCTATCATTTCATGAAGCACATAAAAGGGCAAAATTAAAACAATGAAAACCTTGGAAACTAATATTTTTCAGAAAGAATGTTGTTACTTAAAGTTACACTGGCAATATAACTAGTGGCGGAAAACTGCCTATAAAACATAGGGTCGGTGGGCGCAGTGGCTCACATATGTAATCCAAGCACTTTGGTAGGCTGAGGTGGGAGGATTACTTGAAATCAAGAGTTTAAGACCAGCCTGGCCAACATATCGAAACCCTGACTCTACTAAAAATACAAAAAAATTAGCTAAGTGTGGTGGTGCATGCCTGTAATCCCAGCTACTTGGGAGGCTGAGGCACAAGAATCACTTGAACCTGGGAACTGGAGGTTGCAGCAAGCCAAGATCGCACTATTGCACTCAAGCCGGGGCCACAGAGCCAGATTCTGTCACGAAAACAAAACAAAACAAAAAACCATAAGGTCATACCCGGTAAATAACCATCAACATTAAAAAAAATTTTTTTTTTTTTGAGACAGAGTCTCGCTCTGTTGCCCAGGCTGGATGGAGTGCAGTGGCGCAGTCTTGGTTCACTGCAACCTCTGCCTCCTGGGTTCAAGCAATTCTCCTGCCTCAGCCTCCCAAGTAGCTGGGATTACAGGTGCCTGCCACAGGTACCTGCCACCACACCCGGCTAATTTTTTGTATTTTTAGTAGAGATGGGGTTTCACCATGTTGGCCAGGCTCGTCTCAAACTCCTGATCTCGTGATCCACCTGCCTCAGCCTCCCAAAGTGCTGGGATTACAGGCGTGAGCCACTGCTTCCAGCCTAAAAAAATATTAAACACATACAATGTGCTAATAGCTCCCATCGTTGGAGCTACTGTATGTGCTAACAGGACTCCCATCATTGGGTAGACATAGTTAAAGTAAGCAGATGGTTAACAGTATAAAATACTAGGTTATCTGTGAATTAATTAATGAGTGGCAGAGACAGAAGATATAATGCCATTTCAGATAACAGAGTGACCTCAAAAGTGTGAAGAGTTGGGGAAGGTTTTGAAAAAAAGGTACAGAATTGAACTGATACCTGAAGGACACGAATCTAGCAGGAAGAAGTGAGGGATACACTGTTGTGAACAGAGGTGTAAAATACACGGATATGGTTGAATATGAGAAGGCTGGAGAAAGAGTGGGGGCACTGAGAACATAACACCATCTGGAAAGGAGTGAAGTATTATAGGTCATAGGTGAAGAGTGAAAATAGAAAAGAACAAATCCGAATTTTATTAAGACGGTAATGGAAACTATTTCTTGGCACAGGAGTGACATGAGCATAACCACACTTTAGAAATGTTTACTTGCAGTTATGTGTGATATGGATTACAGGCAGGAAAATCAAAAGACAGACCAGGGAGGAGGCTATAAAAATGTAAGGCTATGAGATACTACACCAGGGTAGTGACAGATGAAATTGAAAAGAAGGGGCTGCTATGACAGATAAAGAAATAAGGCTCAGACTTGTCTAGATGTGGCAAGAGTGGAGGCAGACAAAGATAACACATGAAACCAAATGTTACACTGAAGGACCAAAACCCACTTAGGATCAATGCTTCCCTTAACAAATGTTAGGTCTCTTTCTTTGCTCCCCTTTTCTCAATTAATTTTCAGTTACCAAACTGTAAGGTACTTGAGGACAAATTTTGTATCCCCAGCCCCTTGAACAATGAAGACATCCTAAGTCTTCATGACATGTGCTTACAGCTGAACCAAAAACTTTATAGTTGAAAACACAATTAGGCAAGACATCAAGTTTCTGAGTCAAATGTAACATATACTTATTTATTCATCTGACAAATGATATAAAATACTTTTGTGAATTTTTATAAAGTATTTTTGTGAATTGAAAAATTAGAAGAATTTATTAAGGATATATGTAAATGAGATAAAATGAGATGAAATCTAAGTAATAAACATTTAGTTTTTAAAGAACAGTTTCTAGATTGAATACTTCAAAATCGATTCAAATCTAAAACACCTCAAAAAAACCAAGTAGATACCATTAAATGTTACTACATAGTTACATGTCACTTAAAGATAAACACTCCTGCAAGTTCAGAATTGTATGGACCTGGAATACTTCAGTAGTAAACTGTCTATGACCAAATATGAGATTTAAATATGAAGTTCTAAGAGGAAGATTAATGGCACAAGTCATTACTCCTTTGGTATGGAAAAAAAATAATCAAATTGCCCCCATTAAGTACTGGTCAGTGTTTCAGATAATTGGGACTGAACAACAAAAATTTTACAAGTTTTATTGGCTTAAAACATACATAAGTACCTGTTGGCATCTCTGGTTTATCAGAATCCCCTTTCCTGGATGACAGTCAACAAATAACTGGTTGGCATCCTCTAACTATAGTAAAGAAAACTCCTATCTAGATGATTTCATTATGAATTTTCAGTTCTTCAAATTCACCTTCAGTTGGAGGACTTGCAGGTGACTTCCGTATAGAAAGTACTTGTTAAATATTATTTGGAAGTGTTCTACCCATCATTGATTTTGAACTTTTCTGATATTAGATATCTGACATATCTGAAGGGAAAGTAGAAAACCGAAATTTATAGACCATCAGAATAATTGTATCAGAAACATAAAAGGGAGAAAAACAGAGTAGGAGCTTCCAAGAAAGTAAAATGTTTGCAGCATTTCTGTTTCCCTGATTTTGATTTTTAAAAAATAATAATAATGGGGACTATGGCAATGTCATCACCATTTTAAAAGACAACTAAAAAAAGGTGTTGCATCTTCATCTGTGAAGTCAAATGGTTACAAATCAGCAGCCTTAATTTTGAAAGAAAGAGCATTTTAAAACAATTTTCAAAGGTTTGTTAGGATACAAAAAAGAAAAGTTTTAAAATGATGATCACAGTCTAAGACGTATTTTTAGAAAACCTTACATTTGCAAATTCAATGTTTTTAAAGACATTCATTAAAAAGTCCATAGATCACATATATCTCGAAAACAAAACAGTAAAATAAGCCATTTCTTTACTAATAAAGGAATGACTTAAGAATTTGTATGCAAATACTAAAGTGAGAAAAATAAAATGCAGAAAGCATGGTATTTCATGCATTTTTAAAAAGCTAATAAAAAGACTAGTTGTACTGCATAATATTTAAGTAGCCATGAAAGCAGAAGAGTAAACTGGTAACCTCTGTAGCGAAGTTCTTACATATTAAATTTCAGGACATACATTATGATGAAATCTAAAGGGAACATCCAAAATGCTATATAAATATTTAGCATCTGTAAACTTTCTTTAAAAAAAATCATTCAAAAGTTACAAAGAAACGATACATGTTTGAGGTGATGGACATCGTAATTAATCTGATTTATTACATATTGCTTACGTGTTTCAAAATATCACATTACCCCATAAATATGTATAATTATTACTGTCTCAATTAAAAAAATAAACATAAAGGCAAAAAAAAAAATTCAGAAGCATTAGTAGTAAAGCTGTACCTGGTAAACAAAAGTGCCTTTTTTGCTATTCGCAGGCCTATCCATACTGACATTTAAAAGCTTTGGGCAATCTGATCAGGAATCAGGAGAGATGGCTAAAACCCATCCCACCAACTTCTTGAATGAACAGGTATGAATAATGTTCATTCAATAATGAATAATGAACACCCTTGCTCCTTTCCCCAGTTGTTAAAAGGGCAATTAGAAGAAAGGCACTAGACTGTCCAAGGCTGTCCAAGGCTGAAAATTCCAGCCTGCAAATCATATTCTCTCCAATCAACTTCATATCCTATAATTCTCTAACACTTACCCTGCTTAATTTTCTCCATGTCCATTTTTATTTCCTTATTCTCCTCCCAACCTCCACCAGGTTTATTTTTATTCATTAAAATGTAAGCTTCAAGAGATCGTATCTAACTTGTTCATCACTAACACCCAAGGCCCAGCAGTATCTGATACTGGTATTACCTAGTATCAAAAATCTTTGTTAAACGAGTGGATGTCATGCAAGAGTTGATCAGAATATCAGGTCCAGTAAAAATTTAAGGGTTCAGTCTAGTCCATGGATCCTACCTACTGTAGAATAGGCATGGATCTTAGCCTCCTGATATAGTCTTAACTTGTAGTTACCTAATGTACTCTCTATACTGCTGCCCATGTAATCTTTTAAAAAACAAATCTGATAATTCTTAACCCCTTGGAGATTACATGGGTTCAAATGCATTCCTGTGGACCACAACGTCCATAAGCACCTAACCCATGCCCACATTTTCAGCCAAACCCTCCCTGCTACACACCACTCCACACAAGCATATCTTATATCTCAGTAATACTGGATTCATGGTTTCCTGAATACCCCATGCTTTTTCAAACTTAATCCTTGACCATGCCTTTCTGTCTGCCAATTTCCCTCCCCATCAGTTGGTAAGCTCTAACTCATTCTCAAAGTCTCAGCTAAAAAGATCAACCTCCTTTAAAAGGCTTTCCCAGAGTTTTGCTAAGTTACATGAGAAAGGAGGGGAAAGGAATATAAGAAATACAGAGGATATAATCACAGCTGAACTAAAATAGCAATGTGACAGCTATGAGGCACATTGTAAAACAGGTTGGAGAGATAATGAGGGACCATGGAGGTCAGGCAGGGAGAACAAGCTGAAACAGAGCAAGCAAGCAGACCAGAAGGTGCTAGAATTAGATCAGCAAAAAGGTACTATAGACTACCTGAGAAACATACAAAGGGAAGAAAGGGTGAAAATGGAGGACTGGGTTCCAGTGATTAATCTGATAGAAGCAGTAAAACATTTCATTATCATTTTTATTATGGCACACATCTTGATTGTGCTTGCCATTCAAGATACAAAGAATGCTTGTGAGTATTTCAAAAATAACTCACACTTTGTAACCAGGCATTTTGTGACCAAGAAATGAAGACTACTTTATGAAGAGAATTTATTTATATTTATTAATATTAGCAACATGACAGAAATATAACTTCCAAATCGTATTAATTTTGGCTTGTCAAAGGAAGAACATGTAATAAACTGTTTAAGTTGTAAACATTAATGTATATTATAGATATGTTAATAAGATTAATGAAAAAATATATATAAATAGCCTGTAGAAAAGTGTCTGGCACATAGTAAGTAAGCATCATTGTGTCTAATTACCAAAATACTAACATTCACTTTGCAAGGTTCCATATTTCTGAAGCATCACAAACCCAAATGACAATGAAGTCTATGAAGTCAAGCCAATTCGAAGACTAAGTTATCAGAGAAGCAAGAACCAATATTTTAAATATATGGAAAAATATGTTGTCAATTTTGGTAACATTAAAATACCAAGATTGAACACCTGTTTATATAGTTTTTCCTAAAGGGTTTTCAAGACTAAATATGGAGAATATAATACACATTAAAATACTGTTAATTAAATGAACAAATATACTACTGTATTGGCACTATTTAAATTTGTAAATATCTGCTCTTTTAATAAAGCATAATACAATAAAAATATCAAGACAGACATCATTTAATAGAACTGAATGAAAAATTATTCAAGTCATATTTTCAAATAACTATGGATATTAAATTTTTATGATATCGAATCTACAGTTGTAAATGACATCAAAATAGAGAATTTATTTATTTATTTATTTATTTTTACTTTTTTTGAGATGGAGTCTCACTCTGTTGCCCAGACTGGAGTCCAGTGGCATGATCTCCGCTCACTGCAACCTCCACTTCCTGAGTTTAAGTGATTCTCCTGCTTCTGCCTCCCTAGTAGCTGGGATTACAGGCACATATCACCATGCCCTGCTAATTTTTGTATTTTTAGTAGAGACGGGGCTTCACCATGTTGGCCAGGCTGGTCTTGAACTCCTGACCTTAAGTGATCCATCTGCCTTGGCCTCCCAAAGTGCTGTGATTATAGGTGTGAGCCACCGTGCCTGGCCCAAAATAGAGAATTTTGAATCAAAGAGACTGTATTAAAATGTCTTTTGTAAAAGAAATATTTATTATAATTCTATTAAGTTGTACCTTTCTAAGATACAGAATCAAGTTATCTCAAAATAAGTTATTTAAAAAAGTGTCAGTTTCTGGCCGGGCACAGTGGCTCACGACTGTAATCCTAGTACTTTGGGAGGGCGAGGTGGAAGGATCACCTGAGGTCAGGAGTTTGAGATCAGCCTGGCCAACATGGTGAAACTCCATCTCTATTAAAAATACAAAAATTAGCAGTGCACAGTGGCACACAAATGTAGTCTCAGTTACTAGGGAGGCTGAAGCAGGAGAATCACTTGAACCCGGGAGGCAGAGGTTGCAGTGAGCCAAGATCACACCACTGCACTCCAACCTGGGTGACAGACTCCATCTCAAAAAAAAAAAAAAAGTATCAGTGTCTAATGTGAAATCTGGATCTTAAACTGATTTTGAAATAAGATAAAATTAATATATAGTAATAGATCAGAATATACATGACATATATTTAAAATATAACAGTTTAAAAACACTTTCTTCTTGTATTCTCCAAAGTATCCCAAAATGTCTTATGGATACAAACATGTATCAGTTCACAGGGGTTAAAATAAAGCATTGCACTAGTGAATTCCACTCAAAAAATGTTAGATAATCAGTCATGGTCAAATTACAGTTGAGGACATAGGCTGTATTTTTTAAAATCATTTTAGATTTGCTTTCTATCATAAAAGTTTTCCTTTCTCTTAGACTATCAAGCGCCCTTATGTAAATTAACTGCATTTTAAATGGCCCTTCTGGCCTAGTGTGATGGATCATGCCTGTAATCCCAGCACTTTGGGAGGCCGAGGCCAGTGGATCACCTGAGGTTAGGAGTTCGAGACCAGCCTAGCCAACATGGCGAAATCCTGGCTCTACTAAAAATACAAAAATTAGCTGGCGTGGTGGCAGGCACCTGTAGTCCCAGCTACTGGGGAGGCTGAGGCAGGAGAATCGCCTGACCCTGGGAGACAAAGGTTGCAATGAGCTGAGATCTGCCACTGCACTCCAGCCTTGGCAACAGAGCAAGGCTCTGTCTCAAAATAAAATAAAATAAAATAAAATAAATGGCCCTTCTGCTGTAAAAGGCTATAAAGTAGACTAAATATTCCTACTCTAGTTTCCTAACAAAAGTTGAGCAAGACATACAGAGTAAATCATTACAGTATGATTGTCATTAACAAAATGCCACTCATGTCATCCTGGTTTTCTATGACTTCACAGAAGAAAATACAATATTCTTTTTCTCCTATAGAATGAATTGACTCAAGATTCTAAACAGATACAAATTATTGTGTTCAGGGTTTTTGTATAGTGAATGCAAACAGTATGCTTATTTGTACAGCATGATAAATTGGATTAAGAGCTAATGTTCACATTTTTTTCAGATTTCTGAACTTGATAAACATGTATAAATAGTCAATTAAATCAGATTCATTTTCTTTGGCAGAATAACCACCAATACCAGCACCAATGTATTCTTATTCCAACTGTACAGAAAAGTGGACTGAGGCAATTATAAAGCTTTTCAACAAATTCCTATCACAATTGTGTAAAATTTCTATGTAATATTTATGTTGGCCTTCAACAACTGTGTTTTAAGCTGAGTCATTTATTTCCTGATCTTTCAAAAGACTACACAATTTGAATGCGGATTTTCAGTAGACCAATGTAACACCTGTTGTAAGACCATTAATTCAAATCAAAAAAGAATTTTAAAAAGCTCTGACCTACAAAAAATACTGATTTTTTAGGATGCATAGGAATAGGATATATCTTGGCTATCTGGAATGTATGCTTACATAAGGTTACTTGGATTCACTTTATAGGTCCTATATCCCACACCTGATTCTGGCATCATTATTCTGAGAAATATTATTCTGAATTGAGTTTAATGCACAAACTATGGAAATATAAGAGATTCGGGCTGAATCTCCTGGATAATAGCCTCCACATATCCCTTGAAATTAATGACCATTTGCTTCATTCTCCTAAAAGTGGGGAATAAGAGATGCTAGTTAGCTGGGTTTTAACAAACTGGTACTTTACTACGATGGCAACAGTAATTCCTCTCAACACAAAAATCTCAGGACTCTGTTTGCATGCACATGAGCATAATTAATTTAAAAAATCAGATAGGTTAAATAGATCAGGACCCAAATCTCCTGAACAGTATAGGTTCAGGAATAGCTATTAGGCCTTCTCCCTCCATCATTTAAGCTATTCATTTAGCTTAAATGATGGAGGGAGAAGGCCTATGTGCTCTGTGGTCAGGAGAAGAGTTTAGAGCAGTTTCTCAGTTTGCAATTAAGTTTTGAGATTTAGTGGAGTGGCTGTCAACCTAAAATTTATTTGAAACTATGATTCACAGACCATATTAAAGAAAGAGGCCAGTTCAAATATAAAAGAGGTATAAAAGAAACATAAAAGAATGCCATATAAAGTGCTTTAAATATTAAATGTAAAGGCAAATTTTATATAAAATATGAACAAGCCAGTTGCGGTGCTTCACGCCTGTAATCCCAACACTCTGAGAGGCTTGAGCCCAGGAGTTTGATACCAGCCTGGACAACATGGCAAAACCCCATCTCTACTAAAAATATAAAAATTAGCCAGACATGTTGGTGCACGCCTGTAGACCCTGCTACTCAGGAGGCTGGGGTGGGAGCATTGCTTGAGCCTGGGAGGTCACGGCTGCAGTGAGCCTTGATTGTGCCACTGCACTCCAGCCTGGGCAACAGAGCAAGACCCATCTCAAAAAAAAAGAAATACCAGAAAAGTTTAAGGTCCACAATTCTGCACTTTGACTCATGATACAAATGTTCTCTAAGTCCCAGCTATTGTGTTTAATATATCTAATAATAGTAACAATCATTTATTTAATATATATTATGCACCAGAGATGGTGCTGGGCCCATTATGCATACACAATCTCATTTAAAAACCTGACGACACTTATGCAAAAGTAAGTATTGTTGGTATTAAACAAAAGGAGGGAAGGAGGTTCAAAATCTAACTACAACTAAAAAGAAGAATCAGAGTGTGGATTCACAAAGGTCTGACTTCAAAATCTATAAATTTTCTGCAATATCACTTTGCTCTCTATAAAACTAAATACAGTCAATCTCGTTCCCATTGTGGATTCCATATTTTTAAGTCGGCCTGCCTGCTAAAATTTATTTGTTAACCCCAAAATCAATACTCACAATTTCTGACTTTTGTAGTCATTCAGTAACATGTACAGAGCAGTGAAAAATGTTGAGTTGCCCGACATACACGTGCATTCCTACCAGAGGTCAGTCAGGTGACTTTCTTCCTACTCGTTTAAACTATCATACTGTAAACATATGTCCCTTTTGTAGTCTAAATTAGTACCAGATTTTTTTTTGAATTGTTGTGCTTTTTGTGGGTGATTATTCTGTTTTAAATAGCCCCTTGTATAGTGCTGAGAAATGCCGTCTAGTGCTCCTAAGTGCAAGAAGGCTGGGATGTGCCTTATAGAGAAAAGACTTGATAAGCTTTGTTCAGCCGTAAGTTATAGTGCTATTGGCCATGAGTTCGATGTTAGTAAGTCAACAATATATATTAAATGTCTCTAAACACAAACATAAACAAAACAAGGTTATCTATTGATCAGTTGGTGAAAATGTTGTGACCAGAGGCTTCCAGGAACCTAACCCTGTCTTTCCCTTAGGAGCCATGATTCAGTATTCCCTAATTCAATGTTTTCAGCAAGTGTATAGAATACAGTTATGGCAAATAGTCAGAATCAACTATAATACAACTGAAAACTTTCCCCCAAAAAATGTTTACATTGATATTTCAGTAAAAGATTCTTCCTCTGTCATTTCCTTCAAAGATACTACATCATTATATTTATGCAGTCATCATTCATCTGCTTAAGAAACCTTTTGTTGGCCTTCTGTTTAATGGGTTGCAGCTCCATGTGTTTTACTTTGCTCAGAAAATTAATCTCTCTTAAAAACAATCTGGCTTTCCAGTGTGAAAGTTTAAGGCAATTAAATTTCACTTCTTATTACCAGATGTCATGGATACTGTGTAAAGATGACTGTTTTGTGAGATTATGATTTTTAAAACTAGATATTATAGTTATACATAATATAAACAGCATAAGCAACAACAACAACAATGAAAACTTAGCAAATGAAATCAGAGAAATAGCAGCACAAATTGGAACTCTTACCTTTCTTGCCCAAGTCAGAGATTTTATTGAAAAAAAAAAATTACAGTACTTAAAAATTCAAACAAGGACAATTCAGGGTTGAAAGAAAGAAAACCCGAAGGAGTCCATTGTCTTCAGTAAAGTTTTAAATACAAAAAACATAGACCAGAAAAACAGCTTATGGCCTAATGCACTAGTTCCATGATAAACACACATATATAGTATGTCTCCATCAAGTGAAACTTCATCACCTTTTTACAATTTAGAGAGGGAAAGCAGCTTTTAGTATGGTTAAGCCATGTATCATCAATACCATGAAGCTAGCCTATCAGTTGTAATAGCTTCTATAAAATACCACAGTGAGATTGCAATAAGCCTAGAAAATGGGCTACAAATCCCAGCTATGCTCAAGCAAGCAGTGAACCAAAAATAAAAATAGGTAAAACTGAACCAAGAACTAGATAGCATTCATCTAGATTCATGATTGATAAGGCAAAGTTCATAGGCCAAGGTTTTAAAGTGACTTATTCAGATCTAAAAGACAGTCATTATACAAAATAAAACAAAAGCATTTATGTAATTCAGAAAAAAAACATGAATTTTCACTCCAAAGACATAGCACAGAAAAGCTTACTTACAATTACCAACACCACACTATTGTACCTTTAAATATGCAAAGGTAAAGAGACTCAAAGTTGCATTTTACCATTTTTAATCTCTCCAAATTAGACAAGCAATCTAAAAGAAGATGTCACACATTCCTGTTTAATGCATTTGCTGAAATCTTTCAGACTTTAAAAACTTTAGGTAAAAGCAATGGCAACTTGAAGTTTCTTTTCCAATCATATTTAAGTTAGCCATTAAATGCTGAATTAACAATTAATCCATACAATAATATAAAAATACACATATTAAATCACATTGTTTTTCATTATTGAAGCTTAATAAAAATATCATTTTAATATAACCATTTTGAAGAACTCAAATGGCTGAACTTATTATAGTGTCTAAATTATACCATCAATAGAAACATTACATTTTCCCCCCAGTTGGTGAAAATGAGCTCATGCAAGTATTTCTGACACTCACAGTGACACATATGGTCTGCCATTCTAAAGATGTACAAGCAGCTCTCACTTTTAAACATGACAATATGATTCAGAATCACACAGCATTTGTTAAAAATACCAGCTTTCACATGTTTCATTAAGCTCTAAACCAAAATAATAATTTTGATGTGTTTCAGGTATCAGACAAAGCAGATAATTTAAAAGGTAAATGATTCTACTAGTGCAGACTAGTTATCACTGTGGCTAATTTAAAACGAGGATGATTTTTGCAGTACAATGAAAGCTATACTATAAAATACAATGAGTTTGCAATACAAGCAGATTACCCAAGTAGAAAGGAAGCTGAACAAAATACAAACTCCAGCAAAGATTATCAACCTTACCTACTACTCATCTTAGCCCTTGTTAAAATACCCTGAGTAAAATGCAAATATTTTAAATAATGCTGGTTATATAAGACTTCTCTAAAAATGAACCATAAATGTCAATGCATCATGATTTTTATTTACAACAGTCAGATATGTAAAAATTAATTCTTAATCAGTCACAATATAAACATTAAGGAATACTTGTCGATCTGGAAGTTTAAAATTTTCTAGCTTTGTTAGCATTTTGGCAAAGCAAGTATACATAAATGGATTCAATGTAAAAAAAAAACCATAAAAGAGAAAAATATATAATTTACAGTAGTTTCTATCCACCCTGGGCCAACCTAAATCCCTAGAAAGCCTCCCCAGTCAGGTTCACTTCTGACTAAAAGGAAGAATACCAGTCCTCCAGCAAAAACAGCCCCATCTTTTCATCAAAGAGGCTCTCACTTCAATGATATTCCTCCAGGGAAGAGGACAGGAGCCAGGTTCCCTCGAATGTCATTCCCCAGATGTTCAAAACGTAACTAATTTATTAGCATTAGAAGATTTGGTTTATAGGGGAATCTCACTGGTCCAGTTTGTAGCCTACAAAAAAATGGATTATTTTTAAGTTTAACATTAGAATATGAATAAAGGATGAGGATGTGGCTTTTTATTCCATAGAAATGGAAACATTTCCAAACATGACAATTACACAGAAAAAGTATGCCTACCATTGAAGTTGGAGTCCCTCCAGATTTTTTAATATTCTTTGAAGACATTCCATGAAGGCGACTGAGTCTAGCTTGGAAACCTGTAAAATCAAAGTACTCAATTTAGAAGTTTTCTATGATCACTGAAGCATAGAAGAAGAAGAGGATCCTATCAATAGAGAAAGAAAAGTAAGTTGGTGGTGGCGGTGAATGCCACGAATATTATTTGGGAAAATGCAAAACTCACACTTAAAAAAACTGAAGCAATGCCTAGCAAAGTACTAAGGCAGTCAGCACTTAACTAACCAGTGTTCAATCACTAGAGTAATAAATACCCATTTTCTTTTTTCCGAATTAACATTCTTATCATTTCAACATTTTCTCAATGAGCCTAGCAAGAAAGCAAGTCAATTTTTCTAATAATTTGAAAGCATGATAAATGTAGTAGCTATATTAGTGGCCAATATGTTTCTTTACAGCATCTTGTGTTTACATTCTCTAATTTCCACTTTATCTTATCCTCCTTGAATGAATATTCCTAGACTGACCTTAAACCCATTATATCTACCAGGGAGCCAGTGCTACTGACCTCTTCTGCTTGGGTGTGACATAAGGGGAAAAGAACCAGTTAAGATACTTTCAAAGACAGGATCTGGTACATTTTTGTCTAGCTCAGTAGGATCTTCCTTTTCCCACCAGGGCACAACTCCAGTGATACCACATGCTCCACCTGATTCCTTTTCGTAGAACCAGTCACTCTGTTCATCATCACCTGTGCAAATACAAGAAACCCCCCCCCACCAAAGACTCAGTTTTATCATCCAGTTACACAATTAGTCTTGTCAGGTAATAAAAATACAAGATGGCAGTTAAATTTGAATTTGAGATCAATGACTAACTTTTAATATAAGTATTATATACTTGCACTAAATTTTTGGTGGAAATATGTCTAAGTACTGCATGGGACATACCTGTACTAAAAAATTATGTGTTATTTACCTACAATTTAAATGTAATTGGGGATCCTATGTTTTATTTGACAACTGCATATACAATCTATAAGGAAAACTTTTTATTTTATACCACAGCTTCACTTAAGAAATGTTATCTTAAGACTCTAAGAACTGCCAGCAACAAAAACACAAAATATTATGTTTTAGAACCAATTTTAAAATGTGAAAAACAATAATAAACTGGTTAATCCTTTGGCAAAAACTATTAGAAAATCCATTTAAGTTACTACCCCTTCCACGTTAAGAAAAAACAAACCTTAATCTGCTCCTGGGAATTAAAAAGTATTAAAACTGTGGAACCCTTTCTTTGCAGCAGATATAGGTATATAATTAGCTTAATTTCATGATTTGTATGGAGTGTAAAAGGGGAAACAATCATGAACAGATGTGACTAAATGAAATTAATCCAATTAAGCTCATTAAGAAATAGTTTTGAAAAAGTTGATTTTAAATGAAAAGTGACAATACCTTAGAGTTTATGAAGAAACTATATTAAATAATCGAGATGTTTTTGCCCAACAAAACATTTTTTGTCTGTGAGACAAAAACACAGAAGACAGATGGCTTTTAAAAGAAAGAGACACAGGCCAGTCATGGTGGCTCATGTGTGTAATCCCAGTGCTTTGAGAGGCCAAAGTGGGAGGATCATTTGAGGTTAGGAGTTCCAGACCAACCTGGGCAAGAAAGCGAGACCCTGTCTCTACAAAAAGATTAAAAATTAGCCGGGCATGATGACATGCACCTGTAGTCCTAGCTACTCGGGAGTCTGAGGCAGGAGGATCCCTTGAGCCCAGCAGTTTGGGGTTACAGTGAGCTATGATTGCACCACCAGCCCTCCAGCCTGGACCACAGGGCGAGACCTTGTGTTAAAAAAAAAAGATAGAGAAAAGAAAAGAAAAACAGAAAGAAACAAACAGCATTTTTAAGATGATCTGCGATTCATTAAAGTCTCCTTCCCTTGATTATGAGAAGCCACCACTAATTCTGGTTTCTAAGAGGGTCGTTGTAATTGTCATAAACTTTTCCCTTTACAGAAAGATATTTCTGATTTCTAAAATCTCTTACAACAGACATCTTTAAAGGAAAACTAAAAATACTCTTAAGCTTCAGTTGAAAATTATTTTATGAGAAATAGCTATATTTCAACTAAGTCACAATGGAAAATTAAAGGCATTTCAAAAATTAGAGTCATCAGCTCGTTTCTACTGGGGAATTAATTAAAAAAATTTTTCAAAACACACAATTAACAGCACTTAGATATCAGGACTTTTACTGAGCTTTACATTAAAATTACACAGATCAGGTTTAAGCATAAGAAAAAACAGGGCCTCACTTGAAACTGACTACCATATATCTGAATTCCAACACTATTACAGAAAAATAAAGTTATTTTATTTTTGATGTAATACACAACTTTATTCTTCAATAGGGAAATCAAATAGTCATTGATTAAGAACTTGCTCTGAAATCAGACAGACCAATTAGAATTCTAGTGTCTGTAACATCAGGAAAGTTACTTCAACTCTATTAGAGTCAGTTTCTTCATTTTAAAAACTTGGGAATCTCAAAGGGATTTTAAGAATTAATTAAAAACTTAAATGCAAGGAAAACACTTAGCAACGTGAAACATAGTAAGTTCACAATAAATGCTGGCATATCATTCTAAGCCTTTCCATACTTATCAAAGATTGACAGGCTTGTCAAAGTTTTTTTTTACTTTTTTTCATTTCATTTTATTTCATAACCAATATCAGCATTTATAATACAATCCTGAGAAAAGATCTGTATTTTAATGAGAATTTAAGTATATTATCAGGATGGTTACCCTTGCATTTAGCCCCAGCATTCTAACATATTTCAGCAAAGTATCAACTTTAAAGTCCATGGTCTTTCAAACAGTTATGTACCTATTCATTTAGGACAAATAGTTTACAAGCAGGCAAAAAAGAATGATCACTTATGTTTTTTGTACTGCCAAAAGGATGAACAGACTAAGAAAAAAAGTATAGGAGGCTACTTTGTCCTTTTCTTATAACATCATTAACTAAATTTATAATTTAAAATTTATATTAGTGTTTTTCACTTGGAACTTACTGTCTTCCTCTAATGTATTCTTAAGAAAGGAAGAAAACATTTGTGATAGGTATCTGTATGTATGATTTGTATGGAGCGTAAAAGGGAAACAATCATGAGCAGGTGTGACTAAATGAAATTAATCCTATTAAGGATTAATCCTGCTCCCTTATTAAGGTTTTTTTAAATTTTTCATAGCTTCAAAATACTGCCATGTTACAGACTGAAGCTTCTGGAAGTTTCAAAGATGGAAAACATATAAGTTGCAAGACATTTCTGTTTAATGGTTTACAATATTGAATTCATAAAAATCATCTAATTACTTACAAACTGGATAGAATGAATAAATGTCACAGCTGAATAAAAATGACAAATGACTTGGAAATCCACCTTTATGAATGCTTAAACAGTTTTAAGTACATCTGGAATTAGAGAATGAGAACCAGTTTCTTTCAAACTTGCTAAAAGAGAGAAAATCAAAAAGGTACCTAGAGCTTTCTCAAACAAGATAATCCTTCCTTAATATTATTAGCTCCACATACTAGCTTTTGGAGATAATCAATTACTTAGGTCATGAAGACAGGACACCCTCCATAGCATATAAAAAACCAGCTACGATACTAAATCCTAGTTCACTAAGTAATATGTGTAAGGTAAATGGATTGCAGTCATCAACTTATGAAATAACCAGTAATAAGCTCCACTTTAGAATGAAGAAGTTTTTCCAAAGAGAGAAAAAAATATCATTTCAGTACCTTGTCTTCCCTCATCATTGGTAAACAATCCAGCATCAGTGCTGCTGAGACTGCTGGAATCACTGTAATAAGGAAAAAGAAAGAAACAGATCAAAAGAACAATTGATCTCTCAGTCGTAAAATTTTAAAGAGACATGGCAGCTCAGAGATGGAACTTAAGCCTGACAAAGATCTGAAAGAAAATAAGATGATTTTTTTTTTAATCAAACTGCTAATATCCTGGTTCCATTCACTACAGAGCATATTATTTTTGGCACATAAAACCACAGGAATCTAATGGGACCCTGACAGTAAGCCAGATGTGACTGCAACGAGATGCTGACACAATTGATGCATTTTATCATGTACTTTCATCAAATGCTCACTGCTCCTTTCTTACGTCATGCAATTCAGCTTGAGCCTGGAACACCACTGCTCAATAAAATGGGAAAAGTCTCAATCAAAAGCAGGCTAAGCCTTTCCTCAGCACATGAAATACAAAGGACTAGGATGAGATTACTTTTCATAACCACATTTACAAATATTCTGGAGAAGACATTACTTAAGAATTCACAACAACTCTATTAGTTTGCAAGGAATAAAAAGTTTAAAACGGTGATAATCCATTATATCGAAGTTAAGGTCACTTTTAAGCAAAAAAAAAAAAAAAATAATATTACAAATATTAAGGAGGGAGTGTGTACATATATTCCCACAGAAGCTCCAGAGTCAAATCTAACATACAAATAAAACAAATAGCAGATATTTGAATAACATAAACAAACTGTTACTATTCTAATAGAAGTAATGCTTATATGACAGTCTAGTTTAAAATACCAGGAGAACAAAGTCATATAATATAATGAGAGGCTTAGCTTTTAAAGAAAATTTAGTGATGTTCTTTAAAAATTCTCATGTATTTTATTTTTACTGTAATTCTTAATTTTAACCAATCAGGAAATCATCCCTTTTTTTAATTAAAATACTTTTTCCATTAATATGTAGAATTCCATAATCTTATTTTTTAATAAGGCATCCTAACTTGTTTTAAAATATTTAAATTGAGAAGTTTAGGATTAAAATTATAGATGAGATCTAAATTCACATACATTTTCTGAATATAATTTGTTTCTGTTCGATTTCTTAAAAAATAAATATTAATGAAGAATATAGGAATTTCTTAAGAGGCACATTCTTCCAAGGAGTTCTGAATTTAGACCTCTCTCTAGCTTTCTTCCAAATTAAGTGCATGTACAAAGCTCCCTATATTGTACAATTGGTAATGAAAAAATATTTTCTAAGAGCATCACAACCAAATTTTCTTATTTACAAATATATATGCTCTTCTATGCACTATAATGTGAGAGTGTTAAAATCACCTCAGAAACTATCTTTCTGACATTTCGCTGTCTAAACTACTATTGATACTTTCCTCTTTCCTGTGTGCCCCCCATTAACACAACTCAAATGAAGGGTCTCATATACACCTCAGGTCACAGTTCCTTTTCTGAAACCCTTGAGGCAAAATGTATTTAAAATTCTGAATTACTCAAATTTTAGCAAGGTATATTCTAAAATGCCTCGGAGGAGTCTGGGATAGTACTCCATAAAACAGATTAATATATTTCTTCAATTAAATGAATGAATATCCACATTAAGTACAGGTCAAATTAAATTTGGCCACAAGTGAATTAGTTTTTCATAGCTTTTCAGAGTTCAGATTTGCAGACAAAGCATTATGAATTGATGTGCTATTTTTTCTAGACCATGATCTTCTAATCTGAATTCAGATTTACCCCTCTCTAATCTATTCTACATACAGCCAGGTTCATCTTTTCAAAATAAAACAAGTTGACTAAAAGTAATGTGATATTCTGAAACCAAAAAAGGACATTAAATAACAGCAAAGGAAATTCTAATAAACTATGAACTTTACTTACAAATATATCAATTTTGTTTCATTAATTGTGAGAGATTAACCATAGTAATGTACAATATTAACAACAGGAGAAAGTGGATTTGGGATATATGGGAATGTGATTTACATGAACTCTCTGAACTATCTTTACAACTTTTCTGTAAATTTACATCTATTCCAAAGAAAGTAGTTGATAAACTATGCACACACACATACACACACGTGTACATTATAGAACAGTCTTCTATTTAAAAATTTAAAATTACTTCAAAACTTGTTGAATTAAATTTAGATTTCAAGACTTTCTATGGATGGGCCTCCATCTAAATTCTTCTTATTCCCATCTCTGGTCCTTTTGTTTATGTTCTTTTCCCAGTGGTATGCCTATCTCCACTCTCTTCCCTCTCCACCTGTCCAAGCTCTTGAAGATATAAGGAAATCAGAATTCCCTCTCTTCCAGCTCTGAGTCCTTAATGATCCTTGTCCTACTTTGAGGTATGTTGGCATGCATGTATACAACATGTTTCTTGATTTACATTTCACCTCATTGGTATCTAGAGTTGTTCCGTGTACATTATGTACGTGTTTCTATGTTCAATAAATCAGAACAAGAACTTAAATAGAAACAAGCCTTTTATTTTCAGCAGCTGACAGTCATTACGGCTTATCTCCAAAGACACCCTTTCCTTGGAGATTCACCTTTTTAGAGTGAATTTTATAACACGGTATTTGGATGAGAATATATTCCACATATGCTGGATGAACAAATATATGTACACTAATATCAATCACTTGCCCCAATTTGTTCAATTCCTATATTTTCCGTAGAGTCCTCTTTCTCATTCATCCTCCCAAATAGTCAGTCAACCTCCCATCGATTCTAACTCTTAAAATTGGTCTCAAATACTCTCAAATACTTAGTTCTCTCTGCTATCATATCGTAATTCACTTCCCACTTAAGCATGGATTGGAGGTCAAAGATAAACAAAATACCAAAATACAGCTATAAAGATCACACTATCTTGAAAAAATGTAAATCAACTTGAGTTTCTTCACTGTTAAAAATTCTTCACTGATCCCATTGACTATAAGATGATAAAATCCAAACTATTTACCATAGCAGATAGACCTCTGAGAAATGCTTTTTGCTGTAATTCTGATCCCACTTTATTGCCGGTAAAAACAAAGTATGTATTTTCATTTCACAATTCATGCCTTTGCACAAGCTGCTCCCTCTCTACCTATGAATGCCATTTCCCTCTCTTCTCTTGACTTCCTCAATTCCTGAACAAGTCTTACTACTTGCTTTAAAGCACAGTTCCCTTAGCAAGTCTTCCCTCACTAATACTTTCCACTCAGCACATTTCATTTTCATCATTTGCTTGCCTGGCTATCCCAGACTATGCAGCTGTTGAGAACAGAGTCTCCATTATTAGTCCAGGTGCCACCAGTGAAGAGTAAATTGTAGTTAATCATCAATGTTTGTTAAATCTGACACACACACACAGCCCCCCACACTGAAGTTTCTCTTATTTATAAATCAACCCCAAGGAAATATAAAGCTTTTTGTAGTAGGAAAGCTTTGGAAGTAGTCTTGAAAACGCTTATACTTGTTACCAAAATACCTTAAATATTTAGCAATCTTTGCACAGAAGGAATTTGCACCTAACTTTTAAGTGACAACAGAAAATAGTTTATAAATAAGTTTCAAATCAGAGAAAATATATTTTTTAACATTTATTCAAGAGTAAAAACATACTCTGAAAACGTGTACCTGGGCTGTTTGTGGACTGCTAGGTAGCCTGTTCATGCCTAGTAGATACTCAAATACTTTTTACAATGAAAAGAAATGAAAAATGAGAGTTTGATCTCATATCCATTACCAGTTACATGTCCTATAAAAAAGCAGATCAATAAAAGGAGAACTAAAAAAAAGGGGGGGAGCTTGCACAATGAATCCAAAAAGCAGGTAATCTAATTGTAAATAATCCAGAATTGAGTATGTTATATCAGCTGCCACATACTCTCCCTCCCGGTAATTGAGTCAGACAATTACTTTCAAGTAAGGTTGAATGGTCTTAAGTCACAATGGCCTAATACAAATAATACTTATTTCCATATAAGAATGACAATTTTCTTGCAAGAAAAACAGATACCATAAACTTTTCAAAGCCCTCTGGAAACTTTTTTTTTTTTTTTTTTTTGAGATAGAGTCTTGCTCTGTCGCAGTGGCACGATCTTGGATGTCTGTAATCTCCGCCTCCCAGGTTCAAGCAATTCTCCTGCCTCAGCCTCCTGAGTAGCTGGGACTCGGCGCACATCACCACACTCGGCTAATTTTTCTATTTTTGCTAGAGACGGGGTTTCACCATACTGGTCTGGCTGGTCTCAAACTCCTGACCTCAGGTGATCCACCAGCCTCAGCCTACCAAAGTGCTGGGAGTAAAGGCATGAGCCGCCATGCTCAGCCACAATTTTTTAATGTAAGTAATTTTTACTTCTTTAGAAAAATTATATGACTAGCACACCATGTCTAATAAAAGGATAATTCCATAAACTTTTACCAGGTCCCACTCATTTACAAGCAAAAAAACCCCAAAAAAACAAAATAAAAAATAAAAACCAAATAAAAGATTGATAGCTCACCACAATTCACATGATTAAAATGATCCCAGCCCTTGGGAGGCCAAGGTGGGTGGATCACTTGAGGTCAGGGGTTGAAGACCAGCCTGGCCAACATGGTGAAACCCCGTCTCTACTAAAAATACAAAAAAAATTCGCCAGGCATGGTGGTGCACACAGGTAATCCCAGCTACTCCGGAGGCTGAGGCAGGAGAATCACCTGAACCCAGGAAGTGGAGGTTGCAATGAGCTGAGATCACACCCTTGCACTCCAGCCTGGGAAACAGAGTGAGTCTCTATCTCGAAAAAAAAAAAAAGATAGCAGCCCTATAAATTAAAAATCAATTACTCTTTCTCAGGCCATATTTACAGACTGTTTTTTTCTGGCTCATAGTTCAGCATTCGGTTTTGCGGACCCATGCCTAAAAGGAAAAAGTGTTAATACATTCTCATTTCTTGCAAGTAGCATCACTTCATCATTTCAGTATAAAAGAAAAATGATCACTTACCTTTTGATGCTGTCAAAATAGTACTTAACAATTATTGACAGATTAGATTTACTACCACAGGACCATTGTTTTTCCTATTTTTCTAATGACAAAACCAGGTGTTTCTAGACTATAAATTGGGTTTTAAAATTCATAAGTGATCAGAATTCCTAGAAAGCTCCAGATTTTTTATGTCAAGCCACAGACATGTCGAAGTGGTATAAACTTTTGATGTTCAAGAATCAGGATAGATTAATGAATTGTGACACTCTATAAAGTACCAAAAGCTAAAGGTCTATAATTAAACATATAATTATATATCCAATTCTGAGTTACAAACGTGCTGTTATTCAAAAGCACATTCTTTTCCACTGAAAATCCATTTCCTTTCCTCCTTGTAGCTGAAAATTGAGTCATTATAATACAATCAAAAGACTTTGTGTAAATCAAACAAGCAATTTTGCTTTGTGCTAAACATCATAAAGTATAAGGAAATATAACCATAGCTAAACAGTAATATCACTATCATTATTACAATTTATAATTATTTTAAAATAGAATTAATTAAAATATAAAACATTCAACCACAAACACTGGAGATAAATATTTTTATATTTAGAGAATATAAAAGTCACCTTTCACTCATGAGCTCATCTGAGACTTTTTGCTCTTCACATTCCATTTTGTCCTTATTGGTCTGGTTCGTTTCCTCACTTTCTAAAACTACTCCTTCATCTTGGATTTTTGGTCCTTGTCTGATTATTTTCAACTTTCTTTTTTTGACTTTGTTCTTGGTAAATTCTTGATACTGGTAGGCTCTATCACTGTCCATGTCCTGATCTCTACAACCCTCAGGTGGCTGGGTCATTGTCCGTTTGTTAGAGATGTCCTGTGGGAGATCTACTGCCATGCGTTTTACCTTTCTCCTCCTGCGCAGAGTTCTATTCCCAACATTGTCCACAGCAAAATCAGACTCATGCCATAGAGGTCTTTTCCCTCGAACATTATTATTTAAGTTTGATGACGGCCTGCGCTTTGCTACTAACATTTGGTCATCAGAGTCACTGTGATCTTTTTTATTATTATTGTGATTCTCTCTATAGTCCTTGCTTGGTTCTTCTAAACTAGAATCAGAGCCTTCACTTAAGCAGTGACCAGTCTCCCACGGGTGATGCACATTATACGACCTCCGTTTTCTCCCTCTCCTTTTCCTTGCCTGGCGTTTCAGAGGGCAAGATATACTTCGAGAATGGTCTCCTGTTTCAGCAAATCCACCTCGAGCTTGCTCTGAGCTCTCTTCCAATGCTGAGACAAGGTCATGAACCAGCTCCTCCATGGTTCTACTGAAATGCCTTCATTTTTTAGAGAAAGAAAAAAGAAAATAGTCAGTCTTAACCACAGTAACCTCATTTTCTATAACAGACAATTCATTCTAAATTCGACAAAAATTAATGATTACAAAATGTTTCAAAGCTAATTTTCCTATCCAAGATATTACAGTTTTAAATATTGATTCATTTTAGGCCTCTTCTTATATAAGTTCTTTTATTAAACATAGGAATTACTTCCAAGATAGAATAAGCTTATGAGCAATGAAAGATCCCAGTATTTTTATATTTTTCTGTATAATTATGGAAAAGTTCTGTTTAAATCCCTATCCGCTGGCCCACTCCTACCCCTTTTCTAGAGCCAGTTTTCCTACAGCAGATACAGAAAGAACTTTCTCAGTCCCCTCTTCGCCCACTAATCTCTAAGTAAAAAAAGAAACATGAAATCTTCTATTCACCACGTGCCCTAACCAGTCACTGTCATATAAGAGGCAGTTAGAAAGACAGACAGGTAGTTTCAGGATTAGTAATATACGTGAAAGTTTAACCAACACCATGCATTTATTTAGGCCACACTAATCTCTTAACCCAGTGAAGCACAAACTACATTCGCATTCAAATTGGAGCCTCACTGGTTTCAAAGGGCCCATCATTACTTCATTCTGAAGCAATCTCTTAGGCTTTCCTTTTTTAAGAGCATTAAACTATATTACCAGTATGAAAATTATCCAGTAGTCAGCAAGAATAAGCATAAGCATTCTTTGGGAATTTTTATAAATTATACCTGTCCTTTTAAAACCCAATTCCCAAAGATTTTAAATTAGTTGGGGTGACATACAGCCAAGGTATCTGGTTTTATTTTTTAAACATCACAGGCAATTCAGATTTGCACCCGTCTTATGAAGACCACAGGCAATCATTTCTAAAATCGAGATCTAGAGGCACCTAGGGATTGAAATATTCTCAACAGTCATACAGAGCTTCTAGAGCCTACAGCAGGAGTAGGCTTTTATGTAACTGGCCTGCTAGTAAATATTCTAGGCTTTGCAGGCCATTGGGTCTCCCAAAACTACTCAACTTGCCACTATAATGCAAAAATAGCCACAAGCAATACATAAATAAATGGGTATGGCTGTGTTCTAATAAAGTTTTATTTATAGAATCAGGTTATAGCTGGTTATAGTTTGCTGACCCATAGTCTATATAGTCTCTACAATCATGTATAGTCTCCAACAGTCAATAATTTCAGGCTTTTGCAAGTTCCTTATAACAGCTTTCAACTTTTGTCGTTTCATTTTAATAACCTAAAAACAACACACATTGTGATTCAACTGGATTTGCCATTTATAATGTGATGCATACAAACAGCTTCTAACATTTGCGCATTTACTATTTGCCAGGCTCATTTCTAAGTGTTTTACATATATTATTTCATTTCATTCTCACACAACAACCCTATGAGGTGGGAGATGAAATACACAAAGGCCGAAAGATCTCTGTCACAATGTGATGCGTCTAAGTAGTGGAGACAGGATTCAAACTCCAGCAATCAGGTTCCAGAGCTCCAATGTTCACCAAACTACAGCCAAGATCAGCTACACGATCCCAGTGGCCAGTTTGTATTTTTGTTTATGATTAATTTAGCACCAGGTAGTATTACTGTAATCCTCAAGACAGATTTAATATACATCTATGTAAAACCCAAATGACTCGTAGGTAGCTATTACATGGTTTTGAATAGAAAAAAGAAGTGAAAGACCTGAATCAACACAAGGGACAGGGTGGCATAGCTGGTGAAAGTAAACTGAGCTCAAAGAACCAACCCTGTACTGGTTAGTAAAATGTACACTGTGAGCAACTAAGTAACATGGCATTGCGGTTTGGTTAATGTGAATTTGTATTTTCTAGAATTATTTCCATGGGCATTCTGAATGTATTTAATATAAACAAAAAATCTAATGCATACAGCTTTTTTAAAAATGTGGTGATTCAAATATCTATTTTAAATAAACTCTGGAGGGCCACTGAGATTTGATTTTTCCTTTCTAAGGGTACTATATACAACTCAGGGTTTTTTTGTTTGTTTGAGACGGAGTCTCGCTCTGTTACCCAGGCTGAAGTGCAGTGGCATGATCTCGGCTCACTGCAACTTCTGCCTCCCGGGTTCAAGTGATTCTCCTGCCTTAACCTCCCGAGTAGCTGGGATTACAGGCGCACGCCACCATGCCCGGCTAATTTTTGTATTTTTTAGTAGAGACAGGGTTTCACTGTGTTGGCCAGGCTGATCTCAAACTCCTGACTTCAAGTGATCCACCCGCCACGCTTCTCAGTGCTGGAATTATAGGCGTGAGCCACCACGCCCAGCCCCACAAATCAGGATTTAGAACATTGAATTTGATTAAAAGAACTGTGTATCACATAGGAATTAGCATTCGGCCAAACAAAACAGAGGCTACAACTTTGACTACACTGATAAGCCAAGTGAATCTTTTTTCTATTATCTATGTTATCAAATGCCCTTTTCCCTTAAAACAATGAATATTTTGTTCTTTTCCTGTGACATTATTTAATTAAAAGAAATATAGTCTGAAAGACCTATTGTCTCTGAATATAATATTGCACCTTAAAAAACATTCACTTGAAAAAAATACACTTTAACATGTATTAAAATCAATATCCTCTCTCTCTATTATCTGGTTCTGGAGTAACTTACTCTTGGAAGACAGTTTTCTTATCAATGGGTGAATGGCCAGTTCAAAATAATAAAACATGAAATTAACTCGATGTATGAATATAATATCAAATTAAAGTCAGTTTAGTTTGGATATTACAATTTAGTGCTTTACTGCAGCACAGAACATTTATAGTACTAACATTAGAAAGAGGTTAACACATCTGATTCAATCCATTGTAATCTGATACTCTTCAATTAATTTTGTTTAAAAAGTATTGCTGTAACCAATAGAGTTTAATAAAATATAACTGCTAATATTACTAAGAATGAAATTTCTTAGTAATAGAAATTTCATTCTTAGTAATATTAGCAGTTATATATGCAAAATTTCCCTAGAATCTCATGAAAACTGTGTCAGCCTTATTTGACTTTATGTTGCTTCTCTCAAGAGAAAATAAAACTTATTTTTAGGCTGGGGGCGGTGGCTCACGCCTGTAATCCCAGCACTTTGGGAGGCTAAGGCGGGCAGATCACCTGAGGTCAGGAATTTGAGACCAGCTTGGCCAACATGGTGAAACCCCATCCCTACTAAGAATACAAAAATTAGGCTGGCGTGCTGGTGGGTGCCTGTAATCCTAGCGACTCGGGAGGCTGAGGCAGAAGAATCACTTGAACCCAGGAGGCGGAGGTTGCAGTGAGCTGAGATCGCAACATTGCACTCCAGCCTGGGCGAAAAGAGCAAAACTCCATCTCAAAAAACAAAAGAAAAAACAAACAAACAAAAACCATATTTTAAAAAACACTGTAATTAGCAGAATCCAATTTATTCCATGATGTCACTCAAATATGAATCAACTACATATTACTTTTAAAAGCTTTTTTGAAAAAATCCTATAAAAACCCAGAAAAAATACAGACTTAACAAGTCCTACTCAGAGTTCAAATTATCTTTTTCCCCTTCAGTTTCAAATAACTACACTCTCCTCCAAGTCAATACCAACCAAAACCCATGCTAATGAGCCAGTAATATTATAGTCAATTAACGTCAAGCTGCTTCACTAACATCCCTCAGTTAAAACTGGCATCGGCAGGGCACAGTGTCTCACGCCTGTAATCCCAGCACTTTGGGAGGCTGAGGCGGCAGGATCACTTGAGACCAGGAGTTCAAGACCAGCTTGGCCAACAAGCTGAAACCCCGTCTCTACTAAATATACAAAAATTAGCCATGCACAGTGGCAGATGCCTGTAATCTCAGCTACTCAGGAGGCTGAGGCAGGAGAATCACTTGAACCAGGAGGCGGAGGCTGTAGTGAGCCAAGATCATGCCACTGTACTCCAGCCCGGGAGGCAGAGAGACTCTTGTCTCCTACTGGCCCATCAAAAACAAAGTGATCCTAAGAGACCATCACATGACCAACAGCTCTTTTATTTCCTTTGCCTTGGCAGTTTACACTGATGCATCAGAAGACCAATGTATTAAAACACTTTATCCTAGAGATAGTTTCTTAAATAAGAATTTCCTATTAAAGGGGAAACCTGGAAATATAGCACTTTTCTATACAAATCTGTACTTACTGAACAACCAGTTTTAAAGTTTGAATTATACTAAATTCAGTGAATGTACCACTTAACTAATTTGAGATTTTTATATTCATAATTGTAAGAGCCATTTTTCTTCATTTGGAACTCATTTGGAAATGAAATCTTCTGGGAACAGTTAATATTGGGTAATATCTAAGATAACAATAGTTCATCAATAGTTTTATTAAAATAGTCCGAATGAACAGAATACCCCAAAACAAAATTATGGCCCCAACATCTACATAAAGTTGGATTTTATGAAAGGAAATGATTTGGGCAGATGAGTACTTTGTTTTTTCGGGTGGTATTGGATTATGCTGAGCAATATAAAATGTATGATCAATCCAAGATTTGATATGCAAGCTTTATTTAAAAATGTTAGGCCAAAGGTCAAGTTTGTTTGTTTCGCTTCCTCTACCAAATACCCAGTAAATGAGTGAACTATTATCCTTGGGTTCCTGATCTATTCTAATAAATTCAGGCTCTAATAAATTCAGAAAAAGGCCTTCCTAAAAGTGGAATCCGTTTAAGAATAAGACCAATCAATGTAGAAAACAGAGTTTAGTGTTTTTCTTTCAAATATTTCTGGTTCAAGGAAGAAGAATCAGGAAGATGCTTTAGTCCTAACTTATTGCTTAATCTACCCTAAGAACTGGGAGTTGATTGATGGCCCATGAGCTCTTAAATGTCAGTTAGCAATATATTAATATAAGTGGGAATAGCAAGAGTGAAGAAAGCCCCAAAAACAGATTCCCCGAGAAATAAACAGTCAACTATTTTTACAATGACTATTGCTTTTTGAAGCCTCTGTTACCAATAATTGCTATTCCTAATAGTGAAAAATAAAGTATATATAGAAAAGTTAGTCAGGGAATAATTTCCTTGCCTAGATGCTGATAAAAACTGTGTAACAAGAGGATATGCATGTGTGTCTACTAAATAAACCCAAGTTCATATTAAAAACAAAAACTGGCCGGAAGCAGTGATCATGCCTGTAATCCCAGCATTCTGGGAGGTCGAAGTGGGTGGATCACCTGAGGTCAGGCATTCAAGACCAGCCTGGCCAACATGGCGAAACTCCATCTCTACTAAAAAATACAAAAATTAGCTGGCCGTGGTGGTGCACACCTGTAATCCCAGCTACCCGGGAGGCTGAGGCAGGAGAATTGCTCCAACCCAGGAGGCAGAGGTTGCAGTGAGTCAAGATCACGCCACTGCACTCCAGTTTGGATGACAGAGAGACTCTGTCTCAAAAAAAAACCTTCCGGATAGAACTCAAGGATAACTGATTATAGCTATTAGGTATCTAATTAAGGAAGAGGAAAGTAAATATTGTTTATCACCTAGTACTGGGTAAAACTCTCATCTTTACTTCTCTAAAACATGGATTATCAGTTCTTCAAAGTTAAGTAATTTTGGGAATGCAGTGCTAAAAGTAAGTTACCTGGTGTTAAGTACATCTGCTTAATTGGCTTACAAAAATGTAAGGGAATAAATAATCATTAATGTATTAGTTTCTGTATAAATAAAAATTCAGTGTGTACAAAAACACTGTACTAACACACAGTACATAGTCAAGGACTATGCTGCTGAATGTTATAAACTACTCACAAACTTAACACAAAGATAGTCTTGTACTTATACGCCTCCATTATCATATTAGCTTTTATTTAAGATAGAAAATGTTGGTTGGTCCTAAAAGTATGCAGCAAACAGCTGAACCAAGCAGATTAAAAGTAATGCATAATAGTGTAGACTATGAAAATGAGTGACTAAACATGCAAATGGTGAGCCTTCAAGATGCCACATCAAGGCTAAATGACTAATGACTTTATGACTAATTTAACACCATACGATCCCTAAGAATTATCTTAAGATTTCTGCTGCTTATGGGAATTTATATATTTCCCTCCTCAATGGGAATATTATTCATCAAATAAGTCCTTATCTCAACCTAGGAATCTATTAAGAGACTATGTCTTCAATTTTCTCCTTTTATATATATGTGAGGGAGTGGGCAGGCATTATCTTAGGAAAATTATCAATAACCCTAACACTAAATGTCGACACTTATGCTAGTTTAGAAAATCCTTGACTCACCTATTTAAATTATTAATCAAAAGTAAATTTTTTCTCTCTTTTTGAAAAAGGTAGGGTGGGATAGGGAAGAATTATCTTATTCTGAAACATGTAAATGATTAATTACAACTTTACATTAATATTAGGCAATAAATAGGAAACACCATTCTCTAGGGAAAAAAAAAAGGCTGGGAGAAAACTACAGAGAACATGAGCTTAGAAATCAAGGCTATGAATTTGGTAGCTAATTCCAGTTATATTCATTAGCTATAGGACATTGGACAAATTACCTATCTTCTGATTCTGTTTATTCATCATAAAAATCTGCATAATTTCTACCTTGAAAAGATTTTTCTGAGGATGAGTGGGTACTTAATGTTCAAGGTAAGTTATTTCATGTTTCAACGACCTCTACCCACAAATAAGAGAAACTGGTCACCAAAAGATCCCAAATAATTCTGCTTTTAAGATATAACCATACTGGGAATCTTGAGGGTATTATAGTTAAAGGCCTTCAATCTTTCTGAGGTCATGAAGCACTCTGAATGTCGGGAAAAGGAAGGCTAGCAGACATATATAAATTGCTGCATACAATTTCAGTAAGTTCATGGACTCCTTGAAGACTCTATGGAGCTAAAAAAAAATTTTAAATCCCAAATTAAAAAAAATTAATGCTATGTATCTGACCTATTTCCACCTTAAAAATATACATATGTAAAGTTAAAAAGATTAAATAATCCTTCCCCGTTAAAACTGGAAAGGAAGCAAAAGCTCCACTAACTTGTATTCAATCACGGGTGCTCCTGGCAGCTTCTACTTTGTCACCTTTGTTACCATAGGAACTTTCAGGAAGTTTTCTTTCCTCTTTACCATGGTTTGCTCAAAATCAAACCGTGAATGGCTTTAAGAAAAAAAAAGTCTAACCCTAGTTTCCAAATTAGTGATTTAATAAGGCAAGCTCATTTATTATTAAATCTGAAGACCATGCTTCTGATTTTTTTGCTACTTCATTTAATGACTTCATGAGTCATTCAAACTTTTCCTTACATTCTAATTGCTTTCAAAATGTAAACTATTAAAAAGCTGCCTATAGGAAATAAAGTCAGTTTAAAACAAAACAAAAAATTTAGAATCTAATAAGTAATTCATTATAGCTCTTGTCAATATGCATATATTCAAATGCATTAGGCAAACAGTAAGTAGGAAATGAGTCTTATTTAATGTTTATATTAACATACAGTAACTGTTCAATAAAAATTTACTGAACATATAACCTGAATTCCTATAACAGGAATGAGAATGAAGACAACTGAATATTAATTAGAAGCATACTGCTTGACACATAACAGATTTTAAAAAATAATCTGCCAGATGAGCAAACCAATGAATGACTAAATGACTGAACAAAAAACAAAAGAAAAACATAATGACTAAAACTTTTAGACAATCCATATTCCAAATTTTCTGCTACATTAACAAGCCAGACACTCTAGGCTTTTAGCTAAGTAAATGTGAAGTTAAGGAAAAATTATCAAAGACAACGTAAAGGCTTCCAGCTTGACATAAATATGGATGCTAAGAAGCTATAACAAATTTAATGAATTACTTGAACAAAATCATACTGTTTATTGCTTTGATTCTTAATTGTTGAAACAAAAACCTGACTCAAACCTGCCAGTATGCAACTAAGTTCAAGACTAACAAACTCCAAAAAACAAGCAATTCAAAAAAATGCACACCATTTACTATGCAGTTTTCTGGATTTCAATAAAATCAAAATACCTAATAGGAATGAAAATGCAGAAACAAAAGTCCAGAGTCAATATAGTTTATTTTAATGGCTTTTTTTTAAGCAAAGCCACATAATAAAGTTAAAAAAAAAAAAAAAAGAATACCATAGTTGAATACAGAAATTATCCACATTTACCCATTTGGTGCCTAAAAATTGAAACAGCAACGTCCACACTGGAGAAGTTGAAAAAGTCAAGATGGGAGCTAAATAAGTCAGAAAATCCAGACTGGTTAACAAATTTGGGCATCTAACTGCTAGGTTACATATTCCTTGAGATATTATATCTCATTCAGACACATAGGCAACATATAAAAGTGGTTAAGAATTTTGGGGGGGTATACTGGAATCATCCTGCAAATATGATACTTAGGCCAGTTACTTAAACCATCTTTGCTTCTGTGTCACCTTATCTAAAATGCAAAGAATGATACACCTACCTCAAAAGATTTACATGAGATGACACATATTTGTAAAACCTGGCACCTAATTAACTGCTTAGTAGCAGTATTCCCAGTGGGACTGGAATTTATTACTGGGATCAAACATACTTATATAGTAAATATCTGTTCAATTAATGAAGAAGAAAATTCCATTAAGAAATCTGGAATTTTTACATTCCAGATAGTCATACAGATAGTCATACAGATAGACTAGAAAATAAAGATCCAGTTTTCTGGAACATATTCATTCTGACAGAACAGGAATGACTTTAGAATTTCATTCAAAAATACTAAGTGCTACCACTTTGTTATACTCTGGTGCCATAAGAAATGGTGAGTTGTATGACAAGCGAGCCTTTAAAGAGAATTGAAGGAGGTTTCTCTCAGTACCTAACCATGATTTTAAAGGTAAAAGAAGTTGAGAGAATCAATCACATTCTGATGTAGTCACCTACCCTACAAATCAATAGCACCCTAGGAAGAGCAGACCAATCTACATAGGACATTTTGTCTCCCTGACTTAACCAAGATAATGAACAGTGAAACATTAAGACAGGTATCCTTGAGAGGGAACTGTGGGGTGATGGACAAATCCATTATCTTGTTTTGTGTGGTGTTTACATAAGTATATGCAATTGCCAAAACTAATAAAATTAAGCCTGTAAAAATTGTGCATTTCATTCTATGCTAGTTATACCATTAAAAACTGGTTCATTTAAAAAATGCTCCCTACTTTTCTCACTGGAAAATGTAATAATTTACAAATAGTATAATCAAATCTATATTCACTATAAAATTAACTACAGGATGATCAGGTCCAACTAGAAATATTTTGGATAAGGTATTCTTTTAACTTTTCAGTGATAGGTGATGGAAAAGCAATTATCTGAGATCACAGACTACTAGAATTCCTCATGTTCTAATTTTTGCAGAATCTAGGAATGAACACGCACCATTTAGCCACATTTCTTTCACCTGTTGGTCAGAACTTTATGTTTGAGGATTTTCAATGGGAAATTGCTTGTTTGTGTCACTGGTTGTCTTATGTTATGTTTGGAGGAAAAGGGCTTGGGAGAAAAACAGGACAGATAATACAGAGTGTTCAACTAGAAATCCCCAAATCAGGATTCTAGCTCTAGGATTAAAATGTACAGGGCAACTTTGGACACGGTACTTGAATTTTCTGTGCTTGTGATATTCTGCTATCACAAGGCTGTCATAGGATAAAGTGTATTAATTTGTGGAAATACTTTGAAAAGTCAAAGCAATATATTATTCTAACATGATACCATAGACATAGTCAAGCCCCAAACTTAATCCTGACAGTTATAGGTTCTTGGAAAGCCCCCATACATATCTCACTTTAACTTGAATAGAATGTTCAAGAGGGTGGAAACAGGTAGGTTACCCTCTCTCTTTAAAAAAGGGGGTGAGAGGGTGATGTGTTTTCCACGATTGAACTTCCAGAACTCTAGATTTCTGGAATTTATCTTCCAAAAGACTTGGTATAATCTGGTAAATATTGAAAGAGGAGTGGGGAATAAGGCCCGGATTAAGATAAATTCTTCCTGTCCCTAGTGTTGTCAACAATCAATGAGGAGATGAATTGCTCCTGGAGTACAGGAAGCTTGACTTCTAAAATATTGTTAAACAAGCAATCAGAAAACATTTACTGTATTCTTTCACAAATCTTTGGCACACACCCAAGAGCTCCCTCAAACTGCGTGCATCCCAGGAATGAGTGAGAGCAAGGCCTAGATGTCTTCAGATCATCCATCACAGCTCCCTCCCGCCTCCATTCCAGGTCCAGCGGAGCGGCCTCGGGCAATCACACCCTTCCCTGACCTCCCCCTCCCCAGGGCCGCCAGCCTCACCAGCTGTTCCCGGCTGCTGGAGCTCCGATCGGTTGGCGCCCGGCGGCCCCGAACATTAACGACACCCGGGAGCCTGGCCTCGAAGCTCAGGCCCGTGAACAGACTCCAACTACAACAGCACCGGCGACTTCCAAAGAGCAGTTCAGCATTTTGAGATGAGCTTCCGGAAGCCGACAGGCGGCGGAAACCGGATGCCCGGAGCAACCATTAGTTCTCCGCGTTTACTGCTTTCCCCTTCCTATAATCCCCTCTTCCTACTCGCAGTAGAGACAGAGACAAATAAATTAAACTTTTGTGCTACACAGAAATTTCTTAATTCTCTTTTTAGTGCTCTTAAAGTCAAAGCAGCATGAGAGAAAAGAGGAGTGAACAAAAAGTCGAACCCCGGGAGTGAGCTATGGTTTAGCCCAGTTACCATGGAGACCGGTAGTAACACCAGTTGTAAACCCAAGGCCAAGAGACCATGGCCACGTTAGCCCGGCTGCAAGCTAGGTCGTCGACTGTAGGAAATCAGTACTACTTTAGGAACAGGTAAGTCAGGAAGAGAAGGATCGCGTAAAGGGCGGGCGTGACTTTATACCAGTTGTTCCTCAGCGGGAGTTTCCAATTAACGATTTAACGATTACCCTAATTCATTAAGTAGTACCCAATTCTTCCCTTAATGGGCTGCAAACATAATTGGGAGTTTCTGTTACCATACAACGAAATTCTAAATAGAGAGGGGCCGTAGATATTCAGTGTGAGATGATTTAAGGAAACTCCCAGCATAGATAAAATTGTAAAGTGCTTTTTTTCTTCGACATCACCACTCTGCAATTTGATGAAACCTATGTTCAATACCCTGACTGGGGGTCACCCTGACTCACTAGCCCAATGAACTCAGATTGTGTCCCATCTACCTAGGGATTTGAGCCTCCGTTATTTTACAAACATCACTAAACTCAATTGTTCTATGACTCATTCGCCTTTTTAAAATGAACGTATCTGCCGGGTGTGGTGGCTCACGCCTGTAATCCCAGCACTTTGGGAGGCCGAGGGGGGCGAATCACCTGAGGCCAGGAGTTCTAGACCAACCAGGACAACATGGTGAAACCCCGTCTCTATTAAAAATACAAAAACTAGCCGGGCATGGTGGCACATGCCTGTCATCCCAGCTAGTCCGGAGGCTGAGGCAGGAGAATCGCTTGAACCTGGGAGGCAGAGGTTGCAGTGACCCGACATTGTACCACTGCACTCCAGCCTGGGTGACAAATTAAGACCCTGTCTCA
Organism: Homo sapiens; assembly: GCF_000001405.40. Taxonomy (NCBI): domain Eukaryota; kingdom Metazoa; phylum Chordata; class Mammalia; order Primates; family Hominidae; genus Homo; species Homo sapiens. The sequence goes on from NC_000001.11 coordinate 217,632,184, forward strand.
ATAAATAAATAAATAAATATAAATAAAATAAAATAAAATGAAAGTGTCTAAACCATTCTGACACGGTAACTAGTACCAATATATTAATTAATAGATAACGGGTAAGAAAACCACTAGCAGTCTTCTTCATCTCCCTACAGCCAAACTTCTTGCCCAGGAAGAGTTTCATTTTAAAGAAGCATTGCCCCAGGAGTTTTTGTAACTTAAAAGAAACTGCAAAAAAGTGAATTAGACTATTATGGAATACAGTGACATGACAGACCAATGGAAAATATGTCAATGAGATAGGGTCTTGCTGAGCTGCTTTTATTCTAACGTTTATCTCACCTACTACATCATTATTTCACAACGTACCTCTCTTACAGCACTGATCACAATTCAATTTTACATTCTTTTATGAGATAATATCTATCTCCCCTCTTAAACTAGTAGCAGAGACAGTGTCTCTTATTTTGCTCACCATTATTTTTGTCTCCAACGTCTATGATAGCCCCATACAAATAATAGTAACACAATAATTGTTGAAGACTCACATTAATGAATTTTTCAATAAATCTGTAGCCCTGGTTTAAGTAAACATACTAACAATAGCTAAACATAGAAATTATCTATTTATTTAGAGTATGTGGCAGGTGCTGTATTTATGACATATATAAATGAAATAAGCCCCATCCATCATGATGTTCACATCCTTGTATGGAATATAGGCTTTTAAAAAATAATTACAATACTAGCTGGGCTCAGTGGCTCATGCCTGTAATCCCAGCACTTTGGGAGGCAGAGGCAGATGGATCACTTGAGGGCAGAAGTTCCAGACCAGACTGGCCAACATGGCAAAACCCTGTCTCTCCTAAAATTACAAAAATCAGCCAGGCATGGTGGTGCACGCCTGTAGTCCCAGCTACTCTGGAAGCTGAGGCAAGAGAATCAGTTGAACCCAGGAGGCAGAGGTTGTAGTGAGCCGAGATCGCAATACTGCACTCCAGCCTGGGCGACAGAGCAAGACTCTGTCTCAAATAAATAAATAAATAAATAAATAAATAAATAAATAATAACAACAATAGAGTAACATGGACAGAAAGGGAAACAACCAGTATTTTTTGAGGACTGATTATATATGAGGGATTGCACCAGGAACAACTACATATGATATTTCACTTGGTTATCACAATGTTATAAGTTAATGTAGAAATTATCTATTTATTAGATAATCTATATTTTTAGAGCTATAGAACAATGTTCTAGAAAAGCCTGATGAAGTGCCAAACAAACAATTAATTGGCCAGGCACAGTGGCTCAGGCCTGTAATCCCAGCACGTTGGGAGGCCAGGGCAGGCGGATGTCTTGAGGTCAATTATGAATTATCAGAGCCAACTAATCTAACTCTAAAACCTCCGCTGTTCACTGTCACTAAACAAAATTTTCTTCCCATTAAGCTGATTTAATTAAATTGCAACAAGCACCAAGATCCAGAGGTCCAAATGGCTTGAGTGTACTGTCCCAAATCCGTTAACATGTAGGGAACAGAGTTGTGGGAAACAATTTAAAGTCTCCTTGGTTTCTTTCAATGTCTTCTGTTTTCGTAACAAGGTACGGACAAAAAGGCTTCTTCCTAATGGCTAGCATCAGAATAACGCTGAAGCTGAAAGATGACTTGGTTGAGAAAATACATTCCTAAGTGTTTAGGTTAGTATCTGAGTCCTGTGAGGCCTGGAAGTCCAATGTGGAAACGAGAAGCTCCTCTGCCTAACAAAGAGGAAGGATCTGGAACTCCAAGAAGTGAGCAGCAAATACAGGAGGAGATTTTGAACTACAAAGAATAGGAGGAGTGTGGGTTGCCCGACTGACATAATACTCTGGAAAGTTGCTCCCACAGGGAATGTTTGGTGTGTGTTTATGTTTTGGCCAGCCCATCAAAGAGACTGAAAATTTTGTCCTGGACATAAGGTGAACAAAAGATAGTAGGCAGTTGTTGTAACTTCCCAGTGGGTTCACCTTGCCTGTTGCCTAGACAGAGCCAATTTATCAAGACGGCAATTGCAATAAAGAAAGAATAATTCACACAGACCCGGTTGTGTGGGAGACCAGAGTTTTATTGTTACTGAAATCTGTCTCCCTGAGCATTAGGGGATCAGAGTTTTTAAGTATGATTTGATGGGTTAGTGTGAGGCCAGTGAGTCAGGAGGGCTGATTGGTTGGGTCAGAGATGAAATCATAGAGGGTGGAACCTGTCTTCTTGCACTGAGTCAATTCTGGGGTGGGGGCCACAAGGTCAGAGCCAGTTTATCAATCTGGGTGGTGCCAGCTGATCCATCAAGTGCAGCATCTGCAAAATATCTCTAGCACTGATCTTAGGTTTTACAATACTGATATTATCCCCAGGAGCCATTTAGGGAGGGTCAGAATCTTATAGCCTCCAGCTGCGTGACTCCCAAACCATAATTTCTAATCTTTTAACTAATTTGTTATTCCAACAAAGGCAGTCTAGTCCCCAGGCAAGAAGGGGGTTTGCCTTGGGAAAGGCCTATTATCATCTTTGTTTTAAACTATAAACTAAGTTCCTGGCAAAGTTAGTTCAGCCTATGTCAGGAATGAACGAGGACAGCTTGAAGGTTAGAAGCAAGATGGAGTTGGTTAGGTCAGATCTCTTTCACTGTCTCAGTTACAGTTTTCCAGTGGCAGTTCCATTGTCACTTGACAGAGTATTGGCCTTTTTGTTGTTGTTGTTGTTGTTGTTGTTGTTGTTGTTGTTAACTTTCTCTAGTAATTCCTAGCTTCATTTCTGTTCTTCCAAACTATGAGATTTTCTTTGTGACTTATTGGTCATTTATACTATACACTACACTGTACTTTGTGGAGAAAAGAGTTCAGTATATGTTTATTGATCATGTTGTTCATTTTCCCCATATTCTTATTTAAATTTCATCAAATCTGTCAAATTCTAATAGGAATAAGTTAGAATGTTCCTCTTCCACTGTGTTTCTATAGTGTGGGTGAACCCAAAATATCTGAGACAGGCTTCAGTCAATTTAGAAAGTTTATTTTGCCAAGGTTAAGGATGCACCCATGACACAGCCTTAGGAAGCCCTGATGTCATGTGCCCAAGGCAGTCCAGGTACAGCTTGCTTTTATACATATGTATTATGGAGACATAATACATCCATCAATACAGGTAAGGTTTATATTAGTTCCACAAGGTGGGGGCCCTTTAGGTCTTAGGTAGATTTAAAAATTTTCTGGCCAGGCATGGTGGCTCACGCCTATAATCCCAGCACTTTGGGAGGCTGAGGTGGGTGGATCACTTGAGGTCAGGAGTTCCAGACCAGCCTGTCCAACATGGCAAAACCCTGTCGCTACTAAAAATACAAAAATTAGCCAGGGGTGGTGGTGCGCACCTGTAGTCCCAACTACTCGAGAGGCTGAGGCAGGAGAATCACTTGAACCCAGGAGGCAGAGGTTGAAGTGAGCCAAGGTCGGACCATTGCACTCCAGCCTGGGCAACAGAGCAAGACTCAAATTCTGATTGGCAAGTGGTTGAGTGAGTTATTATCAGTAGAAAGAAATGAGGAATGTCTGGGTTATGATAACGGGATTGGGGAGACCTGGTTTTTATCATTTTATCATGCAGATGAAGCCTCCAAGTTGCAAGCCTTAAAAAGAGTGGACTGACGCCGGGAGCAGTGGCTCAGGCTTGTAATCCCAGCACTTCGGGAGGCCAAGGCGAGCAGATCACGAGGTCAGGAATTCGAGACCAGCCTGGCCAACATGGAGAAACCCCGTCTCTACTAAAAATACAAAAATTAGCTGCATGGGGTGGTGGGCGCCTTTAATCCCAGCTAATCGGGAGGCTGAGGCAGGAGAATCACTTGAACCCTAGAGGTGGAGGTTGCAGTGAGCCGAGATCGTGCCAATGCACTCCAGCCTGGCGACAGAATGAGACTCCGTCTCAAAAAAAAAAAAAAAAAAAGGGTGTTTTCAGCAGAGGAGTGACATGATGTGACTTCTGTCTATAAAAACAATAAATAAAAAAGTAACCTTTGACTTTCAATGTCTTCAGTTTTGGTAACAAGGTAGGGACAGAAATGCTTCTTCCTAATGGCTAGCATCAGAATAATGCTGAAGTTGAAAGATGACTTTGTTGAGAAAATATATTCCTAAGTGGTTAGGACTAAGAGGATTATCCAAATTCAAGGACACTGAACAAAATTATTATTATTATTATTGACTTATTATTATTATTATCATTTTGAGAGGGAGTCTCGCTCTGTTGCCCAGGCTGGAGTGCAGTGGCGTGATCTCAGGTCACTGCACCTCTGCCTCCCAGGTTCAGCAGATTCTCCTGCTTCAGACTCCTGAGTAGCTGGGATTACAGGCACCTGCCACCACACCCAGCTAATTTTTTTTTCTTTTTTGCATTTTTAGTGAAGACGAGTTTTCGCTATGTTGGTCAGGCTGGTCTTGAACTCCTGGGCTCAAGCCATCTGCCCACCTCGGCCTCCCAAAGTGCTGGGATTACAGGCGTGAGCCACTGGGCCCAGCCCCTTTGACTTGTTTTTAAGTTGGATAAAGCATTTTGCTTTTATTTTTCCCATTTCTACTTTCTTCCTCCACTTCCATCTTTTAACTTTTTGGTGCCAGTTTTTGCTGAACAAAATTTAAATCAAATCTGCTTGTGTCAATGAAACAAGTAAATAACACTTAAAAATTTTTAAAACACATAAGTTTTTTAACAATATGTAAGAAGAAATCAGCCAGATATATGTAAAATCTTTTTTAATTGGCTTCGCTGAAGGGAAAAGTATATTGGAGAATACAGAGAAACCAGTGGCTGAGGAAGAGGGCAAGAAGTTCTCTAGAGACATGCTATATAGACCAACTGTCAAATGTCCACATCTCTTACTATCTGAAAGGGGGCTTGAGGAGTGCATGGGGATAGAGAAAAAGAAATAGAGAAATAAATGTTATTGAATATCTACTACATGCTGAGCACTGCTTTCACAAACATTATTTTATTTGATGTTTACAATAATCTTATAAGGTTATTTTTCTTATTCCTGGGTTACAACGAAGGAATGTGAGTTTCAGACCATCTATATTACTTGCCAAATATAAAGAAGATCAAAGATCTAGTGACGTTTGATCCGTTTCAGTCCACATTTATACCTGGGAGAGGGGGATCTTTAAATTATTAAGTTTCTGCCGGGAATTAAGTTCATCAAATACATAAGCCCTAACCTGCCTTTCTAAGATCAGGTTGAGAAAAAGAAAGCAGGGGTACATTACTCTATGGTTCAAGATTGGTGATTTGCACGTACTTCATTACCCTGTAGCAACCTGAGGTATAATGTTCCTTAAGTTGTCCTGATTTCAGGATCTATTATTCCTATAAACGGAATAAATTTGTTTCTGACTCTGACATAGTAAATTGACTGTAGTTCCTCCTGTATCCTTAGTCTAATAATTTTGTTCAGTGTCCTTGAATTTGAAAAATTCTCTTAGTCCTATTAGCCTAAATAAATAGCAGCTTAGTTGAATAGATGTGAGTCCCTTCCCCTGATTCTAATTAATTACTGAATTTTTTCTTACAGGTGTACTCAATTCTGACCAATAAAACTTAGCAAAACTTCTTCCAAATACACAAGGAAGATTTTTGCCAAAGTGCAACAGTTCAAATCCTAACTCTGTATTACTTTAGGCTTAAATGTAAACTTTTAAACTTATATTCTTACCTTACTTAAACTCTTTAGATATTAGTTTTCTCATCTGTAACAGGGATAATAATGCCTATTGATATGTTAACTAAGAAGATTAAATGATCATCTGGTATATTAGTAAGTACCCAATAAATTCATAATTATAATAGGAAATCACAACAGAAGGGTAAAGTATAAAATACATATGATCGACTCAGTGAATATCGAAAAGGTAATTGAAAAATTTTTTGGCTATTCCTAAATATTTTTCTTTTTTCATTAAAAACGTAAAAATTTTTATTGCTGTATTATATACATTAAGTATATAAACTGTGTGAAGTGTACAACTCAGTAATTTTCCATAGGTATATACCTGTCCAAACTTCAGTCAGATAAAGTTCTGCAGTGTTTGTTTTAAAATATGTTTATGAAAGAAATAAGTGTTTTAATAATAAAGAATATGTTTCTAAAACCAACAGCCAACATTAGATGTGCTGCTGGAATACAATAGAGATGGTTCCATTTAATTCAAAAGCAAAACAAAACTGCACAATAATTCTGTCTATTTACCATGCCCTGAAAGACAGATCCCTATTTGCCAACATGTTCACTGCTGGCTCATTGATGGGGAAAAAGAAAATTGAAAGTACCTTTTACTGTCTTATCAGTTTATCACTGCCCAAGTAACCTGAGCAGAAAGCCCTGTATATGTATCAAACAACTGAATATCTATTAAATAGGCAGATAAACTTCACAAGACATTTAAGGAAATGTTAGTTTGGAGGAAGGAGATTAAGCTAAGAAACCAGAACAGATGGCTACTATGGAGTTAGAACTAATGGATGAAATAGATACAAACTTCAATAAAAATGTAATGTGAACTTTTACAGAAATAAAACTAGAGGAAAAAAATACTGTAACCAATTTTTAAAAATAATAATTTTCCATTTAAAAATGTAATAGATGAATTAAAAACTAGAATAGTCACTACTGAAATATAAATATGTTAGGAAGGCAAATAAAGGAAATATCCATAAACACATGTGAATAGAAATCATGAGTAATAAGATTAATAATATGGAGGACATACCCAGAGGACTTGTTATGTGAATAATAGTTACTGCAGAATTCTGACTGGGAGTGGGGAAGAGATAGAATAATAATAAAGAAATACCCTAGAAGAAAACTTCTAAACTGAAGAAAGAGTATGGCTTAGAATAGAAAGGATTATCTGAGTCCTATATAGAATTTCCTTTAACACCTACTTCTTAGATATTATCTGGTGAACTTCCAAGAATACAGGAAAAATAATCTCATAAGATTCTATTCTGGACAGAAAATAAAAATAGTTATTTGCCAAGGAAATGAATGCCCTTTCTGCTCAACACAGGAACCCAAAAGACACAAAAACAATAATTACTAATGATTCAAGACCACAGATAAGAATTCTATCAAAGATTCATTTGGGGATTGGGATGAAAGAAAGACATTTTCAGACATGTAAAGACTCCTAGTTATGTCATCTATGTACCCTACCTGACGAAATGTACTCAAGAAAGTACTTGCCGTAATCAAGTAAAAATTAAATTGGAACAAAGATCTCAAGATAGAGGAAGAAGAGCAAAAGAAATAATAGAGACAACAATGAGCAATTCTACAATAATTTTCATTTAATTAAAAATTAAATAAGCATTATGTTACTGTGATTTACCTTATATTTAATTAAGACAAATTAATCTAGAAGAAGTAAAACAAATTAAGCTGGAAGAATGCGATTGGTACTTTAATGTCCTTTCTAGATATCTCCTTAGGCAAGTTCAAAAGTTCACTGTACATTTTCAGTCTTCCAAGTGATCATAGGCAATAGTCTTGCTATAATAATTGTCCCACTCTCACATAATAGAGGTTCTTTTTCCAGCTTCTAATATCAATTTTTTCACCACTCTTCTGACCCACATGTATGGTCTCTCAATGACATGTGCATCTTCCTCACCTTCTCACGCATCCCCCAGTCCCAAAGCCAATACCATAATGTTTCAGGTTTTTGCCGTGGCCATCAACCATTCTATCAGTTTTATTTTAAGCTTTTATAGTCAAATTAGTAAATTTATTCATCTGACTTTAGCAATCTGAGTTGTTCTTGGAACAGTCTTTCCCAACCTAAGATTATATTTATTTATAATATTTATAATTATTTATAATTTATTTATAATATTTAAAAAGTTTTGTTATATTTTTCCTTCAGTCTATGTGCAGTTGTGTTTATGTGCATGTATTGTGTGAGATAGAGGCCTAACTTTTTCTATAGAATACAGTTGTCTCAACAGCAGTTATTAAATAGTCCATCCTTTTCTTACTAGTTTTAAATGTTGAATGATAAGCAAATCAAAGGCATAAAAATTGCAAAGGAAGAAGTAAAATTGTCTTTATTTACTGACAGCATAATTATATGTGTAAAAAACTCTATACCACATACAAAAAAGGATTTAGAAGTAATAAATGAACTTAACAAGTTCGCAGGATGCAAGGGCAGTATACAGTAGTCTTTACATAACAGCAATGGACAATTATAATTTAAGACTTTGGCAATACCATTTTTAATAGCATCAAAATGCATGTCATTTGACTCAGAACTGTCACTTTTTCTATTGGCCTCATAAAAATGCTCTTATGTGTACATAAGTTGTGTGTAAGAGTATTTTATATACAGGATTATGTACAAGGGCGTTCATTAAAGTATTATTCCTAATAGGGAAAAAATAAAAATAAAAACTGTAAATAACTTGTATCTATTTGCAACTACTATGGCTAAATAAAGACAAGCATATGAGGGAAAATAAATAGCAGTTTAAAAGAGTGAAACATTTTATACATAATGACATGAACAAAATCTCTGAGACAAAATAAGGTATAAGAAAAGCCCAGATTATAGAAAATATATAATACATTTAGTGTTTTTTATGTAAAACAAATGTAAAAATACATAGAGATACAAAACTGGAATTAGATAGATCTGGAATTACACATAATAAGTGGTTAAATTTTAAAAATTGAAAGAAAGTGAGGTTGAAATAGAATCTTTTTTCTCTATGTTTTTCTGTATTATTTAACATTTTATATTGAGCATCGGTTAATCAGGTACTTATTTGTGAAATAAACAGTAGATAAATGGAGAAAGTTTGTCCTAGGGCAAAAATTTTGTTTCGAAAACAAAATTAAACATAGAAAATAAGTGGCCGTGGAAGATTTAACTAGTACAAAACTTGTCCTCTGACCGTGAAGGACTAGAAGACTCAACAAAATATATGAACAATTATTTTTAGGTATTGATACAGTAGGCAATGCAAGATTTGATCTCAAGGAGAAAGATCAGCAAATGAGATTAACAAGACAATTACCCCAGCTTTCTTTTGGAGGCAATCTCTGAACAAAATTCAAACTCTCAATAGTGTAACATTCATAGCGTCTAGCATCTATTCATAAATTGGTAGTATTATAAAAATGTAGCAAATTGTGACCCACAATCAGGAGGGAAAAAAAATCAATCAACAGACACAGATCCAGAAAACAAAGATGACAGAATAATCAAGACAAGGATTTTTAAATAGCTATTTAAAATATGCTTAAGGACTTAAAAGTAAAATATGAAGATAATAAGGAGTTAATGGGACATTAAAAAGAAGCAAAATAAATGTTTAGAGATTAAAAACACAGTATCTGAAATTTAAAAATTATTAGATGCATACACATACACATATATATTTAAGTTATTGAAACAATCTCAAATTTACAGAGAAATAACAAGTATAATACAAGGGTATTTTTTCCTGAATCATATGAGAGTAAGTTGCAACCTGATGTCCCATTGTGCCCCAAATTCTTTACACACAAGGACATTCTCTATATAACCACAATTCAACCATCAAAATCAAGAAATTAACATTGGCACATTTCTACCATCTAATCTTCAGACTCCATTCAAGCTTTGCCAAATTGCTCCAATAACGTTCTTTATAGCAAAAGGATCCTGTTTGTCTTGTCTCTTTAGTTATCTTTAATATGGTACATTTTCTCAGTTTTTCTTTGATATTCATGACCTTGACACTTTTGAAGATTACAAATCAGTAATTTTTTAGAATTTCCCTTAATTTAGGTTTGTCTGATTTTTCCCCTTGATTAGATTCAGATTATGCACCCCAGGCAGGACTATCACAGAAGTGATACTGTGATCTTCTCAATGCATCCTACCAGATACTACCTGATTTTGACTTGTCCCATGACTGACAATATTCATTTAGATCACTTGATAAAGCTGTTATCTGCTAGGCTTCTCTACTGGAATATTCTTTTTTCCTTTGTAATTTATAATTATTTTTAAAAAGCAGATCATTTGAAACTATGTATGTATCCTATTCCTCATCAAACTTAAAATTTATTTATTTATTTAAATAAGTATAGACTCATAGTTTCCTATTTTATTCAGTGGGTTAAAATCTGTCACTCTTATTTATAGTCATGCTAATATTGTCCCGGATTTGGCTAGTGAGAGCCACTTCAGTCTTCCTTCTGTGTCCTCATTGTTCTAATGCTTTCCTTGCTTTTTCCTTGCTTTTTCTTGACACACAAAAAGTTGCAGACTGATATGGTTTGGCTCTGTGTCCCCACCAGATCTCATCTCGAATTGAAATCCCCCTAATCCTTACGTGTTGAAGGGCTGATCTGGTGGGAGGTGATTGGATCATGGGGGCGGTTTCCTCCGTGCTGTTCTTGTGAAAGTGAGTGAGTCCTCACCAGATCTGATGGTTTTATAAGTGTCTGACAGTTCCTGCTTTGCATGCTGTTTCTCACCTGCCGCCATGTAAGACATGTGTGCTTCTTCTTCCACCATGATTGTAAGTTTCCTGAGGGCTCCCAGCCATGCAGAACTGTGAGTCAATTAAACGTCCTTTATTGATAAGGAGGTTTATTTATTTACTTACCCAGTCTTGTGTAGTATCTTTATAGCAGTGTGAAAACGGATGAATAACAGAGGCTTATCTTGTACTTTTCCTGCCAGCCCCTAGAACCATCCATTTTTCCAAAGAGCCTTTGTTTCTTTCAGTGGATGCACATTGCTATTATGTTGCTGCTCTCTGGACCTCTCAGTGGAAAGAACAAAGGAATATGTGTTTGTACACATCTGTACACATTTTACATCTATACTTATTTCTCTACCTATTGATGAACATATATATTAAAATTCATGAGTTCACATTGACTACTCTATTTCAGATTCAGCACAATACGTTCATTCTAGTTTTTTTCTCTTACCTTTTCTGACAGAGAGAAACCTGGCTCCCATTATCTTTAGAATATTTACTTATCTGATCAGATCCTCTTTATGTAACCAAACTATTGTCACCACAACTGCCTCTTCTCTTAGACCCAGTGCGGGCTCTACCTCCTCATGCTGAACCATCGCCTCCCCACCAACTTGGATGTTTCCCTCATCACTCTTGGGCTCTGATTCTCTATACTGGCTACCTTCATGTGCAGATTCTTTTTTCATCTTCCCTCTACACCCCAAAGCCAGGCCTTCTGTCCATGGGACACACTGTCCTTGCTAAGCTCAGACTATGACATCTTACCCCAGGCAGCCCCCACTTGAGGATGCTCACCTTACCCCACACAGGCTCTGACGCCTCATGCTGAGCCACTGTGACTTCCTCCTCCCACACCCTTTGTAGCACAGTGCCCTACTTTTCCTGCCCATTTCCAAGGCCCTTGAGACTTAATTGTTCAGGAAATGAGGTAAAGAGAAGTGAGGAGGAAGAGGAAGAAAAAGAAACTCTCTCTCTCTATATATATATATATATATAATTTTTTTTTTTTAGATGGAGTCTCACTCTGTTGCCCAGGCTGGAGTGCAATGGCACGACCTCAGCTCACTGCAACTTCTGCTTCCCAGGTTCAAGCAATTCTCCTGCGTTAGCCTCCCAAGTAGCTGGGATTACAGGCACCCACCATCATGTCTGGCTAATTTTTGTATTTTTGTAGAGACAGGGTTTCACCATGTTGGCCAGGCTGGTCTTGAACTCCTGACCTCAGGTGATCTGCCCACCTCGGCCCCCAAAGTTCTGGGATTACAGGTGTGAGCCACCGCACACAGCTAGGAAACAAAATCTTTTTGAATGCACTAATATTATAGGTTCTAGTTCTAAATTATAATGACTTTGTTTTCCATGACTTCTGCACAGTATTTAACATTCGACCAACTATGGTAACTTCTACTATATGATCAAATACTAATGCATTTGCAACCCACTATTCCTTGAGCTGTGAAATAATAATAATGTTGAGGACTACTAATGAAATATAAAACATAGGTTCTAGTTCTAAAATATAGTCCTATTTCTCATCATCAAGCGTCTGTTATTAGGCACATGAGTGATAATCAGAACACAAAATATAGATTAAGTATACTATAGTTTCTGCCTTTAAGGAGCATGAAATCCTTAAGACGTAGTAGTGAAATTATATGCAAAACAATAATCATTTTACACATCAACATATCTGACAGCACAGGGCAGCTAATAATGGAATTTTATTCCCACTGTCTAAAATAGTTACAAGTTATATGATAATGAAAAAGAAAGAGTATTGAGTTTTTAATCTAGTATTTATTCATAGGTAATATACATGGGTCAGACTAAGCACAGTCTGTTGATGTGTAAAATGCATATTTTTTGCATATTACTGGAAAGATATTTAACTACACATTTTTTTTTCATTTTCTACTTATTGTCAGTTCATTTCTGGCCACTAATGATATACATGAATATACTGTTATCCAGGGTTATAGTACTTATTTCTAGTTGATGATGAAGTGACTGGAAACTTCCAGTTATTTCTTGATGTTTTATTACATTACTGGTAATACTTTTGGTCTTTCATCATTATTAATTCATTTAGTATTCATTGTGATAATACTGATCATAATAAATTTATTTCAAATTCATGTAGATGTCATATTTTATTCACTGCTATAGGATTTTCATTGTAATTTGGAACTAATTAATATACCATTAAAATAAAGTGTTACCCACATTTTTCATTTTAAACATAAAATGTCTAGCAGTTCATGACATATTGTATGAGTATTCAGCATCCCAGCGGTAACCCAGCATCTGTAAATTTTGTTTTTAAGCAGTTAAAAAAAGGGCAACAGAGAAACATGTATAGAAGTCAAATTTTAGCACATAAGTTAAAGTTTAGTAGTAAGTTAACTACTAGTTAATTTTTAGTGCCTCCTTCCTTTTAATTGCAATGTATAATTCTTATTAATATAACATATGCTTGTATATATACACATAATAATATCCCAAAAAGAAATTATTTAATTTTCTACTTGACTGGTGTCAGCAGGAGAGATTAAAAAACATAAACCCAAAACAGTTAATTTGATTGCTTCTCTTCTGCATTTCTAATGACAATTATAAATAAAGGGTGAGTTCCTACAAATACATTAATAACTAATATGGTAACTTCAAAAGAAGCATTAGATGTGTCTATGTGCCTTACTCATATTTTTCTTCCATTTTTATAAAGGTAGCCAGTTGATTGTTGGTGGGAAAGGAGAAACAAATGTTTTCAGTAATTTAAATGGACTATATTAAGAAGATGAAAAACAAATCTGGTATAGTTTGTTAAATATTAATGGTAAAAGGTTTAAATAACCATAAGAAACAGCTCTATTCTATTATCATGAATTTTATTGCACATTAGCTTTATTGAATGAAATTATTCTTATTTTTTCCACATTCTATCTTCTTTGAGTTGCCTGCTCTACTGGACATTATGTTGTTGTATCTTTTCCATGTTGGCCATTAATGACAGTGTCTTTGTTCCACTATCCCATCTTGTTACTGGTCAGGATAAGATTTTAAAAGAAAAATGAAAAATTCCTTCTAACCCTGCAACCAGTTGAATAATGACCTTGTTTTCCATGACTTCTGCACAGTATTTAACATTGCTTAATCATGATCTCCCATCCTGATGCCTTCCCATTAACTTCTATGACACTGCACTATACTTGTATCTTATGATTGGACCTTTTTTTTAAATAATTGTTGTTATTTAGTATCTTTTACTGTAAATCTTTACAGAGATTATCAAACTTTGGAGATATGTGTTTCCATGGTCAAAATGTTGATAATCAGGGAGTCTAGAATTCCTTAATATTATGCATAAAACTCTGAAAACCAAGGCCTTTTGCCTTGGCTTCAACTATTAATCTCCTCATTTCCCCCATCCTTCATTTCTGTCTTGAAATTTGTGTTTTATCATTCTCATTATAATTCTACTACATGTGTATACATCCTTAGTGAACATCCCTAAAGTTTTGTGAGGTTTTTACTTATGTAAATAAAATTATTCTGTATCTGTTCAAAGTCCAAACTGTTTCCTAGCAGCAATATATATGAATTCTTAACACTAACACTTGGTATAGTCTGAAATTTTGGGATGTTGCTATAGATGTTTGTATCATTTCAAATACTCATCTCTCAGTTTATTTTATGGTTTTAGGGAGATTGGTGCTACCTTTTCCCACAAAGTCTCCATATTATATTTAGAAATTGATTACATGAATTTTTTTTGCGTTTTCCTTTTCTTCCATTTTACTTTCCCTTTCTTCTGCTCTTTTCATTTCTTACTCTCTTCCCCTTTAGAAGCAGTGATGGTTAAAAACCCAGCCTCTGAGCTGAGCACGGTGGCTCACAACTGTAATCCCAGCACTTTGGGAGGCCGAGGTGGGTGGATCACGAGATCAGGAGTTCAAGACCAGCCTGGCCAATATGGTGAAACCCTGTCTCTACTAAAAATACAAAAATTAACCAGGCATGGTGGCGTGCACCTGTAGTTCCAGCTACTCGGAGGCTAAGGCAGAAGAATCACTTGAACCCGGGAGGCGGAGATTGCAGTGAGCCGAGATCACACCACTGCACTCCAGCCTGGGCAACAGAGCAAGACTCTGTTTCAAAAAAACCCAAACAAACCAACAAACAAACAAAAAAACCAGCCTCTAGAGCAGGACTACCAAGGATTAAATGCCAGCTGTGACACTTACTAAAGATGTGACCTTGGGCATATGACTATGCTTTCTCCACAGTGGTATCTTCTTCTGTCAAATGGGGATAATAATTCTCTTCTTCAGAGGGGTATTGAAAGGATTATGTATGAGTTAATTCACTGATATGTGAAATATTAGAAACAGTGCCTGACATATAAGGTTTTATTTAGTAAAACGTATTTATTTCCTTCTATTTCTCTCAACAGCTCCTTTCATGTCTGCCTGTCTTTTTCCCATCATCACCCAGGGGTTAAGTTACTAAGAAGATAGAGGCACTCATGGGCTCTCAGCAACTATGTCATCCTAAAGTAGGGAGAGGTTTCAATGTTGGGAGTAGATCTAGTGAGGGAAGCCTGTGAGTGGCATTTCTCACCGGGATGGAATATGCCAACAGGCATGTTTCTCCCTCAGGTAGCACCTTTGGTAAGACAAAGTTGAGTGTTAGGAGTAATACCAATGATCTCTCCTGAGGCCATGGGGAATACAGTATAGGACAAAATAGATAAGACTACTTCCTTCGATGTTTCAAGTTTAGTGGAAGAGACCATCGTTAAATAATTTTTAAATATGATTGTGGCAAATATTATGAAGCTATCAGAGTGTAACATGGAAAGGCCTAATTGTAGTCTGGGAAGTCAGGGAAAGTTCTCTGGAGAAAAGGACTTTAAGCTGTTCTCCCTCCCACATGGAGGACAATAATATGATGCCAGAATTCACTTTAGTCAAGCCTCTTTTTAAAATTTTTTTTTTTATTTTGAGACAGAGTCTTGCTCTGTCGCCCAGGCTGGAGTGCAATGGCGCTATCTCAGCTCATTGCAAACTCTGCCTCCCGGGTTCAAGCGATTCTTCTGTCTCGGCCCCCGAGTAGCTGGGATTACAGGAGCCCGCCACCACGCTTGGCTAATTTTTGTATTTTTAGTAGAAACGGAGTTTCACCACGTTGGCCAGGCTAGTCTCGAAATCCTGACCTCAGATGATCCGCCCACCTTGGCCTCCGAGAGTGCTGGGATTACAGGCATGAGTCACCAAGCGGGCCTTACTCAAACCTCTTTTGTAGTTTGTTACATGCAGTACAAATATACAACAATAAGGAATCATTCCTTTCTTCTATTCCTAATTGTCTAGAGTGGTCTTACACTCTTAATTATTTCCAGCAGATTTTATTGCATCATATAGTAATCTTATCATGGTGCCTTCCGTTCATTATCAGGTAATGCAACTATTTATATATTGTTTTGTGTGGTTTTTACAGTTTATTTTACACTTAATCTACACTTTATGTAGTCTTACTGATTTGTGTGAATTCTCCCTATATTGTACATGTCTCACATCTGGATCACTGACTTGAATTTCTTATCTCTATATAAACCCTATGGCCCTCCCCTTGCCTCCTTTAATTAAACAGACTTTCTGAGAATTCTAGCTATTAATGGAACAGGCATTCTGTGATGGGTTCATTTAACTTAGAGACAACTCATTTAACTGATGAATGAGTGAAATATGTGAGCATTTTCATCTTGCATGATACATGTGTAGTAGCATTTAAACAGTAAATTCAAATGATTATGTTTTAAAAATAATGTCAAAATAACACATTTCTTACTTACTCCCTAATAAAAATCACTGGCAAATTAATTAGTTGTAAAATTGGTGATTATCAAAATAAAAAAAGCAAAGCTGTTGAAAGCACATGGCTTCTCAGAGAAAGGTTAATTTTCAAAACATAGCTCATGATTTTTGAAATGCCTTATTTATTTATACTTTAATGTTATTTAAAATGACATTTGAATTTATAATTATCATCTTGGAAGAAATTAAAAATCAAGTTTAACAGGTTGACTTGCTTTAGAATTATATTAGTTACTAATGAAGTGCTTTTTAAACATTTTGTTTTAGTGTTGTAGATCCATTTAGAAAAAAGGAGAATGATGCAGCAGTTAAAATCCAAAGCTGGTTTCGAGGATGTCAAGTTCGGGCATATATCAGGTATATTGCTTTTGTCATGGAAACCTCAGATATATCATAAAAATATATTCCTTAGAAAATGTAATTTATTCATGAAGTACTCATTTCAAATAATTTTTTATTTTACTCATAATGTAGTTGATAAATTGTATGTATTTCTTTTAAAAGAAATACATAGTATTTCTGATCTTTTCTTACCAAAACTAAATTATATGGACTGTATTGCTTTTTAAAATTCTCAATATTGGCTGGGCGCAGTGGCTCACTCCTGTAATCCCAGCACTTTGGGAGGCTGAGGCAGATGGATCACTTGAGGTCAGGAGTTTGAGATCAGCCTGGCCAACAAGGTGAAACCCAGTCTCTACTAAAAATACAAAAATTAGCCGGGCATGGTGGTGCACATCTGTAATCCCAGGTACTTAGGAGGTCCAGGCAGGAGAATCCCTTGAACCCGGAAGGCGAAGTTTGCAGTGAGCTGAGAAGGTGCCACTGCGTTCCAGCCTGGGCAACAGAGTGAGACTCTGCCTCAAAAAAATAAAATAAAATTCTCAATATTACAAACACATTTGCTCAGATTCCTTTTCCCAAATTCCAAAGGATCTACAAATGACTGGGTTTGTATTTATAGCAATAAATTCATTGACTGGTAAGAAAGGGGGAAAAAGAGAAAACAGTTTCAATCTTTTCCACCATGTTGGTAGATAAAATAAAATGACGCATGGATGATGTCATTCTGACTATAAAAAGAGACAGAAATTTGTCCCTATCTTAACTCTTTCTCACTTTTTTTTTTTTTTTCAGTGCCCAAACTTTCCCTCAGTGTCCCATCAATTCTTAAAAAATATTTTCCTGGATAAGGTAGAGGAAAATATGCCTACTCCATAATAACTCATCAGGCCTGGAATTATCCTATATAAAACTTCCTTATACTGTCTAGTAAGAGCTAGACATGCAAACTTAAAGTGTGAAGACAAGGCTTCTCTCTTTTTTTTTTTTTTTTTTTTCTGAAACGGAGTTTTGCTCTTGTTGTCCAGGCTGCAGTGCAATGGCACCATTTCGGTTCACCGCAACCTCCGCCTCCCAGATTCAAGCGATTCTCCTGCCTCAGCCTCTCGGGTAGCTGGGATTACAGGCATGTGCCACCATGCCTGGATAATTTTGTATATTTAGTAGAGGCGGGGTTTCTCCATGTTGGTCAGGCTGGTCTCGAACTCCCGACCTCAGGTGATCCGCCCGCCTTGGCTTCCCAAAGTGCCGGGATAACAGGCATGAGCCACGGCGCCTGGAAGACAAGACTTCTCTTTTGGCCACTATATAAACTAAGGAACATGGTGGCAAATAGAGTATTTTTGAATTCAGCAGACTAACATGATGTTGGCTTGGATAGACTGAGGATTACAGGAAAAGAATGAAGAGGAGAACTATTTCTTAACCTCATGAATTCTTTCTCTCTCTCTCTTTCTCTCTTTCTCTCTCTTTTTTTTGAGACAGAGTCTTGCTCTGTCACCCAGGTTGGAGTGCAGTGGCGCGATCTCGGCTCACTGCAACCTCTGCCTCCCTGGTTCAAGTGATTCTCCTGCCTCAGCCTCCAGAATAGCCAGGACTACAGGCGCGCACCGCCACCACACCTGGCTAATTTTTGTATTTTTAGTAGAGACAGGGGCGGTTTCACCGTGTTGGCCAGGCTGGTCTCAAACTCCTAAGCTCAGGTGATCCAACCGCCTTGGCCTCCCAAAGTGCTGGGATTACGGGCATGAGCCACTGCGCCCGGCCCTCATGAATTATTTCTAATTGCTAATAATGATTTACATCAATAGTGCCTGGATTATTTCTCAACATGTCACTGTGACCTGTTTTATAGTCTTAACATTCAAAAATATGTTAAAGAGTAAGTATTGAAGAAGAATTGAAATTAAGTATTGTGTAATAATAAGCCCCAAAGAAATAACAAATAGTTACCAATGCCGTTTTCTTCCACTTCTAGAAATGATTAATTCTATCCCACAATAACTTTCTACTGTTTAAAAGTGCACATAAACTTGGCTTTGAATTTGAATTCTTGAATTGTAGGAGAGTATTTTAACAAAGATTTAACTGACCTTGTTTCAATGAAAGGATACTAATAAGCATATTTTTTTTATCCTAGGCATTTAAACAGGATTGTAACAATTATTCAAAAATGGTGGAGAAGTTTCTTAGGCAGAAAGCAATATCAACTAACTGTGCAGGTAAATATAAAATGTACATATGTTAGCATTTGAATTGTACAATATGCTGTAACTTACTCACTTTAGTCATATTTCCATATAGTTTGGAAATTACTGATGATGAGTATTTATGTAAGGACAAAATTGGGCTTAATTTTTAGTATGAGACCTATTCTTGAAAGCATTTTCTGATATTTCCATGGAGAATTGACCCATTTTTTGGTACCCAAACTACACTGATATTATTTTTGCTTGAAGTACTTTTCACAGTATGCATTTATACTTATTTATTGATGGTTATCTGTACTTTGTAGATGGTGAGCTTTTTGAGAGTGGGCACTGCAGCCCACTTCCTTTTTGGATCACCAACATTTTAGGCTAATGCCTTGCCCAGAACACAGTCAAAAAATATCCTCATAAGGACGCTAAACTGATCAAAGCAAAGAATAAGGCTTCTTTTGTCTTCTCTTCAGGACTTTCTGATAAATTTTGTTTCATAGGTATAAATAAGGTTTAAATAATTTAATAAATGATATATCATTCCAGAATGGTTTTTTATGGAAAGTTAAATATATTTGTGGTTATATCGCATGATTAATTATTATTGGAAAGCAACAAAGATTACATGGTGCTTTTATACTAGCTATTATTTATTAAACACCTGCTATATACCAGGCATGTTGTGTAATTATTTAATTTGTATGTTAGGATGCTTATTAAAAGTAACCGTCGTACTCATTTGGCAGGCTAGGAAACTCAGTCTCATCCACTTGTCCATGAACACATAGTGGTACATTTAATATACAAAGCAACCTTACAGTTGTTATAGAAGTTTTTACATTGGGCACAGTTGTCTCGTAATTGCCAAGATCCTCTGCCTAATCTCCATAAGGACAGAGACTATGTCTCATTAGTGTTGCACTCTCAAAGCATGGTGCCTGGCATATATTAAATAGTTAGCACTTATATAGATGAATAGAAGAATGAACAACGTTTCTGTTTCTACTATGCTGTGCTCCCTTTACTGGTAGAAGACAAAAATTGATACTGATTGGTCACCAGTCTGAGTATAGTATGTCTTTTTGTTTTTCCGAGATGGAGTCTCACTCTCTTCCCCAGGCTGGAGTGCAATGGCACGATTTCGTCTCACCGCAACCTCTGCCTCCTGGGTTCAAGCGATTCTCCTGCCTTAGCTTTCTGAGTAGCTGGGATTACAGGCTCCAGCCACCACACCTGGCTAATTTTTTTGTGTTTTTAGTAGAGACAGGGTTTCACCATGTTGGCCAAGCTGGTCTCAAACTCCTGACCTCAGATGATCTGCCTGCCTCGGCCTCCCAAAGTGCTGGGATTACAGGTGTGAGCCACCACGCCCGGCCAAACTTTTTTTTTTCCCTTCTCCTGTCTTGATTTTGGTTAAAAACATCATTTTAAAAAAGTAACTCTTTGAATTACTCTGAAATCAAATGCCTCTATTTCTGTTTCTGCTTAACATTTTGGAAAGGAAAAATTGGGAAGAAGATGTAACTAATAGTTACAGAATATATCCTAGGTGCCAGACACTGTGGTAAGCATTAAATATGCAATATCTCTGAGTCTTCTACCTACCTTTTGACTCTCATTGAACTGTAGAAAGAGGACAGGCTTTAGACCTGATGACGGAAGTTTGATGACTGTGGGCAAGTTATTTAACCTGTGTGGACCTTGCTTATGTCCCTTGTCTTTAAAATGAGGATAAGAATGTGTGGGAGATTTTTGTGAAAATTAAGTGAAACACTGTACGTAAAATACCCAGAACTGTGATTGGCACCTAGTCGGTGCTCAAAAATGGTAGTTTTTCATTTGTGATGCTGTTGTTAGTATTATTCAAAAACTATCGAGGCAGTTTGCTTAGAGTAATATGAGTGAGTGATTTTCAGATCAGATTAGCTCCATTTTACATTTCTCTCACTTATGCATAATCACATGATAATTTTATTATATGTGAGTGAGTGTAGTGTGTGGATAGATAGATACATAGGCATACAATTTTTATACAGTGACTCAGGAAACCTCTTACATTTTGAAGCTTGTCTTTCTTAGAATTAGTGACAATAGAAATTAGGAGGAAAGCAAAGAAACACAAAGACAGATGTCTTTAAATCTGTACTTATAATAAATAGGAAAGAAAATTGAAGAGGGAAAAGAGACTTTCAGGGTTTAAGTGTAGATATTGGATTCACCATCAATCCATCTAAACTGCTATTCAACTCATAACCCTAGAATCTACAACTTGATATTTTAGAATATTAAAGGTGATCAGGATAATTTGTATTTCCTTCATATTGTCTATGTCTCTGTGCTTATATACTAAAATTAATATAGTTAAATATATACTCTTCTATATTGTTGAAGAGTTACATCTTCATGATCTTCATAAGATGCTCTTCTGGAAACAAATGAGTGTGGTTGTAGAAACAATCGTTTTAAGAATCTTTGACAATGGCTGACATTGGACAGTGAGCCAATGGAAGCAGAAGTCAGATAGAAGGAAGTGTTGTAGATGCTTCCTGGGCATAATGTCATATTCTTAAACAGTGAAGAGGAGATTTGATTTTTCTTCTTTTACTTTTTCAATTTGAATGCCAGGGATTTTGGTAATAACCTTTTATCTGGTATACATACGAAAAACCCATATTTTCTATTTAAAGACATATAAAACCAAAGAATTCCATTGGCTACAGTATATATTCCATATTCTATCCAAACTTAATTTATACCATTTTAATACAGAATTTTTATTTCACATTTGGGTCCATTTGTCTCACAGGTATGGAAAAAATGTAATCAAATATCAGTGCTTCTTTTGTATGTGAAATTCCTATTGATGGCTTTTAAATACTATTTTTAAACACAAGTTTTCTTTCTCCACCTTCTTTCTCCCTTCCTTTTCTTCTTTCTTTCCAATTTTGACATATGATTTTTATTTATTTATTTATTCTTATTTACTTTTTTTTTTTTGGAGACAAAGTCTTGCTCTGTTGTCCAGACTGGAGTGCACTGGTGTGATCTTGGCTCACTGCAACCTCTGCCTCCCTGATTCAAACGATTCTCCTGCCTCAACTTCCCAAGTAGCTGGAATTACAGGGACCTGCCATCACGCCCGGCTAATTTTCTTGTGTTTTTGGTATAGACAGGGTTTCTCCCTGTTGGCCAGGCTGGTCTCCAACTCCTGCCTGCCTCTGCCTCCCGAAATGCAGGGATTACAGGCATGAGCCACTGTGCCCAGGTGGCATAAGATTTTTAAAATTTATTGTGCTATCATTTACATTCAGGCCACTTTAAAAAAAGTTTTAAATTTTGAAAAAATTTCAGATTTACAGAAAAGTTGCAAAAATAGTACAAAGAACTTCCATATATTCTCCACTCACATTTTTTAATCAAGTGAAAAAATTTGCATTATTATTTCCTCTTCTCTGTATACATTTTTCTCTATATACATTATTTTATTCATTTGACACAAAGTTACAGAAGTTATGCCCCCTTATCTCTCAATATATTGCATGCATATTGTTTACATAATCTTTTTTTTTTTTTTTTTTAGACAGAGTCTCGCTCTGTCGTCCCAGGGTGCAAGGGTGCGAGCTCAGCTCACTGCAACCTCTGCCTCCCGGGTTCAAGCGATTCTCCTGCCTCAGCCTCCCGAGTAGCTGGGACTACAGGCACGTGCCACCACGCCCGGCTAATTTTTGTATTTTTAGTAGAGATGGGGTTTTGCCGTGTTAGCCAGATGGTCTCAATCTCCTGACCTTGTGATATGCCCGCCTTGGCCTCCCAAAGTGCTGGGATTATAGGCGTGAGCCACCGCACCCAGCCCTACATAATCTTATTACAATATTAAAATCAGGAAATTGACATCTGTACAAAACTATTTGCTAATGTATAGACACTATTCATATTTTACTGATTGTACCAGTAATGTCATTTATAGCAAAAAATCTTTTCCAGGGTACAAACTAGGATTTCACTTTGTAGTTAGTGTTTGTTGTGTCTGTTTAGTCACCTTTAATCTAGAATAATTTTTTAGTCTGTCTTCACTTTTCATAACCCTAATATTTTTGGAGAGTACAGACTAGTTATTTTTCAGATTATTTCTCAATTTTTGCTTGCTAGTGTTTCTTCAGTGTTGGATTCTGGTTATGCATTTTTAGCAGAAATACATCTCAATACATCATATTATGATGCATATGTCATCAGTTTGTCCAATAAATGTTGTTAACTTTGATTAAAGTAGTGTCTCTCGGGTTTCTACACTGTCAACTTACTATTTGTCTCTCATGAGGGGATATTTAAATGCTATGTATACATCTTCTTCCTCATTAAACTTTTGTATGCTAGGTTTAGCATCCAATTACGATTCTTACCAGAATCAATTATTACTATAGATCTTCAACAGTGATTTTCTAATTCCATTGTTTCTCCTACATTTACTTACCAGCATTTTGCTATAAGAGATTTTCCTCTCTTCCATTTATTTATTTATTCATGTATTTATATGAGTATGAAGTAATGGATTCCTATTTTATTCAATGGGTGGGTTATGGTCAACTATTCTCACTAAATGGTTTGGTGCTCAAATAGTCCTTCGTTTTCTCACTAGGAGCTTCTTCAAACCAATTTTTGATAGAATCATATTACTTAACCAGGACGACCAAGAAATTAAGACATTCTGTGGAGTAATGAGCACCTTTAGTCCCATTATTTATAAGAATTGAGGTTGTATGTCAATGGTATGGACAAAGACAGTAGAGTATACTTATGCATATAAGACATTCCTGGGTTCAAGTGATTCTCCTGCCTCAGCCTCCCAAGTAGCTGGGATTACAGGTGCCTCCCCCACCCCCCACGCCCGGCTAGTTTTTGTATTTTTAGTAGAGATGGGGTTTCACCATGTTGGCCAGGCTGGTCTCGAACTCCTGACCTCAGATGATCCACCCGCCTTGGCCTCCAAAAATGCTGGGATTACAGGCATGAGTCACTGCACCAGGCTGAGACGTCTTTTTAATCAAGCATATAGGATTTCATACATTTCAATAACTGTATTCAAAGTAGTCACCTTGGAATGTGTATTTATTTTAATGATGCTGGCGTTGCTGATTAAAAAAATACTTTTAAGAGTTCAAATAATAAGCCACCTAAGAATATTTGTTTTGTTACTTTAGCATCTCAACTGGATTTGATCAAAAATGGCATCACCCAGTATAATCACCAAATGATTCTCCAGATTTGGATCTAATTTTTTTTTGCTTATTTTGAAAACAAAATCAAAATATGAAGCTTTTCCTCGTTTAGATTGGTTCATGATGGTTTTTAAATCTGGTAAGCTCTAAGCTCCTTGGGAATAGGTCTGATATATGTATGTATGTATGTATGTATGTATGTATGTATTTATTTATTTTTGCCATTGTGTACACACTGCCTAACATAAGGCATGAAACAGAATCATAGTGGAATCTTAATAAATAATTATGAAATAAGATTAAAATAGCTCCCATTTCTTGATTGCCTAGTGAAAGTGGAACATTGCATTAAGCATTTTACATTCTTCATGTGTGCACCAACTATGGAAAGTATTACACCAACCCTATGAATATTATCACTATTTTATAGATGAAGATTCTGATGCTTAGCTTACTTCCTCAAGGACACACTGCTATTGCTGTTATTACTATTACTGTTATGTGGAGAAGAGTTCAAACTCAGTTTGACCTGATTTCAAAATCCTTATATATTGAGCTGGTAGGCAATTCAATCTCAGCCCTTATTGGGGATTTTTCTCCTTTACACGGAGTTCCTGTGGGACTTAACTAGTGCCAGTGTATCAGAGATTCCTGCCTTCATGGAGCCTTCATTCAAAAGATGTCCATTGTCTAAGATGATGTGTTTGAACCTTCCAAATTAATCCTTAGAGGACTCTATGGCTGCTGAGCCACATTAAGGGAATGGGAATTTTTACCAGAGCTGATATCCTTAGCACTTAGAGGCCCATCTTCTCCACAGCTGTCATGAAGCTTACCCCTAGAGTTTTAGCCACCTCCCAGAAGCCATAGGAATGCCAAATGCTGCATTGCTTCCTTTCAGAAGGCTAATGTTCAGTTCTTTCTTAGGCATGTGGAATCTTTGCTCCTCTCTTTTCATCCTATGCCCACACCACTTCTTTTACACCTCACACTGCTCTGCCCACCTTCCACCAACATATTGCCTCGGAGCTTAGGTTTTAGAAAAACAAAGCCAGGAATGGACAATCACATGTAAATCTTCTGAAGCAAGAGTGCATGAAATGATCTGCTGTTTTCCTGGGTTGGGCAGTGGGACATGAGTTGAGGATACTGTTTGAACCTCTGCACTGTCACACACTTAGTCCTAAATTAAGTTTGCTTAAATCATCATTTTCTTAATTTCTGCTGCATAATTTTTTTGATCTTACAGTTATATACAATAATAACAATGTCATACAGTATATGATTAAGTTATAAAATGAATGGTGTAGAACAGTCATTTTAAAACTTTAGTAATAGAACCTCCTCTAACTAAAATTTTAGCAAAATTCTTAGTCCTGTATGTAAAAGAGATATGATATAGTTTGAATGTTTGTCCCTGTATTAGTCTGTTTTCATGCTGCTGATAAAAACATACCTGAGACTGGGTCATTTATAAAGAAAAAGTTTAATGGACTCACAGTTCCACATGGTTGGAGAGGCCTCACAATCATGGCGGAAGGTGAAAGGTATGTCTTACATGGTGGCAAGCAAGAGAGAATGAGCAAAAGGAGGAAAAGCCCCCTATAAAACCATCAGATCTTGTGAGACTTGTTCCCTATCTATGAGGACAGTATGAGGAAAACTGCCCCCATGATTCAATTATCTCTGTCTGGCCCCACCCTTGACACATGGGGATTATTACAATTCAACATGAGATTTGGGTGGGGACACAGCCAAACCATATCAGTCCCCTCTAAATCTCATGTTGAAATATAACCCAGTGTTGGAGGTGGGGCCTGGTTGGAGGTGTTTGGGTCATGGGGGAGGATCCCTCATGAAAGACTTGGTCCCCTCCCCACAGTAATGAGTGAGTTCTCGTGTTAATTCATATGAGAGCTGATTGTTTAAAGGAGTCTGGCAGCTTGAACGGCTCCCTCTCTTGCCATGTGACATGCCTGCTCTCCCTTTACCTTCCACCATGAGTAAAAGCTTCCTGAGGCCTCACTAGAAGCGGAGCAGATGCTGATACCACATACAGATGAGCCAAATTGACCTCTTTTCTTTATAAATTAGTCAGTCTGGGGCCGGGTGTGGAGGCTCACACCTGTAATCCCAGGACTTTGGGAGGTCAAGGCGGGCAGATCACGAGGTCAGGAGATCAAGACCATCCTGGTTAACATGGTGATAGCCCGTCTCTACTAAGAACACAAAAAATTAGCAGGGCGTGGTGGCAGGTGCCTGTAGTCCTAGCTACTCGGGAGGCTGAGGCAGGAGAATGGCGTGAACCCGGGAGGTGGAGCTTGCAGTGAGCCAAGATCTCACCACTGCACTCCAGCCTGGGCGACAGAGCGAGACTCTATCTCAAAAAATCATAATAATAATAAATAATAATAAATAAATGAATTAGTCTGTCTCAGTATTCCCTTATAGTATGCAAAATAGACCCACATAAAATATAGGCAGTGCAACTATTTTGGAAGCTAGACAAATGCAACTGCTTCATTTCTTTCCCTGTGTTTTCTATTGTCGCCTGAGCCACGAGGGCATGATTTGAAAACCACTGATTTAATTTTCTTGACTCTGGAAGGATCTCTGGAAAGATCACACATGAAAAACCTGATGATATTACTGCCTGGGGGGAAGAGAACTGAGTAGTTGAGGGACAGGCATGGGAGAGAGACTTCAATGTCAACTCATTTGTAGTGTTTGAATTTTAAACAATGTGCATGTATTATCTATTAAATAAATTAATTTAAAAAGAAATTCAATTTAAAGGAGACTTTGCCCATCAAAACACACACACACACACACACACACACACACACACACAAATAGAAGTAATAAGTATTCAGGTGAGAAGTTAACATAGGCTCTGAAGGTCAAGGAAATGACACTTCAGCTAACCCTTGGGAAGAAAACATGAATGAAATTTTGAAATTAGGAATGAGCATAACATATACAGAAAAAATTAGATAGTTGCTCTAGATTATGCAGACAGTGGGGAATAACAGAAGGTTGGTAAGGAGTTCAGTGTGACTTTTATAAAATAATTTTATATTAATATATTTTTAAAGGAATTTTTTACTTAAAAATAGTTTTTACAATCATTGTCTCATTATGTCATGAGCAATGGTTCTGTTAAGAAGAATGTGCAGGTGGTATCTGTTTTATAGATGAAGAAATTGGTACTCAGGGAGACTAAATGATGTGCCTAGGGTTCTCAGCTCCTGATCCATATATATCTATATAGATCCACATACTAAATACTAAACATCTTCTCTGGATGTCCCTCGGGTGGCCCAAATTGGCTCGTCCTATATTTCTTTTTTTCAGGTAAATAGTACTGCAATTCAACCAGAAATCGAACCCTGAGAAACAGTCATCCTAGACTCTCTACCACCTCTTGTTCCCTATCTCACCTTCTATTGGTCATCAAATCATTTTTACTTTCCCTCTTAAAAGCCTCTTGATTCCAAACTAAACTGCATCATTTTACTGCCATGCCTGTAGTCCTCCTTCCCATAGCATACAATGTAAAGTCCTTGCTTTTTAACATGACATGTGAGGTCTTCCATGGTCTTACCATTGCTTCTTATCTAATGTCACTTCTTGCTATACCTATGTAAATATGCTTTAGTCGTATTCAACCACTTGCCATTGCCCAAATATGCAGTGTCCTTATCACCCAAAGATTTTTGGCAAATGCTGTTCCCTCTGCCTGGAATGCTTTTCTTCACTCTAACATGCCTCTCATTGGTCTTATTTCCTACGTATCCCTCAAGACTTTACTTGAAGATCAACTTTTCCTAATCTTAGTAGAAAGTAAAATTTGGGAATACTGAAAACATTAATTTTGTCTTCTTAAATGCTTGTCATGTAGGCATTTCTCTCACTGATACATTTGTTTATTTACATCTCTCTCATTTGATTGGAAGCTCCTGAGTAGCAGTGATGAGTCTAATTATATCTCAAAAATATCCCTGTGACTGACACATAAAAGGCCTACTGAAATTTTTACCAACTGGATAAATGATTCACAGGGATACAAGTTGGAAGATGTTTGCTATGACCAATGTAGATGATGATTAACATCAGTATGTGCCAGGGTGGATTGTATTCTTGTTCAAAATTAGTCATCCCATCTCCCCTTCTTCATAAAAAGGATGATTCATACTCATCCCACCGATGTGGGGCTTGTCTATGTGTTGTGAGCAGATGGGATATATGCCACACCCAAACTGAAGCTTTAAAGAGGTGTTCTCGGTCTTTTCCTCTGGCAAAAGAATGGCATACCTTAGATCCAGCTTGCTCCTTCAACCTTAGGGCTGAGACGAAGAGATATGTGGGACATAGCTACAGGGAACCTTAGCTCACATGTAGTGTGAGTAAGAAATAAACTTTTGTTGTTTTGCAACCTACTGCAATGGTTGTATTTTTATCTCAGCAAAGCTGATTGATAGTTATAATGATAACAAAAGCAAGGATGTTTATAAGAAACATTCTGAATGGGTTACTCGGTTATGCTTACAAAAAGATGTTTGGAGCTTTTGGAGTTTGTGATGATGTTAGGACACCTCCATGTGGTGGTATCTTGTAAGGCGATGGTGCAAACTCAGCAAAATCTCTGGCACATCAAAATTAGAACTCAACAAATATTTGTTAAACCAAGCTATTGAATGGGAGCTTAGATTAAAGATCAGCACTGGAGATAAAAGTTCTAGATCCATAGTTATAAGATGACAGGATTTTCTACCTAATGAAAAAAGTATGTGAACAGTACAGAATGGTGTCTAAGAATTGAGGCTTGTGGAATGCATTAGGTAGAATTTAGGAAGAGGAAAGGGAATTAAAAATAAGAATAAACAGGAAAACAGTGATGTTATATCACAGGAATTAGAGGAGAAAACTTATAGGAAACTTGGAGTTGTCAAATGTGAAGTTCAAGCAGAAAGAGGACTGTGAAAAGATAGAAGTTCTGGGATCTCTTTAGTGAGGAAAGTCAACTTTCCTCAAAATTCTCCTATACCCAAATATTTATATCCAGCTTTTAAATAATTCTCATGGTGACATCAAATAGCTTATCAAGTCCTAAAGAGTCATGTGCTCTGCATTGCAGTGACTTCATTAACCCACAATAATAGAGCTATTCCAGTCTTGTTTTGTGATTTGTTTGCCTCTTTTTTGCTTCCTGTATGACTGTTGTTTTTGTTTTTCTTTTCAACTTCCATTTTAGGCCTTTCTGCTGACTTTCATACTGCTATATCTAGCAACATAACCCAAATTTGCCTATCTTAGGGGTACAGAACTGTTGGGTCACAACTGTGAAAATTCTTTCCTATTATTGAGGATGTGCTCTGATTCTCCTTTTTATTGGTAACAAACTTATTGTCACCTGGTGCATGTGCTCAGTGCACATGCATTTTATGCATGCTGAACTCTTGGTTTAATTTTACTGTGGCCTGTTCATTTCATTATACAATCAAATAGTCCTACTATTTGGGGACCCATCTTGTTTTAGCTGTGTAGTGTTCTAGTTAGCTTTTCCTTACCCCTTCCTTACTCCATTCGTTTCATAAATGGGGAAATAAAAATAAGTCATTCTTTTAAGCAATAGTACCACAAAAATGTAGAAATATCCTTTCATTTGCTTCTTTTAAGAGCACTAACAATTTGAGAGTTCCCTGACTGCATTTATCTGTAAAAACTAAATTGGATGGCTTGTATACATTTTGTTATATTTTTAAATTTGCCTTCCTTTTTTATATTTTGTCATTACCCAATTTACATTATGTTTAATATCAGATGTGCTACTTTTGAATCACCATAGTCTGAGAGCAGAGAAGTATAAAGGCTATTGTAGTATATAATTAGTTTGATATGAGGTGTTATAAAATAATTATATATAACTGTAGTCCTAGACAGGTCAATGTTACGTTTTTAAATTGAGATCATCTAGTGAATAACATATGTATGGCAACCACATTAAAACTCAATTTAATTAAATTTTTTGTTGAAATGTATTAATAGCCTATGGTAGAACTATTTAATTTACAAAGATTGATTATGATTAAAAAGAGAAATTATTCAAATTATAAAAATAACATTATATACTGATGAAATCAAGGTTCCCAGTATTCATACATGGCTTACCATTATAACACTTCTTTCAATGTTTTCATATATGATTATTTAAAAGAGGAACAATGAAAGTTTTATTAACTTTAAATGGGAAAAATGATGACATGTACCATCAAATTCCATTGTATGTTGTTACGATAAAAGCCAACAATTTGATCTTTTCATGGTTGGCAAAAATGTATAAAATACCAGTCACTAGTTTTAAAAGTGATAAGAGATTGACATTGTTGCTTTCACAGATGTTTTTATTTCTCTTCATTAGATGAACACATGTTTATTTTTAGATGAGAAAATGCCCAATATTTTTGATATTTTTCTTTATAGGACTTCCAAATCAGTTATAAGATAATAAGGCAGCATTCTTCACCTTTTAGTGTAATACCAGAAAACTGAAACATATATATATTTTTTCCTTAGGGTCTAAACTTCAAAGACAGGACAGCTTAAGACTCTGAGTTACTAATATTAATTTAAAACTTTAACAACACATTTTTATCATAATTATAATATAAGTTTAGATTTGGTTCACCTAATCTTAAAGATAATATTACTGGTAACTGGGAGAAAGAATATAATTGGCTTTTAATTCTTTTTTATGGAAAAAATGATATTTTAAAAATGAACTGTTCAGGACAGGTGCAGTGGCTGATGCCTGTAATCCCAGCAGTTTGGGAGGCCAGCGCAGGCAGATCACCTGAGGTCAGGAGTTCGAGACCAACCTGGCCAACTTAGTGAAACCCTGTCTCTATTAAAAATACAAAAATTGGCCAGGCATAGTGGCTCGCGCTTGTAATCCCAGCCACTCGGGAGGCTGAGACGGGAGAATCGCTTGAACCTGGGAGGCAGAGGTTGCAGTGAGCCAAGATCCCGCCATTGCACTCCAGCCTGGGCAACAAGAGTGAAACTCCATCTCAAAAAAAAAAAAAAGAACAGTTGATAATGACCAAATTGTTATCAATTGCCAGCAAACAAGGCAAAGCATATGCACAAAATACTCATAATTACTTGATTAGAAATTAATTTAATGATTATACTCAAAATTATGAAATGTCGATGGCCCTAATATGGAAAATAACAAAAACTCAGGCTCATCAGATCTGTTATCCATTGTGCATGGCTTCTAAAGGTTTCATTCTCATCACTTTAATGCATATATTTCTTTTGTATTTTTCAATCTAGCAAATGATGCCAGTTGATCTCATCGTGTCATCTAGATAAATTACTCAAAATTATTATAAATACATATTACTTTAAATGTTTTGCACTTGAAATGGTTGATTATTTCATCCTTGAAGCTCATATTTTCTTGGTTTTCAACCAAAATGCTCAACAATAAAGGAAAGATTAAATAACTTATGGTATGTTCGTATAACAAAAAACACCATGCAGTTATTGTATATTGTACATGAAAATATGCGAAGAAGGATTTTAAAACTGAGGAAAAGAAGAGATCCATACTAGATTTGTTTAGAGTGGGTGAAACAGTCTTTTAATATAAATTAAGCCTCCAGGGCTTTACGGAGAAGAATTTGCAGTCTGGGCTTAAAACAGTAGGTGGAACAGTCAAAGTTGACAACGTCTGGAGCATGTTTTGAGAATATAAGGCTAAACTGAAGTGTGGGGTCATTGGGACTGGAAAAGGTGGGTAATTGTGAGATTAGGGAATTGAATGTGCTGTTGACATGAATATGAAAAGTCTTGGGATGGTGGCAGAAGTTCCAATGAAGTGTAAGACTTTAACCTAGGTGTTAAAAATCTTTTTTTTTTTTTTTTTTTTTGAGATGGAGTCTCACTCTGTTGCCCAGACTGGAGTGCAGTGGTGCAATTGCTCCCTACAACCTCTGCCTCCCAGGTTCAAGCAATTCTCCTGTCTCAGCCTCCTGAGTAGCTGGGATTACAGGTGCTCACCACCACACCTGGCTAATTTGTTTTTTGTATTTTTAGTAGAGACGGGGTTTCACCGTGTTGGCCAGGCTGGTCTCAAACTCCTGACCTCCAGTGATCTGCCCACCTCAGCCTCCCAAAATGCTGGGAATACAGGCGTAAACCACCACACCCGGCCCAAAATCTTTATACCCTATAGCGGGAGCAGGTTGGGAGGGCAACAAGGAGAGATAGAGGATAGTGTGATTCAGAAGCCTAAGGAAGGATAAGAACACCTAAAAGGAATAGACAGTAATAAAGTTGAATAACCTCAGATTAGAAATGGGTTCTTTTATTTATTTATTTAAAGAAGTTCATCCTACTGGTTTGAAATGGTTTGAAAGTACCCTTTGGAGTTAGGAGAATGCTAGCTTCTTATTCCAGTTGGTAGCACTCGTAGTAGGGAAGAAAAGGTAGTTTCTCCTATAAATAAATGCTTATAAGGAAAACAGGGGAGATAGGATTTGGACAGCTAAAAAGGAATGGTAAGACATTTCAGACAAGCAAAGTCATATGAATATGAAAGGGAGAAGAAAAAAACGTGCAGTAATTTGATCAGATTGAGGTTTAAGGGAAAGGAATAGGGAGGGATAATTGGAAAAAAAACAACTGGCACTTGATTGTGGTGAATTTTGCTTATCACTTTGACCTGTAAGAGAGTAGTTCTCATTTGTCCCCCACCCACGTTGTAATTCACTTGATAGAGAAAAAATAAACCTAAATATGGGATATACTCTCATCAGTAATCATTATCGTACTAGAGAAATAAAAAGTTAAGTGGCATGTGCCTTAGCTTGTGACTATACATCTCTCTCTCTCCTAGTGATCTGAAATACTCAAGTGTGTTAGTTACATCAATCAGCCCAATTAGGATGCCTTGCTTTAAGCAATTGGAAACTATTGAAAGTCTATGATCTTAAAAATTCAAAAAAGGAGTTGATAAAAGCAATACTTTACAAAATTAATCTAGAAGAACTGTTCCAAATGGATTAAACAGAAGATTAAGCAGGTATGAAGACTGTAGGTTGTTCAGTCATAGGAAAAGAAGACTTGACAAAGCCCAGGGATTAGTTGGAAATGATAGGTAAAAATGAAAGAATCAAGTCCTCAATATAAAATAGAAAACCAACATGGCCAGTGGTGGGACTGGGTTCTCAGAAGTTTGTCTTACAGGCAGGATAACATTCAAAATACTCAGCCATGTATACAGTTGGGTCAGTCATCACAGTTCATGGACAACAAATCAGAAAGGACGTCAGTTATAAATAATAAGTATAACCTCTGTGGTCTAATTCCATTGAATAAGAGCCCTGTCTAAAAGATCCATATGGATATCAACCAGTCAGAAAATTAATTATGTTTTCAAAAGGAATATATTCCTTCTAAAAAATTTCAGAAGCTTTCTAAAAATTGAGCTAGGTAATATGACAAAGGCCACATAGAGCTAACAAATGGCTGATAATGTTCAAATGCTATTTTTTAATCCCAGGAATTCTTCCTATCCTATCTGATGTAAATGCAAGACATCAATTCTCCCTATCTTTTCTGTTCTTTTCCCCTCCCTCTTTTTCTTCATTTATTCAACAAATATTTGGTGAACATCTAAAATTGAGCACCATGTTTCCACTACAATAAAACCATCTACTTCTTTTATACTTAATTTTCGCCCGAGATCTTTCATCTTCCCCTTTAAAGTAGACTTGATATCTTGATGATAAAGGAATAGGTAATTAATAAATAAGAATTTTGTCTGCTGAGACATTAAAATGGCTTGTCATTCTTGGATATGTTATTAACATTCCGTAGGTACAATATGCTTTCCTCACCCAATTTCATGGAATGAAAAAAACAAAACTTTTAAGTCAGAATTCTAGAAAATAATTTTTTAAGAACTAGAGCCTTTCTATGAGTTATATTTTAAGTGTTCAAGTAACCCAAAGGGTTAGTGTTAATATAACAAATAATCATCATTTTCAGAATGGAAAAACAAAGATAAAATTTTACAAAAGTTTGAAGTGTTTATATGTATCTCTTAGAAAGCTTATGGAAATGCGGTTCACATTTACATGTGTTTTTTTTTTTAGTTTTTAAAAAAATTATGGTAAAATATGTGTAGCATAAAATTTACCACTTCAATCATTTTTAACTGTATTATTCAGTAGCATTAAGTATATTCACATTGTTACATAACCATCACCACTGTTCATCTCCAGAACTTTTTCATCTTCCCAAATTGAAACTCTGTACATGTTAAATAATAACTCTCCCTTCCCTCCAGTCACTAGTAACCACTTTCTACTTTCTGTCTGTATGAATTAGACTATTCTAGTACCTCATGTAAGTGGAATAATAAAATATTTTGTTGCATATGCTTCTTTCAGTACTTTCTAAAGCATCTGGGCTAGACAATTGAGAATAAATGTGGTATCAATTAGTGGTTCACTTAAGAATGATATGTGAGAATCAAAGTGCTTTCTCACCTCTTAACTACAGGATTCAGAATTCTTTATTTCAAAATCTGAATCTTTTTTTCCTGTTAGTTCATAATAAAATTGAGCCTTTTATACTTTTTGGAATTTTACTTTTTTTTTTCTTTTTTTTTTTTTTTTTGTGACGGAGTCTCACTCTGTCACCTGGGCTGGAATGCAGTGGCTTGATCTTGGCTCACTGCAACCTCCGCCTCCCAGGTTCAAGAGATTCTCCTGCCTCAGCCTCCTGAGTAGCTGGGATTACAGTCGCCTGCCACTACGCCCAGCTACTTTTTTGTAGTTTTAGTAGAGACGGGGTTTCACCATGTTGGCCAGGCTGGTCTCGAACTCCTGACCTCGTGAGTCGCCTGCCTCGGCCTCCCAAAGTGCTGGGATTACAGGCATGAGCTACCATGCCTGGCCTAGAATTTTACTTATAGTTAAATTACATACTTTTAACTACAAAATGTGTAATGTGAGCACTACTGATAATCCCTTTCATAATGACTATTAGCTATGTCCTGAGCACCTTAGATACTTGATCTCATTTTAGTCTTCACGACAACTCAATGAAGCATATAATGACCAGTTTTCTAAGAATGGAAATCAAGACTGAGAGACTTTCAGTAAGTTGTTCACGGCCACACAGCTGTTAAAAGCAAAGCCAGGAATTGAACACAGGTCTGTGACTCAAAAGCTCACACATTCACTCTACTGTTAACTAAACAATGATATGATAAAGACAAGAAACATCTTTTTCTGAACCCAAACTCTTGGAAATATATAATATCCAACGTATTTCTTCTTTATAGAAATGTTTAATAGCAATGTCTGCTTCAATATGATGTCAAGAAGTACACTATTAAAGTAAATATTTTAAATCACCTCAAACACCAATTACGCCTTGCTTACAATCACGAAGAAAGAGAATTTAAAATGAAGAAATGTTGTTGTGTTCATTTGTAAATAACATATTGCAGCCAACTGTTTCTTAATTGCTCAGACTGTTGATAAATAATCCAGCCCTGCTGCTCTCCACAGACAATTTGCTTTGGATCAGACCAGGCAATTCAAACAACACTAATTACAGTGAAACCCTTTTATATGAATTTCTGTTTGTCATGGGGCAGAAAGCCCCTTTATAAAGAGTTAAGGCACTTTTTTCTGATTTTTGCCTGAAACATAACAATTATTACCTGGGCTCAAGTTATAGTGAATAAATTTTGGTTGAATAAAAATGGATAAAGTTGTATACCATGTTAAAAATATGTATCTCATTGCTTTTATTGTTTATTGTACTGTCATGAATTATATTAATTTTATATTTTTAATTAAAAGAGCAGATGGGGAAGCTTAATTTAAAGAATATTTTCATTGAAATAAGCTACATTGTTGAATGACTTACTGTAACAGAAATTTGTATATTAATATGTAGATGTGTCTTTACTAGAGAGAAACCAACACTTCAGGAAGTCTTCACTATATCAAGGGATTTGCTGTAACATGATATCATTGTATTTATGATTTTATGGTGTTAAAATGAATATTAAATGAAACAAAATTCCCAAGGATTACTCAGGAGGCAGCTAAGTACATAACATTTTGCATAGATGGTTGGAAGGCACAATTTTGCTCCATCACTGCATCCATATCCTTGAACGATTTCAACTGAAGACAGCATTTCTTTGAATTTTTCATTAAACCAGACGTCTTGAAATATGAATTCCTTTTATGTTTCTGTGAGGTTTGGCTAAAAGAACCCCAGTGAATAAATCATACAATACTACATGTCACCAGCACTTGTGAATATTTCTGCTTTGTTATTCTATTCTCAGTAGAGCACCATTGATTATCAAACTCAGCAGAGAGCATTTTATGATCATATATCTCCATTAGCTCCTAGTTTGACTACCATAGATTTTTACTGGTTAAGCTTGCATTATGTATTAGGAAGCCTATCTCTTCAATACAACATTTGATTTCATTTTTCTAAGGCTAGAACTCTTATTATGTATTATGTATAAAGATTCTTATCTTTTATATGTAAAAATAGGCTGCACTGTCTTTGTGTAACTGAAATGCATGCCATCTTTTTTTCTTGATTCACAGGTAGCATATTATACTATGATGATGAATCTCTACAATGCAATGGCTGTCAGGGTAAATATTTCTTCACTTGTTAAACAAATGAAAAGTCAATTGTGCCCTGAATTCGCTTTTAATAAAATGAGCAAAGCAGAATAATGCAAATTTGATTGATATGCTAATGGTAAAGAGAGAAAGAGTATGTAGTTAAAAAGTTAGTTATGCTAAATAATCTTGGCAGTATTAAAAATTAGAGTAAAATGTAAAACATGTAATTATAAATGCTTATGTTTTAGAATGTTGAATATCTCTGAGCCATAACTAGAGAAAGACTTAAATATTAATGAAGCAATGTATTAGTTTCCATATATCATATAGAATACATTGTGATAAATAGATGAACATGGTTGTGAAATATAAGATTCCTGCCCAATACAAATCAATTAGAAATTATTCATATGATTTAACAGTAATGAAGTCAGTTTCCAGCTTTGAAGTTTTATTTCTATCAGTTCTGTGTTCATTTTTAATGTGTTATTTTCCTAATAGAAAACTGAATTTAGCAATTATGGAGCTTGAACTCGGTTTCTGCACTGATCTTGGGAATGGACATAACAAAAATATTATTTCTTTTGTTTCAGACAATATGATAATAATTTAATTGCTAAGCTATTATAAATGGAGAAATTTCTTAAGTGAATTTCATTATTGTCCTTAAAATCTATGTTGCCTTATATTCTTTTTCATTAATCTGTTAGTTCTTCTGCAAATAATGGATTTTATTTTGAGTGAGGCAAGGTAGTAAAATCCTTTCTGAAAGTGCTGGGGTGAACCATAGTGGCTAAGTTAACATTATTTTGACTATGTGTTTTGCTTTAGAAAGAGGCTCTTTCCTTTTCAGGTGAGCGTGCTGGTAGTCTAGCCAGCTCACTCTAGTATTTCTTCATCCTCCTCTCTGCTTGTTCTCCTGGAGTTTGAGGAAAAATATAAAAGGAAGAAGTAGATCTTCCTGCTGCTTTTCTTGAGCCAGAGGCAGAAAATCTAGCTGCAATAGGCTATTTGCCTTTCTCAGTAATATTCATATAGGAAAACAATTCAATTTTTCTCTTTTAAAGGGAATACTTTCGTCTGGGAATTTCAGAGGTTTTGTACAGCTTTGCTATAAACTTAACCTCTGAGACTAAAACACCATTGATTCTTTTCTTCTTACTTCATGTCAGATGTATCTCCAAAATAAAAAGTCATAGATGACTGAGAACCTAAAGCAGTTAATGCCCATTTAGCTATTTCCACTGATCACCAGGGGAGACTGTAGAAGGAGATCCTCCCTCCCTTCTGCGCTTCTAGGGAGAAGCACAGAAGATAGAGTTAGAAAGGTGCGTACTTTTGTGTATTATTTTACCTCAAACCTTCATATTGAGTTCTGGTCTGGCTTATTAAGGTTTCTTTTACCTAGACTAAACATATGTAAGAAATTCACGTCAGTACAAGTCCCTTGGAAGGCAGTTTTTTACTTATTCCAACATATACTAAAAGCTCAATTTTCCAATAGCATCATCCAATGTCAATTTATCTTTGATTAATGTCAATGGGCAATGTTGAATTTTACCTGAGTCTTGTGATCCTGGAAAACAACAAAGGTTAAGAAATTCCCACACCTGGCCGGGTATGGTGGCTCACGCCTATAATCCCAGCATTTTGAGAGGCCACGGAGGGTGGATCACCTGACGTCAGGAGTTCGAGGCCAGCCTGGCCAACATGGTGAAACCACGTGTCTACTAAAAATACAAAAATTAGCCGGGCATGGTCATGGGCACCTGTAGTCTCAGCTACTCGGGTGGCTGAGGCAGGAGAATCCCTTGAGCCCAGAAGGCGGAAGTGGCAGTGAGCCGAGATCCCACCACTGCACTCCAGCCTGGGTGACAGAGCAAGACTCCGTCTCAGGAAAAAAAAAAAAAAAAAAAGAAATCCCCACACCCTTTTCTGTTTTAGAAACAGCTTACTGCAAAATAATAATAATAATTATAAAAGAAAAAGAAAAAAGTTACTCTTCCCTTGTATCAGTTAGATATATATGGGGATGCCCCACTTTTTTACCTATGACAAGGCTAGATGCATTCCCTCCAAATTTCCATTCTTTACCTCACAAATGATTAGCTGAGTTGCTTGTTCCTACTGACTAATTGGAACAAAATGTTTGTTAACCAACCTGTGATTTAACTTCTCTCCCTCCTCTATGTCCCTGAACATTGGCCTGCATGTAGCATCTCCTTAACATCCTCTCCTAATAATAGACTGACTTCAGGATAAAAGATTCTCTGATCTACTATTCAGTCATGCCACCCTCTTATCCCACTTCTCCACCTCAGATTCCTTCTAGCCTTGTTTATACCTTCCTATGAAAGAAAAATTCTTTTTGCCTTCCTCTTAACTTGCTTATAAATTTCGTGGTCAAAGTGTTCTCCCTATGCAGTAGTCTGCCTCTGCAGATTGCAGTAGTCACCCTCCCACTTCCTCTTGCAATACTCCTTTCCAATAAAGTCTCTCCCTTATAATTCTGGATCCTTTTTCCCTTCCCCTTCCTTTCTCTTCTCCTTCTGTCTTCTCCCCTCCCTGCCTCTCCTGTCCTCTCCTATCCTCCTCCTTATTGCCTTTTCTCTCCAAAACAACATTTTGGGAGAGAAGCATAGGGGTGGGAATGCGGTAGGGATTAAAGTGAGGGGAGCGAAGACTTAGGCTTTACCTAGAGGTTGGAACGATCCACTAATGACACTCAGGAATTTCTGTGAGGCTATGTGGAGCACATAAATGTTACTATGGGAAATTTATAATAGAGACATTTCTCTAACAAAGAAGTTCAAAGTCACTCTTCAGAGGTTTGAGATGGGTTAACTTGGTAGTAGACTATGTGCTATTTCATGTTCCTGAG
Source organism: Homo sapiens (assembly GCF_000001405.40). Classification (NCBI taxonomy): domain Eukaryota; kingdom Metazoa; phylum Chordata; class Mammalia; order Primates; family Hominidae; genus Homo; species Homo sapiens. Next base: position 217,671,938 of record NC_000001.11, read on the forward strand.
TTGAGGAATCAGAAATGAGGCTCACTGGCAGAAAGACCATAAGTGATTCCCCAACAACAATAAGTTTATAGCATTGGTTGATCCAAGTGACCAGTGACTGGAACTGAAGCTGTCAGTGGACTCCAGCCAATTTATTTGTAAGTGGATTTTTGCAAGATGGCACTCTTAAAATTCTGCTACTTTCAAGAGTGAGTGGCCAAAGAGACCAGTGTGTGGCCCAGATACCTTTGTGTTGTGTATATCTGAAGATTACAATCCTAATTGGATACCAGTAGCTGAAGTTTTATTTCTAATAAATACGATTCTGCTTTTTCATTTCATAAGCTACCTGGTAACTTAGTTCAAAACTAGAAGTGATTTAAACATGAATGGCGAGTGTTCAAAAGAAAGAATCTCTAAGGGTAACAGATAACTACCAAATATCTATATGGCCAATAATATCCAGACAGACATATATGTACCCAAATTATGAATAAGACCTTCATGTACAGTACATAAGAACAAAACTTTTGTCTTAATTTTCCTTATGAACAAAGCCTATTGTAAGTTATATATATTTGGCTATTGATTGCTACCATGACAACTAAAATGTATTCAATTGTCAAAGAGGCTAGTGGAGCATTTCTGAAATGGCAGGAGTTTTACAAATTTATTTATAGCCTATCCATCCCTAAATAGATATCAGTCTTTTGTAATGAAGAACAAATTATATGTATGTGATTTTCTTTTATGTAATATTTATTAATATCCTGATTTGCTGCATTTATTTTTTAAAGGGTCACCTTTTCTCTAAAGACTTTATGATCCCCCTACCCCTGTAGAATTTATCACTTTCCTTTTTTATGTTCCTATTTTACCATTGACATACTTCTGTTATAGAACCTGTAACATTTTATTATCCTTACTAATTTACATGCCTGTCTCCACCCCACCACCCCCTGCTCCCCTGTACACTATAAGTCTCATGCGGCCCAGATCCTATCTTCATCTTTGTATCTTCAATGCTTGGCTTATAGTAGGTGGTTAAATAAATATCCCTGAATAAATCAATGAATGCTGGCCCATTCTTTTCTAAACAAGGAGTAAAAAAAGTCCTTTACTTTAACACGTTTTTTCTAAGTTTCAAAGTGTGTTTGTTGCAACTTATTTAAGCCTTTGCTGGGGGATCTTTAAGCCTTTTTTGATTATCTGACTATACTGTAATGATGTAGATAAACTGGATTTGGTAAGGTAAAATTTAGTTTGTGCAGTTCGTATGTAAATGGAAGACTTCATGAGATTAAGGATTTTGCTCAAGTATCATAACACACACCGATTTGAAGGAGGTTTGCTGTGATATAAGCTGCTGTCAGAACCCACAGTATGCCTTTACAAAACCCCTGTTGCTGATTTGCTGCTAGGCCAGTGACAGTCAATTAATATAGCAATAAATTGCTCAGTAAATTTTTATCTTAGCTCCTGGGGCCCTGTTCCTCCTGTTTCTCTGTGACACTTTATTTCCTTTTTAGTCTTCAATTTGACTTTACTCCAGATTAGAGTTCTGCTTTTCTTCCAGCATCTTTTCTACTCCATTGTGGATCCTATTTAAATTTGGCCCCCAACTTTTATTTTCAGTTCTCTTTCTTTGAACAGCTGTTAATATCTTATGCAAACGCCATGAGCTGATTCAGTTGCACAAGTCATTTCTCTCCCTCTGCCATCTAGATGTACAACTGTATATCTTCTGACAGCCTTGTGTAAAACTCACCCTCCATTTTCTATATAGTGAGCACTTGGGTGTCATCTTAGCCCTCCAAATACTGGGCTTAGAGAGTCCGGTTCCTGGCAATATTACAAAGATGAGGGTAAGAATTACTTATGTGGGGAAAACCCATTTAAAAATATCCCCAGGTAGCAAAAGAGTAGAGGTTCGTGGAATTGTTTTTTCCATCCTAAAGTCTATTTCTTGTCCCTTTTTCCCATTACCTTGATTCATAGTTTTCAATATTTAGTGTTTTCTCTTGCTTATGGCTTTTGCTGATTGGCTGACCCCATCCAGGAAGAAGTCTCTCATTCAAAATGACATATATCTTATACCCAATTCTTATATTTGCAGGGGGAAAATAACCCAAGACCAAGATTACATACATTCAGCCTCAACCTTGTTGCTGAAGTCTCTATTTTTCCAATAGAATGACTCCAGATTCTGAAACTTATTCCCTGAGAATAAATAGCTATAGCTGGGGGATACCTAAGTGTACTGTAGTCAAACTGACTTCCAGTGAGGAAGCAAGGATTTAAAAAAGGGAACTCCCCAGATTCTGAACTTCAGTTAGACTGAGCTCTGGCCAGACTTCAGTGGATTCTGTTTCTTTGGTTCTCCCTCTTTCTAAGGACTTCTTATTTTATTTATACCCTCTTCTAGATCAATGCTCTTTTGATTTGTGATGCAGGATTTTTCTTGGTCGTTTTGCAGGGATTATAGGAGGAGGTGCCTCATCTACTCAGCCTGCCTGGCTGTGCCTGGCTTGTGCTCCAGCTGCTGGCTGCTGCGACTGCATGCTCAGTCCCTGGCAGGAGAGTGTGTGTGAGCAAGTGAGTGCAGGGTCTGGCCAGCCATTCTCAACACCAGCACAGGGGCAGCCTCCCTGCAGGGCTTGCAGCCACTCTAGGTGTGTTGCCCAAGGGGAACACGGTGGTGCCCAAGCAGAGGTGCCCACAGCCCCGAAGCCCCAGAAGGGGTGTTACAACATGCTAATTAGTTCTTTTAGTTCTGCCATCTGCAGCTGGATGGATGGTGAAGTGTTAACAGCTGGTTCGGTCCCTTGCCCTGCTCTGGCCTGTGGCTCCAGGGCTGGTTTGGCCCCACCATTGCTTCCTATGATGTGGAGCAGATGCCTGAAAGTGGTCTCTCACCTGAAGTTGGGTCGTCTCCCCTAGTGTGGCTGAGTCTGGGATTTTTATAGGCACAGGATAGGGGAGAGGGGAGCTGTAGGTAGTATTGGAAAAGGCAATATTTGACTGGTTAAAAAACATTATTGGGAAAGAACCAATTGGGAAAGGGTAGGCAAACAAGAACAGAAGTTCTCACTCTGGGTCACGGATTTTATCTGGAAGCAGCAGTCTGGTCTTTCAGCCCTCCAGCTGTTTTTGGCTTGAAGGTGGGGTTTCACTGGACCCCTTCTATCTGCCAAGGCATTTGTCTGACTCCTGCCGCAATTATATGGATATGTTGAGGTTTGTAGAGAAGGAGGATGGAAAGTAGATTAGTAATGTTCCAAGAGTGAGATTACAGTGTGTCAGAGTGTGGGGGGAAAATTATACTTATTTTTTCCTAAATGGGATATAACACTGTGAAATTCAGTTTTCAGCTGAATGCCCTGCAATTCTCCTAAAACATAGTTGTTTCTTTAATAAAGTTTACACTAATGTTTGTAAATTCAAAAGACAAATTGCTAATCTGTCCACTTCAACTTTGTTTTATGCCCATTTCATATTGTTGTCTGTGTTGCAATTCATACTTTTGACACCAATTTCTGATATGAAATGTTCATTGTCTTGTAGTATCCTACGAAGAGTTCAATTGTAGGTAAATTATTGTGGCTGCTAATTTTTGAAAAACAAAATGGATCTCTGAAGCTAGGCAAGAAAAAGATTGCCATGTCATGTATTGCCAAATCTTGGTAGGTCAGAACCACTGGTAAATACTAATAATGAATTAACAATTGTATAGCAGTTACTACTTTCCAGGCACCATTCTAAGTATTTTAAATATTTTAACTTTTCTCTGTAATCATCATAACTAATTCTCTGAGGTATAGGTATCATTAAGATTACAACTTAAAATATGAGGAAAGGGAATCACAGAAAGGTATCTTGCCCCAAATCGCACAGCTAGTAAATGAAAGTGTTAGACATTGAACCCAGGAGGTCTGGCACTCACATTTCTGCCATTGCTGGTCACTTTTAATCTTGGCTTTACTTCCAATCCTCTTTTTCTGAAAATATGGATGAGAACAACTATACTGACCTAGACAGCTCTTAGGGACATTTTATTACTCATACCCTGTTTACTTGGAAAACTGACCTTGTGGCCTGATAATTCATGAGCATCCTTATTGGTAGTACATTTCACGCAGGAATTCTAAATTAAGTGACAATTAACTAAGGAGTAAGTTGAGGCATTCCAATGCAGTGTCACATGCTTCCCCTTGTAGGCAGAATTAGATGGCTCATGACGAAAAACCTCACCATCTAAAAGAATATTCAGGCTGTGGCCTCCCTTATTCCTATTGCCAGCATCAGGATTTGTCATCCATCATAAGCCTAGATGAAACACCCTTCCTGCTCCAATTTTAAATGGATTTTTGAGGAGGATGTAACAAATGATAACAAAGAGAATTTGTCATTTCTTTGCTGGTTGAAGTCCAAGGTGCAGATCACACAGATTTTTGAAATTTAAAAGTCTGTGTTTAGTTTCATTTATACCTCTACCGTGCCTGTTTTGGGCCCTGAAGCATCAATGGAAAAGAAAAGGGACTCTAACATTTTTAAAACATTAGGAACAATCACAAAATTATTGCTAGGACTGATAAAGTCAACTGCTGTTTCTAAATTAATGTTTAGAGTATACTAGTCTTCAATAACCTAAACATAATGGGGACATATAATCTGTCACAGACTTTGGAATGTAATAATGGTAAACTTTATGGGAAATATTTGTTCCTTGTAATGCCTTTGAAAAGCCTCCTTTGTATCATGTCATACATCTTGAGTCTTCCTTTGCTTGTCTGCCCTAGAACAACTGGAGCAATATCACATGAATGCAAATTTCAAGAAGTGCTGGTGTGCAGCATCTTAGAGATCTCTCTTATAAAATGAATTCTGTCACAGGTTTTTATCTTAGTTTCAAAGATCTATGAGGAATGAAAAAAATGGTAATAATCAAAAGCTTACAGAATGTTAAAGAACTACAGATGTAATTAATTGTTTCAAGTAAAATTCCTTTTACCCTGAAATCCCCATACCTGTTATTTATCAATCACCTATACTCGCTTAGTGAAATTCCACTGGAATCTACAGTTTCAACTGATTCTTTATTATTTTAAATTATTTAACTTGATTATAGTGCCCCCAAACAATTTTGTTCAGATTGAAATGCTCACATTTAGGGAAACAGAAGCAATAGTAACAAGAGAAACAGTAGAACAGAGGTCATTTAAACAACAAATTTGCCAAATAACATCACTTTATTGGCTTATTTCCCCTTAGAGCTTTCTCCGCATATAATACAAATTTTAATTTATAAAAATTAATCTAACTTGATATATCAAGTAACCATTTTCTTTTGTTTCCCACTTGTGTCTAAAATACAAAAAAAGTTAGAAAAGATTATATGGTGGCTTTACTTAAAAATGATTAAATATGTGTCAGATATATAAAGATTCGTCTCAATCCCTTAAAGTACTTACCATACTATTTTCATATTTATAATACTATGAAGTAAGCATTTGTATTTAGAATAATGACCCCGAGATTACATAGTTAGAGATAGATAGGTTAGTTAATTCAGAAAAAGGATACGGAAGGTCTTTTATATGCTAGACATTATGTTATTGTTCTGGGCATACAGAATGAATAACAGTTTTATTCATACAAAAAAGGGTATCCCAAAATATCAGCCTATGGAAGAAAAGAAGGGGCCATCTGGACAACACCAAGCTTTTACCTGATGATGGAATAGATATTCTAATGTTCCATCCCCATGTAAAAGTATATTTCTTCCTCCCTCCTTCTACTTCTAGTACCAATATCATTGTGAAATGATTAAATAGATTTGTAGAGAAAGGAAGTATAAGGCTAGTGAGAGTGGGGAAACAGAATATTAAAGAGAGGAAACTGCACATTTAATAATTATCCAGAATCTTTTGATAAAAATATCTAGTTAAGATTTTCACATATACGTCCTATATGTGTGAAACTGTATTTTCATATGATAATATTTTATGTATAAATATAAATGGTTGTGACGTGACAATGCAATGATACCTACAATGAAAACTTGGGTTATATTACTACTTTTTACATTCCTAATCTTTGAAGATTTAGTAAACCCACATTTCTGTGCTCACTGTACAATCTTTTTTAGAATGTTGATCATTCTAATAAAAGTATAATTATGAATAACTGAGTTCTACTTCTGTGCTCTCATATACATTTAGAGCATGAGTATTGGGTGAGCTATTATCAAGGAATTTGTTTTCCATGCCTTCATTTTTCTTTTCTTTTCTTTTTTTTTTTTTTTTTTTTTGAGATGGAGATTTGCTCTGTTACCCAGGCTGGAGTGCAGTGGCACAGTCTCGGCTCTCTGCAACCTCCACCTCCCAGGTTCAAGCAACTGTCCTGCCTCAGCCTCCTGAGTAGCTGGGATTACAGGCTCCTGCCACCACGCCCAGCTAATTTTGTGTATTTTTAGTTGAGATGGGGATTCACCATGTTGGCCAGGCTGGTCTCGAACTCCTGACCTCGTGATCCACCCACCTCAGCCTCCCAAAGCACAGGGATTACAGGCATGAGCCACCGCTCCTGGCCCCATGCCTTCATTTTTCATGTTAAGAGAGAAGACATTTTTTCTTTTAGTGGCATTAAGGTTACTATAGATTTTCAGGAATAAAAGTAAACCCAATGGAGGGAAAATCTTTTCTATGGCAGATGGCTTTTAATATATCAAGGTTTTGCCATTTGTTTTAGTGCTTAAAATAAACATTATTTATAAGACCACTTACATTTTGATGTTACTTAATGAGGAATATGCATCATTGATTTGACTAGCTTAAGAGGTCATTTAGAACTTGCCCGTTAACAAGCTGTAATCTGCTGAGCACACAATGACTTTGTTTAAAATTATCTATTCAGAGCTGATCAATGACAATAATTGTTTTATACCAATCACTTTTGAAAGTTGCTAATTACTTTGAAGGACATGAATACAAATCATTTTTCTTTTTTTTTTGAAGTAGTAACCCGTTCACCTTGAAATTAAGAAGAAATCTTATAAAAATCATCTTGCTGCTTGAAAGAACATTTAAAAAAATTAAAAGTATATTTACTAGTACTGGAATATCAACAGAATAGGCAAAATTTAAGACGTCATTTGTTTCTATAATAGGAAATATAGTACAGTCTCATCTATATTGTATTTTACAATATCAATTAGCTATTGGTTAAACTAGTCTCCCTATAATATAAGAAAATACCATATTTTAAACTAAAGAACACGCATATACTCTTTCTCTTTATACAATATATATGTAAGGTGTTTCAAGTGGAAAGAGCGGGCTTTGGAGTAAGACAAACCTGGGTTTGTATCCTGACTTTCCATTTACTGTTTTACTGGTTATGTGACCCTGAGCAAATTACTTAACCTCAGTTTCTTCATTTTTAACATGGAGATCATGCCCTATTCACAAGGATATTGTGAGAATAAAAGCAGTTAGCATAATACCTGGCACATTCATGGAGCTCAATAAATTTTAGATCCTTCATTTCACTGATGGCATCTTCTTCACCCACTCAAATGCTGTTTCCTCCAGATCTTTTTACCCACTCATCTCTAAGAAAGCCACTTAAAGACTGATTGATTATACTTTAGTGTGGATGAGTTTTAATTTGTTACCTTAACCATCGCTTACTTATTACATTCTTTAATATCCAATTTTGAATAAAAGGAATTATCTTGGAGAGGAATTTTAGCCAGCCTTTGGAGATATGTGTAGGGTGTCAGGACATTAGAATGTTTTCTGAAAGCATACCAGTTGTAGTCTCTCTAGATATGGTTGGTGCTCTTTCCAATAGTTGCTGGGTTTGGAGAAGGAAAGAGCCCACATTGTTGGATTTTTTCTTTTTTAATTACAGGAAACTCTTCTTACTTGAACACAAATTTTTCAGCCAATTTCAGTTTTTTTCTTTAACATCTCTTTCCTAGAAATGGGAATATCCATTTCTCTGATATTACCAAATCATAAACTCGCATCATTCTTCCTTCCTCTCAGTATGCCAACATGCATCTTTTGTGTTTTCTGGCACACTTAATCTTATTTTATTTATAATTTAATGACATTTTCATGTGATAGGTAGCCCCTCCCTTAATACTGTTTGATATCTTAATATTTTCCTATGCAACTTGAATAACTTCTATTGCTGATGACGGATTTCCTGTCAGTACATGTATTTACAAGTGTTCCCTTCATTAATAAAATTGTTACTGTACATGCAGTAAAAGTATGCTGAAAGATTTGAAGCCATCCAACCAGCTATATGACCTTAGGCAATTAGTTAACCTTTCTAAACATCAATTCCCTCTTCTATCAAATGAGGCTAATAATAATCTCCACCTCAGAATGATGCTATAATGATCAAATTAGATAAGCTAGGAAAATATGCACTTATTTGCATGTATGATTTATATTATGTATACATATTCCAATTGATTCTTCTTTTTCATTAGGAAAGTGGTTCTATCAATTCCTTCTTTTTCTTTCTCAGCCATAATATAATATTGGTAAAATTAGGGAGAGTTTCTAAATTGAGTATATAATTTTAGAATTTTTTTTTAAAGAATTGATCTGGCAAATAAGATCACTTGAGAAGTATTTTGAAAGACACTTTGAATACTTTTGTTACATTAGTTTGCTATACTACTAGTTTCACTTTCTAAAGTTATTGTTGGCTGGGTGTGGTGGCTCACACGTGTAATCCCAGCACTTTGGGAGGCCAAGGCGGGAGGATCATTTAAGGTTAGGAGTTCAAGACCAGCCTGGCCAACATGGTGAAACCCTGCCTCTATTAAAATTACAAAAATTAGCTGGGCATGGTGGCACATGCCTGTAGTCCAAGCTACTCTGGAGGCTAAAGCAAGAGAATCGTTTGAACCCAGGAGACAGAGGTTGCAGTGGGCCGAGATCATGCCACTGCACTCCAGACTGGGTGACAGAGTGAGACTCTGTTAAAAAAAAAAAAAAAAAAAAAAAAGGCTGGGCACGGTGGCTCACGCCTGTAATCCCAGCACCTTGGGAGGCCAAGGCAGGCAGATCACGAGGTCAAGAGATCGAGACCATCCTGGCCAACATGGTGAAACCCCGTTTCTACTAAAAATACAAAAATTATCTGGCTGTGGTGGCATGTGTCTGTTATCCCAGCTACTCATGAAGCTGAGGCAGGAGAATCGCTTGAACCAGGGAGTTGGAGGTTACAGTGAACCGAAATCGCGCCACTGCACTCCAGCCTGGTGACAGAGCGAGACTCTGTCTCAAAAATAAATAAATAAATAAATAAAATAAAATAAAGTTATTTTCTCTGATTTACTTGTTCTTGCAAGCTGTTTTGCATATTTCCAGTTAGTTTAGTAATTCTCATATGGGGAGTCTGACAAAAACACTCCCTTATAATCTTCATGTTTAATATCTTTTTTTCTTTTGAGACCGAGTCTCGCTCTGTCGCCCAGGCTGGAGTGCAGTGGTGCAATCTCGGCTCACTGCAACCTCTGCCTCCCCGGTTCAAGCGATTCTTCTGCCTCAGCCTCCCAAGTAGCTGGGACTACAGGCGCACACCACCATGCCCAGTTTTGTATTTTTAGTAGAGACAGGGTTTTGTTTTGTATTTTTAGTAGAGACAGGTTTTTACCATATTGGCCAGGCTGGTCTCGAACTCCAGACCTTGTGATCTTCCCGCCTTGGCCTCCCAAAGTCCTGGGATTAGAGGTGTGAGCCACCATGCCCAGCCATGTTTAATATCTTAAATTGTAAATGATTATAAATGACCTTTTAAATGGCCATGTTTTAAAACAGAGAAAAATAATCAGAATTTAAGTAAAGAATTTTTCCGGTTAATTTTTTATTGATCCAATATTCAACTTAGACAAATTTTATACTAAATATTTTTTAGCTAAAAAAAAGTAGGCTTTGGGGATGAAACCCAATGGACTGGTGCTTAGTCTCCATATTTCCCTTTCCTATTAAAAAAAAAAAAAGTTTAGGGAAGACGTGTGTTCTCTTAGCCTAGCAAACTGTGCCAAAATCGGGAAGACTTCATATCCAAAAAGGGAATGATTTATGATACGTGAGTCATTCATACAGATATTTAAACGGTTGGAAAATTTTAGGAATGATGCTAAATCTTTACGCAAGACTAAGTTAGTATTTTTCAATATGTGCTATTTCTTTTTCCTCCAATCCTTTAAATAATTTCAGGTATCTTTTCCTAATTAATATCATATATTATTTTGTTTGAGTTTTTCAGATAGGGGTATTAGAAAATATAGCAAAGATATTTATATTAGCAAAGATAGGACTTAAGGACAGTGACTGATTCTCATGGTTCCTGGGGTTGTATAAGATATCTAGAAGCTGACTTAGGTATGGTCTCTCAGACCCCTAACATTCCTCTCATCCAAAAAAAAAAAAACACCCTACTTTGATGATATGTTCTAGTAAAAATAAAATTATTTGAATGTCAGCATTGAAGTAAAAGATGTAAGAAGCAGATAATTTCAATATAACTTTTCTTTTATTGAAAATCACAGTTCTCTTTGTTCCCAGTTCTATATTGCAATGGTTACGAGAGTGGGCTCTCTGAAGCCCTAACTTGAAATTTGATTCCTGGATTCATCCTAATAGCTGTATAATTATAGGAAAATTGTGTAACCTCTCTTTTTAACTGTTTCCACATCTGTAAATGAGGTAATGAGTATTTATGTCATAGGAGTATTCTAAAGATTAAATAAATGTAAGCAAGAACCCTTACATAGTGCCTGGCACATAAGAACTCAATAAATGTTAGCTATTTTTGTTATTGTTAAGGAAGAATTAAAATGTCATAATTAAGATACAAGAATTTGTTTAAATATTTTGATACCACTGAATTTAAGAAGCCCATTAATAAGACAAAATACAAAAACTAAACGTATATTTCAATGAGACCAAATACAACCTTAAAGTGAGTTGGCTATGAAAAAAAAAATTGATTTGCCCAGGAAGTGGAAATGGTAGGAATTTGTAAAGCAAATTTTTATAAATCTTTCAATAGTTTAGTATTCTGTGAGATAATTATAAATAATTTAAAATAAATTATAATAGCCTATAATTATGTTTATTTTTATAATATTTCATAAAAAATTTATGAGCAGAACCTATATTTACAACTAATATGCTACAATATTAGTGGAAAAGCCCAAGACTTTATTTGATAGGAGTTATCAGCCATAATTACCTTAATTTTGAAGTGCTATTACATTTTTAATAAAAGTGTTTAATGGCATATTTTATCTCTTTATTTACTTTAATAGATTCAGAGACGATGGCGAGGCTATAGGGTTCGGAAGTACCTCTTTAATTATTATTATTTGAAAGAGTACCTGAAAGTCGTTTCAGAGACCAATGATGCAATTAGGTAAGTAGTGCAATCATCCATTCACTAGGGAAAACTTTGGAAAGATTACTCAATAGATGTTGATCAACACCATAGTTAGAAATATTTTTTTGTTTTAGATGGAGTCTTGCTCTGTTGCCCAGTCTGGAGTGCAGTGGCGCAATCTCGGCTCACTGCAATCTCCTCCTCTTGGGTTCAAGCAATTCTCCTGCCTCAGACTCCCGAGTAGGTGGGATAACAGGCGCCCGCCACCACAGCCGGCTAATTTTTTTCTATTTTTTAGTAGAGACGGGGTTTCACCATATTGGCCAGGCTGGTCTCGAACTCCTGACCTTGTGATCTGCCCGCCTCGGCCTCCCAAAGTGCTTGGATCACAGGCGTGAGCCACTGCACCCGGCTAAAAATATTTTCTAAAAGTCAGTGATGTTTAGGCAGACATTTATTGATAAAAAATATATATATGATTCTATTTACCTTAATTTATTATTATTATATTAAAAAAATCTTGTATCCTTCACTGCAAGTTATTTATGTGTGTAGTATCTTGTATATTTATTTATGTGTGTAGTATCTTGGTCCTATACAAAATAGTTTCAGGAAAATTGTTTCATGATGAGATGAATTTATCTGTAAAACGATCTAGAGATGCAACATTAAATACAAAAAGCCTCAGATGCATTTGAGAAACATGTTCCATAGCAAGAACTTGCCTCTCCTAGAATAAAATATCATGAAACATATTAAAAAGGTCTGTTCACTGTCAGTTTTGATTTGTTTAAACACATAGGAGGATAGGACATAGATTTAGGATATGGGATATGTAGAATTCTGCAAAGTAAAGGCATCGTAATATTACTCAGCCAGCTTTTCCAAAGTTCTATATGTTAAGTTTCCATATTATTTTGAAAATAGTTTTTTCCTCCTGTGATATGCCCCATTCTAATAACATATAAATGACCATATGCATATAGTACATTTTGATAAAAAAGAAATACTAATTAATAATAGTTGGTATTTATAGAACAGTCTCACTTCAAAATATTTTCTACATATATCATATATCATCTTATTTTACTCTTTTATTTTTTTTTTGAGACGGAGTCTTCCTCTGTCACGCAGGCTGGAGTGCAGTGGCACGATCTCGGCTCACTGCAACCTCTGCTTCTGGGGTTCAAGTGATTCTTGTGCCTCAGCCTCTCGAGTAGCTGGGATTACAGTTGCATGCCACCACGCCCAGCTAATTTTTATATTTTTAATAGAGATGGGGATTTCGTCATGTTGGCCAGGCTGGTCTTGAACTCCTGACCTCAGGTGATCTGCCCACCTCGGCCTCCCAAAGTGTTGGGATTACAGGCATGAGCCACTGCGCCCAGCCCCTTATTTTACTCTTTAAAGTCTTTGAACTAAAGAGAACAAGTAATTGGCAATAAATTATTAAAATAAAAGTTTTGTCTGAGACCCTAAAATAATATATAAGATATATATGAAAACTAATTTCCCAACTACTAACTTTCTCACATATGTTGTGAATATAAAGGGATCTGGTCTTTGAGGATTACCTATAGAGAAATTTGTTAATTTGATTTCTTTAGAAAGAGAGCAGTTAAGGGGGGAAGGCTTCAATAGGATTTAGTCGATTGGAGAAGTAGGAAAATTCAGAAACACGTGAATCATAGGGGACTGCTGTTTAATTTCTTCTTGAAACGTATAAAATTCTAAAGACTGGCTGACTTTAGCTTGTCAGGAGGAAGAGCTAGTAGAGTTTGCAAGGAGAAGAAATACGTGCAGGGCTGGAACTAGGGTGAGACAAGTGAGACTTTTAAGGGAGGGAGGTGCTCACTCTCAGGGTCACACGATTATCAACCTTGAACTTTCATAACCCCAAGAGTGAGTATGTCCTTCAATTCTGCACTTCAGGGGCCTTACTTGCTTCACTCTTGTCTGAGCCCTGAATAGGAGAAAGTCAAGGAGGCAAATAGGTAAAGAGGTGGTTTGGGAAAGGTCTGAATCTTCTATTTGACAGATATTTCCAGTAATTCTTATTTTCCTCCTGATTTTAATAGGAATATCTCTAGTCAGTAGAGAGTCTGGTATATCAGTGTTGTAATTTTATTTTAGAGTGGTATTCTTTAGTATATTACAGAGCCATTCTATTATTTCTAGCTCTCTTAGAGTTTCTTAAACCAGGAATGGAAGTTGACTTTAACAAATGCTTTTCTGTCATCTATTGAAATAATTATATAGGATGTTTTTTCTTTTTTAATATACTAACATGCATAGAGCTATATTCTATTAATAGATGTACTAATATCAAACCATCATTTATTTTAGGAATACATCTAACCAGGCCATTGTTAATTATTCTTTTGAATTTTCACTAAATTATATGAGTATTTTATATAGGATACTTACGTCCTCTTCTGTATATGTGATTGGTTATACAGTGGTCCCTCTTATCCATGATTTTGCTTTCTGCACTTTCAGTTATTCACAGTACAGTACAATAAGATATTTTGAGAGAGAACAAGAGAAAGAGTGAGCGAGAACACCCATTTGTATGATCTTTATTATAGTATATTGTTATACTTGTTCTATTTTATTTTTTGTTATTGATGCTAATCTCTTACTGTGCCTAATTTATAAATTAAACTTTATCATAGGTATGTATGTATGGGAGGAAACATATTATTTATAGGGTTCAATATTATCTGCAGTTTCAGGCAGCCACAAAGAGCCTTGGAACACATTCTCTGTGAATAACAGGGGACTATGTAATTTTCTTTCTTATATTGCAATTGTCAGATCCTAGTGTCAGATTTTTGCCATATTTATTAAATGAATTAAGTAGATTTTTTGATATGGGGATTACTAGTCTTTGGAAGTTTAAAATAAATACTTTATAAAACTCCCTGGACCCAGAGCCTTTTGGGGAAGGTCAATCATTAACATTTCCAAACCTTAATTCACGTTTTTATAAATTTATTAGAGTCCATTTTCTTTATTTCCAGATAATTATTAGTTCACTGACATTTAAATATATCTAATGTTATTTATGATATTTTAATTACAATATGTACTTTAGTTGTTTTAGTCCATTTCTCATTATTTAATTTGCTTATTTAAATACTTCTCTCTTTTGTTCTCAAAATTGTTAGGCTTATCTATATTTTTTAGAGAAACATCTCTCAGATTTTTTCTTTTAACTTATTTTTGTTTCCTAATTAAATGTTTTGCTTTCATCTTTAAAAGACGCGTAATTTCTTTGTTTCACAGATAATACATGCCCCTTGTAGAAAAACTGAAAATACAGATAATGTAAAAGAAACTAAATAAAAAGTCATCTATAATTTCATCACTCAGAAATAAACACTATTAACTTTTTGTTTTTTAATTTTTTGAGACGGAGTCACGCCCTGTTGCCCAGTCTGGAATGCAGTGGCACAATCTTGACTCACTGCAACCTCTGCCTCCTGGGTTCAAGCGATTCTCCTGCCACAGCCTCTGAGTAGCTGGAATTACAGGTGCCTGCCACCATGTCTGGATAATTTTTGTATTTTTAGTAGAGATGGGATTTCACCATGTTGGCCAGGCTGGTCTTGAACTCCTGACCTCAAGTGATCCACCTGCCTCAGCCTCCCAAAGTGCTGGGATTACAGGCGTGAGCCAACGTGTCCAGCTGCATGATAGCTTTTAAATATTTTTTATTGTTGGAGATACAGTTGTTCTAAATTTTTGCTATTGTAAACATTGTGTTATTTAATACTACTACTAGTTAATATGGAGTTTCTTACAGTTCTTGAATTCATTACTCTCTTTACTGCTTTTTTAGTAATTAAAACATTTAGTCTACGATTCGTTTCCATGTATAATATTGTCCACATTTAATATATTTTTATATATAATGTTCTCATATTCTAATTGCATTTTTTATATTCTCTTTGAAATTCATTTTTCAATCTCCAGTGGCTTGGCTTTTTCTTGTAGTTTAAACATAAAACAGATGTATTTCTAGGTTTATTGTGTTATAGTCAGAAAATATATTTGGTACAATTATTACCTCAGGAAAATTATTTAGTTTTTCACCTTTTATATACAGTCACATACCACATAATGATGTTTTGGTCAATGACGTACGACATTTATGACAGTGGTCCTGTAAGATTATAATACTATACTTTTACTGTACCTTTTTATGTTTAGATATGTTTCAATACACAAATAGTTACAGTTGTATTACAATTACATATAGTATTCGGTACAGCATCATGCTGTACAGGTTTGTAGCCTCGGAGCCAGAAGCTATACCTAGGTGTGTAGTAGGCTATACTATCTAGGTTTATGTAAATACACTCTATGATGTATGCACGATGATGAAATTGCCTAAGGATGCATTTCTCAGACTGTATCTCTGTCATTAGTTAAGCAACCCATGACTGTATTATTTTGTTTTAGGTATTCTCTTAAAGGCAAATGAATAGATTTTGTTTTCTTACCCGAGCTAAGTTTTTGTATTTTAATTGAGCAATAAAAATGTTTACTTTCATTATTGTAACCATTTAACTCTTTCTAACTTCTCTCATCTTGCTTTATGTTTCTGCTTTTTCTGTTTCCTTTTATATATAAACTATGATTAGTTATTGTGAACTTAAAAAACATCATACATATTAGAATCATGGCCCTTCTGTGCCTCATCTTCAGCTTCATTGAAAATTGAACTTACCTCTTAACTTTTAAAACCGGAGGGCCAGGCACAGCGGTGCATGCCTGTAGTCCCAACTACTTGGGAGGCTGCAGCAGGAGGATCACTTGAGCCCAGGAGTCTGAGGATCACTTGAGCCCAGGAGTGTGATTGTATTACTGCATTCCAGCTGGGGCAACAGAGTGAGACTCTTTCTCTAAAAAAAATAAATAAACAAAAATATTTTTTAAAAAACTGGTTATAATTCCCCTCCCCACTATTTAACACAGAAATTTCTGGAGGCTTCTTTCTACCAAAACACCTACTCTTTAAATATAGGCTTCTATCATCTCTTGCCTGGACTCTTAATTAAGTGAGAACATTTTAACAGTTCTCTTTTCTTTTGGTTTTGCCATTCTTCAAAACAGTGTTAAGAGAGATCTCTTTTAAGTCATTTTTCTCTGCTTCAAATCCATCCAACTCTCCCTGTTGCTTTTAGCATGTCACATATTTTAGACTGTCACATAGGTCGACAGCCCCATCTTCAAATGCTCACCCATTCTGAATGTCTTATCAATTTTAGAAGCATCATGTTTCCTTAGACTTCCAAGCCTTTGCACGTGCCATTCTCTTAATCCCTCATCTGCCATGTCAACTGCTCATCATTCTTTATGTTGCTGCTTAAATGTTGATAGAGTTGGGGCACTCCTCATCTGCATGCCCGGAGACTCTCAAACAAAGCTACCTTATGCCTTCTGTCTTATGGTATTATAATTACTTATGTGTTTGTCTTTACCTTTATATTATGAAATCGGTGGGGGAAAGGAGCTGACACTTGAACACCCTGTCTTAATTATCTTTGAAACCTCAGTGCCTAGCACAGTTACTGATATATAGTAAGTCCAAGGTAATATTTGCTGACTAAAAGCTTACCGAATGAAAGAATGAATGAGATTAGATGAAACTCCATTATAATTTTCACTTTGTCAAGCAGCTGCAATTTTAAGAATATTGCTTTTTTCTGTCTTAATAAGTCATGATTTAATACTTATTTAACAACTACCATGTGGGTCAGGTACTAGGTTAAATGTTGTGGATACAATGATTAACACGGTAGATTCGAGCTAGCCTTTATAGAGCTTAAAGCTTAGTAGAGCAAAAGTACAATATAATCATCACAAATCAGATAGCATTTATTATGTCTTTTTTTTTTTTTTTTTTTTTTGAGACAGAGTCTCGCTCTGTCTCCCAGGCTGGAGTGCAGTGGTGCAATGTCGGCTTACTGCAATCTCTGCCTCCCTGGTTCAAGTGATTCTCCTGCCTCAGCTTCCCGAGTAGCTGGGACTACAGGTGTGTGCCACCACGCCCGGCTAATTTTCATATTTTTAATAGAGATGGGGTTTCGCCATGTTGGCCAGGCTGGTCTCGAACTCCTGGCCTCAGGTGATCTGGCCACCTTGGCTTCCCAAAGTGCTGGGATTATAGGTGTGAGCCACCACACGATGTCTTTTTGTGTGCCGGAAATTATTCTAAATTCTGAGAACTATTAACAGGCAAGTATAAGACAATGTTCTCAAAAATCTCTGACTTTCAGAGATCACTCTATCCTCTAATATTCAAAATAAATATAGTTTAATCAGTCCTTCAAACTGAGATCCAGTGCACCTTCCCTTTCAATATCTCCTGGTTCTGAAGTAGCTTTTCTCTCTATTTCTTGTCCTGATGGCAAATTTCAGTTGCATTCTCATTTTAACTCTGCATTTCACTCACTTTTTGCATTTATCATCTGCTTTTTTCATTGCTTCCTTCTCCATTTTTGATCCTAGTCAACCCCTGTACCATCACAGAAGCCTGTTGTGAGCTTCATTTCACTGCAGTTTTTCTTTTTCTTTTTTTTTTTTTGAGACAGAGTTTTGCTCTTTTCGCCCAGGCTGCAGTGCAATGGCACAATCTCCGCTCACTGCAATCTCCGCCTCCCAGGTTCAAGCGATTCTCCTGCCTCAGCCTCCGAGTAGCTGGGCTGACAGGTGTGCGCCACCACACCCAGCTAATTTTTATAATTTTAGTAGAGACAGGGTTTCACCATATTGGTCAGGCTGGTCTCAAACTCCTGACCTCGGGTTATCTACCCACCTTGGCCTACCAAAGTACTGGGACTATAGGCGTGAGCCACCGGGCCCAGCCTTTACTTTAGTTTTTCAGAACTCTGACTTTGCATATATTAAGCACTCTCATTCTATCCTCCAATATCTACCTTACATTTAATCTTTAATATTTTCCACCAGCTTATATTTTTAAACTTTACTCTGGATAGTTTCTTCAGATACAGCTTCTATCTTGCTAATTCTCTTTCTTTTGCCAATCCATAGAGTTAATTTTGATGACTGTATTTTTCATTTCTAAAAAGTACTATTTGGTCCTTTTTATTTTTATTTTTATTTTATTTTATTTTTTATTTTTTTTTTTTTTAATTATTTTTTTTTATTATACTTTAAGTTTTAGGGTACATGTGCACATTGTGCAGGTTAGTTACATATGTATACATGTGCCATGCTGGTGCGCTGCACCCACTAACTCATCATCTAGCATTAGGTATATCTCCCAATGCTATCCCTCCCCCCTCCCCCCACCCCACCACAGTCCCCAGAGTGTGATATTCCCCTTCCTGTGTCCATGTGATCTCATTGTTCAATTCCCACCTATGAGTGAGAATATGCGGTGTTTGGTTTTTTGTTCTTGCGATAGTTTACTGAGAATGATGGTTTCCAATTTCATCCATGTCCCTACAAAGGACATGAACTCATCATTTTTTATGGCTGCATAGTATTCCATGGTGTATATGTGCCACATTTTCTTAATCCAGTCTATCATTGTGGGACATTTGGGTTGGTTCCAAGTCTTTGCTATTGTGAATAATGCCGCAATAAACGTACGTGTGCATGTGTCTTTATAGCAGCATGATTTATAGTCCTTTGGGTATACACCCAGTAATGGGATGGCTGGGTCAAATGGTATTTCTAGTTCTAGATCCCTGAGGAATTGCCACACTGACTTCCACAATGGTTGAACTAGTTTACAGTCCCACCAACAGTGTAAAAGTGTTCCTATTTCTCCACATCCTCTCCAGCACCTGTTGTTTCCTGACTTTTTAATGATCACCATTCTAACTGGTGTGAGATGATATCTCATAGTGGTTTTGATTTGCATTTCTCTGATGGCCAGTGATGATGAGCATTTCTTCATGTGTTTTTTGGCTGCATAAATGTCTTCTTTTGAGAAGTGTCTGTTCATGTCCTTTGCCCACTTTTTGATGGGGTTGTATGTTTTTTTCTTGTAAATTTGTTTGAGTTCATTGTAGATTCTGGATATTAGCCCTTTGTCAGATGAGTAGGTTGCGAAAATTTTCTCCCATGTTGTAGGTTGCCTGTTCACTCTGATGGTAGTTTCTTTTGCTGTGCAGAAGCTCTTTAGTTTAATTAGATCCCATTTGTCAATTTTGGCTTTTGCTGCCATTGCTTTTGGTGTTTTGGACATGAAGTCCTTGCCCACGCCTATGTCCTGAATGGTAATGCCTAGGTTTTCTTCTAGGGTTTTTATGGTTTTAGGTCTAACGTTTAAATCTTTAATCCATCTTGAATTGATTTTTGTATAAGGTGTAAGGAAGGGATCCAGTTTCAGCTTTCTACATATGGCTAGCCAGTTTTCCCAGCACCATTTATTAAACAGGGAATCCTTTCCCCATTGCTTGTTTTTCTCAGGTTTGTCAAAGATCAGATAGTTGTAGGTATGCGGCGTTATTTCTGAGGGCTCTGTTCTGTTCCATTGATCTATATCTCTGTTTTGGTACCAGTACCATGCTGTTTTGGTTACTGTAGCCTTGTAGTATAGTTTGAAGTCAGGTAGTGTGATGCCTCCAGCTTTGTTCTTTTGGCTTAGGATTGACTTGGCGATGCGGGCTCTTTTTTGGTTCCATATGAACTTTAAAGTAGTTTTTTCCAATTCTGTGAAGAAAGTCATTGGTAGCTTGATGGGGATGGCATTGAATCTGTAAATTACCTTGGGCAGTATGGCCATTTTCACGATATTGATTCTTCCTACCCATGAGCATGGAATGTTCTTCCATTTGTTTGTATCCTCTTTTATTTCCTTGAGCAGTGGTTTGTAGTTCTCCTTGAAGAGGTCCTTCACATCCCTTGTAAGTTGGATTCCTAGGTATTTTATTCTCTTTGAAGCAATTGTGAATGGGAGTTCACTCATGATTTGGCTCTCTGTTTGTCTGTTGTTGGTGTATAAGAATGCTTGTGATTTTTGTACATTGATTTTGTATCCTGAGACTTTGCTGAAGTTGCTTATCAGCTTAAGGAGATTTTGGGCTGAGACGATGGGGTTTTCTAGATAAACAATCATGTCGTCTGCAAACAGGGACAATTTGACTTCCTCTTTTCCTAATTGAATACCCTTTATTTCCTTCTCCTGCCTGATTGCCCTGGCCAGAACTTCCAACACTATGTTAAATAGGAGCGGTGAGAGAGGGCATCCCTGTCTTGTGCCAGTTTTCAAAGGGAATGCTTCCAGTTTTTGCCCATTCAGTATGATATTGGCTGTGGGTTTGTCATAGATAGCTCTTATTATTTTGAAATACGTCCCATCAATACCTAATTTCTTGAGAGTTTTTAGCATGAAGGTTGTTGAATTTTGTCAAAGGCTTTTTCTGCATCTATTGAGATAATCATGTGGTTTTTGTCTTTGGCTCTGTTTATATGCTGGATTACATTTATTGATTTGCGTATATTGAACCAGCCTTGCATCCCAGGGATGAAGCCCACTTGATCATGGTGGATAAGCTTTTTGATGTGCTGCTGGATTCGGTTTGCCAGTATTTTATTGAGGATTTTTGCATCAATGTTCATCAAGGATATTGGTCTAAAATTCTCTTTTTTGGTTGTGTCTCTGCCCGGCTTTGGTATCAGAATGATGCTGGCCTCATAAAATGAGTTAGGGAGGATTCCCTCTTTTTCTATTGATTGGAATAGTTTCAGAAGGAATGGTACCAGTTCCTCCTTGTACCTCTGGTAGAATTCGGCTGTGAATCCATCTGGTCCTGGACTCTTTTTGGTTGGTAAACTGTTGATTATTGCCACAATTTCAGCTCCTGTTATTGGTCTATTCAGAGATTCAGCTTCTTCCTGGTTTAGTCTTGGGAGAGTGTATGTGTCGAGGAATGTATCCATTTCTTCTAGATTTTCTAGTTTATTTGCGTAGAGGTGTTTGTAGTATTCTCTGATGGTAGTTTGTATTTCTGTGGGATCGGTGGTGATATCCCCTTTATCATTTTTTATTGTGTCTATTTGATTCTTCTCTCTTTTTTTCTTTATTAGTCTTGCTAGCGGTCTATCAATTTTGTTGATCCTTTCAAAAAACCAGCTCCTGGATTCATTGATTTTTTGAAGGGTTTTTTGTGTCTTTATTTCCTTCAGTTCTGCTCTGATTTTAGTTATTTCTTGCCTTCTGCTAGCTTTTGAATGTGTTTGCTCTTGCTTTTCTAGTTCTTTTAATTGTGATGTTACGGTGTCAATTTTGGATCTTTCCTGCTTTCTCTTGTGGGCATTTAGTGCTATAAATTTCCCTCTACACACTGCTTTGAATGCGTCCCAGAGATTCTGGTATGTTGTGTCTTTGTTCTCGTTGGTTTCAAAGAACATCTTTATTTCTGCCTTCATTTCGTTATGTACCCAGTAGTCATTCAGGAGCAGGTTGTTCAGTTTCCATGTAGTTGAGCGGCTTTGAGTGAGATTCTTAATCCTGAGTTCTAGTTTGATTGCACTGTGGTCTGAGAGATAGTTTGTTATAATTTCTGTTCTTTTACATTTGCTGAGGAGAGCTTTACTTCCAAGTATGTGGTCAATTTTGGAATAGGTGTGGTGTGGTGCTGAAAAAAATGTATATTCTGTTGATTTGGGGTGGAGAGTTCTGTAGATGTCTATTAGGTCCGCTTGGTGCAGAGCTGAGTTCAATTCCTGGGTATCCTTGTTGACTGTCTGTCTCGTTGATCTGTCTAATGTTGACAGTGGGGTGTTAAAGTCTCCCATTATTAATGTGTGGGAGTCTAAGTCTCTTTGTAGGTCACTCAGGACTTGCTTTATGAATCTGGGTGCTCCTGTATTGGGTGCATATATATTTAGGATAGTTAGCTCCTCTTGTTGAATTGATCCCTTTACCATTATGTAATGGCCTTCTTTGTCTCTTTTGATCTTTGTTGGTTTAAAGTCTGTTTTATCAGAGACTAGGATTGCAACCCCTGCCTTTTTTTGTTTTCCATTGGCTTGGTAGATCTTCCTCCATCCTTTTATTTTGAGCCTATGTATGTCTCTTCACGTGAGATGGGTTTCCTGAATACAGCACACTGATGGGTCTTGACTCTTTATCCAACTTGCCAGTCTGTGTCTTTTAATTGGAGAATTTAGTCCATTTACATTTAAAGTTAATATTGTTATGTGTGAATTTGATCCTGTCATTATGATGTTAGCTGGTGATTTTGCTCGTTAGTTGATGCAGTTTCTTCCTAGTCTTGATGGTCTTTACATTTTGGCATGATTTTGCAGCGGCTGGTACCGGTTGTTCCTTTCCATGTTTAGCGCTTCCTTCAGGAGCTCTTTTAGGGCAGGCCTGGTGGTGACAAAATCTCTCAGCATTTGCTTGTGTGTAAAGGATTTTATTTCTCCTTCACTTATGAAGCTTAGTTTGGCTGGATATGAAATTCTGGGTTGAAAATTCTTTTCTTTAAGAATGTTGAATATTGGCCCCCACTCTCTTCTGGCTTGTAGGGTTTCTGCCGAGAGATCCGCTGTTAGTCTGATGGGCTTCCCTTTGAGGGTAACCCGACCTTTCTCTCTGGTTGCCCTTAACATTTTTTCCTTCATTTCAACTTTGGTGAATCTGACAATTATGTGTCTTGGAGTTGCTCTTCTCGAGGAGTATCTTTGTGGCGTTCTCTGTATTTCCTGAATCTGAACGTTGGCCTGCCTTGCTAGGTTGGGGAAGTTCTCCTGGATAATATCCTGCAGAGTGTTTTCCAACTTGGTTCCATTCTCCGCATCACTTTCAGGTACACCAATCAGACGTAGATTTGGTCTTTTCACATAGTCCCATATTTCTTGGAGGCTTTGCTCATTTCTTTTTATTCTTTTTTCTCTAAACTTCCCTTCTCACTTCATTTCATTCATTTCATCTTCCATTGCTGATACCCTTTCTTCCAGTTGATCGCATCGGCTCCTGAGGCTTCTGCATTCTTCACGTAGTTCTCGAGCCTTGGTTTTCAGCTCCATCAGCTCCTTTAAGCACTTCTCTGTATTGGTTATTCTAGTTATACATTCTTCTAAATTTTTTTCAAAGTTTTCAACTTCTTTGCCTTTGGTTTGAATGTCCTCCCGTAGCTCAGAGTAATTTGATCGTCTGAAGCCTTCTTCTCTCAGCTCGTCAAAATCATTCTCCATCCAGCTTTGTTCCATTGCTGGTGAGGAACTGCGTTCCTTTGGAGGAGGAGAGGCGCTCTGCGTTTTAGAGTTTCCAGTTTTTCTGTTCTGTTTTTTCCCCATCTTTGTGGTTTTATCTACTTTTGGTCTTTGATGATGGTGATGTACAGATGGGTTTTCGGTGTGGATGTCCTTTCTGTTTGTTATTTTTCCTTCTAACAGACAGGACCCTCAGCTGCAGGTCTGTTGGAATACCCTGCCGTGTGAGGTGTCAGTGTGCCCCTGCTGGGGGGTGCCTCCCAGTTAGGCTGCTCGGGGGTCAGGAGTCAGGGACCCACTTGAGGAGGCAGTCTGCCCGTTCTCAGATCTCCAGCTGCCTGCTGGGAGAACCACTGCTCTCTTCAAAGCTGTCAGACAGGGACATTTAAGTCTGCAGAGGTTACTGCTGTCTTTTTGTTTGTCTGTGCCCTGCCCCCAGAGGTGGAGCCTACAGAGGCAGGCAGGCCTCCTTGAGCTGTGGTGGGCTCCACCCAGTTCGAGCTTCCTGGCTGCTTTGTTTACCTAAGCAAGCCTGGGCAATGGCGGGCGCCCCTCTGCTAGCCTTGCTGCCGCCTTGCAGTTTGATCTCAGACTGCTGTGCTAGCAATCAGCGAGATTCCGTGGGCGTAGGACCCTCCGAGCCAGGTGTGGGATATAGTCTCGTGGTGCACCGTTTTTTAAGCTGGTCTGAAAAGCGCAATATTCGGGTGGGAGTGACCCGATTTTCCAGGTGCGTCCGTCACCCCTTTCTTTGACTCCGAAAGGGAACTCCCTGACCCCTTGAGCTTCCCAGGTGAGGCAATGCCTCGCCCTGCTTCGGCTCGCGCACAGTGCGCGCACCCACTGGCCTGCGCCCACTGTCTGGCACTCCCTAGTGAGATGAACCCGGTACCTCAGATGGAAATGCAGAAATCACCCGTCTTCTGCGTCGCTCCGCTCACGCTGGGAGCTGTAGACCAGAGCTGTTCCTATTCAGCCATCTTGGCTCCTCCCCAAAAGTACTATTTGGTCCTTTTTAAAATTTGCCTAATCATTCTAATATAATTTTATGTTGTTTCTTGTAAGATTTTATTTTAAAATATTGAAATAATCAAATATTTATATTCTGCATCTGATAATTGTAATATTGTTCTGGTTGTTTGTATCATATTTCCTGATTTTTTTCTCGATGTATTTACCATTACAAACATTTTGAGTTCACAGTAGCTGGACTTCATCTATACCAACCCTAAAGGCATAAATTGGCACAGTTTTCCTCTAGAGAGTAGTCATGTCTATCTTCCTTAAGCTATGAGATGCTACTGATCTAGAACCACTCTAGTCCCCTTAGAAAGTATTGGCTTAATATGAGAGACTCAGATTTCTTTCCCACTCCTATGCCATCAAATCTTCCGAACTCATCATATGAAAGTGTCTGCCCCAAGGTTACCTGACTTTGAAATTTACTTGCAGGTGACTCCTCTTTGTTTTTTTGTTGTTGTTTTTGTATTCTTTTGTTTGAGACAGTCTTGCTCTGTCACCCAGGCTGGAGTGCAGTGGCAGGATCTCAGCTCACTGCAACCTCTGCCTCCTGGGTTCAAGTGATTCTCCTGCCTCAGCCTCCTGCGTAGCTGGGACCACAGGCATGTGCCACCATGCTAATTTTTTGTATTTTTAGTAGAGGCTGGTGTTGAACTCCTGACCTCAGGTGATCCGACTGCCTCGGCCTCCCAAAGTGCTGGGATTATAGGCGTGAGTCGCCGAGACTGGCCTCATTGTTTTGCTCATTTTGTTTTCATTGTCCTTGCAAGATTTTCATCACTTTCTTGGAATCCAGAAATGCATTACAATTTATGTGTTCATCTTTTCCAGGATCTAATTGTATTACAGCAAGAAGATTCTTGAGAACAGCTAATTTGCAATCCTGCTGAAAGCGGAAGTCTCATTTCTTCTTTTATTTCAATAATATTTCCAAATTTATTACATTATGATCAGAAAATGGCATCTGTTCTATTTCTACTGTTTAAACTTTATTGGGAATCTCTTTGTGACCTAATATATGGTGAATTTGAAAAATGCACGGACTTTGAAAATAAAATATATTATCTTTTTTATAATATAGAGCTCAAAGTTTCTTCTTTAATAGTTAAGATTTTTAGATTTTCTATAACTTTTTTTAAAAAAACAGAAAACATTTATTTCTCAAGGGCTGAGGTAAATTTGAACAACAAAAATCTTTAAAATATGTTTTATCATGCTTATATTTATATTTCCTATAATGGAAGATTGCTTTATGAAGTTTGATGCTAAGGTAATGGTTAATAGATATTCATGACTTAAATCTTCTTGTCTATAGTATTCTTCTTTGTGTTATTTATTTTATTTGCCCTTTATTCAACCTTTTGTGAAATCAAGATTAATACCTTGCTAAGTTTTATATGCATTTTCTTAGTGACTCTTCACCATTTTTTTTTCTTACTTTCAAATTAACAAATTTGATTAAGAGACCAGGAGTGGTGGCTCACGCCTGTAATCTCAGCATTTTGGGAGGCCAAGGAGGGCAGATCACCTGAGGTCAGGATTTCAAGACCAGCCTGGCCAGCATGGTGAAACCCTGTCTCTAAATTTTTGTAAAAGTACAAAAATCAGGCTGGGCACAGTGGCTCACACCTGTAATCTCAGCATTTTGGGAGGCTGAGGCGGGCAGATCACCTTGGGAGTTTGAGAACAGCCTGGCTAACATAGTAAAACCCTGTCTCTACTAAAAATACAAAAATTAGCTGGGCATGGTGGTGCCTGCCTGTAATCCCAGCTGCTCGGGAGGCTGAGGCAGGAGAATCATTTGAATCTGGGAGGCGGAGTTTGCAGTGAGCTGAGGTTGTGCCACTGCACTCCAGCCTGGGCAACAGAGTGAGGCTCCATCCCCCTCCCACCAAAAAAAAAAATTAGATTTAGTGTCAGAATGTGGCTGGGATTTCTCTGTCCTCCAAATCAGAGGGCCATTTTCTTTCCTTTTAAAAAAAAAAGTTAGCCTTTGCCTTTGAGACAATTGTAAATTCACATGCAGTTATAAAAAAAAAAAAAAACAAAGAAATTCTATGTTAACTCAATACCAACATCTTGCAGAACTAGAGTACAATATCACAGCCAGGATGTTGACCTTGATACAAGCCATCAGTCTTATTCGGGTTTTCCCAAATTTACTTTGTGTGTGTGTGTGTCTGTGTGTAGTTAGGTCTATGCTAGTTTATGACGTGCAGTTTCATGTATCTCCCACCACAGCCAACACACAGAACAGTTCCATCTCCCTAAATATCCCTTATGTTGCCCTTTTATAACCACATTCACTTCTATTCTACCACACTCCCCTCACACCATCCCTAACTTCTGCCAACCATTCATCTGTTTGCCGTTTCTATAATTTTGTCATTTCAAGAATATTATATAAATGGAGTGATACTGTTATGTCAAATCTTTATGATTGACTTTTTTTCCACCCAGCATTGTTCCCTAAAAATGTGCTCAAGTTGTTGCATGTATTGATATTTCCTTTTGATTGCAGAGTTGTCTTGTGAATGTTTGATTAACCATTTACCCATTGAAGGATGTTTGGGTTGTTTCTATTTTGGAGCTTTTATGAATGAAGCTACTACAAACATTTGTGTACAGATTTTATGTGAGCACACATTTCTATTTTTTTGGAATAAATACCCAAGGGTGCAAGTATTGGGGCCTATGGTAATTGCATATTTAGTTCTACAGGGAACTGTAAAACTGTTTTCCTGAGCAGCTGTACCATTTTACATTCCCACCAGGAATGTATGAGTGTTCCAGTTTCTCTGTGTCTTCACCAGTATTTATTATTTTTATGTTTAAAAATTTTAGCCACTCTGATAGGTATGTACTGATACATTCATGAGGTTGTAATTGCATTTCCCTAATGACTAAGAAAGTTTAATACCTTTTCATGTGTTTATTTGCCATTTGCATATACTTTTTTGAGAACTGTCTTTTCATGTGTTTTGCCCATTTTCTAATTAGATTATATTTTTATGGTTGAGATTTTGGGAGTTTTTAAAAATGTATTCTGGATACATATTTTTGTCAAATATGTGGTTTGAAAATATTTTCTTTCAATGTGTAGCTTGTCTTTTCATTCTCTTAGTATGATCTTTTCACAGAACATAACTTTTTAATTTTAACGGCATCCAGTTTTTGAATATTTCCTTCTATGAATCATTATTTTGGAGTCTAGTCTAAGATGGCTTTGTCTGTCCCTAGATCCCAAAGATTTTCTCCTTTTTTTTCTAAAAGTTTTATTGTCGTCCATTCTACATTTGTTTGTGATTCATTTTTAGTTCATTTGTGACAATGGATATCTAATTGTTCTAGCACCATTCTTTGAAGAGGCTATCTTTCCTTCATTGAATTGCTTTTGCACCTTGTCAAAAACAAGGTAGGTATCATTATGTGGGTCTATTTTTGGACTTTCCCTTCTGTCCTTTTTGTCTATGTGTCTATCCCACTGACAAAACACACTATCTTATCTACTGTAACTATATAATAAACCTTAACGTTGGGCAGGGGGATTCCTTTCACTCTATTTTTTTTCAAGGTTGTTTTCATTTATTCTCAGCCTTTTGCTTTTCCATATATATTTTAGAATAAGGTTATATATGTCTACAAAACACTTGGCTGGAATTTTGTTAGGAATTTAATTAAATCTGTAGACCAATTTGGGAAGAATTGATTCATTTTCTTTTAAAAGTAAGTGATATTCACTTATTGATATTGTACATGTGTGTTGTCTTAGTTCTATTATTTTCTTGCTATAGGTTTTCATGGTTAGGCTTTCAGCATATGTATGGCCTATGTATATATGCTTTAAATCTAATAATTTGGAAGATTTAAGCCTATTTTTAGTTCTGATAGATATCTTATTTTCTTGAAAGTATTTTCAGTATTTATGTTTTGACAAAAATCTATTGAATAGATTTTGATTGAATACACACCCATAGTTTTACATATTTTTATCCTTAGACATAATGTGACCTGTCAGTTTATACATACATTTTTTTTTCTTTTTTCTTTTTTTTGAGATGAAGTCTTGCTCTGTTGCTCAGGCTGGAGTGCAATGGTGCGATCTCTGCTCACTGCACCCTCCGCCTCCCAGGCTCAAGCGAATCTCCTGCCTCAACCTGCCAATTAGCAGAGGCTACAGGCATGCGCCGCCATGGCTAATTTTTTCTTTTTCTTTTTTTTTTTTTTTGTATTTTTAGTAGAGATGGGGTTTCACCATGTTGGCCAGGCTGGTCTGGAACTTCTGACCTCAAGTGATCCACCCGCCTCAGTCTCCCAAAGTGCTGGGATTACGGTTATGAGGCACCGCACCCAGACTATACATACATTTTTAAATATCATGAAATTCTTTTTCAATTATATCTTTGTGTTTTCTGTATTATTTATATTATTTATTTATTTTTTGAGACAGGTTCTTGCTCTGTCATCCAGGCTGGAGTGCAGTGGTGTGATCTCAGCTTATTACAACCTCCGCCTCCTGGGTTGAAGTGATTCTTGTGTCTTAGCCTGCCGAGTAGCTGGGACTGTAGGCGCACACCACCACGCCTAGCTAGTTTTTGTATTTTTTGTGGAGATGGGGTTTCACCATGTTGGCCAGGCTGGTCTCAAACTCCTGACCTCAAGTGATTCGTTGCCTTGGCCTCCCAAAGTGCTGGGATTACAGGCATGAGCCGCCGCACCTGGCCTATTCACATATAGATATGTGTGTGTATATGTGTGTGTGTGTGTGTATATATATGTGTGTATATATGTGTGTGTGTATATATATATACATTTTTATTATTTTTTGTTTTATTTATTTATTTTTTTCTTTTGACATGAAGTTTTGCTCTTGTTGCCCAGGCTGGAGTGCAATGTCGTGATCTCGGCTCACTGCAACCTCCACCTCCCAGGTTCAAGCGATTCTCCTGCCTCAATCTCCCAAGTTGCTGGGATTACAGGCGCCAACCACCATGCCTGGCTAATTTTTTGTATTTTTAGTAGAGACGGGGTTTCGCCATGTTGGACAGGCTGGTCTTGAACTCCTGACCTCAGGTGATTCACCTGCCTCGGCCTCCCAAAGTGCTGTGACTAGAGGTGTGAGCCATCACACCTGGCCTATACTATTTTTATTTCATGTTTATTTCTTAGATTTGCCTGGTATTATGGCTTTTATTGGTGCTCGCATTATCTGATTTTCAACATCTATTATTTTCTTTATACTCTTTCGTTTCCGTTTCATCTTGGTCACTTTTCTTAAATCTGCTCTCAATGTGCTTTTCTGTGCTTTCAGCATTATCTGTTCTTT
Organism: Homo sapiens; assembly: GCF_000001405.40. Taxonomy (NCBI): domain Eukaryota; kingdom Metazoa; phylum Chordata; class Mammalia; order Primates; family Hominidae; genus Homo; species Homo sapiens. The sequence continues at coordinate 217,701,876 of NC_000001.11, forward strand.
TTGCTCTTTCCAATGGAAACTTCATTTCTATGATGACTGTATTTTTCAATTGTGACTTTAGTTCTATCATCCTTTTCTTTTTGGAAATTATAAATAATACAGAAATGTATAAAACTTAATATTACAAATACTTAGAGGCAATCACTAAAATTTGGTGTATATATATATATATATATGCAGATAATGTTTTCTATTTTGACTACTATTTATACAAAAATAACGTAATAATGCTTTGTGTATTTAAAATTTTACATAAATGCTATCTTGTCACATGTTTAAGTGTTCTATAATTAAACCTTTTTTAACTAACTTAACATGTTTGCAAATTCTATTTGTACACATAGATTTTGTTTATTTAATTGCCATATTTTATTGATTACTTGAACTTAACACAGAATTGATATATATGGGTCACCACTAATGTCTAAGCTTTATTCTAATTTTTTAAATTACCCATGCTTTTTCTTGAATCATCTTTTTTGTTGTTGTTGCTACATCAGTTTCCCTGTTCTTTTCCCACCCATTTGGAAGGTATATAATCCAAATTCTTTCTTCTACTGATAACTCTCAAATTTTAACATACTGTATATTTACCTTCTTTCTCCTTTAAACAATAAAGCATAGAATACATTAAATATGACCCTCTATGTATCTCATTTTTTAATGGAAGAAAATTACTTTGGTTTTTACTTTATTTTTAAATTTGTTCCAGGATAGCATTTTTAGAATAGTTAAGAGCCAATGCTTATTTAGATTTGTCAACATCTTTTGCTAGTTTTATTGCTCACTGTTACTTTTAAAATTTCACTATTTCCTAGTGGGTTCAGTTTTTACTTGCTGAAGGTAATCCTTTGGCATTTTTTCAGCTGGGTCTGTGAGTAGTAACTTTCTCAGTTTTATGCATCTTAAATTAGCTTTATCCCATATGTTCTATCGAATGATAGTTATATGGTTATAAAATTCTGAGATGACAAATTTTTTTTTCAGGTATTTGAACATATTATTTCATTACTTTTTTTTTTTTGAGATGGAGTCTCACTCTGTTGCCCAGGCTGGAGTGGCGACATCTCGGCTCACTACAACTTCCATCTCCCGTGTTCAAGTGATTCTTCTGCCTCAGCCTCCTGAGTAGCTAGTATTACAAGCGCCCACACCATATCTGGCTAATTTTTGTATTTTTAGTAGAAACGGGGCTTCACCATGTTGGCCAGGATGGTCTCAAACTCCTAAACTCAGTGATACACCCGCCTCAGCCTCCCAAAGTGCTGGGATTACAGGCGTGAGCCATTGCGCTCGGCCTTTTTTTTTTTTTTGAAATGGAGTCTCACTCTGTCGCCCAGGCTGGGGTACAGTGGTGCGATCTCAGCTCACTGCAACCTCTAACCCCCAGGTTCAATCAATTCTCCCTGCCTCAGCCTCCCGAGTAATGGGGAATACAGGCACCCACCACCATGCCCGGCTAGCTTTTGTGTTTTTAGTAGAGACGGGGTTTCGCCATGTTGGTCAGGCTGGTCTTGAGCTCCTGACCTCAGGTGATCCGCTGGCCTTGGCCTCCCAAAGTGCTGGGATTACAGGCGTGATCCACCATGCCTGGCATATTTCATTACTTTTTATCCTAAATTGTCACTGACGTACAAAGTGTGATGTTGGTCAAGCTGTCTTTGGAAGACAGCTCTCTAGTATCTTTACATTTTTTTCTTTACTTTTGTAATGTCATGTTATTTTATCACAATGTATCTAAGAATTTAAAAAATATGGACTGTTTTCTATCTGATGAGCTGCCTTAATTTTATGACTCATATTTTCTTGTTTAGGAATTCATGTTTAGGAAAATTCTCAGCCATACTGCTATTGACTTGTCTCTAATCTCTAGTTTGTTTTTCAACAGCTCCTATTAGATGCATATTTTAACTTTTCTTTCTAGTCACCTTGACTTATAACATCTTTTTTATGTTTTTATTTATATTTGTGCTAGGAGTAATTTGTACCTATTTTCCAATTCATGAATTTTCTCTTTAGTTTGTTATTGTCTGCTGTTAAACTCATTTACTGAGTTTTTATTTTCAATGAATATATGTTTAAAATTTTTTGGGGGTGGGGCTCTTTTAATAAAATCCTCTCTCCCTCTTTATTTCATGTTGCTATTCTCTAGTTTCTCTTTAAACATTTTTTGTTGTTGTTGTTTCTTGTGTATTTTTAAAACTCTTTTAGGTTCAGGGTACATGTGCACCTTTGCTGTATAGGCAAATTGCATGTCACAGTGGTTGGGTGTACAGATTTTTTCGCCACCCAGATGATAAGTATAGCACCCAACGGGTAGGTTTTTTTATCCTAACTCTCCTCCTTCCCTCTACCTTTTTTTTTTTTTTTTTTTTTTTTTTTTTTTGAGACGGAGTCTCGCTCTGTCGCCCAGGCCGGACTGCGGACTGCAGTGGCGCAATCTCGGCTCACTGCAAGCTCCGCTTCCCGGGTTCACGCCATTCTCCTGCCTCAGCCTCCCCAGTAGCTGGGACTACAGGCGCCCGCCACCGCGCCCGGCTAATTTTTTGTATTTTTAGTAGAGACGGGGTTTCACCTTGTTAGCCAGGATGGTCTCGATCTCCTGACCTCATGATCCACCCGCCTCGGCCTCCCAAAGTGCTGGGATTACAGGCGTGAGCCACCGCGCCCGGCCCTTCCCTCTACCTTTAAGTGGTCTCTGAAGTCTGTTGTTCCCTTCTTTGTGTCCATATGTACTCAATGTTTATTTCCCACTTACAAGTGAGAACTTGTGGTATTTGATTTTCTGTTCCTGCGTTAGTTCTCTTAGGATAATGGCCTCCACCTCCATCCATGTTGCTTCAAAGGACATGATCTCATTTTTTTTTTAAATGTGTGGGTAGTTTTCCATGGTATATATGTACCACATTTTCTTTATCCAGTATACCACTGATGGGCATCTAGGTTGATTCCATGTCTTTGCTATTGTGAATGGTACTGAGACGAACAGACATGAGCACATGTCTTTATGGCAGAATGGTTTGTATTCCTTTGGGTATATACCCAATAATGGGATTGCTCGGTTGAGTGGTAATTCTGCTTTGAGTTATTTGAGAAATCACCAAACAGATTTCCAAAAAGGCTCAACTAATTTACATTCCCACCAGCAGTGTATAAGTGTTGCCTTTTTTTGCGACCTTGCCAACATCTGTTATTTTTTGACTTTTTTAAAATAGCAATTCTGATTGGTGTGAGATAGTATCTAATTGTGGTTGTGATTTTCATTTCTCTAACAATTAGTGATGTTGAGCATTTTTTCATATTCATGTTGGCCACATGAATATCTTCTTTTGATAAGTGTCTGTTCATGTCCTTTGCCCACTTTTCATTGGGATTGTTTGTTTTTTCCTTGTTGATTTGTTTAAGTTCCTTATAAATTCTGGATATTAGAACTTTGTCAGATGCATAGATGCAAATATTTCCTCCTATTCTGTAGGTTGTCTCTTTACTGTGTTCACAGTTCTTTTTAAATTTTGCTGTGCAGAAGCTCTTTATCTCAATTAGATTCTAGTTGTCTTTTTTTTTTTTTTTTTTTTTTTTTTTTGGAGATGGAGTCTCGCTCCATCACCAGGCTGGAGTGCAGTGGAGCAATCTTGGTTCACTGCAACCTGTGCCTCCCAGGTTCAAGCAATTCTCCTGCCTCAGCCTCCCAAGTAGCTGGGATTACAGGTGTGTGCCACTATGCCCAACTAATTTTTGTATTTTTAGGAGAGATGGGGTTTCACCATGTTGGCCAAGATGGCCTTGATTTCTTGACCTTGTGATCCACCTGCCTCAGCCTCCCAAAGTGCTGGGATTATAGGCGTGAGCCACCGTGCCCGGCCTATTTGTGATTTTTAATTTTTGTTGCAAATGGTTTTGTTGTCTTCTTCATGAAAACTTTGCCAGCATCTTATCCAGAATGGTATGTCCTAGGTTATCTTCCAGGGTTTTTATAGTTTTAGGTTTTACATTTAAGTCTTTAATCCATCTTGAGTTGATTTTTATGTATGGTGTAAGGAAGAGGTTCAGTTTCAATCTTCTGCAAATGGATAGCCAGTTATTCCAGCACCATTTATTGAACAGGGAATCCTTTCCCCATTGCTTCTTTTTGTTGATGGTTGTAGGTGTGCAGCGTTATTTCTGGACTCTCTATTCAGTTCCATTGGCATATGTGTCTGTTTTTGTAGCACTACCATGCTGTTTTGGTTTCTGTAGTCTTGTAGTATAGTTTGAATTTGAGTAACATGATGCTGCTAGCTTTGTTCTTTTTATTTAGAATTGCCTTGACTGAGCTCTTTTTTTGCCTCCATAGGAATTGTAGTAGTTTTTTTCTAATTCTGTGAAGAATTTCATACATAGTTTGATAGGAATAGCATTGAGCCTGTAAATTGCTTTGGGCAGTGTGGCCATTTTAACAATATTGATTTCTTCTATGTGGTATGGTTTGGCTCTGTGTCCACACCCAAATCTTATCTCAAATCATAATCCCCACATGTTGAGGAAGGGACCTGTAATCCCCATGTGTTGAGGAAGGGAAGTGATGGGATTCTGGGGGCCGTTCCCCCATGCTGTTTTGTGATAGTGAGTGAATTCTCACAAGACCTGATGGTTTTATAAATGGTAGTTTTTTCTGTGCTCTCACACGTTCTTGCTCTTGCCTGCTGCCATGTAAGATGTGCCTGCTTTCTCTTTTGCCATGATTGTAAGTTTCCTAAGGCTTCCACAGTCATGCAGAACTGTGAGTAAATTAAACCCCTTTCCTTTATAAATTACCCAGTCTCAGGAAGTACTTTATAGCAGTGTGAAAATGGACTAATACACTATCCGTGAGCATGGAATGTTTTTCCATTTGGTTGCATTGTCTCTGATTTCTTTGAGCAGTCTTTTGTAATTCTCACTGTAGAGATCTGTCACCTCCCTGGTTAGCTATATTTCTATTTATTATGTATTTCTTTCTTCCTTTCTTTCTTTCTTTCTTTTTTTTTTTTGAGATGGAGTCTTGCTCTTTCACCCAGGCTGGAGTGCAATGGCACAATCTTGGCTCACTGCAAACTCCGCCTCCCGGGTTCAAGCCATTCTCCTGCCTCAGACTCCCAAATAGCTGGGACTACAAGCACGTGCTACCATGCCCAGCTAATTTTTGTATTTTTCGTAGAGACAGGGTTTCACCGTATTGGTCCGGCTTGTCTTGAACTCCTGACCTCGTAATCGGCCCACCTCAGCCTCCCAAAGTGCTGGGATTACAGATGTGAGCCACCATGCCTGGCCCTGTATTTCATTGTTTTTGTGGCTATTGTTAATGGCATGCCTTCTTGATTTGGCTCTCGGCTTGGATGTTGTTGGTGTATAGCAATGCTACTGGTTTTTATATATTGATTTTGTACCCTGAAACTTTGCTGAAGTTGTTATCAGGTCAAAGAGCTTTTAGATAGAGACTGTGGGATTTTCTTGGTGTAGAATCATATCATCTGCAATCAGGGATAGTTTGAGTTCCTCTCTTCCTATTTGGATGCCTTTCATTTCTTTCTTTTGCCTGATTGCTCTGACAAGGACTTCCAGTACTATGTTGAGTAGGAGTGGTGAGAGAGGGCATCCTTATCGTGTTCTATTTCTCAAGGGGAATTGCTTTCAGCTTTTGCCCATTCATTATGATTTTGGCTGTGCATTTGCCTATGAAGAGACTTAGATTTCCACACAATAATACTGGGAGACATCAACATCCCACTGACAGTATTAGACAGAACGTTGAGGCAGAAAACTAACAAAGATATTCAGGACCTGAACTTGACACTTGACTAAATGACCTAATAGACATCTATCTACAGTACTTTCCACCCCAAAACAACAGAATATGCATTCTTCTCATCTGCACATGGTACATACTCTAAAATTGACCTCACAATCAGCCCTAAAACAATCCTTAGCAAAATCAAAAAACCTGTAATCCTGCTAACCACACTTTCAGACTACAGGACCATAAAAATAGAAATCCTTGTTAAGAAAATTCCTCAAAAACGTACAATTACATGGGAATTAAACAACTTGCTCTTGAGTGACCTTTGTGTAAACAATGAAATTAAGGCTGGAATCAAGGAATTCTTTGAAACTGATGAGAACAAAGATACAACATACCAAAATCGCTGGGACACAGTTAAAGCAGTGTCAAGGGAGAATTTCATAATGCTAAATGCCCACATCAAAAAGTCAGAAATATCCCAAATTAATAACCTCAGATTGCACCTGGAGGAACTAGAGAAACAAGAACACATCAACCCCAAAGATAGCAGAAGACAAGAAATAACCAAAATTAGAGCTGAAATGAAGGAAGTTGAAACAAAACATGATACAAAAGATCAACGAATTCATGAGTTGGCTTTTTGGAAGAGTTAATAAGATAGACCACTAGCTAGACTAATAACGAGAAAAAGAGAGAAGATACAAATAAATAAAATCAGAAATTACAAAGGGAATATTATGATACTACTGACCCCACAGAAATACAGAAAACCCAGAGACTACTATGAATACCTCTATGCACATAAGGTAAAAATCCTAGAAGAAATGGATAAATTCCTAGAAACATACAACCTCCCAAGATTGAACCATGAAGAAATTTAATCCCTGAACAGACCAATAATGAGTTCCAAAGTTGAATCAATAATAAGAAGCCTACCAACCAGAAAAAGCCCCAAACCAGACAGATTTATTGCCGAATTTGATCAGATGTATAAAGAAGAGCTGGTACCATTCCTACAAAAACTATTCCCAAACTATCTCATTCTATGAAGGCAGCATCATCTTGATACCTAAACCTGGCAGAGATGCAACAACAAAAAAAAAAACTTCAGGCCGATATCCTTGATGAACATAGATGCAAAAATCCCCAACAAAATAATAGCAAACCATATCCAGCAGCACATTAAAAAGGAAATCCACCATGATCAAGTGGGCTTTATCCCTGGGATGCAAGGTAGGTTCAACATACAGAAATCAATAAATGTGATTCATTACATAAACAGAACTAAAAACAAAAAACAGATGATTGTCTCAGCATATGCAAAAAAAAAAGGCTTTCAATAAAATTCAGCATCCCTTCATGATAAAAATCTTCAACAAACAAGGCATTGAAGGAACATACTTCAAAATAAGAGCCATCTATGACAAACTCACACCAGCTTTAAATATTTTAAATATACTGGATTTGCAGTCTCTTTCAGATGTTCACCATCAGGCAGCTTGCTTTTTCACATTTCCTTATTCTGTTTTTCAGTGAAAATCACTGGGATCAGGACTATATAATTGCCATTTACTGTGTAGGAAATTATACTCAAAGCAGTTTGAAACTATAAATATTTTTTATCTCATAGTTTTCTTAATCAGGAATCTGGGAGGGGCTTTGCTGTGTGTGTAGGCTTGAAGTCTCTTTTGAGGTTGTAGTCAACCTGTCAGCCAGGGCTGCTGCCTCATGTGAAAGCTCCACCCTGGGAAAGATTCACTTCCAAGCTCACTCACATAGGCCTTAATTCTTCTGGCTGTTGGCTGATGGTGTCCCTCAGATTGTTGCCATATGGATCTTACCATCAGGCAGCTTACAACATGAAAATTGGCTTCTCTCAGGCAAGTGACTGGAGAACACAAGAGAGCACCCAAGATGGAAGCTACATTTGTCTCATAACCAAAAATCAGAAGTGACATCCCATCGCTTTTGCTATTCTGTTCATTTAAAGCAAGAAATTGGCCCCTCCCACACTCAAAGGGAGGAAATTATGCAATGGAATGAATACCAGAGTGGGGATCATTGGAGACCATTTTAGAGGCAGTCTTGTCTTTCACACTCAGTGATGCACATATTGTATTTCAAAAACCATGTTGATTTTCAGCATTTTGCCTAGGATAAAAGTTACTTTACCTTGACTTAGGGCAATATTTTTATGTCAGGTCTTTTAATATTATATTTCAATCTTTAATGTTGTCTTGAGGCAATTATGACTTATCCTAATTACTTATACCAGCAACAATTAAGATTTATGTCTGAGTTTCAAAGAGAATATGAAAGATCTAGTCCAATCCTCTATCTTTGGGGGTTAAATCATTTAAAGAAGAAAAGTAGCAGAATATTTTACATCAGAATATGTTTTGCATTTGAATTGTGTAGGATACCAGACAACATTGGCCTTAACTTTAATTTATCTGCTCTTTTGCTAATAGAAATAGTTTATCTATTTCATAGTTAATAGTAAAAAAAATTGTGTGGTACATATGCAAAAACGCATTTTTTAACCAAGAGTGGACCTATTACAAAGATAAATGGGATTGATTAATTTAAGGCTGAGTTTGCGCTTGGTAGACATGTTCTTTTGTAACCTCTAGACTGATATGCAAAAACTGCCCCAGGTTATGAATAAGAAAATTATGTAATGAAATGAGAAACTAACTACAGAGTTACAGATTGGTAGCATTAATAAAACATTATTAGCTTGGAGTCAGAGAAGTGACTTTAAAAAAAAACAACTCTTGACAGAAACTTAAGATCAGTGTAATATATTCCCCCAAGTTTAATGCTTAAATATAGTTGCTGATGGTTACTATCTCATAACAGTAGCTCTGTTTTGAATGTAAATTTGTTATTCATCAAAATGAATTAGTTTCTTAGTATGTTGATTTTGTATAATATAGTTTGGCTAGAAAGATTTTTATGGATATTATTTTCTACCTTTTATGTATCATGAAAGTTTTTTAAAAGGAAATATTTATTTGCTTTGTTTTTATTATAACAGCTTTTTTGAGATAAAATCCAAATAATATATAATACACCCATTTAAGTACTATGGATTTTAGTACATTTGTAGAGTTTTGCAACCATCACCACAATCAATTTAAAACACTTTTATTACACTAAAAAGCAACCCTATACCCTTTATTAGTCATCCCCATTCTACTTGTCCCCCCTCACTTCTAGATAACCACTAGTCTACTTTCTGGCTCTATAAATTTGCTCAGTCTGGACATTTCATATAAATTGAACCTTTTATGACTTCTTTCACTTAGCATGGTGTTTTCAAGGTTCATCCATGTTGTAGTATATGTATATCAGTACATAATTCCTTGTTATTGTCAAATAACATTTCATCGTATGAATAAACCACATATTTATACCTGTTAATCAGCTGATGGACATTTGAGATGTTTCCACTTTTTGGATATTATGAAAAGTGCTACCATGAACATTCATGTACAAGTGTTTTCTTTTAATTTTTATTTTTGGTTCAGTGGTACATGTACAGGTTTGTTATATAGGCAAATTGTGTGTCACAGGGTTTGGTGTACATATTATTTCATCACCCAGGTAATAAACATAGTACCTTAATAGGTAGTTTTTCAATCCGCAGCCCCTTCCCACCCCGCACTGCCAAGTAGGCCATGGTGTCTGTTCCCTTCTTTGTGTCCCTGTGTTCACGTACAAGTTTTTATGTTTACATATTTTCATGTTTTCATTTATCTTGGGTACATCATGAAAGCTTTAAGATAAAAAATATAAGACATAAGAGATTGAGAACATTGGCTTTGGATTCAGATAGATATGAATTCGAGTCATAGTTTTTCCACTTTCTAGCTATGTGACCTTGAACTAGTTGCTTAATCTTAACAGAAATCAGATTTCTTCATCTTTATATTGGAGCACCAATATTTACTTTGCAGAGTTTTTGTGAAATATGCAGTATATGAAACACTGAGCTTATAATTGACGCTCAACAAATAGTGGCTATTATTATCAAGGACAAGGTAGAGAAATTAAGAGCTAGTACTTATAAACAGGAGAAAGTGAAGAACACTGTTAGTCCACAATGCAAGTCTAACACTTGTAGAAAGAGGGGAGGAAGAAGATTGGGAAGAGACTGGGACTATAATACGTTTCCAAGAAATGTTCAACTAGGCTGATGGGTTGTCCTGAAGCTAAAATTTCCCCAGGAAGGAGCCTGTTGCCTTGACAGAATGGTCGTGCCTTAGTACCCTACCATTCTCAGTTACTGGCTGGAAGGGACTTGAGGTAGATATGTTCTTGGAAGTAACATGTTGGTAGATCCAGCAGTACATTTTTAGAGCAACTAGTTTTTTTTATAGTTTCCTTTTTCTCTGAAGTTTTTATAATTTCTCAGAATTATTAATTTTATGGGCATTTTACATTCAGTGTACTGAGCAGTCAGTGGACCCTTAAGTTCTACAATATGTTCTTTTGTTTTTTTTTTTTTACGGAGTTTCGCTCTTGTTGCCTGGGCTGGAGTGCAATGGTACGATCTCGGCTCACTGCAACCTCTGCCTCCTGGATTCAAGTGATTCTCCTGCCTCAGCCTCCTGAGTAGCTGGGATTATAGGCATGTGCCACCACGCCTGGCTAATTTTGTATTTTTAGTGGAGACAGGGTTTCTCCATGTTGGTCAGGCTGGTCTCGAACTCCCAACCTCAGTTGATCCACCCACCTTGGCCTCCCAAAGCGCTGGGATTACAGGCGTGAGCCACCGCACCTGGCCTACAATATGTTCTTATATTATGTCTTACATAATTTCCTCATTCTATTTTCTTTTCTTTATCCTTCATGAGGTTCTTATTGGTAGGATGTTGGACCTCCAGAAGTAATGCACTCAGTCTCTTAAATTTTCTGCCCCCTCCTCCAGCCCCAGGCCTTTTCCTTCCATTCTGTTTTTGTGAGAGACTTCCTTCCTACCCTCCTACTGACATTTTTATTTTAGCAATTTTTAACTTTCATGAAATATTTCTAGCATTCTGATCATTTTTTCATAGCATACTATTTTATTAATAAAAATCTCATATTTCTCTAAAAATACTAGAGCAAATAGGGTCTTTTCAGAAAGCAGAATCGACCTCAGGTGGCTCAAATAGAGTTACAGAGGGCTCAGCAGGGGATGTTTTGGCATCCAGAGACCAGCAGCACTCGGAAGGTGTTCCTACTGGCAGAGTTGAAGTACTAAGGGCAAGAAATAGCATGAATGGAACAGTCAGAGCCAAGACGTTCACTCCCCGAACCTTGGCCATGAGCTAGACTTGCAGGGCAATGCAGCTATTGCCAGAGGTGTTTGGCACCACTGGAGACAGAAATGAAGAAATACCCCTAATTTCTTCTTTCTCCTGCACTCTAATTCTCTTTAAGACTAAACCCACTGGAAACCAGCCACGGTGATACAATCTGCAGAGTTCATCTTTCTCGGTCACAGTGTAGGGCAGAGGAGTATGTAGAATGGAGTGAAGGTGTGGCAAATGGAAAATAATTAGCATAGATAATAATTCAGGTTAAGGTTAAGTTTTATTCCAGTGTGTGTGCTATCAATTTCCTTCAGGATGTTTTTTTTTTCCTAGTGATTATTTTCATCTTCCCTTTTATGTTGGAGTCTTGCCTCACACAACTGGTGATCTTGAGCTGTTTGTTTATACATGAGCATGAGAAATTTAAATGATGGTTTGAATATATACATACATAAGCAGATGTTGTTGACTGATAGGCTTTGTTTGCTTTTAAAGTGATGCAATGAAGAGATGACTCATTAGGGCACCCGCAAACACCAGGTCTTTCTTTAAGAAGTATTGAGTTTCTCCAAAGAAGAAATTTATAATGATCTATGGAGGGAATAGATTCTCCATCTGCCTTTGAGTGAAGGGGGAGAGATGGACCTGTGCTTCGTACCTACAAGTCACTGTACTCTGAGGCCTAGGCTTTTTCTCTCAGTTTTTTCAGAAAGCACATCTTTGATCCCTCACCTAAGAAATCGATGCTTGGATGCTGGCATTCTCTGTGTGTATGTGTTAAAGAAACAAACGAAAGTGTGTAGTCATTGTGCTTTTGAAGTCCAAGGTTAAATTTTAAAATTGTAGCAAAACTGCGATGGGATTGCAGACCTTATGACCTCAAGAATAGTGCTCTTTCCAATATATTACGCTACTTCATGTTTACAAAATGAATGAAATGAAAGATCTTAGAGAATAAAAGTTTCTCAGTTGGACTGCATGTGGTGTTCAGTGTTAAATTCTGGATGAACATTGTTATTTCTGATGAATATTGATGAAAAAAATTTGCATCCAGCAGAAAGCAACCAGGAATTTTATGGGGATTGGAAATCACAAAGACATGGCCCAGATTGGAAGATAGAAGCCTAAAGGAAGACATGATATTGACCTTCACATTTTTGAGAACCATCGGCTGGGCACGGTGGCTCACGCCTATAATCCCAGCACTTTGGGAGGCTGTGGCAAGTGAATTACTTGAGGTCAGTAGTTCGAGACCAGACTGGCCAACATGGTGAAACCCCATCTCTACTAAAAATTAAAAAAATTAGCCAAGCGTGGTGGCAGGCGCGTGTAATCCCAGCTACTCAGGAAGTTGATGCAGGAGAATGTCTTGAACCCGGGAGGCAGAGGTTGCAGTGAGCCGAGAATGTGCTAGTGCACTCCAGCCTGGGCAACAAGAGTGAAACTCCATCTCAGAAAAACAAACAAGCAAAATATCATGCACTATATTTCTGAAAAGGAAAAAATTCAGGACAAATAGATAGATTTGAGTTGAACGTGGAAAACGTGTTTCTTTTTTTTTTTTTTGAGACAGAGTCTTGCTCTGTTGCCCAGGCTGGAGTGCAGTGGCACAATCTTGGCTCACTGCAAGCTCCGCCTCCCAGGTTCACGCCATTCTCCTGCCTCAGCCTCCGAGTAGCTGGGACTACAGGTTCCCGCCAGCACGCCCGGCTAATTTTTTGTATTTTTTTAGTAGAGACGGGGTTTCACCGTGTTAGCCAGGATGGTCTCGATCTCCTGACCTCATGATCCGCCCGCCTCGGCCTCCCAAAGTGCTGGGATTACAGGCGTGAGCCACCGCGCCCAGCCGGAAAACGTGTTTCTAATAATGAGAGCTATTCAATAATAGTCTGACTTGTACTCTGACAGAAGGATTTATCTAAAATGTCAGGACATAGGTAGAAAGGATTTCTGCATTTGATGAGGAATTAGAGGATTTCTAGTATCCCTTTAAGTCTGAGAAAATTAGCTTAATATGGTAATAAGTATCTTTTAAAAATACAAAAATCTATGTATTTATTTATGATGAAACTAAAGTATGTTGAATCCCTTAAAAGTGCAAGAAACATTTAAATGAGATTAATATATGGCATAAGGGATTTTGTACCATAAATATATGATATAAAATTATCCCCTACCGTGACCAAGATGGATATGATAATATATGTAAATCAAGATGTATACACACACACATTACATTATATGTTTAAAATCAGAAGTTAAAAGGCTATCATCAAATTTTAAAAAATCTTCACCGTATTAACAGATGATATTGAAATATCTTTTTTACTCCTGAAGCATAAAGGTTGTTTTGAATTCCCAAAGATAGGGAACGTTATCTCAGAAGTGGCAACACCTTTACAAATTACTAAATTGACCTTTCAGAATTTTGGAGAAGAATGACTAATGGATTTATCATTAATATGAACATTATTCCAATTTTAATCTTATATTAAAGAGTTCTTAGATTCATTGACATGCTTGCCAAAATGCTAATAGGTAAGGTCTATTAAAATGCATTATCAGCCTTTTCATGATCTGTGTAGTGCTGATGAAATATCACATTTATGAGAAAAATCTCCAGTGCTTTCAAGATCCCTAGGCAGCTCTGTCATATTGGCATCAACTGGGCTGTGTGCTTAGTTTCCTTGATTATTCTGAAATCCATACATTCATACACTTAGCTTGTCATGCAAAAAAAAAAAAAACTGTTCTATGCCTATTGCTGTTATTTTATGTGAACAACTTCTAGTTGTACTATGAGAAATTCACTTAGATCTTAAAATTCTCAGTTTCGTTCTCTTTGTTGTATTTCCGCTGTTATACTGTCAGTGTTTGTTCCCAGTGATGATCATCAGAATCCAGAACTAACAGCTAACTAACAGCTTGCTGTTTCAAAATATTTATATCAATATTTGTGTTAAATGCTGTCTTTGTAGTCTGCTAATTTGCATTTGTTTTCAAGGATGAAGCAAAAAAACTTTAAAAGTGATGTTTATGAATATGCGTCGAGTTTCTAGGAAACTCAATTCAAAAGATTTGAACATAATCTCTCATCCTTATAATGACTAACTGGCAGCTCCAATATACTCACCATCATACTTTTTAAATAATCTTGCTCTGGCAGAAAAATATACAGAACCAACAAATGCAATATGCTAATGACAAACCTAAAAAAAATTGAGATCACTTCTGCATCTGGGAAACACAATACTCAAGATTTTTAGTTTTCTGGAGTTGAAGTCTGTTAATATATTAAACTATCTAGGCAGCATGTTTCCAATTGTGCTTTAATTAATAAAGAATAGAAACGTGAAAGAAGTCAGTATGTCCTTTCAGACTGCTAACATGTGCAGCACCTAAAAATCAAAGCAGCAACTTAGGGTAAAAATCTACAGGGTGGTGTTTGTATTTGCCCTCCTTTTGCAATCACATATCGACTCTTCAGAATTTTCACCAACTTAATTTTAAAGTCACAATTAATATTAAGTGGAAAATAGAAATGCAAATGATAATAATCTGGAATATATCTAGACTATTGGGATTGAGTAGATGCTTGCTGATAAAATATTCCTCTTTAGACACATGTACAGGGTAGGCAAATAACATTATAACTGAGTAGTTACTGAAATGGTATAAACACAAACAAAAGAAACACTTTAATTACAGACATTAAACATTTCTATATGTAGGTATAGGATACATATGTGTTCTTGGTAGATAACAATAAGAGAGAGCTCAATCTGGTATATTATAATCAGAAATGTCATGATTATCAAGCCAAACATACAGGTGAACAAATTTAGACATTGTAAACAAGGACCAGCTCAGTAAATGGAGGGCAATCACAGCAAGTCATTTATTTAGCACCTATCGTGTGCATGGTGTTTTATATGTTATCTCGTCTATCCACACAAACCCCCTTTTGGGATGTGTCTTCTTATACCTCAGAGATGAAAAATAAAATTCAGGGTTTAAGTAAAGGGTAAGGTCACACACCAAAATAATGGCGGATCTAGAGGTTGGAACTCAGTCTTTTTTAAAGCCAGACCACACTGCCTCTTTATGTTTTGAATTATTACAAGTTCTATTGGTCATATTTCAGTTGAAGCATATACCATAAATAACTAGGCACACATTAAGACCCATCCTAACCTCTTTATAAATTGCCTTCTCTGCTATTGAGGCTAGAAAACTAAAAACTCACTTTCATAGATTTCCTTGTTTTTAGTGTTACCATGTGACTTAGTCATGGCCAATGAGACATTAGAAGGATATTAAAAGAAACAGAACTTAAAATGGGAATTTGGTTATTGGAGATAGTTTGGTGCTAGATTGGAAAACACTAATTTGGCCAGGCACGGTGGCTCACACCTGTAATCCTAACACTTTGGAAGGCTGAAAGAGATGGATCACCTGAGGTCAGGAGTTCAAAACCAGCCTGGACAACATGGAGAAACCCCATTTCAACTAAAAATTCAAAAAAATTAGCTGGCGAGGTGGTGGGCTCCTGTAGTCCCAGCTACTTGGGAGGTTGAGGCAGGAGAATTGCTTGAACCCAGGAGGCAGAGGTTGCGGTGTTCTGATATCACACCACTGCCCTAGCCTGGGTGACAGAGTGATACTCTATCTCAAAATAATAATAATAAGTAATTATGTAAATCCTATGTAATTTTTTTTTTTACAAATCCCATCTTCTCTACCATGTGATGCAGATCATTATCATTTGCGGGTTTGACATTAATAGAAATGATAGGCGCTTTTAAGAATATTGGTGTGTGCTGCCTCCTCTTTGACCCTTTGAGCAAATTTCTGTGAGGAACAGATTAACTTGGACTAGAGGTTGCCAATCTGTGAGCAGAGACAGAAGTTAATAACTGCTTTGCTAACAGAGATGCTCAACATGTACAATGTGTGTCCGTTTAATAAGAGTCCTGTAATTTGGCATCTTAAAATGTTGAAAAACACAACTGCTATGCCCCAAACTAATGGGGTCATAAGCAGTGGCTAGGAAATGTAGGGCTTTAGCTAGAGATAAACCTCAGGACTTCACAAGTATGTGAGTCCAAGACAAAGATCAGATTAGGAATGTTGTTTTGTCTAATAATGGCTGAGCAATTCAAAACAACTCTCCTCTCCCCCTGCTGACATCTAAGCATTAAAGAGCTATCAATACAGTAAATAATTTACTAGACAAGGCACAGGAGAAGATGAGAATTCAGATATGAGTCTACCTCAAAACTGCTTTTGCCCTGAGGTCATGTGCCTATCTAAAAGAATACCTGACTAACTGAGAAAGAGCTGTGCTTTTGGCTGCATTGCGGGAGCAGGAGGAAAAAAAAAAATCCAAGTCATGGCAACCAAAGGTAAGAACTCTGATTAACTTCCACCTCTTCTTTCAGCCAGGATCCCCAAAAGCCATAACCTTAGAGTGAGTAATAATGGAAGTAAACTAGCTTAATATGAGATTTGCAAGCACACTGCTAGTTATCCAGGTGGTTTAGGTAACTTAAAGTCTTGTACTTGAACTTAGAAGGTCTCAGACTGATAGTGACCCAGGAACCTGACGGAAACATTTGAAAAGCCTCTACCAGGGAAGATGCTGTCATTCTAGTACTAAGAGTATTCCTACAAAGTATTTTTCAAATGCAATGGCCAGCACAGCAAAGGTACCAGGGAGTTAGGAAAACAAGACACCATGAGTGAGAAGTAGGAAGAAGAAGAAGAAGAAAGAAGAAGAAGAAAACAATCAGTCAATCTTATTATGTTTAAAGAATAAAATCCAAGCTAGAAAATTTTAACAATTAGTGAATTGTTGCCCTGCCACCCAAATTGGTTGTTTTGGATGAATGCAAGTACTGGCTGCCAAACAAACAAACAAACAAACAAAACAAAACAAACAAAAAAACAGCAACAGAGCTTAGAAGCCAGCATCTAAGACCATAAATTCTAGAAAACTGTCTAGACCAGATTCTTGGTTGTGGTCACTTGCTCATGAAACTGACCACGAACAAAGAAGCCAGAAGCCTGCAATATCATTGAAAGTTCCTGTTACTAAAGAAATCCCAACTTGGCCAGCTGTGACCTGCCCTCAGGCAATCATAAAACTACTGAACTTGGACCAATAGGCCCCTAGTGGGCTACTAGAACAATGCATTCTCCAGAAATATTGTCCTCTGCAGTGGCCACCTCATATGTGGTCATGGAAGATAACAGACATGGAATATTCTGTTTGTCTACCCAAGAAAACACCTCTTGAACAGGAACTTTTCACTATACCCGTGTAGCAGGATTTATTGTTTGCTGTGAATTAGTAACTATTTCTTTCTCATTTTCTATTTTTCCTAATGTGGACATTTTGTTGTGGTTATTCTTATTCCATTCCTTCTCTACCATTCAGTGCTGGTGTGTTATAGGCAGATAATTTGTATTTTAATTTAGTTGACAGATAATTAAGAGTTACACCCAAACCTGATGGACAGGACTGCACATGGCTTTAAATTAAATACAGTAACAGATGCAACAATGGTACCATCTTCTTTGGGAAAGGAATGAAGCACTTCATATAAAGTTTAAGTAAAGAAGGAGAGTTGTTGGATATTGTATCAGTCAGGGACTAGTCAGGAGACAAAATCCACACCAGTAATTTGAACTGAGAAAATATAATATGAAGCTTTATTAAGTAATACAAGATGAATAACTTTTAAAATGAACAAAAGGGAACTCTAGAGAATACAAATATAGTAAATATTGGGAGAAGTTACCACCTCTAGGCCCATGGGAGAGAACCCAAGGAATGGAAAAGTTTGGAAGAGCCTCTCCCAACCCATAAACAATGCAATTCAGACTTCAATGGAGAGGATGTGGCTGCAGCCTGCTGGATTGTGGGGTTCTCTGAGACGTCATGGGCGAGAGCTGTTCTGCAGCTAGTGGTCTGACCCTGATGAGCAGAAAACTGCCCATGGTGGTGCAGATGGGCTGGAATCGATAAGCAAGGACCTACCTTTGTTGGAGTATGAGCAAAACTCACTAGCTGTTAGGCACTACTGGTTCTCCTGCATAGAGCTAATAGCCAAGCCACTGAAGAAAGAAAGCAGACAATTGGAACCGGAGGAGGGAAGGGGTAACACTTTCCCCAGTCATGCGTTGACATATCCCTCCAGAACCCTTTATTTTCAGACTAATGTTATACAAATTAGTAAAGGTAAAATGTTACAGATCCAGGTCCAGTTTTACCAAGTATAGCAAAAAATAAATTATTTGAAACTGAGAGCTAAAAAATTGGTGACTGACACAAATGTTGATTCTGCAATGAGGTGGAGTATGGAAAATTTCATAGATTTGATCACTCAATGTTCATTCCAACACTGCAACTTAACTCATGTTATTATTGTTTTTCTAAACTTCTTTTATCTAAGAATGGCAATATGACTTCATTTTGAGCAATGAGATCTGCTAGTTCTTCTTCCATTTTTTTTCTTTTTTCTGAAATATGCACAAAATGACTGTAGCTGCAACAGTCATCTTACCAGTGATAACTAAAGGCTAATGCTGGACACAGTGGTGCATGCCTGTAGTCCCAGATACTTGGGAGGCTGAGGTGGGAGGATCATTTGAGTCTTACCTGGGCAATATCGTAAGGCCTTGTCTCTAAATAAATAAACATTTTTTTTAAAAAAGAAAAGGCTAAGACTTTTACACATAAACATAATTTACAAAAACATACAGGATTATAATTTGTATATTATAAGAGAGAAATCTAGAGAATACAGAAATAGTAAATACTGGGAGAAGTCAGCACCTCTAGGCCTAAGGAAGAGAACCCAAGAAAGGAAATGTTTGGAGGATCCTCTCCCCACACATTAATGATGAGATTCACACTCCAGCGGAGAGGATGTGGCTGCAGCCTGCTGGATTGTGGAGTTCTGTGAGATATTTTGGGCCAGAACTATTGATAGTCACTGAATCTGTGTAAGTGTGTATATATGTAACTAGAAAGACATATATATCCAGATTCACAAAATTCATCTAAATAAACTAATACACTCTAGATTGTGAGTTTAGCCATGACATATTTATAGATAAGGCATCACACTCAGATGTACCATGAACTATAACAACTTTTTATTCCTTTAACTTTAATATTCTTGGTATATTCTTCAATCACATTTCCTCCTGCTGGCACTGGCATGGGAGAGGGAAAAACTAGATATCAATTTACTTTGGCTTAATACAGTAATTAATGATAATCTTTTAAATAAGTGGATCTTTTTCATAATTCCTTGAGTTCTCCATGATCCTCTCTAAGATGACCTATGAATGTAGAGGGGGCTTATGTTACTGGTGGCTCTAAGGCTTAAAAGGGAACCCTGACTTATATGTAGGTAACAGTGGCTGGTGTCTGCTGCGATGTCATTGATCATTCTTGTCCCTAGGAGTTCTGCTGGCATCTGCTGCTAAGACTTGCATTTGATGTAAGCACTGTCAACTTAATTTGGGTCTGGTGGCTTTCCTTAGCTCACTAGGCCCTGTGTCATCTCTTTCTTTCTCTGCCGGTATCTCTGAGGTCTTCCATGTGCTCCAAATGACTCCTCGCACAAGGTTGGTTACCCTGCAGACTTTGATTCAAGGTTGTTTATATTTTTGCCATAGCCGTTCTCATGATTCAATCCTTGGCTCTTACTTTTGATCTGGCTTATCCCTTAAAGGATATGTTTGAACTTTGGTCCTTCTAGATGATATGGGAGGCAAGAAAAACATGAGAGTACTAAACTCCTTCTACCTGACCTCACTGTTTGATACTCTTTACTGTGCTGGAACCATCCCTTATTGTCTCAAGGCTGTCTTATACAAATGATATTCTCCCAGCAACCCAAGTAGGTAGGAACACACCCATCTTTGGCATTCCTCTCAAACTACCAAACATTCCTCTCTGCTTCTAAGACGTGGCCTGGAGTTGACAGGTCCAGGGCACAGGATGATGCATTATGATCCTTCTCCTGCCCTCTCTTCTGCCTTCCACAGTCCCTTGGGGTTGGAAGAGGCAGGATTGTCACCCTTTTTACTTTTTCCAGCTCCTCTTCCATCCCTTCTATTTCTCATTCCATGGTAGGACCTGTTCTCCCAGTGGCTATAATTAGATGTAGTGCAGGGAGAGAAAATGACTTTCTGATAAAGAAAAATAAATGAGGGGTACTTAAAATATGTACCTGTTACACAGACTTTAGCATGCTTTCTACCAGAATTTTCCATTCCTACCATCTTCTCAGTGACATTATTCAAACAAATTGGCAATGGTTTTGGAAAAAAGAACAACTTGCATGTTGAAGTAGTAATATTTAACATTAGCCATCCTGCAGGTAATAAAAAATTAGTAAAAATTTTATTAAATATATTTAGGAAACTTATTTATATCGGCTCCACATTATTTTCTGTAACTTTTTTGATAAAAATAATACAATATTATAAAAACTTTAAAACATATAGAAAATTAATAAAAATACAAATAGCAAACATTTTACAAGTAAAATAACATAAAACCTCTTTCAAAATCATACCAGACAAGCACTTTTAGAGAATAACCTTTAATATGTGTTTTTGTGAGTGTGTGTATATTGTCTTACTATGTATATTTGAATGAGCATTTTTAAAGTCTTCAAAGAATAAATCTTTTTCCAATTAATTTTTCTTCTCTTAAATTGTCTAAGGACTCTGGAACTTATTTAGCCACTTCTGCTTTCAGGACTTCATTTGTCAGACAGAAAGAAAGAAAACTGGTAATTCCAAACTGTCTACTGGCCCATTGTTTTAATCACTACCCCACTATCTCCATTGATCTTTGGTCTGCAAGGTATCGTGACTTTTTTTTTTCCTGCTGAGGAAGTCCCTCTGGTGTTCTGGATTATTGCCAATGCCATACTGGCACTCCACTCTGGCCTCTGAGGTTACCAGTCATTGCGCACACTCATGTACCATTCATTTTTCCTAAAGATGACACTGTGTCAGAATGGCTGGGTCCATGGGGTCAAGAGGGACTTAGTCTGGAGTAGGGAGGCCCAGAGAATCTTCCACATATAGACCCAGGACGTATTAGCATCAGCCCTCTCCCGTAAACCTGGTGTTGAGGCCAGAACTCCAGTCCACAGTCCATGTAATACTTCAAATTCATGTTGAGTTACCGTTTATAGTGTTTAATATTCTTTCCTGCCAGCAAATATCAACTGAGACCATTCCAATTTATCTTATGAAAGGGTCTACAGTGAGCCTGAAAAGTAAAAGGATTGGGATCACTTCCTCGGTGAGCTGAAATGCATACCATGAATACATGTGTTGGGTCCCCTTTGTGAAGCCATATGAAGTTTCTTTCCCAAAGTCGGGGGCCCATAAAAGATTTGTTTCTATCCTTCAGATATCCTCTTAAATTTCACCTCTTCAGAGAAATCTTTCCTAACCCCCAATCATCCCACCCAACCTATAAATAGATTAAATCTTTCTTTTGTATACTTCCGTAATTCTCCGTAATTTTCCTCCGCTGAATTTATCCCATTGTAAAATTTTTGGAGTTATTTTCATATTGCCCATCCTTCCTCATAAATCACTATACTCCTAGCACCTACCACAGTACTTGAAACATAGTGGGAACTCAAGCAAACAATTATTGTTTGATTTAGAACTAAATGGGTCTGAGGAAGTCTATCTAATAAATCTCATTCTTCCCTAACTGTGATCTAGGCCAATGGGGAAATAAGACAAAACAATAGGGCAGACGAGAGACCAAAAAATCACATGTATGATTGCTAAAGCTAGTAATATGGAATACAGTATATGTGCAGATAACGGGCTTTTCAAATACTGCATAACAGGAGTTAGATAGATTTTCCCAGGCAATCACCACAGTACTAAGCAGACACTTCCTCTCTGCATTAGCCTCTGGTCCTGCCAAGCTCAGCATGTCTGCTGCCACCCCTGTCCTCTGAAGGGACATGGGCGGAGCTAACCTCCAATCAAATTAAACTGCTTTTCTAGCTGTTATACATTCCTCCACATGGAAAGGAAACAGGAGTGAAGGAATTATTTATCCACCATGACAAGTTACATTTTCTATGTCAATACATATAAATTTCATGTCAAAATTTTCAGTGCCTATAGTATACATGTATGTCCATGGTGTTTGTGCCATAACTTGTATCTAAATAAGTTCTATCTATATTAATGGACATTTAATATATCATTAATCTGCAAGAAATTATTTGCATTTATACTGTTATCTTCTTTTCTGTATAATTCTATAAATGAGGTTTTGGGTAAAAGTTTAAACATATCTTATATTTTAAAACATATTGTCAGCCGGGTGTGGTGGCTCGGCCTTTTGGGAGGCCGAGGTGGGTGGATCAGGTGAGGTCAGGAGTTGGAGACCAGCTTGGCCAACATGGTGAAACCCCGTCTCTACTAAGAATACAAAAATTAGCCAGGCTTGGTGGCACATGCCTGTAGTCCCAGCTACTCAGGAGGCTGAGGCAGGAGAATCACCTGAACCCAGGCAGTGGAGGTTGCAGTGAGCTGAGATTGTGCTACTGCACTCCAGTCTGGGCAACAGAGTGAGACTCTGTCTCAAAAAAATAAATAAATAAAAATAAAAATAAATTGTCTAATTTTCATAAGAAAAATATCAATTTGTACTTCTACCAACAGTGCACAAAAATTCCTGTTTCTTTATACTTTTGTTAATAATTTCTAATCTAATAAAGAACAATTGTAATTTTTAATTTAATTTTTGAATTTTATTAATTTGAATATCTTTAGTAGCCATTTGTATTCTGTAATGACTTTCCTGTTTATATTTGTTCTGTTTGCCTAATTAGTTTATTTTTTTTCCCTGTGCACTTGTAAAAAGCCCTATATATGTTAAGGAAACAAATCCTTTATCATCTGTGCTGAAATTATCTTTCCTTGTTTGCATTTGACTTGCAAACATATTTATGGAGATTCTGAAACATGTTGGCCTTTCAGTTCTTTATATGGTTATATTTACCAATAATTTCTTTTATAATTTCTTCTTTGCATGATTTTAAGAATAGTCATCCATATTTTCTTTTGATATTTTAGAGTTACTTTTGTCACACTGAATATTGAATCTCTCTGGAATCTATTTAATACAAGGAGTGCATTTGAAATTTGGCCTAAAAAATTTTTAATGACCAACAAGTTATTCCAAAGCATTTATTAAATTATTGCTTCATCTCTTACTGTAAGTGCCATCTTATCATATACTAAGTGCCCACATGTTCTCAAGTATATTTCTTGTCAACCTGTGCTGTCTGATTCTTCTCTTTCTTTGTAATCCTACATAGTATCACATGGCTTAAATAGCTATAAAATACTTTTTTTTCCAAAAAATATTGTGGCTTATTTTTAAAATTCTCTATCCAACTAAATTTTGAAGCATTTTGACATGTTTCAAAAATACCAAATTGTGTTTTTATTTTAATTAATTTATTTATTTTTAGAGATAGAGTCTTGCTCTGTCACTCAGGCTAGAATGCAGTGGCAAGATCTCAGCTCACTGCAACCTCTGCCTCCTGGGCTCAAGGAAGTCTGGTCCCCCAGCCTCCTGAGTAGCTGGTATTACGGGCCTGCACCACCACACCTGGCTAATTTTTGTATTTTTAGTAGAGACAGAGTTTTGCCATGTTGGCCAGGCTGGTCTCAAACTCCTGACCTCAAGTGATCGGCCCGTCTCAGCCTCCCAAAGTGCTAGGATTATAGGTGTGAGCCACTACGCCCAGCCCCAGATTATGTTTTTAAATAGTTTAAATTAAACTTATAGTGTAGGAAAAAGTTGTATTTTCATAATTTTAATCTTCTTGTAAAGGAATGTCTCCTTATTTGTGTGGGAATTTAAAAAATGTTCATCAGTAAATTTTTATGATTGTCTTAATATAGGCTGTATTTTTATTTGTTAATTTTATTTCTAGAAATATTGTATTTTTCTGTTGTATTTGTTAATGATATATTTTCTTTCATTGTCCAAGTGATTATTGTTTATATACAGGAAAGTAATATATTTTGTTGGAGTAATGTTATACCTTACCAAAATCTCTAATTGTCTAAAAATTCTTGTACTCTGCTAGAAGGCTGGATATTGATGGCTTGTTTTCTTGCTCAGTCATTCAACCATCTGATGAGGGATGAAGAATAAATTGGAGAAATGGGCAGCTGTGCTTTTGTCACTATCCTCCCAAGTCCTGTTTGACCGCCTGTCACTGTGGATATTGATTTCATGAAGTGGGATTAGTGTGAAGTTCTACTGCTCATAAACTGGCTTTTGTTTCATCAGTTGACCTTATTCAAAAGCTCTCAAGCTACTTTTCCTCATTCTCCTCCAGTCCAATTTGCCATCAGTTGTCAACCCAATCAGAAGTTCTGATCAATAAAAAGGGAAATTGCTTGGCTGCAAATTCTCTCTTCAGTCCTGCATCCCTTTTATCCCCAAGTCTTTATAAACCCTCTTGGCTGGGGTTCTCACTAGGGCCGTCAAACTTGTTCAGTATTGAACTTGCCCATATACTACACTGATTTTGTGATTAAGGAAGATACAGTGTACTTGGGCTTTAAATTAAATTGAACCTGGCAGATATTCTTCATTCATTCAGCTTCCAGTTATTCTCCTGAGTTTATGATGGGGGTTGTGACTGTTCCTTGTTTTCATGCGTATTTCCCTTGTTTTCCCATATTTTTGTGTGTTTTTTTTTTCATTTTGGCTGCTTTTAGAAAAGGGTTATAGGCAAAAGAGCACATATTCATTGTCTTTCCTAGAAATCCACACATTATTACTACAATAACCACTCAATAAATATTGGCTATTATTATTATGCTTTCCTTAAATGGAGTATCATCTTTACTTTTGCTTGGTCTTACTCTTTCTTCAAGTTGTGAAACTTAAGTTGTTTTAAATTTATGCATGCATTTAAAGCCTTAAAAAAAAACTACTGTCGGGGAGCGGTGGCTTACGCCTGTAATCCCAGCACTTTGGGAGGCTGAGGCGGGCGGATCACCTGAGGTCAGGAGTTAGAGACCAACCTGACCAACATGGAGAAACCCCATCTCTACTAAAAATACAAAGTTAGCCAAGCATGGTGGCATATGCCTGTAATCCCAGCTACTCGGGAGGCTGAGGCAGGAGAATCGCTCGAACCCGGGAGGCGGAGGTTGCCGTCAGCGGAGATCGCGCCATTGCACTCCAGCCTGGGCAACAAGAGCAAAACTCCGTCTCAATAATAATAATAATAATAATAATAATAATAATAATAATAACAACAAAAAACTGTTATTCTTATACATGGCTCCTCTCAATTAAAACTATTTTATTTGGGCCCTTCATTTTTGCATTCTCTCATTGAGATATGGAAGTTTTATCTTCTATTTTGAAGATCATCAGTATTAATATATAACTGACAATTTCCCTACTCATTACAGTTCTTGATGCATAGTGTTCATTGAAAATAAGATTGTATGTTGTAAATGTATGATTGCATAAATTTTTGAAAGCAGGGGCTATGTATTATTTTTTAGTACATAAATCTTCAATAATGAAGTTATCTATTCTAAATTTGGAGGAATATTTGAATAGTTAAAGAGTCTGATTCTCTTAAAATGTATAATATTCTTTTACATATTTTTCCTCTCATGTTGTATAGTAAGTGGATAATTAAGCAAACATTTTCAGTAATATTCTGGCATTATCTAAAATGCCAGTTCACACATTTTATAGTCTCAAAGTCTGGGTAATAAGGATGAAAAGGCAAGCTTAGAGTCTCAATAGACCTCAGCATGAATCTCACCTACACCAATGAATAGTTTCGTATCCTTAGTCAAGTTACTTACTATCTCTGCACCTCACTTTTTCCATCTGCAAAAATATGTCATAAAGTTGTTTAAATGTTAATACATGTAGTTACTTTAACTTTTTGTGAGCTCTGTTTTGGGTTGACTAGTTGCCTGGAGTACATTTTAAAATCATCTTAACATTTTGATTATCAGTACCAAATCATTTACAAAGTACCTGTGTTGGAAGGCTATCTAATACTGTCTTGCATTTTGTAAATTCAACTTATAAGAAATAAAAGAACAGTACTGGAAACATACTAGAAGTTTAGTTTTTAAAACTTATTTATTTAGTTACTACAGAGGTAATGGAAGAAATAATACTATGAAATAAAATATATTCTGATAAAACAATAGGAAATAATATTTTAATCAAATAGAGCTAATGTCATTCAAACACATTAAAATTGCTAACATATTTTGAGCACTTATGGTATACCAAGCATGGTGCTAAGCCCTTTATTATCTCATTCAATTTTCACAACAAATTTGTAAAATAGACATTACCTGTTTCTTAATTGTTATACAAATATTAGTATAGATGTTTGATAAAGAATGAATAGTTATCTCAATGTAAGGTTAAGCATAAAATAAAAACAGAGCTATTTCATCGTTGATTGTTTGCTAAAAATCAAGTGAAACTCAGAGCCAATATTAAGATTAATTTTTTTATGTTTTCTTTGATAAAACTCATTTGTTTGCTTTTTGAAATGTATTTCATTTTAAAGCTATTCCACAGGACGATTTTTGTTAAACTAATTATTTTAAAGAGTGGCATATTTTCAGTTTTTGATATGCGAAAGATATTTGAATCATTAAAAAAACTGGCTGTTTTGTAGGTTCATTCAATAAATAGGTAAACTGTCAGGTAGCTTCCCTAAGTGGGCTGTCATGTTATTTCATTTATTTTTATTATTCAAACTCAAATTAACTTTGCAGTTTCACGATTTATCTATTGTGAATCTGAACAGTTAAGTAGGACAGAAGAAAAGGTGCAGTTCCATTAAGCTCTAACATATCATTGGCTGTCAGGTAAGCCTTGTTATGCTGTCCATCCTCATTTAACTATCCCACAAGATCTCTTAATGAAGTTAAGCCCCAAGTTCACTCCAATAATTCTGTGGCAAGAGTTTGTGCATTGTAACAATTCATCACTTGTCAGGAAGGCACTTTTAGTTTATACATTTAATAAGGGCATCCTCTAGCTTGGTTAATTAGAAGTGAACAGTTTGCATATTTACTAAATGCGGAGTGTCATTGCCACCACGGCCTATTGCCTACATGAATTATTTCTCTATCTGCAGTAAACAGCTGGGTAATTATTACTGCCATAATCAGATAAATTCCCTCTGTAAGGCTTTTCTTACATGGCAATTCTTTGAATTCATCCAAAGCTGAACAAAATTTATGAACTCCAGCAGGGAGGCCACTTTTTCATACTATGGTGTCCCTGTTCCCTATTTCAAGGACATGAGTAGAGCACCATAGATATTGTGTAAATAAGGAGAGTAAATATGATTACCTCAAGATAACATTTCAGTAAACCTCATTTTAAAAACATAATATTACGATCTCAGCCAAGTAAATGATAGCATTTTAGCTTTATCTAATTTTATGTTGATGACAGGTTCTTTTATAGTAAAGTCTATCCCAAAGAGTTAAAGAAAACAACATTTCAGTTTTCAAGAAACAAATTAGTCTGTAATGTTAACTGTAAGTGTAGCTTATTTTCTGTAGAATCATTTTATATATCAAGATACAATAATTATAGTAATTAATTTGGTAGAAATTATATAATAACACAAGCCAGGGTGTCCAACATAAAATGTAGAATATATTCTTTGCCTTAAAAACAGTCTGCCATTTATTCATAATTACTAGTTAATGACATAATCCATGTAATCACTTTAAAATATGGAATGATATTAACTATTTGATCACAGTCTTTTCACATGCTATATTTTAACAAGAATGTACTACCTTTTACAATTTGGCATTTCAAAATATTTAAAAACAAAATACACAGAAAGGAAAAAATGCTTCAGTCCCAAGAAGGAATTAACAAAAGGAAAAAGCTCATTATGTGGGTATTTCAATTTAACTCTTTCCACAATGAATTTCAAGCAGTTTACAAAGGACATGGGGACCACAGTAAAGGAAAATATAGATATGATGATGCTAATGGTATAATTGATCAGGGAAGATGATTAGTTAAGTATGTCCCATTAACAAAATGGAGAAACATTACTGCATATGCCAAGAAACAGTTTTTTCTAGCACTGATCCTGAAAGAAATTTTACATATAAGTCCTCAGTAGGAGACACTAAGTAAAGCAATGAACAATGTCTTCAGTAAAGTGATTTTTTTTTTTTTTTTGAGATGGAGTCTCACTCTGTCGCCAAGGCTACAGTGCAATGGCGTGATCTCGGCTCACTGCAACCTCTGTCTCCCGGGTTCCAGCAATTCTCCTGCCTCAGCCTCAGAGTACCTGGGATTACAGGCACGCACCACCACACCTGGCTTAGTTTTGTATTTTTAGTAGAGACAGGGTTTCACCATGTTGGCCATGCTGATCTCGAACTCCTGACCTCAAGTGATCTATCTATACACCTTGGCCTCCCAAAGTGCTGGGATTACAGATGTGAGCCACCACGCCCAGCCAAGTTTTTGTTTGTTTGTTTGTTTTCAAATACAAAAAAGCAGTCTGAATTTCAAATCCTTCTTTTTTGTAGTGATCTTTAGAGGAAAAAAAAATTCCTGGGGAATGTACTAAAATATTACTCATTTGAAAGTAAAAGACTAAAATAGTGTTAGTCCATGGACTTAGCCTTACGGTTGTCCAGCTTTGAGGAACGGATGGACTTGGAAGTTCTTATCTCTCACTTCTCTTACCTGATTTTTTGATAGACGATAAAAGAAAGTTTCTTTTTTTAAAAAAACTCTGTGATAGGGATTGAGAATGCTATTTTTCATATTGCCGATTTTGAGTAGATTTATCTCAGATGCAGATGCTTGATATATTAATAATATGTAAACTTTTTAGTCACATTTTATGATATGTTTACATTATTATGAAACTCTATTGAGAAAATGTTATTAGTGCTAAAAGTCATTTATATGTAATACTGTCCTGTGGACTATTTTGGCCTTCATCTTATTTTATCTCTTTGAAGCATAAAGGCACTGTAAACCACTTTCTTCTCTTCTCTTATAATTTAATTCTCTGATACCACTTTCTCTTGGTTTCCTTTCTCCATTTCTAATGGTTTCTTCTCTGCATTCCTTGTGTACTCTATTTGACCTTAAATATTAGTGTAGTGTACCCTCCTCGATGCATTTACCTTTTCATTGTACACTCTATAGATGATCACTTTCACTTCTGTGACTTCTGCTAGCACTTGTGTGATGATTCATAACTCCAAGTATTCTTCCACCGAGACCTCTATCTTGATTGTTTTAACCATCTATTCAAATGCCTGCTATCATTGCCACTTGGACATCCCACCAACATCTCAAGCTGAGCATGTTTAGATAAAATTATTTCCCCAAACCTCTTCCTCTTTCTATGGTAAATTGAACCATTCTTCATGTAGGCACCCAAGCCAGGAACATGAGATTTTCATTCTAAAAATTCTTCTCTTTATTGGTGGCCAAGCCCTATCAATTCTTTTCCTAGCTCTCCTCATAAGTCTGTTCTCCCTACTGCTGCCTTAATGATCTTTCTGAAATATAAATCTGATCACCATAATCTGTTTATTTCCTTCCTTTTCATTATCCCATAGTAAAAGATGACCTAGAGGTTCTAGAAACATGTGAAATATAAACACTGGGATTACATTTTAGAGTATATTCTTGGCATAAGAATTAAGCAAACCCAAAATGAACACTTGAATCATATTGTTTAACAGTTTTAATACTAAAAAATGTGAATCTTTGGATAAGAATGTTAACATGTATTTTAGATATAATATTAGCATAGAATGGGAATTCATAGAACATATGTATACCTAAATAAACTGAAATTTTAGGATAAATAGGAAATTGTGTAGTGATAACCTACTACAAAAAAAGCAAATTGATAAAGAATCATTTATTTTTAAATCACTTTTTAATTACCCCTTTGTAATGCTTGACAGCTTTTTCCATTTCCTTTCCTTCTAAATCTATCCTTTTCCCCTCTTGGAGTTGACAATGAAAAGAATGGAGAAAGAAAATTACTCCAGTTTCTCTCTCTCTCTCTCTCTCTCTGTCTCACCACTATTTTGTAATAGTTTCTTATCCAACAATAAATGGGATGGCATTCCCTGTGGCATTCATATAAAAATGATTTCCAAGATCAGCTGTAAAAGAATTGCTCAATAAATAGTTTCCCAAAACTCATTAGATAATTTCTGAAACTACATGTAGCATACTGCTTTAAAATATGTTGACATCATCCTATGGTATGTTATTACTGCTTTATGTTAGCCTCAAGATTAGTTGAGAGATGTCCCTTGTCTGTGTTTAGTGGATTGCATGCAAAAGCAGCAGCAATTATTTTTGCTTTAAAGTGAGGTTAACACATTTTAAATGAGAGACAATGTGTGATGTTTGAGTAAACACAAAATAAACAAGATCATGAAACTCTTTTTATATGAAATGGGAACTGTAGCTACCTCAATTCTGAACTCTACCCAAAACATAAATTTAGTGGGTTGATCCTCCTCCTCCACAGCTGAATCACTGTGAAGATGGGCAATGGAGAGAATATGATATGCCTTCATCTATCTTTATGCAGGAAAGCCCCCATGCTGTGTCTCAAAGTCACAATCTGTAAAGTCATTTTATTTCACAAAGATGAACAGAGACCTTGTTAATAATATCTGCCCCCTACCAACCTTAGTAGAATGTTGTGAGGCTGAATTAATATCTGAAAGCATTTGGAGCCCTGAAAATAATGTACCATATAAATATATTTTATTATTATTGCTATTATTGTAGTTATGTCATTATTAATTATTTGACATCACGCATATATAAAATTTTACTTCCTTTTACAGCAACTCTCTAGATGATAAAAAGAAAATAATTTTACTGTGAAATATGTGCATATTTTTAGAAAGAATACTATACAAAAATTCTTTTCAACCAAGTTGATTCAAAAATGCCAGAAGCAGAAAAAAAAATGATTTTCATGAATGATCTTTGAATGGAGTCTTATTGCTTTTTATAATCATGCAAAGCAGGTAAATGAAATAATAGAGCAATTGGACAATCCCTTTGTATGATCATACTAAAGTCATGGTATTGTAATTTTATAACATTGACCATTATCATCTTTTATACTTTTTTCATTCTCAAACTGTCTTGTCTATAGAGAATAAATTTACTAGCATTACTCTTAGAGAGCCCATTTATGTGTGGCCAGGAAACCTTTCTTCTCAAAAGTGCATTTCTGTCCTTTGCTGTTGATGGTCAAAGCCTACCGAAGAGAGCAAGAGTTTCTAGTGAATGATCCAGTCTTATTTCAACACTGCTCCTCTGTATCCCTGCTCTCTCTACTTAGTGAAAACTTGCTCGTTGTTCAGTTCCCAACTCCAATACCATCACCTCCATGAAACCTTTTCTGATCCATCTAATCAGAAGTGAGCCCCCTGAACTTAAGCACTACGTATGTATTTTTTTCACTGACTTATTTTCTACATTCTGATAAATTATCAGCTATTTTGTTTGTAACCTACTTGAAGGCAAGTACTACGGTTTAAACGTCTTTATTTCTCTAAATATCTTAAACATATTTGTGAATACCTGCTTGAATAAACAAATGAGTGTTAATTCTCTACATGATATTAACTCTTAAAATAGCTTAGATATTTTTGAAGAGAAACTCTTCTATACTGCAACAAAAGATTTTGTAACTAAACATTTTCCTTTCATTTTTTAATGAGAGGACCTTTCTGAATGTTTTTAAAATGTTAAAGTTTCAACTCTATATTTCAGAATAAGGTGTGAAACTCAGGCGCAACCTGAGTGCTTGAGTTAATGACTATGTGCTACAGAATATTTCATTTTAAACGTATTTTCCCTTTGTGAAGGGCTGCCCTAATGGAATTTGCAACACCTGTCATACAGATCCGGGGAGTAGGTAACCAGTAGCAAAATAAGGTAGATAAAGTAAGTGGTGTAAGTTGTTTGACTGACTTAAATTTTGTTTCTAATGGGAATATTTTAGGTATCTTAATAACTTCCAGATAATCTATTCCATGGTTTTATCACTCACAAAATATTTTTAAATGTCAAACCCAGAATCCTAGCATTTAAATGACTTTTTTATGGTTAGTATTTTTATTGTATTTTAGACTTAGCATTCTCTTTTTTCTTTTATGGCTTACTTATTTGGTTAAATTAATGTGAACATATTCAGAGCAGACAATTGTTAGAGATGAAATGTAAATACATTCAATAAATTTAACTAAAACACTTTTATGCCAAATACACCACAGCAGAAACTAATGCCATTTGACTATTTTAATTTGTTTAATTTTTTGGAGACAGGGTCTTACTATGTTGCTCAGGCTTGTCTTGAGCTCCTGGGTGCAAGTGAAGCTCCTGCCTCAGCCTCCGGAATAGCTGGTATTACAGGTGTGTGCCACCACACCCATGACTGTTTTTATTTTGAAGGCATCTTACAACAGAAGCACACACTGACTTTACTTGCCATGAAAACAGAATAAGGACAGTAAAAAGTTGTTTAAATCCATTTCGTTAGAATTTTATTTTTTCTTAAAGATGGTGCAGATGATGGCATTTTGTTTTTATTTAAGAAATCTATGTAGTATTTTTTATTAGCAGTTGACTCTGCAGCTTTAGGAATTTGTGTTTTTAACGCAGTCTGGATGTAATTATTTGTTTCTTTGTCAAAATTATGATTTTTGTGGAATTATTGTGAAGTACATATTGTGTCTTCTTTGTAGTATATCATAGACCACCTCAGGGTTCCACCTCCAGAATGTTTAATTAAGCCAGTCTGAGGTGGGGTCTGAGAAAGTGCATTTTTATTAGTTCCAAAGTGAAGTTGATGCTGCTGGTCCAGGGACCACACTTTGAGACCCACTAACCTAGGCAAAGAGCTGGAGTTCTGGTTCTACCCCCGCTTCCCAACAGAGGACTTTCACAATGTAGTTTCTTCTCTCTCCTAATTAAACCATCAGGAGTGATGAAATATACTAGTCAACTGAGAAATAGTTAAAGAGGATGCTGGCACCAAGTTCGTACTAGGTATTACACCAAGTGTTTTGGGAGGGGCACATCAATGAATAAACATTATTCTTGACCTTCAGGACCGGTCTTAGTCAGTTTGGGCTGCTGTAGCAGAATTCCAGAGAGTGACTAAACAAGAGAAATTTGTTTCTCACAGTTCTGGAGACTGGAAAATCCAAGACAGGTGCCAACATATCCATCTGGTAAGGGCACTCTTCTTTGTTTGCAGGCAGTTAACTTCTCCTTGTGTCCTCACAGAGGGAGAGCATCTTTCTCATGTCTGTTTTAAATCCCATGGCACTAATCCCATTCAATGGGGGATCCACCTCCATAATTGAATTACCTCCCAAAGGCCCCACCTCCAAATGCCATCACATTTAGGATTTAGGCTTCAACATGTGAATTTGGGGGAACTCGAATATTCAGCCTATAGCAGGACCTTAGCATTCAGGAGGGAGAGTTAGCAAGTCATGCATGCATACCTACAACTATAATGTGTTGCAGAAGGTAATGGACATATTAAAGAGAAATAAAGGATTCATAATCAGTATTACAGTGGGAGCAACTAAAGATTAATTTTTGTTGAGGGGATCTATGAAGCCTTCTTACAGGAAACGATGGAGGTTTTGTGTTTTTTGTTCTTGACTTAAAAAGAAGAGACTATAAAAATTATAAAGATTCTGTTTTTAGTATTATAGTTTGAAATGAACAAGAAAAGCAAAAAGAATGTGACCATCTTATTAATAATTTTTATTATGGTGAACAAAGCATTTAATGAGTATACTGAGCAAATATTGAACTGTATATAATTGAGTCATTTATATGTTACATAACATACATATTATATATTAATATATTTATTAGGATTATGAGTTTAGATTTTTTATCTTATATCACTTGTGGAAATAATATAATTTTGAGCAGAGTGCTCTTTTTCCTCAAAAATATTTTATAGAAATATATTATTTTTCTCCTTTGGTACAGACATTAGACAAAATCAAGAAACAGTTTAAAAAGAAAAAATGTAACAAGGAAAAGAAAATCTGCAATGCAAGAAAACATGAATTATTACATGATAGGAAGTAATCATTACCTTTCATTTGGGCTCGGGATTGAGCAGGATTATATACTTGTTTTTGCAGTCACTTCTCTCTAGTTCTTATCATCATTCATAGACATAAACCTACACACTTATATGGAGACAGTAGTCTTTTCAAAATGTTTGCTTATTCATTCAAATAGACATGGGCAACATAGACATACTCTTTATTTTTACAGTTTGCAGTCTAGTAGGGAAGACATATATTAAACAAATATATCCATAAATGTATGATTGTAAATTTTATTAAGTTATACGGAAGAAAAACAACATTATGATGTTTATGAGTGAAAAGAACAGTAAAAGGAGAATTCAGGTTGCTGTAGAGGAAATCCACATCAGAAAGTAAATACAATTTAAGTGAAGATCTTGAGGTAGAAATAAATGGTTTGCTAGGAAATGAAATACAGCCATTGTGACTGAAGCATAGTGATCCTGGGAGAGAGCAACATGAAGTGAGAGGGAGAGAGAAGCAGGGACCAATGCTGAAAGGCCTTGTAGGTTTGTATTGTGTGTTAGTTGTATTGTGCCAAATAGCTTCTAAGCATCTTTCAGCTTCAGTCTCTTTTATACATTAATGTTGTACATTAGAATTATTTACTTGCTCAGAAAATAGCAAATGGAAAACATATTTTAAGGAAAATAAGACATTTGTGGTGGCAAATGCAAAGGTCTGTGTATTTCATGGCCACACAGAGCTACCTGGTTATGATCTTACGATCTGGTGATGAAAGAGTAGTGACAGTTCATTGAAATCATTCTAAAACAGAGCAGCTTCTTCCATTTGCGTGCTTTGGAAAACTAATATATGTAATACAAAGCTACCTCTTCAGAAAAAAAAGTCCTATTGATAGCTAAATACAATACTGAATTTAGGCAACATGAGTATAGTATTGTGGTTAAAGGCAAAGATTTTGGAGTCAAACCCAGATTCAAATTCTAACTCTGTCACTTTCTGGATGTAGGAGTTTGGGCAGAGATTTAATCTCTGTGAGTATCATTTCCTCATCTGTTAACTGAGTGTAATAATATCTGCCCCACAGGACTATGAAAGTATTAAATGAGATGATATCTATGTCTTAGCCAGGAACCTCTTGAAAGCAGAACATAAATAGAGGATTAAAGTGCTGATACTTTGGGTGGCTCAATACCAGCTCAATGATGGTTAGAAAAGGGGGTCATAGATGGAAGTGTCATAGATGGAAACAACTCTCAGACAGTGATTTGGTGCATGAGATTTATTGGGGAGCAACATCTTTAAGGGAAGGGAGGAGGGAGGTTGAGAGAGAAGTTGAATTGTACCAGGAGGTCTCAGCTCTGCTGTTTGGATGGCCCTTTATATTGGTCCCAAACTGAGACAAAGGCTCTGGGCCTATATACTCTGTCAATCCCGTCATTGATTGAATCCAGGCTGGGGGCAGGATAACAAAACCTACCTGGGGCAGGGCAGCTGATTTTCTCCAGTGAGATATAGTTATGAACAGTCAGCAGACAGCACTCCTGGCAGCTGGAACTTTGGGTTTGGTTCTGTAGGGAGGAATGAGGCATTATGAGCTCCTGCAGTCCTGGCCACTGCTTCACAAAGAGCCCCATAGTGATGCAACATAGTTCAGCAGATATGCTTGTTGTCTTTTTTTTTTTTTTTTGAGATAGAGTCTCGCTCTGTCACCCAGCCTGGAGTGCAGTGGTGCGATCCGGCTCACTGCAACCTCCGCCTCCCA
The DNA here is from genome assembly GCF_000001405.40 of Homo sapiens. Taxonomy (NCBI): domain Eukaryota; kingdom Metazoa; phylum Chordata; class Mammalia; order Primates; family Hominidae; genus Homo; species Homo sapiens. The sequence continues at coordinate 217,737,919 of NC_000001.11, forward strand.
GGTTCAAGCGATTCTCCTGCCTGAGCCTCCTGAGTAGCTGGGATTACAGGTGCACACCACCACACCAGGCTAATTTTTTGTATTTTTAGTAGAGATGGGATTTCACTACGTTAGCCAGGCTGATCTTGAACTCGTGACCTCAGGTGATCCACCCGCCTTGGCCTCCCAAAGTGCTGGGATTATAGGCGTGAGCCACTGCACCTGGCCATGCTTGCTGTCTTTAGCCACACAGGTTGTCTTCAGGTTTGCAAGGAGAAACCACCCCTCAGAGTAGTAGGTGGAGGACAGGGAAAGGAGAAATTTATTTGCATGGTTCTTTTCTGTCTCCTATTTTCCAGTTATCAGGGTTTACCCCATGCCTCTTAGGAACTCATATTCCATGCTCTATATTGTGTAATTTCATTCCACAAAGTGCACTCTCATCCAGAGAGAGAAAGGAGGAGACCACCAAGGGAATTAGAGAAAGCATATCCAGTTGAGTAGATAAAGCATGTAGCCTAATACTTGGCTCATAGTAAATGTTCAATAAATAGCTAACACTTACATAGCGCCTTACTGTGTACCAGCCACTATTTTGAGTACTTTACATTGATTAACTTATCTCATCCTCACAATAGTTTAATGGAAAAGATACTAATATTAATATATTTACATTTTACAAATGAGGATATTGCAGCCCAGAGGGTAAACAGCTAGTAAGGAGCACAGCAGAGCTGTTATAACCAGGTGCCATTTGAGAGTCTATGCTCTTGGCCGGGTGCGATGGCTCACGCCTGCAATCCCAACACTTGGGGAAGCCAAGGCTGGTGGATTACCTGAGGTCAGGAGTTTGAGACCAGCCTGGCCAACATGGCGAAACACTATCTCTACTAAAAATACAAAAATTAGCTGGGCGTGGTGGCATGTGCCTATAATCCCAGCTACTTGGGAGGTTGAGGCAGGAGAATTGCTTGAACCCAGGAGGCAGAGGTTGCAGTGAGCTGAGATTGTGCCACTGCACTCCAGCGTGGGTGACAGAGCAAGACTCAATCTCAAAAAGACAAAATAAAACAAAACAAAAACAGAGTCTATGCTCTTAATCACTCCACTATATTGTGGCTATTATTATTATTGCTATCATTATTAGAATATGTAAATACTTTATTATCCCTATGAATATCATTGGCAAAATACATTCAAATATGTAAAGCTTTGCAAAAGTTTCAGTAATTTTTATCTTTATTTTAAAACTATATCAGAAAATGTTTTATAGATATGAAAACAGGGCAGAGAGTCTTGGAACTTATTCAAGTTTCTTTATATGGTAGAAGACAGGATTATAAGATAAAGGAAATATGCATGGCTAATTTAATAAAAATATATTTGGCATAATATTTCTTGTGTCAGGAAGATGACAGCCTGGTCTGGAGTTAGAAAATATGCAAACACAGAGATTCTAATTCCATTTCTGCCATTAACTTATTTGTTAATCACAGTAGGTCATTTAATCTCTTTATGTGTTTCTGTATTTGCAAAATAGAGTAATTAGTAAAAGCTATGCCATATATATCACAGGATTTTTTTTTGAGGATAGAAATGAGAAAATACATCTGAAATGTAAAATCAGAAAAACAACCTATCTAAATGTCTTGGAAGTACTGCATTGAAAAAATCTCCAGATTAAAAATATAGGTAATTTTTATAATTTTGTAGGGAATCCTAGTTAGAATGGTTTCCATCCTTTTATTTTTAATGAGATCATAATTTTTATTGCATCCTGCACACTGAGAAATATCTTCACCCTACTGCTATAACAAAAATGTATATATCAAGAATAATTTATTTAGCAATTCCTACTTCATCATTTAACAAAGAATGTTTGACATAAATATTACTGTCTTGTTCAGTATATCCACACACACTCAAATATTACAAGAAATCAATTTGGAACCTAAGAATTGACTTTTTTCAATAATTGGATGAATTTATTAAATTAACTACTTTTGTGTTTTGAGATTACACACTTGAGTGTTTCCTAAGTGTTTTCTTTATATGCTGGAAAGTAACTTTCTTTTCCATTATCTCGCAGTTTTTGTTCACTGTGCCATGCCACTGTATACATACTGTTTTTATTTTACATTTCCATATTCTGAAGATGAACTGTTTTTACTACTTAAAATAACTTACACTTTTGATTTTGTATCCAAGTTCTATGTACATCTTTGTACCTTACCCGTTCATATATGTTTTCAATTATATTAGGCCTTTCTTCTTATATAAGACCTTTTCATATTTATTAAATTATTTATAGAGCAGAAACTTCTTTATAGATTTTTTATTTTTATGATTGCTTAGAAAATTACTGTACTTATATTTAGCATAATATGAAATTGGATACATGCATTTCTGAGTAATTATCTTTATAGTGGTAGTTCTCTGGTTAATTTTTATTTTTTTCATAATATCAATAGTAAAGATTAAAATTAATAATGTATTTGCTTTTTAATGTAACATGTGATTGTTATTTTTCCCAGCAAAAGTTCTTATTTAGTCATATGTAACTGCCTTGAAATTTGTACTTTAAGGACAAAGAAAGGTCACCAATCCCTCTAACTCCTGGTTCTTTGTCAAAAATGGACACAGTTAATGAGGTTTGTTTGGTACAGAACAAATTCTCAGACACAGATAGAGATCCTTTCAATGGAAACAAATTTGTTTGGCTTTACCAGGTTACTTAGCGATTAATAATAGCCTTGAGATGCAGGTCAGAGAGGTCATTGTACCAGCTTGCCAACACAATCTAAATGTGCAGCTAGCCTGGCTCTGTGGGCGCAGAAGCCCCCAAAATACTATGCATAAAGTAAAACAGGCTATTTTCTGACTCCTTTTTTCATATTAATAAGCAATTTTCAAGAGAAGGTGGCAAAATGGGGGCCATGCCACTCCAAGTAATTCATTTATTTTGCAATTTAATCTTACGTTGAAAAAAATTGCTCAGCTGCAATAGCATAGCTTGGTGATTTTTAAACGTCAGTGTGTTTCATAAGTAACCTTGTATGAAGTATTGTATTAGTGGCCTTTAACAGAAAATTGCAACAAAAATATTTCTAGACATTGAAGTAGAAAGGAGAATCTTTTATTTTTTGAATTTTTTTCCTCTGCTTTCCTCAGATACCTTTGAGAAAAATGCTCAGATGATTTATTTAAAACTTTACTTACAGAACTAGACACTAAGTTACTTACCTACTTTTTTAAAAAAGTATAGTACAATTTCAAAACATTATTTTAACACAAATAGTTAAATTTTTCCTTGAAAATAAAGGATTTTTCTCCATATTTGATATCATAATCTGTTTAGCAGATGTTTTCACATAGTATACTTAAAAGCTTATTTTTTGTTTATATTTCTTAGATACACATAAATAATGAAAAGTTTCATTATTTTAATAGAATTTATTATACTTAGAAAAGACTTGCACTTTCTCACCTAATTTAGCTTTTATTCGAATTATCTGTGTAATTGGACAAAATGTCAACCTTTGAAGTGCAAGATAATATATGTAATCTTATTGGTATTATTTGAAGTGTCAACTGAAGTAAACCTACAATAAATTAAGTGTATGTATAAAACCTGTCACATTTTAAAAATTAGGCCATTAGTTAGTAGGCAAAATAAATGATTAGAGATTTGAAAATACAAACCCAAAATGTAAGGGAAAACAGTAGCACAGATGCTTTCTTGGGATATTTAAGTATGTCCAAAAAAGTTAATCTTAAAGCAAAAATACCCTGATAATTTAGTAAGACACTTACTTTGCATTTGATGTATTTTCTCAGCTTTGAATTAATTATAAATATACTCATTTGATCTCAAAAACTTAATCACTGAAAAGTCACATAAATGCTTTCTAAATATTGCAAAGATTCATGTAGAAAATGCAGGTAAGATAGATTACACCACTGATTTGGATGGATATGGATGATGGTTGCCCCTCAAAAAAACTGATTTATCATCAGTGAAAGAATTAAAATGTTAACACATAGTATCATAAATAACTGCAGATGGTTTTGATGCAGGAAGGCACTGGAGGAGTTTGCAGAAATGAAAGAAAGAGAAGAGAAGAAGGCTAACCTCGAAAGGGAAGAGAAGAAAAGAGATTACCAAGCCCGAAAGATGCATTACCTCCTCAGCACAAAGCAGGTTGGTTTACCTGTCCCTGACAGCTCCTGTAAGCCACTTGGGCCCCTAGCCTGACAAAGATAAACTAGCAGGCTGAATGGGACATGACTTGTTGAAAAGATATCACAAAGACACTACTTCGAGTTCAATTTCGTGCTTCTGTGTAGGTGCGCGCAGGCACCATGACTCGTCTGTGACAGCGGCTTCATAGAGGCAGCCGCTGCGATGCTGGCAGAAAGGTCCAAGTCAGCAGTGTGATCTGCCACGGTGATAACACAACTCGAAGGGCATAACCTCGCTTTCAAAACTCATTCTGAGTGGCTTATTGTTGTGTTGTGAATTGATCAAGAACTAACAAGTTATTAGGCTGAGGTTGCTTTCATGTTTTCTCTTTTAATTGAGCTAACGTTGAGATTAAAACCATTTTTCAACCGTTTCTAAATTTTGATGGAAGTTTTCAGGTAAAGCTTTTAACAAAATTGCTTCAGGAATTACATCTTCTTATAGAAGTATAAGCACGAAATTTGGAATACTTAGACATTTATTTTACAATGCTTGCTAAAATGTCAATACCCTGGATTTTGTCCTGGTTACTAGGAAAGAATACATGTCATGTGGAATAGTCTCAAAAAGAAATACGGTTTTAAAAAAGCATGAGTTTGGGGAGTGAGATATGTTTTGTTACTGGGGATCTAGTCAGGAAACTAGCAATTTCCGGGTTTTTATTTTTTTCTCATAGACCTTCAAGTTCAGTGTTGTAGTTCTGGCCAGAGTCACATAGTTGAATGTCTCCAGGTAGGGGCAAGTCAAGTCCCAGTGGTGAAGGGTGGGCCCCAAGACCAAATGTCATCCTTAGAGGCATCCAAATTAAAATATATATATATATATATATTAAATCCTGGGCTGGCCGTCTACATTTGGAGTGTAGATCTCCCGCATCTCTAGCCTGTGCTTGGTAGTCTAAATACCAATACTTTTTAATCATGGTGACTATCTTCATATTTACTTGGATTTGTGTAGCTGAGTTATCTTCATTTGACAGGTAAGGAAACAAACTCAGAGGTGTTACGTAGCTAAGTTACAGATACAAAGCTAGTAGAAATAGATATGGCACTCGGCACTCTGAGGTCTCTAGACTTTAAATACTTAGGCAATAATTAAAAGATACTTTTAAAAATTAAAAGTCAAAATATTTTAACTTTTCATTATAAAATCTATAGTAGTAAAATTTTAGTTGTATAATTGAGGTGCTACATTTTTATATAGAATTTCAAATCAAAAATTCCTTTTAGCAGAAAATTTTTAACTTTAGTTATTAGTAATTTCAACTTTCATTAAACTGAGTACTATTAATATCCTTATTTCTTTAAATCTGATATTTTATTTTTTACAATACAGTTGTTAATTTTAATAACTCTGAACCATCTTTATACTCTGAATCTTTCTTAATATGAGTTCTAGTTGTGCTATGTATACTTATGATGGGTATTGTAATACAGAAAGCAATTTTTAAAATAGTGAAATCATTCTTTTTTTTTTTAAGAGGGAGCAAAAAAGAGTCTCACCCTGTTGCCCAGGCTGGAGTACAGTGGCGTGATCTTGGCTCACTGCAACCTACACCTCCTGGGTTCAAGCAATTCTCCTGCCTCAGCCTCCAGAGTAGCTGAGATTACAGGCATCCACCACCATGCCAGGCTAATTTTTGTATTTTAATAGAGATGAGGTTTCACCGTGTTGGTCAGGCTGGTCTTGATCTCCTGACCTCAAGTGATCCCCCCGCCTGGGCCTCCCAAAGTGCTGGGATTACAGGTGTGAGCCACCATGCCTGGCCTAAAATAGTGAAATCATATTTAACTGAACATTTGTTAATTCTGTTTTTTTCAAGGTTGTTGAGATACTGAGTATCTAGTGAAATGATTTAGAAAGTCCATGAAGACTCAGTTTTTTTTACTGATAAAAATAATCTGACAGCAAATATCTATGGAGTGCTTACCATGTGCCAAACAGTATTATAGAGACTTTCTATGCATTATTTCTTTAACTAATTTCATTTCATTTCATTTCATTTTTAAAATTAAGCACCTGGTTTGACAAAGAATTTTCGGCCGGGCGCGGTGGCTCACGCCTGTAATCCCAGCACTTTGGGAGGCCGAGGCGGGCGGATCACGAGGTCAAGAGATCGAGACCATCCCGGCTAAAACGGTGAAACCCCGTCTCTACTAAAAATACAAAAAAATTAGCCGGGCGTAGTGGCGGGCGCCTGTAGTCCCAGCTACTTGGGAGGCTGAGGCAGGAGAATGGCGTGAACCCGGGAGGCGGAGCTTGCAGTGAGCCGAGATCCCGCCACTGCACTCCAGCCTGGGCGACAGAGCGAGACTCCGTCTCAAAAAAAAAAAAAAAAAAAAAAAGAATTTTCACAAACCTGACTAAAACACTTGAATCATAGACCTTAATGGATTTTCAGGTATTACCATTGTGTTTTAAGTATATTTGTATTAACAAATACAAGCTGTCAATGCATTTTTCTCCTTCTTTATACCATATAAGCTGCTGATAATATCAATGTATGTAAACTTTACTTTAGTGATCCCTAGTCTCCAAAACTCCTTGGCATCCAATAAAATAATTATTTTTGAGGCACTATGGCAAGGTTGAAAGAACCCAAGTATTGTCATCAGACAGAGCTGAGTTGACATCCCAGCTCTCCCACTAAGGGTAATATATTAGGAGATTACCTTCAGTTTTCTAAGCCTCTGCTTCCGTCTGCATTTGTGGGATAATGAAACCCACCTTGGAAGAATGTGATGAGGATTAAATGTAATGTATTTAAAGCAGTGCCAGACCCTTCGAGGGCATTCAGTAAATGGTAACAATCATATTATTAGAATTTAACCACAGATAAACCTAAGGTTTTCTTAATTTTCTTCCATTAATCTTACCAATTGGAAGCATTCATTTCCTCATTTCCTTTCTTGGCTTTCCTTTAGTTATTAATAAAAAATTAGTTAGAAATTTCTATACTGGTGTCCCCCACCTCCATTTGACACTTGACTTCACAGACCTGAGGACATTACAGGTGAAATTGTATTCTCAAATCGCTTCCCTTGGAGATAAATGTTACAAAAATATCAGGGATTTTAATTTGGACCTGGCTGGTTGGTAAACTTCATCATAGTGATCTTAATATTTGATCACAGGTAACTAGAGATGAAAAGACAACCCTTTGAACCTATGGAGCCACTTTTGTTCCCAAGGCAAACTTTTTGTGTGTGTGGTGGTAAAATAGAATAGCAGTGTCATCTTAGACTCATCTGTTCATTTTGTTCAAGGGATTAGTTTTACTGACAGAATGATACTGGAAAGTTCATATGTTCTCTTCCTTATATCCCAACAGATTTGCTTTACTTAGCTTTTAATCAGTATTTTTCATCATGATATTAAAAAGTTGAATTTTAAAACATGCTACAAGTCAGAACTATTAATACAAACTGTCTCCATCTAAACAAAAGTATGCAACACTAAGATTTAATAAATATAATAAACATGAATCTTAACTTAAACTTATCAGTTAATCACTTCCAATAATATTTTTGAGTGCCTGCCATCTAATAGTACTGTGCTAGGACTTTAGTATATATAAATATATACTATGTAATCTTTAACCACAAAAAGCGCTGAGCCTAATTTCAGTCTAATGTCAATTTTTTTGTAGATGGAAATTGTCAACTTTTCACTACTGCTTATACAGGCCATCTCACTGAAATTAACAACCATTTATACTTACGATTTTGCTGATTTGCTATTTTATTTTAATAAAAAATAACATAACCTTCCTTCCTGAACCTAAGGAAGATTCAGAGAACAAAAGACACACATTTCAATCTGAGTGTTGTTAGTAATTTTTACAGCATGTCTTGGCTATTGGGGAGAAATTAAGCTGCAGATTTTAAAATATTCTTTACTTAGTTGTTTACAAATTAATTTCATTGCTTGTTTTAAGATTAATTTCACTGCTTGCTTTAAGATTTTGATTTCAAATTATATTTATAGACCTTTAAGTACAAATAAAAGCCAAATAAGAATTGATACTGTTCATTTTAAAAGATTTGTATCAATTTTAACGTTCAATGCTTGCAGATATTTGAAAATTCTCCAAATATTCAAGTTTGAATAATTTTATAAAAAGTATACCAGGATAGGAAAAGCTTTATTGATCTGCTTAAAAGGAATAAATCTAATAGGATTTTTAGCAAAGAGAGGGACATTATTTATATTGATGATTTATATTGGTGATTGGTGATTAGGAATGATGTTAGTATGGTTTATAGAATAGTAATTTTTACATTAATTTTTATTGTTCTAATAGCTTACTTTAGATGAGTTAGAAATAAAACATTAATTTTGACAGTGCTTCAAAAAAGATAATTTTGTAAGCCAAAATTGTATTTGTGAATTCAGATATAGATGATATAAGATTATGTGTTTTTAATGTGTTAATAATTTTACGATGATTATGCTGATATACTCATATACTCATATGCTGATTGCAAAGTTTTAAAGTCAGGTTTAAGCCTATTTTTAGTACAAATCCAATGTATACCTTAAAATAGTTCCAAAAGCTATCACTAATTTTTGATGGTATTAATTATCTCATCTTTATTCAAGCAAATATGTTAGTGCTAATAGAAATTACACAAGTAAATAACTAATATTGCAATGAGTGAATTAATAGACCCCTCAGGGTTTTATTAATTAAAAAGTTCAAGTCATATTAAAACACCTTTTGTATATGTTTATTTCAATCAGAAAGCTGAATATGGTACCTTATTTGCATAAATAATCAATCACCATTTACTAGTAGTAATAAGGTTAATTTGTTGCTACAGACATAATAGAATTAGTCAATTATATTTCCCAGAAAATACTATTTGTTATGCACCCCATCACCTGTAAAACAGGGTTGGGATTAGCACCCTTATTAAATGAACACATCAAGAAATCTTTGTCCCTGTAAAAGTTTTATGAAAGGAAGACTAATTTTGGTTGATTTGGATAAAGTAAAATGCAAATATTGCTTCCATTTGTAAATTTAATTTATCTTTCTCTAAAGATTGATTATTTAATAAAGTTATTTATTTTGATTCAGTAACTAGTCAAACTAAATCTAACACATATAAGACATATTTCCTTTGAAGAAAATCTCATTTGCAGATTTGTTTTATTCCAAATAAACTGACTTTCATTCCCTTGCCCTTGTTCTTGGGTAATAAATTATGTTGTCTGCTCCACCTACTGGTGGATATATGCAAAGGCCTATTGTTGGATTTATTAAAAGATGCCTGTAAAATATTGCCAGAATTTTTGAGAATCTTCCTGGAGATTAGAAAAATTACAGACACAAATGTAAAATTCAAGATCCAAATTATAAAAGGTTACTTTGGAAATATTGGTTATTATATAGAATTATACACGGCAATAGTTATCTTATTAGTGAAAATGTTACCCTGTTTTTCATTTTAAAGTGATAATAAAAAAGGTAAATAAACATAAAATATACATATAACTCAGTATAACTATGCATATTTTATTTGGTGTGGCATTTAAGGGTTTACACATATTGAAATTAAAGCTAAAGTAGAAACAAATTTACTTTAATTACAATTGTTACACGTATATAATGGAAATAATTTTCATGTCATAATTTATACGATAGATTTTTGATGTTTTTCCTCACTCATCACTAAAGCAGTGAAAATACTACTGAAAAAACTATTTTAAGTTATTTATGATTTAAAAAGACCCTATACTGTGATTAATACTGATAAAACTTTACTTTGAATTGTATTTTTGAGGAAGCCAAAATGGTTTCAGCTACTTCTTTCCCAAATCATATTAAATCATATTTGTATAGAGAAAGACTGTCTTAATTTTAAAAATTAAACTTGGCCGGGCGCGGTGGCTCACGCCTGTAATTCCAGCACTTTGGGAGGCCGAGGTGGGCGGATCACGAGGTCAGGAAATCGAGATAATCCTGGCTAACACAGTGAAACCCCGTCTCTACAAAAAATACAAAAAATTAGCCAGGCATGGTGGCGAGCGCCTGTAGTCCCAGCTACTCGGGAGGCTGAGGCAGGAGAATGGTGTGAACCTGGGAGGCGGAGCTTGCAGTGAGCCGAGATCGCACCATTGCACTCCAGCCTGGGCAACAGAGCGAGACTCCATCTCAAAAAAAAAAAAAAAAATTAACTTGACATACCCATAATTAATTGATAGTCTGTTGATATGAAAAACAGTTTTATAAGACAAATCTTTTTTAAAAAAATTATTTTAATTTCCAGGATACAAATCTTATAAGGTGAAAAATATTTAAATTAGGAAAATTTTGGCCAGGTGCAGTGGCTCACGCCTGTAACCCAGCACTTGGGGAGGCCAAGGAGGGCAGATCACTTGAGGTCAGTAGTTCGAAACCAGCCTGGCCAACATGGTGAAACCCCGTCTCTATTGAAAGTATAAAAAAATTAGTTGGATGTGGTGGCGGGCGCCTGTAATCCCATCTACTCGGAGGCTGAGGCAGGAGAATCGCTTGAACCTGGGAGGCAGAGGTTGCAGTGAGCCGAGATCACGCCACTGCACTCCAGCCTGGGTGGCAGAGCAAGACTCTGACTCAAAAAAAAAAAAAAAAAAAACTTTAATTCTTCCAAATCACTTATTACTTTCGACTCTATCTTTTAAGTATCATAAGTGGAGAGATCTTATGCATATCAAGTGCTCAATACGTGATTATTCACTTTTATTTTGAGATGATGAAGTCCTAGAAAAATGGCAGCCTTACCGTGTGCACCTGCCAACATGTGTGCATATGTGTGGGTATGTGTATCTATGTGTCATATGTCTTTGTATATTTGGTATATTTGGAAAGTACCTTTGGAGAGGCTATACCATTGCCTAATGTGTGGGTATTGCATTGCACATTACATTTGTGTGGGTATGTGTATCTATGTGCCATATGTCTTTGTATGTTTGGTATATTTGGAAAGTATCTTTGGAGTGATAGGGAAACTCGAGTAATGTTAAGATTACCTGTAATGACTTTCTGGAGCACATATTTGGACCTCTTAGACCTTATCTCATAACCACTTTTCTGACTTGAAAAACATTGATTTTGTTCCTTTATAGTTTCTTAGTTGGACCTTTTTTCCCTCTTTTGTATTTCCATGATATACAGGCAAAAGGATGTATGCCTTGATACTTACGGTTGCCAATAGTACCCTTATCTCCACTGCACTGAATATTACATTTATGATCTTTGTGGTTTGATGCAGCCTGATTTTGAGCATTCACATGTTCCTTGTGAACTTTTTTTGGGCTTTTTTTTCTGTGTGTGTTTTTTTTCTATTTTCCAAATCAGACTTTACATTAAACGATCCACGATTCTAAACTATCCCCAGTTATCCAGGGTTTTGAAGTAGTTGACTCTTCTTCTGTTTTTGCTATCGTCTTTCAGTTCATCATTCCAGGTGTCTTTCAAATCAGTCCCTTCACGTTTATTTCCTGAACCCTGAGAAATTGTAATAGTCTCTAAAATGATTTTCTTTTTAAGTCTTTTGCCCTTTAACCCAATATATTTACCACCATCAGATAAATCTTTCTAAAAGAGCATTTTTATTTCATTTATCTTTGCAGTTTGTAAGCCTCCAAAGATTCCCTGTTATCCATAGGATAAAATCCATATTTTTCAGCGTAAGCATTCAAAATTCTTTACAATCTGACTTCACTCTGCCTATTGAGTCTGATCTGCCTTTGCTCCTCAATATGAGCATACTGATACAGTCTGACTTTATATCCTAGAGAAATTTGTCATAAGATTCTCTCTCTCTCTCTCTCTCTCTCTCTCTCTCTCTCTCTCTCTATATATATATATATATATATATATATGAGGTAGGTGACTTCTGGTGATTTGCCATATTGTGGAAATTCAGAAGCCTCCCCTCTACCTCTCACAGAAGAGGAGAAACATGTTACAAGCTTTTCACTAATACGTTGAATTTGACTGTTACTTTACCGTTAAAGATGTATTTCTTTCTCCTATTAAATTTAGATAACTAATTTAGATGATATTTAGAAAGGAGACATATTAGCTTTCAGGTTGTCCTTAATGGTATATCTTAGTGAAAATTGATAGATTGTGAACAGCTTCTGATAAGAATGGGAAAGAAAACTACGTTCAGAGACCTGAGGCAATGCCTAGAGTATAAAGACCCAAATGGACATAAAATTGGTAAGAAAGAGATCCAGGGATGCTGAAGGGTGTAATGCATTCATGGAATGTCTGGGGAGGAAAGTAGGTATTTATGGCACTAAAAAGAATATTAAGAGGACATGCAGAAGAAATGTATCAGTTGTGTCATTTTGCTTAGAGTCACTGCTATTTAGTATCAATTATTAACATAGCATTCTCCAAAACCAATTCTTAATTCGTACATTCCCTGCCACTTATTTAGCAAACTTTTTCAGGAGTTGGAAAGGTCTGGTAATAAGATAGAGTTATGGATGTATGGTTTGGGAGGTAGATTCATACGTTTTACATGAAGGATCTTATATTTGCTTGTGCTAACTTCCCAGTAGTTTGTATGAATGTTTTCATGCAGAAAAATTTAACAATAGGAACTCACACTGACAGAGATGCCACTCGTCGGAATGTGCTAGAGCAGCATGGGATCTTTAGGATGATCTTTCCAGCCTTCTCTCTTAACCGATTAAAGAAATTAAGACTAGAAGATAAAGCAACCTGCGCAAGGTCACACAACTAGTTTGAATACATTCTGTAAAGCTGGGGCATCCTCAGTAAACCATGGTCACAATAAAAATCTGAGTTGGTCATCTACATCTGTGGTCTACACCTGGTTCACCTAAATAAACCTTACATGGAAGGAACTGTATCCTACCTTTATGACTGTCCAGCCATCCTTCTTTAAAGGATATGCGCTGGTTTTTCATTGAATTCTCTCTTTTTCTCTTTCTCTGAAATGGGTTAGTACTTGCAAGAAACATCAATTCTGAGTGAGTTCACGTACAAAGATAAAAACTAAGGCCTGTATATAGAAGCATAAGGAAAGCCAGAATGTAATTTAGATATCTGTGGTAACTTCTAGTGAATTGCTCAAAGCAATTTATTATATCTATTTTCAGAATATTCTATAAAAGCAGAAATTATCTTTCTAGTGACTAAAATGTTGTTTGGGACTCCTTTTTTTCCCTTTGGACACTTGGCAGGTTTATTCTTTCAAGATTACATAGAGATCTGACCCACGATCTTTGGATCCATAGTTTAAGAGGCAGGTCCTCAAGTCTGGACATTTGTTCTTAATCCCAAGTGAACAGCTCACATCACAGAATCATCACATAATTTGTTACTATTGGCAGTCTCTGTGCAGAAAGGCCAAGGACTGAACTAGCATGGAGAATGAATTACCTATTAACTCTTACATTTTATTTCCTCCCTCTTTAACATTGTAGTTTTTATTATCCTGTAATATATGAAAGGGATGGCATTATTATCCATTGTCAGTTCTCTTTGAAGAGACAGAGTGAAGTGGTTTTAAAAAAATCTTGTTGTGTTTTCAAATGAATTCCTTTTCTGCTCTTCTCCTCTTGCCATCTTTTAACTACCTCACATCTAAGAAAGAGGCAACAATTTCCGAAAGAGGCAAGAATAAATAAAAATTAATTAAAAGAGAGCCACTTAGGTAGAAAAGGGCCTTAGCTCTTTCCCTTATATATTTTTTCCTTTTAAGTGTGCAGCATTTTAGAATAAATTCCTTAGAAAAACACATTATAAACCTCCCCCTTATGTGTGACTGGGGACAGATCCATGTGTTATGGGCCTGAAGCTTACACAATTTTGGGAATACACCTTTAAGGATAAAGTTTGCAAAGTTTCAAATAAAAGAGGATAAGTTCATTATTCCTGTTTTCTTTAGATACAGAGTCTCGCTCTGTCACTCAGGCTGGAGTGCAGTGGCGTGATCATAGCTTGAATTTGTGGGCTCAAGTGCTCTCCCACCCCAGCCTCAAGTAGCTGAGACTACAGGCAGGTGCCATCACACCTGGCTAGGTTTGTTTACATTTTTTGTAGACATAGGGTCTTGCTGTGTTGCCCAGGCTGCTCTCAAACTCCTGGCCTCAAGTGATCCTCCCACCTCAGCCTCCCAAAGTGCTGAGATTACAGGCATGAGCCACCACACCTGGCAATATTTTTTATAATGAGAAAGGAAATCATTTCAAGCACATTTCAAATTTTAATGGCCTGATAATACCCAACATCTTAAAATCTAAAAATATAGCATAGTGCTTTAATTAACTGCCTGAAACAGCTCTATGGCATTTGTTTTCTATGTTTTGACTTCATACTCTTTGATTGCTTCTTTTTTGACAATAATATTGTTATACTTTCTGAAGTGAGAAGAGGTGGATTATTTACGCTTTTGTTCTGACAACATTGATCTAAATTTTCATTACTATAAAAGTGTTGTATAATGCATTATGTTGAATATATTTTTGAAAGGAGAGTCTTCCATTTTGTATATGAAATTATGAGAATTGGATTCCCCATTTATGATTTACACATCTGAAAGTTGGAAAAATTTTTCACAGGCTAGCTTTCGGCTGTGTGCATTTTAAACCTCGCTTCTCCCCCACTTCTCACAGACTTCCATGATGAGGCACTTTAGGATGTCCTATTGCAATGAAGCCCCTGGCCCTGCTCCTTCATTCACAGTGCCTCCTATCTACACGGTGGGTGGTAGGAATATTCCTGGGAGGTATTTCTGTTTTGGGATTGCTAACAAATATTAAGTATATGTGGAAGTGACAGAAAACCCACATAAATATATTAACTAAACCTAGATTAAACATGTACCCACCTCATCTTTTTCATAGCCTGATCTGAACATGCCCACAGCCACTCTCATACCACCCAACCCACGGGGAAGTGTGATAGAGGATGTCAGAGTATAAAGAGACAGTGGCATTCACTGATATCTGACTTTTGCCAATTTTACAAAAAGCATGACCACGTGAACAAATTGCCAGGGTCCTACCCTGTGCCTTGGAAGGGGCCTATGAAAGCAAGGGGCCCCAAAGCTTAAGCTTCCTTAGTTTCACTGTTACTTCACCTCTGAGTGGACTCCATTCATGTACTATGTGAAAACCCTGCTGCTCTTGTTAAATTTGCTCAAATAAGTTTTAACTTTTGTTTCAATGTGCTATACATAATCATCGGCACACCAGATTTCAAATCCAGCCTTCAGACAATTAAGTAAACCTTATCATTTTAGGCCTATCTTTCTTTAAAGCTGAAGCACCGAATTTTCTTTAGTTCTTTCTCTTTTTTTAAATTGAAAACAAAATTTGGACATCAAACTCAGGATCAGTTTATTTTCATTTAGTAGATTCGGTGCCTTTTTTTAATTAACTTATTAGGTATGGGTAGAGATAGTTATTGGGTATTAAAAAGAATGAATATATTTTGTATATGTATATATATATGTATATGTATACATTTTTATTTGTACATATGTATATATGTACATACATGTATACATGTTATGTATGTATATGCATATATACACACACAAATACAAACATATATAAAATTTCAAATACAGTCTTAATAAAACATTCAAAAGCCAGAAAAGAATTAGGACAAAGTACATAACAAATGTAGCTCCAATTTCTTACCTCAGTGTAAAATGTTCCTCCACTTACCCCAGAACACCATATTTTAAATTGTATTGTATGCAAACAATTTATACAAGGCAAGTGGAAGTTAATTAATATTTGCTTATTTTTATTGGTTTTATATAAAACTCCTATTGGCCCAGCACAGTGTCTCACGCCTGTAATACCCAACACTTTGGGAGGCCAAGGCAGGCAGATCACTTAAGACCAGGAGTTCAAGACCTGCCTGGGCAACATGGCAAAACACCATCTCTACAAAAAAAAAATTATCCAGGCAAGGTGGTGCATGCCTGTAGTCCCAGCTACTTGGGAGGCTGAGTGGGAGGCTTGCTTAATTAAGCCCAGGAGGTCGAGGCTGCAGTGAGCCATGATCGCGCCACTGTACTCCAGCCTGGGCAACAAAGCAAGACCCTGTCTCAAAACAAACAAACAAAAAACCAAAAAAATCCTACAGTTATTGTCAAGTTAATTACAATCAATTCTGTCATTTTCTTCATTGGTTAGAAGAGATTAAGCTTTAGGTGGTTCCTTTTTTAATCACTAATTAAATTTATAATATAATAAAATCCAAATCTTAGAAACACAAGCAGTTAGGTCATTTCTTTAACTAAATCTAATGAAAGAAATGGGGCTGTAATAGTTTTGTAGATTTAAATTTTTATTTCTCTTACTATTATGGCTATTTTTCTATTTTGAGGACACTTCAGAAATATTTTGGATTGAGCCCAGTCATGAGTTAGATGCTATTATGTATAACTGATAAATAATCAGTTTGTAAGGTTTGTCAGGTTATGATTTATCCTAGCTCTTCAGTGAGATTAGAAGAATAACTTTATATAGATATCCCAGTGTCTCTGATATTTAATCCACTCTTTTAGATTGAAAAACTTCATAATCTTTCTGTTGAGTATCTGGCAGCCAGATTTTAAAATTTCAGGCTCTAGTCTAATCCATCGTCTTTTTCCTTTGATCTTTCTCTTTATTACCCTCCCTACTCTGTGCACTCTATCATGAAATACAATATGCCCTTTATATTAAAACTAGAGACTTAAGGAGAGAGATTATACTCCCAAATGTTTTCCTAAAATGAGCTCTTAACTGAGTCAATGGTTAAGATACTCAAACATTGACTAATGTGACTGATGTGGTCATTAAGGTCACTGTTAAGATCATAAGTATTTAAGTTCTGAGATCAAAGTATAGTCCAACACATGAAATAATCTATAAATTTTGGATTTTATGCAAAATGTAAATATTTTAAAATACACAGAAAGTTTGCTTATTATATTGTGTATTTGTTACAATTACAAAACAAAAAAAGAGGAATTCCAATTTTTTATTTAAAAAATATAAAATTGATTTCATTTTGGTGTGATATGATTTTAAGTATTTTAGTCTAAAATGTCAGACAGGTTTTCTGTAAAACGAATAATCTTGTCAATTGCTGTCTCTATCTACTGTATCTTTTGACAGTTAGAAATATTTTACTCAGCAATGAATTATGTTATTCATAGAGTATCACAAGAGACAGTAAAATAAAAGATGAGAAAATGAAGATGTGGAGAAGAAAGGGAAAAGAATCTTTCTTTAAATTTTAATTTGTGAATATCTCTGAGTGTAAAATAAATAAGCTGCATATCTCAGTAGCTAGTATTATGCTGAAAAACTTGTCAAAAAAATTTTTTTCTTAGTTTACAGAAAAGTGACATCTACAAGGTGCTTACATAAGGAAAAGCATGCCTAATTAGTCATTCCCTTAATGACTTGAATTTCAGAGTTTTTTCTCAAGTTTATTCAGCAATATTTTCCATTAACTTTTAAATTAATTCATGTAAACATATGTATGCATATAATTTCTGTTTTAACATCCCACTAAATAAATGTGAATCCCTTAAAATAATATAATTTTGTTGTATTTATAATACATAATTAAATAATGTTAATTATTTATATTTAGGTTCTATGTACATAAGTTAACTTACGATCATCTGTATTGGTCTTAAACTCACATCACTGAAATTATTCAATTTATTTTACCTATTTTTTTGTTTATATATCTATACCAAAATCAACCTCGTTTGCTATTATTTGAGTATTAAAATTTTTGAGTTTTCCTTGCTTTTTCAAGGCAGAATTATTCCCTTTTCCCCCTTCTATGTCTTAATAAAGCACTTGCTATTGGTTTTATGGTTATAGCTACCTCCCTCTAATGTAGGTGAATTCATAAAGGAGAACAATCATGCCATTTTGATATCTCCAGTTTCTCATACCAAAGTAGGCTCACAAGTAATATCGATTAACTAATAAATGAATGTTTTATGTACATGTCCTAATTCTGATTTAAAATAATTTTAGATACAAAACAAGACAGGCAGCTTTTATTTTAATTCCAATTATTCACTCTTTTTTTAATGAAACAAGATTGTAAGTAAAACAAAATTATTTTTAAAGCTACAATAATTTTTTAGTAACTTATGTCTATATTTGCCCAAATATATTTTTTGTGGTTTTTTTTTGAAGGACAAATCTTATATACCAAGAAAAGGCAAAGGGGAAAGCTAATATTTTTTAGACTCTGTGTGCCCCAAATTAAACCAAGTTACACAATAGATATAGGATGAAACTAAATTTCAAACTTAGCTCTGGCTGTCTTCAAAACCACGCTTCCCGTTTATGGATGGTTTCAAGGGAGCTGAGAAAGGGACTACTTTAAGAATATTTTCCTGGATTATGAGTGAAATTGTATTTTAAGAGTTCTGTTCACTTGAAAGCAACTTCTAGACAACATATTCAACATTATTAGCCTTTAATACTTTGTGGGAATTAGTGCCTCAGTTTCTTCAGAGATCAGGAGGTGGAAGAGACAATTCAGATGCAAGGCCCTCTCACAGGAAGTGAAGCAAGGCTTCATGGGTCCTTATGGACACTTCTTAGGCAATCTATTTGTCATGCCAGAAAAAGAACAATGAAGAGAGGAATAAGTGGGTACTTGTCATCTACTTAGTATTTTCATCTTTGAAATACCAGCTGAAATTCTGAAACAACAGAAATCCTGTTCAACATCCTGTTACACATTGGTTTGTAATCATTTTATGAGACGAAGGGATGTTTATAAAAATACAAATGCCTTCGACATCTCATTCTTGATCTAATTAGCAATGTTTCTTTTACTTAATGAATACTCATGACAGTTAAAAACTGAGCTTGCTACACCCCAAATGATAAAACGGAAGATTCATTTACTGGTATATTCAGTACCATCTGAGACATTAATATAGTTAATGGCAAAAGTGAGACATGATATTTGCCAAAGTGCTGTTATGGAATAATCAGGGTGGAAACTTGGCTAAGATGGGAAAGACAGGTGTTAGAGCCCAATACATAAATCCCCTTTTTCCTGCCTGATTTCAGAACCAGTGGAGAGAAAAATAAAAAAGACAGATAGTTGGAGATAAAAACATACCTCTATCTCAAAATTAGTAATGAAAGCTGAATTGGAAGTTTACATCTGAGTCAATAATGAGCTTGCTTCTATTTAGTTCCATCATTAAATCTACCCCCTGTCAGGGACAGCGGAGGAAAACTAGGCCTATCCCTGTAAATCTGAAAGGAAGTGAGAGCAAAGGATATTTGCTTCCCATAAATAGGCTGGCTTTCAAGAGGTGCGGGGAAGGGGCTAAATTAGGTTGAATCAACTCCTTTCCTGATGCACAAACTGCAAACCCACTCCTTCTTCCTTGACATACTGAAGGGCAGAGAGAAGCCCATAAAAACATGAGGAATGGGAAATATGTACTTCCCACTAACTAGATTTGTAGGGTTGGCAAGGAAGCAAGGTTAGAGGAGAGTTTTAGAATGGTAGAAGCTTGTACATGTTCGTCAGAGCTACTTGAGGGAGAAGGCCTGAAAATACAGAAGAGAAAAAAATAACCAAATAAACATGGACCCCGAAAAGGTGAAAGAGGATGCAGTGAAGATCATTACGTTGTAGGCTTAAACAAGTGGAAGAAGACCTGAACTTCTGGGTCAAGAAGGAATAAAATTAATGTAGGATCATGTAAGGATGCTTTTGTGGGAAAGGTCAGATGTTAAAGTAATTAATGTTTGAATACCTCAATATTCTGGTTGATCTTCCAGAGTAATCCTTACAAGAATGAGAGAGGGTGGAATGTTTAGTGGTACTGGGGGCCAGCTAGATTTGAAATCCACAAATAGCAGTCTGCCTGGTTATGTAATTTATTCCAGCAGTTATCAACAACCTGATATTGTAGGCATGCAGAATGATAGTAGTAATAACAGCTAATATTTATTGAATGCTTACTGTGAGCCAAGTACTCTTATAAGTGCTTTACATAAATTATTTATTTTAATCCTCACATATCCTATGAGATAGACTATTACTTCCAATTATCAATGAGACACAAAGAGATTAATAAGTAGCCCAATATCAGTGTTAGTATTTGATGGTCTAGAACAGAGCCACATGTACAATGACTACATGACACTATCGCTTAGGAAAAAAAAGCTAGCATTTGTTGAGTACTTACTTTGTGTCAACCACTGTTCAAAGTGCCTTAGCTTTTGAACAGCTGAAAGGTACTAAAGATTTAGTACCTTTAATCTTTATCAACCTTATAAGGTAGTTCCATTACTATGGAGGGGAAAACAGATACAGTGAGGTTATGTAATGCAGGCTAAAATTACAAAGGTAATAAAAGGTGGAGGTGGGAATTTGGATTTTGTTAATCTGCCTCCAGAACACATGCTCATAACCACTAAGCTCTCCTGCATAGTTGAAATGATTCTTGTTTGGGATATAGCCCAGTGGGTATGGCAAGATGATTGATGTTAGAGCCTTGCGTGATTAACATAATCAACAATGGAACTCAGATGAGCAAGGAACTAAGTGAGGGTGAAAAGGAGACAATAGATTAGGAAAGGTTGGAAGAATCAATTGACTTGAGATCTCCAGGGAATGAACTTATGGGTAACAAGAATAAGAATATGAGATAACTAACAGACCAGAAAGTTGTGGTAAGAGGGTGAGATATTGATCTTTAAGGTTATATAATTACACAGAGCAGTCTGGATGATGGGGATGTATGAGGTGTGGTCACCATTCCATTTATGTGAAGGTCAGTGGGCATGAAGGCATCAAAGAACTATGAGGCTATAATATTGGGATGGGTTGCCATCTGTATATGAAATAACCTAAAATTATCCAGGAACATGCAGTAAAAAGGAAGACTGGACCATGTGCCAAAGGCTATTGTGAATATGGGGGAATAACCAGCAAGTCAGTTTATGATAACTACAATAGGGAAAAACATGAAATATTCAGATTACAAAAAAGTAGATGAAGCTGGGCATGGTGGCTCACGCTTGTAATCCCAGCAATTTGGGAGGCCGAGGTGGGTGGATCACCCAAGGTCAGGAGTTCGAGACCAGCCTGGCCAACTTGGCAAAACCCCGTCTCTACTAAAAATACTAAAATTAGCCAGGTGTGGTAGCAGGTGCCTATAATCCCAGCTACTCGGGAGGCTGAGGCAGGAGAATCATTTGAACCCGGGAGGCGGAGGTGGCAGTGAGCCAAGATTGCACCATTGCACTCCAGCCTGGGCAAAAGAGTAAGACTATGCCTTAAAAAAAAAAGGAAAAAGTAGATGAGTACCACATTGAAAGTGGCAATGGGGAACTGAGTTAAGGAAAACCTTTCTGTGGTGACTGTGATACAAAGGAATACTAAAATGCTTTGCTCAGTATGGCAGCAAGGGAAGTGGTTTTCTAGAGGAGCAGGAAGTTCATTTATAATAAAAATACATTTATTGAAAAGTTTGAGGCAGAGGGAGATTGTTTCATATAGACGGAATAGGGGCTCCACAGGGCATGGTTGAAAATATTATAGGCAAGGAAATCAGAAGTCTTCAGAAAAGTAGTGCAGTAGTTTGAGAACGAGTATACCAAAGAATAGTTAAAAGAGAGATATTATTAATTAATTTGGCAGAAAATTATTTGGTCATAAGCAATTTGACTAAAAAGCAAATGGATCAATAGTTGCTTGATCCAACCATCTTCTGCTGTGGATAAACTTAAGTTGCTATACTGTCCTTATTTTAAATACTACAGTAATGATAGACTGAAAGTAAATTATGTATTCGAAAGTACAAAGGAAGAACTATTTTCTCAAATTTTGAAAAATGGAAAAAATAAAGACATATACAAGCAACCCAATAGTACACCCAAAAATCCAGAGAGTAGAGCTTTTGCTCATTTTACAGATTGGTTTTTCGATCAAAATTTGTATTGACCAAATTATTTTTGCTCTAATTACTTTGTGACCAAATTATGTTACCACCAGAGAGACTTAAAGTTTGAGTGGTGATAAAAGATAACTGGGTTGTGAAGAATAGTTATATTTTCTGGGCTTTCTACTATCAAATAGTTGAATTTTCTGGGCCTTCTACTATCAAGATCAGAACAAAATAGGAAAACAAAAGATAATCTAAAAATATACAATTTTATTGAAGGATAACATACAGAAAAGTGAAAAAAATTCTAATCACTTAGCTCAATTAATAATCACAAAATGGCAGGTATAATCTATATCTAATAGATACTTTAATAATTTTCCTGTAAGAAGCCACAAGTTTATAGAAGAAGACTATATAAGGGCTCAGTGTTCTGAAAATCTTTAACATCTGGATACAAGATTGTGGCCAGTCAGATAAGGGCAATATAGCATTTCCCCCTGAGGCATTCAACCATACTTGATGAAACCTAAAATGGCTTCTTCCTTCTTCAAAGACTGGTGGGAAATCAGTTTTTTGCAGAATCCCATATAACACTAGAAATAAAGTTTAACAAATGCCCAATTATATTATTACATTTTCTTTAACAAAAGAAAATTTTCGTTCACTTGTCTAGTTCTGTAATTCTGGAGGTTTTTCTTTCAGCACCAAATTATCTTGGAGGCTATCTTTTAAACTCAAACTATGAAATCATTTGGAAGTCAAATCACCTGTAGAAGAATCCAAGTAAGTGAAAACACTAGGTATCCAGAGGAAAAGAGTATATAATAGAAGGTTTGTAGGAGGATGGTGGTCATAAAAACATATTTTGTGATTTTCTTCTATTTTTCTTAGGGCACACAGTCATTGTTAGTATGCCTAATAAGCCAGCTCAGAATACGTAGAAATGGTGCATAAGGGAGTCATAGTGAAGTCTAGAAATCACTATGGGATTTGATATCCACTTCTACTACTCTACTGAAAATAACTCTTGGTAAGGCCACCAGGAATCTCCTAAGTATAAACATGTGGGACCTCTCTGAGATCTGCACACTGCTCATCACACTTCAGTTCTCGAAACCTCCTTTGGCCTTTGTGACATTATGGTCATCTTTTTCTCCTTCTCTGGTCATTTCTTCTCAGTCTTCTTCAGTAATTTCTGTATGTCTGGTATATTGTGATGTCATATGGGACTATTTATAGTTCTTTAGTTCCAAAGTTATTTAAAGGTTCCGTTACTTTGCACTCTTGTTGTTTTCTGAGAATGCCTTGCCACACCTTATACACCAAACTCCTTCTCTTCCTTCCCGATACTGCTCAAACACCAGGCATCCTAACTCCACAGAATAGTGTACTTCCAATATACATATACATATATATATCTCTCTCCACATCAACATTTATCAGAATTACCTAATTATTCATAAACTTAGCAAGATTGTGACTCAAATGGAAGAGCAGGAATCAGTCTTGAGAGGTTGCAGATAAAGGAGATCAATGAAGCCATATTGGAGGTAGAGGGTGGACTAGGGGTAGGGGTAGGGCGTTAATAGAGTTTAGAGAAAGCAGCAAGCCTAGAGAAATTGCCTAAGCAAGAAAACAAGCAATTTTAGTTTGTTTTTTTCAAGGATCAGTAAAATAGTGACCTGATATTTACATGTAAAGAGAGAATTGTTTAGTGAGGAAGATGTCCCAGAAAGTTCTTTAAATGGAATCTTTCTTGCAAAGTCTTTCAAAATGCAGTAGGGTTGAATAGAAATCCCCTTTCTTTTCTCACATTCATTGAATTACAGTATAATATCAGCCACAAGAACACAATCTGCTGCTGCAGAGGTCACCCGTCACCTTCTGATTACCATTCCAGGTGTGCATTCTCCGTCCTCATGCTGTTCCACCTCTTCGTAGCATCTGACATTTCTGACCTCCTTCATGAAATGGTCTTCTCCCTTGTGTCCTGCTTCTCCTCCCTCACTGTTTGCTCTTTTGAGTGCCCTTCATGGGCTTCTCTTCTCCCACTCATTTCTTTAATGTGCACACTCCTAAGACTTTCCCCTTGGCTCTTCTCTCAGTCTACACTCTCCCTCAGTAACCCCATCCACTTTTCACACCTTTAGCTATTTTTATTTAGAAAACACTCCAGTTGCTAGCTACGACCTCTTTTTTAAGTTTCAGACCCACTCTTACAACAATACACTGGGCCTCTCAACCTGAATGTTTTAAGGGAAGCTCAATCCTAATAACTTCAAAACAGATATTCATATTCCTCTTTCTACCTTCTCTGACTTGGTTCCAAACCCAAGCTTTTCGATGACTCCACATTCTCTTACATTCCTCTTAATTAATCCAGTATCAATGCCTTTTGATTCTACTCTATGGAATGTTTCCCCATCTATCTCATCCTTTATTTTCATTGCTCTTTTTCCTTACCTCTGAATAAGAAATTTTAATCTCTCTGTAGACCTGTGGTTTTATATCAGTTATTCAGGTCACGATAGATTGTCTACTCTATGCCAGTTATGGAGATAAGCAATAGTTAGGGTTCTCAGCCCTGGCTGCACATCAGCTTTAAAAAACAAAACTAAACTAGGCCAGACGCAGTGGCTCTCGCCCGTAATCCCAACACTTTGGGACGCCGAGGCAGGCAGATCACCTGAGGTCAGGAGTTTGAGACCAGCCTGGCCAACGTGGTGAAACCCCATGTCTACTAAAAACACAAAAATTAGCTGGGCGTGGTGGTGTGTACTTGTATTCCCAGCTACTGGGGAGGCTGAGGTGGGAGAATTACTTGAACCCAGGAGGCAGTGGTTGCCACTGCATTCCATCTTGGGTGACAGAGTGAGACCCTGTCTCAAAAAAACCAAAAACAAACAAACAAAAAACAACCCCACTAACTAAACTAGACAAATGCTCAGACACATGCTTCAAAGATTCTGAATGAGTCAATTTAGGGAAAAGCTTGAACATCAGTATTTTTCAAATTCTTCTAATGCGCAGCCAGAGTTGAGAACCCACAACTTATCATATGTAGAGGCCAAGAAAATGGACACAGTCCTTGTCCTTTTGGAAAGTAAACTGGACTTGGGGAGATAGACATTATAAAACAGTTACTCATATATGCATACAATTAGTTATAAGTGCCATGAAGAAAATGAAAAGGGTCCCATGAGAGAAAGAATAGAATAGGACAGTCTAATTTAGAATGTGTGTGGGTCATGAAAAGTCTTTCTAAAGAAATGATAATTAGTGTGAATTCTTAAGGATGAGTGTGATTTGGCCAGGCAAATAAGCAGATGGAAAAAAAAAAACATTTTTGGTGAGTTTGAGTCATGGATATAACTGGCATGTATTGAAGAAATGGAAAAAAATGTGGCTGCTGTGTAGTGAGGGATGAGAGTGGCTAAAATGAGGTTGGAACAGAAAAGAATGGGCCTTGTTAAGAATTTATGAGATCTTCTTAAGTGCATTGAAAAGCTAATGACAGCTTTTTATTAAGGAACTAAAATACTTGTTTTATTTTTATTACTTGGACTTCCTTGCAGATGGGGGTAAGCACAGCAGATGGAGAGAACCTGTAAGTGTGAAGCACTTCGGTAAAGATATTATGGTTGCTTGGACAAGGATGGTGGCCATGGATATGAATAGAAGCCTATGGATTCAAGATGTATTTTGGAGCTAGAATTAATAGAACTCGTTAGTGGGTTGGATATATGGGGTAGGGGAAAATCAGTAGTCATCATGGATGATTCTCAGGTTTTTGACTTAAGAAGCTGAGGAGCTGGTGGTGCCATTTACTTTTTAAAAAAATAGGCTTTATATTTTAGAGCAGTTTTAGATTTATAGAAAAATTGATAGGAAGTCACAGAAATTTCCTATATACTGCCTTCGGCTACACATGCACACCCTTCCCCACTGTCAACATCCTGCATCATCCAACATCCAATAAATGGTGCATTTATTACTATTAATGAACCTACATGGATACGTCATTAGCACCCAAAGTCCATAGTTTACATTAGGTTTCATTCCTGATGCTGTATGTTCTATGGGTTTAACAAATCTATAATGACATATATCCACCATAATAGTATCATACAGAGTAGTTTCACTGCCCTAAAAATCTCCTGTGCTCTGCCTCTTCATCCCTCCCTCCCTACAACCTCCGTAAGCCACTGATCCTTTTACTATCTGTCTCCAGAGTTTTCTCTCTTCCAGAATGTCAGATTGTTGGAGTCATACAGCCTTTTAAGATTGGCTTCTTTCACTTAGTAATATGCATTTAAGGTTTCTGCATGTCTTTTCATGGTGTGATAGGTCATTGTTTTTTAGTGCTAAATATTATTTCATTGTTAGAGGTACCACAGTGTATTTATCCAACATCTTAGCTGCCTCCAAGTTTTGGCAATTATGTGAACAGCTGCTGTAAACATTTTTGTGCAGGTGTTTGTGCAGAGGTGAGTTTTCAAGTCAATTGGGTAAATATATAAGAACACAATTGCTAGATTATATGATAAGAGTACGTTTAGTTTTGTAAAAAACTGTCAAACTGTATTCCAAAGTGCCTGTATCATTTTGCATTCCCATCAGCAATAAATGAGAGTTCCTGTTGCTCCACACCCATTGCTGGCATTTGGTGGTATCCAGTGTTCTGTATTTTGGCCATTTCAGTTGGTATATAATGATATTCCTTAATGACACATGATAATGACTATCTTTTCTTATACTTATTTGCCATCTGTGTATCTTCTTTGGGGAGGTGTCCAGGTATTTTGCCCGTTCTATAATTTATTTAAATTCTAGTAATTTAACTTCCAGTACAGTGTTGAAAAGAAGTGATGACAGGAGACATCCTTGCCTTGTTCCTGATCTTAGAGGGATAAAGATTCTAGTTTCTCACTGTTGAGATGAAATGGAAATTGGTCCATTTCTTCTAGGTTATCAAATTTGTGGGCATGGAGTCATTTATAATATTCCTTTTTATTACCCTTTTAATATCCATGAGATCTGTAGTAATGTCTTCCCTTTCATTTCTGATATTAGTAATTTGCATCTTCTTTCCTTTTTTTTTGTTTGCCTGGATAGAGAATAATTAATTTTATTTATCTTTCCAAAGAACCAGCTTTTGGTTTGTTGATTTTCTCTATTGATTTTCTGTTTTCAATTTTATTATTTTGTGCTCCAATTTTTATTACTTCTTTTCTTCTGCTTGCCTTGGAATAAATTTGCTATTCTTTTTTCAGTTTCCTAATATGGAAGCTTAGATTATTGATTTTATATATTTTTTCTAATATATGCATTCAATGCAATAAATTTTCCTTTAAGCCTTGCTTTTGTGAAATCTCACAAATGTTGATAAGCTATATTTTAATTTTAATTTATTTCAAAAAATCTAAAATTTTCTCTTGAGGTTTCTTTTTTGTTCCATGTGATAAAGTGTGTTGTTTAATCTTCAAGTATTTGGGAGGTCTCCAGTTTTCTTTCTGTTATTGATTTCTAGTTTAATTACACTGTGGTCTCAGCATACTTTGTCTGATTTCTGTTCTTTTAAATTTGTTAAGATGTGTTTTATGGCCCAGGATGAGTGTTCTATGTGAGTGTTTAGGTGAGTATTCTATATGAGTCTGAGAAGACTCTATTCATTTCTGATAGAGAGGTGTTGAATTCTCCCACTATAATAGTGGATTCATCTATTTCTTCCTACAGCTATCAGATTTTACCTCACATATTTTGATGCTTTGTTGCTAGGCATATACACTTTACAAATTGTTGTGTCTTCTTGGGAAATTGAGTGCTTTATCATTATGTATTACCCCTCTTTATCCCTGATAATTTTCCTTACTTTTAAGTCTGCTGTACCTGAAATTAATATAGCTACTCCTGGTTTCTTTTTATTATTGTTATCCTGGTATATCTTTCTCTGGCCCTTTACTTTTAATCTATATGCATCTTTATATTTGAAGTGGGTTTCTTTTAGACTACTTATAATTGGGTCTTCTTTTTTTATCCACTCTGACAATCTCTATCTTTTAATTGATTTATTTAGACCATTAGTGTTTAAAGTGATTATTGATATTAGTTACAGATATTAGTTGAATTAATATCTACCATATTTGATATTGATTTTCATCTGTGCCCCTTGTTCTTTGCTTCTTATTTTGTCTTACACTCTTTTTCTGTCCTTTGTGATTTTAACTGCATATTTTATGATTCCATTTCCTCTACTTTCTTAGTATGTAAGCTGCATTTCTTTTTTTTTAACTTAAATTAGTAGTTGCCCTAAAGTTTGCAATACACATTTGCAACTCATCCAACTCCACTTTCAAGTAACACTATACCACTTCATAGGTAGTACAAGTACCTTATAATAACAAAATAATTATCGTTTCTCCATCCCATCTCTTATATTATTATTGTCATTTATTATACTTATACATAAGCATTTATATGCATATGCCTCATAATTGAATACCTTGACGCTATTATTTTGAACAAACTGTTCTCTATTAGATCAGTTAAGAATAATAAAAATAAAAGGCTTTATTTTACCTTGATTTATTTCTTCTCTGATCTCCCTTTTTTTAAAAAAATGTAGATCTGATTTTTTGGCCTATATCGTTCTCTTTTTTTTTTTTTTTATCTTGTCTTTTCTCAACTCTTACTTTAGGTTCACGGGGCACACATGCAGGTTTGTTATATGGATACATTGTGGGTTGTTAGGGTTTGATGTACAAATGATTTTATCACCCAGGTGGTGAGCATAGTATCTCATAAGTAGTTTTTCAGTCCTCACTCTTCTCCTTTCTTCCCCTTCAAATAGGCCCCACTGTCTATTTTTCCTGTCTTTGTGTCTATGTGTACTTAATGTTTATCTCCCACTTATAAGTGAAAACACTGTGATATTTCATTTTCATTCTCTCTGAAAACTCCTTTTAATATTTCTTGTAAGGCATGTCTACTGGCAATAAATTCTCTTAATTTTTCTTTATCTGAGAAAGTCTTTATTTCTCCTTTATATTAGAAGGATAATTTTATAGGGTAGAGTGTAGGCTTGTGGCATTTTTCTCTAAAACTTTAAATATTTCACTCTATTCTCTTCTTGCTTGCATGGTTTCTGAGGAGAAATTGGATGTAAAATTCTTACTTTGCTCTTAGGGTAAGGTGTTTTTTCTTTGTGTCTTTTCAAGATTTTTTCTTTACCTTTGGTTTTCTGAGATTGAAAGTAATTTGCCTACTGTGGTTTTGTTCGTTTTAAAATTTATCCTACTTGATTTTTGTTGAGCTTTCTGGGTCTGTGATTTGGTGTCTAACATCAGTTTGGGTAAATTCCCAGTCTTTCTTGCTTTAAATATTTCTTCTGTCCCTTTCTCTCACTCTTCCCCTTAGGTTATTTTTATTACACATATGTTATACCTTTTGTATTTGTCCCACAGCTCTTGGATATTCTGTTTCATTTTTAACAACTTTCTTCTGTGTGCTTTTCCATTTTGGAGGTTTCTATTGACGTATCCTCAAGTTCAGAGATTCTTCCTTCAACCATGTCCAATCTACTAATAAACCCATCAAAGCCATTCTTCATTTCTGCTACAGTGTTGGTTCTTTAATAGTTTTCCATCTCTCTGCTTACATTGGCCATCTTCCTTGCATGCTGTGTACTTTATTCATTAAGCCCTTAGCATATTAATCTTAGTCATGGTAAATCCTGGCCTGATAATTACAACATTCCTGCCATATCCGAGACTCGTTCTGATGCCTGATTTGTCTCTTTAACTGCCTGTGTTTCCACAGAGGCTGCATCTTCAAGTTTCACACACTAGTATGGCTTGCTTCAGGCTTTTTTCTGAATTTACCTTTTAAAGGAAATGTGGGCCCGGCGCAGTGGCTCATGCTTGTAATTCCAGCACTTTGGGAGACTGAGGCAGGCAGATCACGAGGTCAGGAGATCGAGACCATCTTGACCAACATGGTGAAACCTCGTTTTTACTAAAATACAAAAAATTAGCCAGGCATGGTGGCACACACCTGTAAACCCAGCTACTCAGGAGACTGAGGCAGGGTAATCACTTGAACCAGGGAGGCGGAGGTTGCAGTGAGCCGAGATCGCTCCACTGCACTCCAGCCTGGCGACAGAGCAAGGCTCCGTCTCAAAAAAATAAATAAAGGAGATGTGAAAAACAAGAGATTCTCATTTTATACAGAATTAAGTCCAAATTTTCAGCCTTCTAGAATCAACCCCAATCTTTACAAGCTCATCGCTAACAATAACCTCATGCTTAAACTGGCCAACTTCATGTTTCTTTAACAGAGGCATATGGTTTCCCACAACCATGTCTTTATTTTTTATAATTATATTGGTCTTGAATACCTTTCTTTTCTTTATCGCAAAGCTCTACCCATCTTTTTTTTTTTTTTAAGACGGAATTTCACACTGTCACCTGGGCTGTAGTGCAATGGCGTGATCTCAGCTCACTGCAACCTCCACCTCCTGGGTTCAAGCAATTCTCCTGCCTCAGCCTCCTGAGTAGCTGGGATTACAGGTGCCCCACCACCACACCCAGCTAATTTTTTGTATTTTTGGTAGAGATGGGGTTTCAGTATGCTGGCCAGGTTGGTCTCCAATTCCTGACCTCATGATCCACCTGCCTCGGCCTCCCAAAGTGCTGGGATTACAGACGTGAGCCACCGTGCCCGGTCAGCTCTACCCATCTTTAGAACAAATTTGAATATTTTTTACACAGAACGTATACTTTTACTGCAGCCTTTGATGTGTACCTCTTCAAAAGTTATTAGAGGGCGCTTACTACTGGCTAGTTATGTAATAGTCAATCACAAAACCATTCTCCTAATCCCTTCCACCCCCGCCACTGAGAAGAGCTTGATGGGAGTGATGACTTTTTATTTGCCTCTATGCCTATTTTGGATCTAGCAAAGTGGACCCTTTCTCAGTATTCTATTTAAATTTCTTCATTTTGACAAACATTTCATTAGGATGTTTAATGTATGATCATATGGAAGAAGATATCAAAAAGATTGCTAAAGATATACATTTTAGTTAACTAGCTACATCAAAGGAAATATTTCATTTGCAATATTTATTTTCCATCATGTGAGAAAAAAAATCAAAGTGTACCTTTCGTATATGAAATACATGAGGAAAAACGAATGTGTTCCAGAATGAAGATGGTATAGCACTATAGTTAGGGGAACCTTCTAAAGGTGAATTTTCCAATAGATCTGCTTTCCCCTTGCACTATATCCCTCTGAGGGGTTCTAGACTTCTCCAAACAAACTCAAGCTGAATGCAGTTATTATTTTTGAAATACCCTCTTATCTGCACCCCTGAGGAACTCAGGAAGAATGGTCTTAGAATAAGCATATAAACAACCTCATGATCTTGGCTGAAATGCCCCTTTTGATGGTGTTCTTTAGGGCTGGAGTTCTTGGAAGAGCTCCAAATGATCTCTTCAAGTTACTTTTTCAACTTTCTGGGATCCGCATTTAATGTGACCCCACTCAGTAGTATGGCTCAAAACATTTAAAAATTCCTTCTTAACTAAAGTAAAACAAAGAAGACTAAAAGCATTTGACATCAGTAATAGTTTTTTAAAATATTTCTTTATATAGATAAGTTCTGACCAGATGTATCCTTTGTGAATCCCTAATGTTTCCATGAAATTCCTATTCCTTCTGGGGTACTATATCTGAGGGTTAACTATTGTCTGAAATAACTGCTGTAGCTGAGAAATGACCATGTTTCCTTTTAGTTCTTAGCAAGAGTAATTGAATGTAGAATATCTTACTAAATGCTAGATTGTGACAGTGTGTTAACACTCTGACTATCTCCTAACAGCAGGGCAATTATTTGCTGAGTGGGATTTTTATAAATCCTCTGGCAGTAGTATGTCCTGATAATTATGATGAAGTACATTGGTCAGTGTAGATTCAGCAGTCCCTACCCTAGCAAATATTTCATTCACAGTTCTTTGGCCACTTGTACTTTACTAGTTATTAGAGAGAGATCTTTACTACTCTTCCCTACTGGCTTAGTATATCATTTTTTAAAAGCAAATGTGATTTAAAACATAGAACCCAAACATATTTTAGACACACCTCCTTTAAGAACTGTTTCTCTCTCGTGGTATTCAGAAATTTTTAATCAAGAGGCAAGAAAATAGTTTTAAATTTTATTCCTATTTGTGGTCAGCCACTCTTTTTTGCTGCGTAATTGTCATTTGTGAAAGTAAAACTTGAATTCTTCCACCTATCCTGAATACTTAATCATTCTTCATACCCGGAATAAACAGTTCCTTGGAAATCATGAGAAATTGTTATTTCTGTTATGGTAAAATATGAAATTAGAACATTAGTAATTGTGATCTGGGAATTGTAGGTGTACACTATCCTGTGTCTTATTCTTCCTATTTCATAGAAACTTGTTTTAAAAGTACACCTTGGTAACAAAGAGAAGAGAAAAAAATTAGACTATAGCTTCCCCCAGGCAATTACAAAGTAAAGGTCAGTGTATGAGTGGAAAATGGCCATAAAAAACATTTTTCATGGAATAAAATAGTAGGTGCTCCAAATAAAACAAGTATATCCATTTCTTTTCAAATCAATTGTACCGTTTTAACACTTTTCCACATAATACTTAAGTATAAGAATAAAAACTGAGAAGAAAAGAGCCAATTGATAGATTATTAGAAATACGGAATGGTTCAAAGTATTAATGTAATGCTAGGGGTGACTGGGTAACAAATGGTACGTTTGCTCGTTGCTCAACCTGACATAATTAATATTCTAGGTCATGCTTAAGTTCCCATGATGGAGAGTCTGAAGGGGGGAATTCAAGAAAAATATGTATCTATTATATAACTCATTGCATTTTTTTTTTTTTTTTTTTTTTTTTTTTTTGCCTTTTGACGAGTCAGAATCGTAGCCTTTAAAAAAAATCAGTGCTTTCACACCTCATTTGCCACATTCACCACTGGGCCACCAGTCAGCAGCCGGGCCTGATGCAAGGAGGTCAGTAAGAAGCTATTAGCAGAGTCCTCTCCTGAGATTTCCTGGGTCTTATTGAGTTGAATGTTAGCATGACAGTACTGCAAATAACTCAGTTGTAGGCTTTTTCTTTTTTTTTTTAAACAGTTAGCACAGATTTCCCCATAGTGTTGGTCACTCTAGAAAATTATTGCTGAAAATGAAGTCCCCAAAGCTAGCTTGGCAGTAGCCCTTCTAAGTTGTGAAAAATGTGAAAACTGAAAAATATACCATAGTCCCTGAGGATTAACCCTGTCTTTTGTGACTCATAGTAATATTTTTAAAAATCAACAAGAAACCATTATTCATAAGTGGCTTACTAATGATGAAATATGGCAATTGAGACAATAGTATGTTAAGGTTGTTGTATTTATTTAAAGAAATAATAAGTAAATGAATACTGCATCAATATAAATAAATAGGGTATTTGCCTGCTCTAGGGATTGTGGGAGTGCTGGACTGTTTTTATTGACATAACTTAGCAAATGTATTAAATTAATTTCTAAAATACTGACACCTTGAAGACTTTAAATGATACATTTGAAATTCAATTAAAATATATTTTCGATCTATATTTGATTTAAATTGCAAAGAGAATACACATGAGGAGGTCTCCATATAGGTTGCAAAATATAATTTAAGAAAGCTATCATGTCTACTGATCCATTTGCATTTCCCATCTAGCCTATGTATACACGTGCATGCAAATGTGCAAGATCAAAGAGGATTTCTAATGGAGTAAAGTTAATAGCTGGTAGCGGTTATTCAGGTAGGTAGATATTTTCAAATGATAAATTTTAATCTAGCTAAATTGTATGTATTTTACCATTTTAATCTGTAAGGTTGTAGCAATGTTCATAAAAAACTAACAGACTTCAGTTTATTAGATCATCACTGATGAGAATGGTATTCTCATATCATTTTTATAGACTGTAGATTTAGTTACACTTTATGTCACAATAGTCTTTTAAAAATATAACATTTATTTTTTTCTTAGTACAATCAATAAATTCTAATCTTAGAAAATCACCCTAGAAATTATCTTTATAATTGCCATCCACTTAAAAATTACTGTCCATGGAAAGCTATTGTCTGTGTATTTACCTTGTCTATATTTACTGTTATAGTGAGAACATGTTAACATGACATTAAAAATGGTTTATATAACTGCCTTTAATGTTTTTCCACACAGTGTTTTTCTTGTATCAATTGTAATAGAGAATAAATCTCAAAGAAGAGCCAGTACAAAAATATTTTTAAATGTTTAAATGCATTTACATTAACTGCTTTGTATCCAATAAAATTTAGTCTCCAATTAAAAAATAGAAAAATTTGAGTTGGAGGTGACTCAAATAGGTCTTTGACAATGTGTTTTAAAGCAAATTGAAACTGTTCTGTTAAAAAAAAGAAAAATGGTATAATCTGTATATTCTTTGAAAGCAGTCAATACAATTCTGAAATAAGTCTCAAACTTTTTATTAAGATATTTATGTTGCTTTGGAAAGCAAGAGTGAAATAGAGGTTTTCACGGGCCTTTCTGAACTGTGCGTTGTTATTCTAGATAAGCATTTAACATTCATTTATTGAGTGCCTACTAAGTGCCATGTACCCTGCTAGGCCCTGGGGTTGCAAAAATACCTGGAACAGACTCTCTGTGCTCCAGCTTCTAGCTTGTGGAAGACATACATGCAAATATAATTTTGAAACAGTGTAATGTGATAGGTATTGTGGTGGTTATCCCCATAGTAAGGAAGCATTTGGTATAGGACACTGCGTTTGGGATAGGATGTTGCATTTGGGATAGGACGTTGCATTTGGGATGGGATGTTGCATTTGGGATGGGACGTTGCATTTGGTATAGGATGTTGCATTTGGGATAGGACATTGCATTTGGGATAGGATGTTGCATTTGGGATAGGACGTTGCATTTGGAATAGGATATTGCATTTGGGATAGGACGTTGACTCCAGCCTGGGTAGGTATTTGATAGAGGTTAACACTTATTGCTGAGTTAGGCTGGAAATTTACACTTTTCTTAGGTTTTCGAAGACAGCTATCTTAGTTAATGCTTTGGAACTGCTGATTCCATGAAGTAAATGTAGCAAAAAGGAATGTTTATAGATATGTTGATGGCATAAGAGAAATCACATTTTTAGTAAGAATGGATACATTTAATATATAGTCCAGAGTGTCTACAAAGACACCAAATAAGTCATATTGCCCTTTAAAATGTAACTTCTCCTTTTAAATATGCATTTGTGTATGATATTTACATATACACATATGTGTATATGTTTTGATATAAGGCTTCATGGAACCATATATCAAAGATTGGTATCTAATACCATTAAAATATAATACCATCAAAATTTCGTTCTATGCAGTTTGTATATTCAAACAACATTAAATTTTCAAAAATAGACACGCTAAATTTGACTTAACATTTGTCACACATACATCTATTGAAACTCTATTGTGTGGAAGGTACTCTTGACTATTTTATGCAGTACATGACAAAGTCATTGATAGAACAGCAAGGATAATACTACAGAAGCATAGCACCTAACCACGTGAATACAACTCATGAAATACAGGATGTTATTTTGAGTGATATATAATATAGTATTATAGCCTATATTATAGGTGATACCTGTAGCATTATAGGTGATACCAATTTGATTATTAAAGTACAAAAGTCAAGATAGTTGCCCTTAGTTTACGTAATGAATAATAATTAAAATAATCAGTCAAATATTTGAGTACATATTTTGTACCTGAAACTTGATCAAGCATTGTATATTTGACTTCCTGTGAGTGAATGTATGACTTACACGTATAGTTAAATATACATAGCATACAGTTAGAATACAAAATGAATGGCTTAGAGTCTTACTGTAATTTTTTCTTAAGTATAGTGATGTAAAAAGGCTGTGTGACAGATAGGAACTTGAGCTCACTAGTTTTTAAAATGTTTAGTGCTCAATTCTGAAAGATATTGAAATTGTTGGTCTAGAGTAAGGACAAGTATGAGTATTTTGTAAAATCTCTTTAGGTAAATCTGAAGTCCACCTCTGGTTAAGAACCACAGTTGTAGTTTAAAATATTCTTTAAACATAAGAAAAAATTTCATGGTACAACTCTTTCCTTTATTTCATCTGAAAATTAAAGAAAAAATCAAAATTGCTTTCTTCTTCTTTAGATTCCAGGAATATACAATTCACCCTTCAGAAAAGAGCCTGATCCATGGGAGCTGCAATTACAGAAGGCAAAGCCTTTAACACACCGAAGACCTAAAGTTAAGCAGAAGGACTCCACCAGCCTTACTGATTGGCTAGCTTGTACAAGCGCCCGTTCTTTTCCTCGGTCTGAAATTCTACCACCTATTAATAGAAAGCAATGTCAGGTACTAGTTTGCTGTATAAGAATTCTGTCATTAATTTTATTCTTGCTATTTTTTGCACTTTTTATATAACACTATCTTAATTTAACCATTTTTAATTATATAGTTTAGTGGGATTAAGTACATTCATATTTTTGTGCAATCAGCTGTCGCTAGAACTCTTTTCATCTTGGAGAATTAAAACTATACCCACTAAACAACTCTCCATTTCCCTTTGCCCCATCCCCTGACATGACTTGTTTCACTTAGCACGATGTTCTTAAAGTTCATCTATGTTGCAGAATATGTCCGAATTTCCTTCTTTCTTAAGGCTGAATAATATTCTATTTTATGTACATACCACATTTTGTTTATCCATTTATCTGCATTTGGCATTTGAGTTGCGACCACACTTTATGTATTGTGAATAATGCTGCTGTGAACATGGGTGTAAAAGATCTTCTTGAGACTGTTTTCATTTCTTTTAAGAATATACTCAGAAGTGGAATTGCCAGATTATATGGTAATTATATTTTTAATTATTTGAGAAACTGCCATACTGTTTCTCATAGCATCTATACACATTTTCCATTCCCATCAACAGGGCACAAGGGTTCCAATTTCTCCACATTCTTGTTGCAGTTTTGATTTGCATTTTTCTAATTGTTAGCGATGTTGAGAATCTTTTTATGTGCCTATTGGCCATTTGTGTGTCTTCTTTGAAGAAATGTCTATTCTAAGTCCTTTGCCCATTTTTGAATTGGGCTGTTTTTTGATGTTGAGTTTTAGGAGTTCTCTATATATTCTGGGTATTCATGCCTTATCAGATACATGGTTTGCAAATATTTTCTCCCATTCTATGGGCTCCTTCTCTACTCTGTTACAGTGTCTTGCTTTTTAAAAATACAGGGCTGGGCACAGTGGTTCACGCCTGTAATTCCAGCACTTTGGGAGGCCAAGGCGGACAGATCACAAGGTCAAGAGATCAAGACCATCCTGGACAACATGGTGAAACCCCATCTCTACTAAAAATACAAAAATTAGCTGGACATGGTGGTGCACCCTGTGGTCCCAGCTACTCGGGAGGCTGAGGCAGGAGAATCACTTGAACTCGGGAGGCGGAGGTTGCAGTGAGCCGAGATCGTGCCACTGCCCTCCAGCCTGGCGACCGATCTATATATATATATATAGAGAGAGTCTATAATCTATCTATCTATCTATATATATATAGATTATTGTTTTGTTCCATTTTTTTGACCAGAGGAAAATTATTTTTTGCAACTCTAATTTTAAATAATAAACATAAAGTAATTTACAAATATATACCAAAGAAGTGAACAAACACTTCTTTGGCATTAAATCTTGTTATATTGAATAAGAAGTTAAAACATGGATTATTTCCTAGAATCTAGATTTTTTATGTAAAAATATTGTTATACCACTACTTGTTATAACCTGTTGTTGCTGGGAATACATGTATTATCAATTTTATTGAATTTAACCTCTCATTTGATGCTATATGTCTTTATATGCCATTTTAAACAAAACTTGGGTTTGAGTAATTTTACAAATGTAAATTTGAGAATTTGAGACAGCTCAAAACAAAGCAATACTCATAGTAGAGATGGGAAATCTTCCCTATAACTAGATTGTAGTACAACAGGTTTGGCAAATGACTTCCTGAGGCTAAAGGGTAGAGTGGGGTGGGGTGAATGATGATTGTCACCATCCTAAAAGTCCCGGAGAGCCACAGGTCTATCATCCCAATCAATAATTAAGCTGCCACCATGTAGTATCAACTACCTTGTGTTAGATTTGGCTCACACAATTAAACTCCCAGAACTCCTGACCATTAACTCCCTGAATAGGCGTGCCCTTGTGTATCTATATTGCTGTATAATAAATTACTCCAAAATCTAATGGGTTAAACCAACATACATTTGTTACTTCACAGTTTCTATGGGTTTGCCATTCTAGGTACAGCCTTTGGTGAGTTCCTCTTACTCAAGTTCTCTCATGATGTTGTAGTCCAGATGTCAGCCAGGTGAGGCACAGTGGCTCATGCCTATAATCCCAGCACTTTGGGAGGGTGAGGTGGGAGGATCACTTGAGCCCAGGAGTTCACAACCAGCCTGGGCAACATAGCGAGAGCCTGTCTCTATTAAAAAAAAAAAAAAAAAAAAGATGTCAACCATGACCGTGATCTCATATGAAGGCTCAGACGGAGGGTGGGGATAGGAGGGCAGTGAGATCCTCTTGGTTGGTTCCCTCACTCACATGGTTGGGTGTTGTCATGCCTCAGCCCCTCCTCACATTGGCATCTTCACAGAGCTGCCTCACAACATGGTAACTCATTTCCCTCTGGGTGAGTGATCCTAGGGAGAGAGAGAGACAGCTTTCAAAACAGAAGCCACAGGCTTATAAAACTAATGCTAGAAGTGACATCCCATCACTTCTGCCATGTTCGAAATGAGTAAGTCTATTTTATATTCAAGGGCAAAAGACTACCCGACGGTGTGGATACCAGGAGGCAGGGGCCCTTGGGAGTCATCCTAGAGCCTGCCTTTTATACCCTCAACCATTGAATCATCCTTGCAATAAGACAGCCCTGCATTCTATTTCATTAAAAATCTCCCACTTTACTGTAATTATTTGTGATATATGTTGTGTTTCCATTCTCTATAATTACGTCCTTAATTCCCATTATTTGTATCTTTTTTTTTACTCTCTCAAAACTACTAACTGATAATTAATACTATTAACTGATGGTTTATACTGTCTTAGAGAAAGAGCTATAAAATATAATTGAAAATCTATAGTCAGTTTCCCCCTTGGACCGCTTTCTCCTTTTCTTCATCTCTGATTCAGTTCCTGTGATATTCTATTTATATCCGTATTCTTTTTTTGAGATGGTGTCTCGCTGTGTTGCCCATGCTGGAGTGCAGTGGAGGGATCTCAGCACACTACCACTTCTGCCTCCCTGGTTCAAGCGATTCTCCTGCCTCAGCCTCCCAAGTAGCTGGTATTACAGGCACCTGCCACCATGCCCTGCTAAGTTTTGTATTTTTAGTAGATATAGGGTTTCACCATGTTGGCCAGGCCGGTCTCCAACTCCTGACCTCAGGTGATCTGCCTGTCTCGGCCTCCTAAAGTGCTGGGATTACAGGAATAAGCCATCACGCCAGGCCCATGTATCAGCATTCTCAATTACCTAGTAAACTAATCCATTTATCTGAATCTGATCATTCGTTCCTTTACTAAACTGGAGTGACAAGCATAGTGGAGTGAGCAAGGGGACAAAAGAGAGATAGTAGGAAAATTTTCAGTTTTTTAGGGGGATATGTCTTCAGAGTATGGTTTCATTATTCCTTTTTAAATAAGAGTTATATCAATATTCTAGTGAAAGCATTTAAAATAGTTTTAAATGTAAATATAAAATGAATTTTATATTATGAATAATTGAATTTTTGCTATTTTGAATTATGTACATTACTATTTTTCTATTAGTGTAAGTAATCATCACATTGCATATATAACATATAACTTTGCATCAACAAGCAATTAAATTTATTAATTATTCTATCAAGAAAATAATAACTCCAGCATTTCCACTGCATGTATATTAAGTGTTCAGTGTGTTAAATGTATTAACTACTCAAAAGCAGTTAAGGTAGATGTAACATTGCATATTTAAATTTTTAATAATCCACACTGCTGGTGGGCGCGGTGGCTCACACCTGTAATCCCAGCACTTTGGGTGGATTACAGGCTGGAGTGGGTGGATCACCTACGAGGTCAGGAGTTCGAGACCAGACTGGCCAACATGGTGAAACCCTGCCTCTACTAAAAATACAAAAATTAGCCGGGCATGGTGGCACATGCCTGTAATCCCAGCTATTTGGGAGGCTGAGGCAGGAGAATCGCTTGAACCTGGGAGGTGGAGGTTGCAGTGAGCCGAGATCACACCATTGCACTCCAGCCTGGGTGAGAGAGCAAGACTCCATCCCAAAAAATAATAATAATAATAAACCACGTTGCATGCTATATTCATTTGTATAGCTATTGGTACTACATGGAATTCATAGAGTAATTTTGCATACAACTTTTTAGGAAATGTGAAAATTACATGGCATGAATAAAATAAGGGCATGTAAATATTTCTGAGCTGGAAACACCATGAAGGTCATCTGAACCAAACTACCACACTATACAATATTCACAACATTAACCATTAAACATGTAATATTATGGTATAGGTGTTTTATAATGTTATTACATTTGCTTTATTGCCCTGCTTTTAATATACTTTTAATGATGTGTCTTCTTCTACACTTGTCAGTGTTCATTCTTCATCTCTGTTTCTCAATACAACCTCTGTACAACCATCTTCATTCCCTACATGGCTTTCTTCCTCCATACCATTCTATGTACACATATACCTATATACATAAGTGTATTTAGTATGTATGGAATGCATAGGCAGAAGGTACATATATAGAAATAATGTATGGATGATGTATAGGTATATGGAAAATATATATGTATAAATGGTATATCAGCCCATATGGAAGATATATATATATATGGTATAAGTATAAAAATAGAAAAATACACACATTTGTAAAACAACTTGTGTGTGTGTGTGTGTGTGTGTGTGTGTCTGTGTATGGAGAGAGAGAAATATTTATGTTTATATAGAGAATATATAAACACATGGCAGAATTAAAAAATATGTATTTATATATGTATATATGTATACTTACATATATATACACACATATACTCCTGAATTACATTTATCTAGCATGCTACAAAATAATGATCCCTACTAATCTATTCTCTTTTCTTCGTTCTCTCTTTTTTATTCTCTTCTCTTCTATTATTTATTTTCTCTTTCAGTGTTTTTTCTTTCCTTCTTCTTCTGTCTCCTTCCTTCCCTATTTTAAACTCCTCCTCCTTTTCCTCTGGCCATGTCATCCCCACTGCCCTATTCTTCATTCTCTTGTTTCCTTCCTTCTCAGTCTTCCTTCTGTCATCTTTTCTTAACACCTTCTCCTCTCTTTACTTCCTTTGCCTCTTTTCTTCACCATTCTTCTTTTTTCTTTTCTCTTTCCCTTCTTCCTTTTTTTTTCCCAAAATGGGATTGTTTTACATTTTGTTTTGTTTGTTTGTTTTTTCTGAGCCATATTCCTGTGTGTTACCAATAATAAAAAAGTATATACCTCATTGGTGACATTTAAGATTATGCCCAAATGATAATATTTGTACTCTAATCAGAGTAGCTTTACTTGCCAGGTGAATTTTTTAAACATCTAGGACAATTTTATGGTTTTAATAATGGCTTAAACATATAAAATGACTATAAATAACATGAATTATGGAAAATACAGCAGAACATAAATATATTTGACTCTCCTAACCAGGGCTTAGGTGGAGGCAATGTAAACTAAACATTAAAAAACCATAGCTAAGAGTCCAGAAATACCTGTAGTGTCAAGTTAAGTCTTGGATGATCTAGGTATTCTAGGGATTAATTGGAAATAAGTACAATCAGCAGATCTAAAGTTTGATAGGTGAAAGATACACATAGATATATAGATATATAAATATAGATATATATTTACAAAACCTGGGTTCCCATGTCACTCTAGGCATGACTGGGATAGATGATTGCCTGATATCCAAAAAAGGCAGTTTTTCAAAAGAAATATAAATCAACAAAAATTTGACGTAAGAGAAACTTGATAGCTGGTGTCAAGTTCACTAACCAAGGAGCTGGAAGACTATTGAGCTCAAAGACAAGATGCTAATTGTCTGAGGTATAAATGTATGTACCAGGCATTGCAAAGACATAGGGGCATGGACATGACTGCACAAAAGTCAGGGATCATGAAGGTGGGAGTGAACCCAAAAGGAAGACTGAGTTTACTTTCATTCTAATCCTAAGCAGGGCTTCTTCTCTTTCATTTTGTAGTCTCATTGGAACTAATAAGTTCCAGAACAACAGTAGAGTAAGCCTACAAGTAGATATGTGTTATGTTTGCTTATCAACAAAGGTTAGAAGGCATAACATGGCCACCAAGAAGACCATTGCTCCATGTGAATGCTGGTCTCTTCAAAGTCATAGCCTTGGGCCATTGTGTATTTCTTTGATGCTACTATTGCTCAAAACCTTTTAAAAACTCTTCTTGAAACTAATAATTATGATGGTAATAACAATAACAATGTAGTGGGAACCATTTTGAGTGTTTACTGTGTTCTAGGTACATGGTAAGGGTGTCACATTATCGTACACATCTTAAGAGAAATTCTGTGATGTAGTTATTCCATTTTACAAATGATGAACATCGGCATAGAGAAATACTTTGCTCCTTGTCATAAAACCAAATATTAATTTTTTAAGTCATAGACTCTGTCAAAGTATAAGAATAAGAATAAGAAAAAAAAAAGAAGTCCCATTTGATTTCTTAATAGTGGACTTGGAATCATGTTACTGTATCTTTAAAAAGTAAAATTCCAATAGAAATCCATTAACTACTTTCAAATATAGCAATCCTCCTGTCCAGCTGTGAAAAGTACTAGATGATACTTATTTGCCATTTGTGTTATTTACGGTCCATGACTTTTATGGTAACTGGTTCCTATTATTGGTTTCTATTAATGTAAAGCATAAGTGAACATAAATGAGGCGTGAATCATTTCTTTTTATTAGCCCCACAGTCTTCACTCAGTGCTTGCAGTAACTCCAGCTGTGTCTTGTTAGTGATAACCTATTTAAAGAAGATATTTTTAAGAATAAGGAATATGATTAGAAATCTTTGTCCATTTAATATTACTTCTCTCCTATACGACAGTGATGAAAAAAACCAATATGCAATTAATGGCACAGCAAAATCTTGAGCTGCCTTTGATTTGTATTGTGCCTAATACGATACTAATTAGACAACCAGTGGATTTTAGTAACTAGTATAAATAACAACTAACTTGAAAGCAGGATATGTTGTAAGTTACTTTTCACAGTGCAGCTGTGGACTTTCCTCTGCTAAGTATTTGTGTCATCAAAAGGTTGCTATTGGTATCAGAGTAATTGAACAATAGAGTTTAGAATTTTAAATAAATAACATTTAAAATAAATAAAAGTTATGGTTCTTCTGTGTTTAGGAGGCTGCCTATTAAGTGTGACATTTGAAATTCACCAAAAAATTTTAACTTAATGAAAAAACAAATGCTCTCCTATTTCTATTTATAGAAGGGCTGTTGGAAAGCTATGCTTAGAATTTTTTCCTAATATTTGTATTTACTCAAAAAGGGAGACAATCCTTTTTTTAATTATACTGAACAAAATGTGCTTTGTAAAATTAGAAAACAAAGCAACCTATAACAAGTTTATCAGTTATAACATGAAGATCTTTTGATGTAAGTGGGGAAACTTCTGTTTAATTTTAAAGTTTTTTAATGTAATCAATTTTACTTGAGAGAACATTGCTTGAAAATAAGTGATATTATGTCATGCATATTCTAACTCAGCGAAGAACAAATGGTGTTTTAAAAATAACTTAGTAAACCTGCTATACTTTGTAGATGTTCACTAGCCTTGGTCATCAGTAATACCTCAAAAAAATCTTCCATATAAAATATGTTCCTCATCCTGTCTTGTCAGGGGCCCTTCCGAGATATCACCGAAGTATTAGAACAACGCTACAGGCCTTTGGAGCCAACGTTGCGGGTGGCAGAACCAATCGATGAGTTAAAGTTGGCCAGAGAGGAGCTCAGAAGAGAGGAATGGCTGCAAAATGTAAATGACAATATGTGAGTTCTTAGCTTAACAAAAATAGCTGTGACATATTTGGTGCCTTAAATTTTCTAATTTTTTTATTTTCTAATACTGTAAAAAATCTTTTATTTGTGAGAAAAGGTAAAGCCACCCCTGACCTGTTCCAAAGCAATAATTTTTCAGCATGCAAATGATTTAAATGAGGTCAGTATTGATGGCAAAAACTCTTTTGACAACTCAAAAGACAAAAAAAAGATCGGCATTTTGAGGATAAATGATCACTATCTATGTATCTGTGAAGATAATTTTCTTAATTATCTATAGTGAAAGCATACATATTTATGAAACGCCTAAAATAAGATCCAGTAAGATGGAAGAAACATTTTTCTTAACGTGGACTAAATATCATTTTGATCTATTGACATAACATTGTAGTTTTAATAAGTCAGATATAATGAAAGAAGTTAGCTTCTTTATGACTGAGGAAGATGACTGAAAAAGATGAAGAATCATTTAATAGCATATGTAATTTTAAATTTTTTTTAGCATCATGGATTTGGG
This sequence comes from Homo sapiens, assembly GCF_000001405.40. NCBI lineage: Eukaryota > Metazoa > Chordata > Mammalia > Primates > Hominidae > Homo > Homo sapiens. The sequence goes on from NC_000001.11 coordinate 217,782,849, forward strand.
TCTTAATTCAGACATCTTTCTCTCAGGCACTTTCTCTCTCTTAAGACACTTTGTCATCAATAGAGTCATAGATAACTTATAAATAGACCATTTCAAATCTAAAATGGCTTTATTTTTATGATTGTCATTATTCTGTAATGTCTCACAATTATCTTTGCAATGTATCTTATAATGTATTTTAATATTATTTATATGCTAAGTAAGACATTATTACATTATAATACTAAATATTAATGATAATATTGGTATACTATAAATTATACAAAATATAAAATTATAATCATTTATTGCATTTACATAATCATGTGCTAATTGTTACATAATAATTTATATGATAATTATAAAATATTTTAAAAGTGTGTTTTGATATAGAAGGAAATTAGAATTACCTCTTATCCATTTTAGTGGATTTTGGATTATTTTAACAGTTATAAGTTATATATACATGTACACATAAAATATGTTATTTGAATTATACCTTTACACAAACATATCAAAGACAAAATTGGCAGGCATCTCAAGTAATTTTTATAAAGTTTTTCACTTTATAGCAATTACTTGAAGTGAAATAATTAGCTGTAGAGTGTTTAGCAGATTCTTTCAATAATTGATTGGCTTAACCCAACATATGATGAGTAAGAAAATAAGGAACTTTTTTTCCAATTAGTTTTGAGGAGGTAGATTCATTTTACCACACATATCGTAGAAGATTAAAGCTTCTCAGACTTAGCCAAGCAAAATATAAAATTTAGTGATGATTATCTAAAGAGTTATATTACTCAGAATTCTTTTCCTATTTCCAATGATGCAAAGGTTTACAAAATAGCATGACTAATTGCTCAAACAAATAATTGAGATGATTATTGATTATCTGATTGATATTTCTACAGAAATCATTGTATATTAAACATACTGTGATATCATTTCTTACTATTTTCCTTAGTAAGCCTAGAAAGATCAGCTATCAATGTTATCCCCAAAGAAAGTTGCTCGATTTGTATTTTCCATGGAATACTTGTACATATCTTCAACTTCCACAGTGTTGCTGATGACCCTTTGCTCTGAGGCTTTCCGAGATTGCAAAGTCTTTCTAAGATTTTCAACCAATCAGAAAAAAACCAAGTTGCAGATGCTAAAAAAAATTTCTTATAGATTCAAATCTATTATTTTTTTTTTGCAACTAGGCTAAGTAATTGGTCTTTAACCTAAGGATAATTCCATTATTAGAATTGAAACACTGATTTTTTTTCATAGCTTCTTCTGAACCATTTTGCTTTTTGTATACTGGTTAATGCATTATTTTATCCTATGTGACAAAAGAAATGTTAGAAATATAGGTTTTATATCATTGCAGATAATAATTCCGTGAAGTATAGTCCTGTCACAAAGATTCATGGTTTGTTAATGCAGAGGGTCCTTTTACCACAAAACCAACTTTACCTATAAGGAGTTAAAAGTAGTATATCAGGAACCTGCTATCTAGACCTAGAAAGGTACAGCTTTTTATTTCTAATGTTAAGGACTCAAAGGGTAGCATTATATCTGAGAGTTTAATACATTTAGCTCTTTTGTTTTCATATCATTATGAAAATTGCAGTGTGTTATAGTAGAAGTAGTATGAACTTTGAAACTAGAGCTATATGAACTCAAATCTTAGTTCCATTAAACAGCAGTATAATCTTCGGTTAGTAATTTAGCCCACCTGAAACTCTATTTTCCTGTCTGTAAGATGAAGCAGAAATGTTACCTTAAAAGGTTGTAATGAGGATTGATAGAGAAAATGAGTATAAAGTGTCAGGAACATAGTAGGGTCTTAATAAAAGAGAATTATTAACATGCTTTGTATTACTACAAATGTAATTCTGCATTTAAGACATCAAAAAAGTTGTAAGAAATCAGAGATTCCAAAGATGGGCTGGATTTTATCCCCTAGCCTGGAGAACCAGAAGTTGAGGAGGACAATGAGCACAGCTCTGCCTACACCACAGCATCCTAACCTCGTTAAAGGCCTCTCTTTGTGCATCTAAAAGACAATTTTTCTAAGTGTATTTGTTTGCTAGGGCTGCCATAGCAAAGTACCACAAACGGATGGCTTAAAAACATAGAAATGTACTGTATCACAATTTTGGAGGCTAGAAGTCCAAGATGGAGGGGTCAGCGGAGTTGGTTCCTTCTCTGTGAGAAAGAATCTCTTCATGCCTCTTCATTAACTTCTGGTGGTTTGCTATTAATCTTTATGTTTTTCAGTTTCTAGAAGCATTCCTCTGATCTCTGCCTTCCTCACGTGGTGTTCTCCCAATGTCTATGTCTGTGTCCAAATTTTTCTTTGCTATAGGGACACCATACATATTAGAGTAGGTGCTTACCCTACTCCAGTATGACCTCATCTTCATTTGTTACATCTGCAGTGACCCTGTATTAGTCCGTTCTCACACTGCTATGAAGAGCTACCTGAGACTGGGTAATTTATGAAGAAAAGCGGTTTAATTGACTCACAGTTCCAAACGCTGTACAGGAAGCATGGCTAGGAGACTTCAGGAAACTTACAGTCATGGTGGAAGGGTGAAGAGGAAGCAAGCACATCTTCACATCGTGGCAGGAGACAGAGAGCAAAGGGGGAAGTGCCACACTTTTAAACAACCAGATCTCATGAGAACTCACTCACTATCATGAGAACAGCAAGGCAAAAATCTGCCCGCATGATCCAATCACCTCCCACCAGATCCCTCCACCAACAATGGGAATTATAACTCAACATGAGATTTGGGTGCAAACACAGAGTCAAACTATATCAGACCCTATTTCAAAATAAGGTAACATGTTGAGGTACTGGGTGTTAGGAATTCAGCATATAAATTTTGAGAGAACACAATTCATAGCATTGCATTCCTAGTTATTAGGAATGACAAAATGCTTCTTAATAATCACAGGCTGGTAGGTTATAGCTGTTAGTCACATATCTTCTTTAAAATAAACATAGCAAATAGGACAATAATAATAAAGACATGGAAAATAGATTACGGAAGTTTTTTTGGAAGTCATTTTAAAGCTTTCTTTGTTCTTGTTTTTAAAGGAACTCATTCAATTTTCTCATGCCATCTCAAAGAAAATTATTTCCCTCACTCATATGTCTATCCTTATGAAGCCAGGAAGCCAAATAAGCAATTAATAAATAATTATGAAGGAACCTTTATATGGGAAGGTCTCATCTAGATATTGTGAGAAATAAAAAGGATTATTTATTGATTCAACAGATGTTTACATGTCAGGAATAGTTCCAAGCTCTAGGGACATAGTGGTGAATAAATCAGACATAGCCTCTACTCTCGTGAAACTTATATAGCTGAAACTAACCAGGAAACCTAACAAAATTTTTAGTAACATTTACCAAGTACTTGATAAATGGTCAAGTGTGTGTAAGAGACAATGTATATATTTTTAAATGTCGAGTTTTCTCTGGTCTCTGATAATCTAGGAAAGCGTTCTTGACAGATAAGGAACTGAGTTGGATCCTGCAAAAGATGATTGAGATTTTGATAGAGGAAAGAAGAAAATAGATAAAAGTAGGCTGATGATGTGAAAAGGAAAACGATGGTAGGAAAAGTTGACAGAACAATGACAAGACCAATTTGACAGGCTACTATTTATGTTAGAGAGCAGGAGAAAGAAAAATTGCAAAAAAGTTCAAGACCAAGTAGTTGGTGGTTTATCCTATAGGTAATGGAAAATTATTTATTGTTTTCTTAGAGAAAGTGGATGGTATAAAAAGAATATAAATTTGATTGTGAGACAAATGTATTTCAGAAGAATATGATAGATGCAGTGAAACCCATTAGGATAAATATTGCAGAAACTTTGGTAATAGGTTAGAACTAAAATGATAGAAGGATTTGATATTCTCTTTCTTCTTCTTCTTCTTCTTCTTCTTCTTCTTCTTCTTCTTCTTCTTCTTCTTCTTCTTCTTCCTCTGTATAATCTTTGAATGGATGCTTCTACTTGAAAGATTTTAACTACCACCTCTATGCCAATGATTTCCATTTTAAATCTGTACAATCTTGATCCTACATTTCAGGTTTACATTTTCAACTGCCATCTTTGTTTGTATCTCCACCAGATGTCCTAAACGCAGTATATAACACACTTTCCTGCATCTTTTCTTGAGTGTGAATTGCATCACCAACTATCTGCACAAGCTAGAGACTTGTGAGTTACCTTCTCCTCCAGCATCATCCATATCCTATGAGTCCTCAAGTCCTGTTTATTCTACCTTTTAAGTTTTTCTCAAATTCAGCCTCTCTTCCCCTTTATACTATCACTGTCTTAATTTAGGCACCTTAAAATTCCTTAACTTTAATTGCCATAAAATCCCTTCAACCTGGTCTACCTAGTCTTACTCTCACTCAGTGCATTTTACCAGACAAGCACTAAAGAGATTCGATTATGCGATTATTATTCAGCTAAAATGCCTTTCAATGGCTTTTTATTGCCTCTAGGATAAAGTTTAATTTCTTATTTCGAGACACAGTTTCCTCAGGATCTGATCCAAGCTTATTTCTCTAGCTAATTTTTGTCATATTCTGTAAAGAACTTTGTGCTCCAGAGATACGGAGCTGTTTTCATTCTTCTGTATGTCCCTGGTTCTCTCTTGTTTCTGTTAAAAATTTTCTACTTCCTTTGATTTATGAATCTCCTCAAATCCATTTAAAAAAATAAAGAAGAATTTTTGTTTACCTTTTTAAACATTAAAACTACAACACATATTTATTGTAAAAACCTTAAACACTATTAACTGATCCTCAGTTATGTTTTCCAGGGGTATCTATTGTCAACCCTTTTTTGTGTATCTGTCCAGGAATTTTTGGTTACATGTGCAATTATTAAACGCTCTTCACTGATCTTCAGTTATGTTTTGCAGAGGTATCTATTGTCAACCCTTTCTTGTGTATCTGTCCAGGAATTTTTGGTTACATGTGCAATTATATGTATATTTATTATTTCCTTATTAAAATAAGACAGAATGTTATATATACTGTACTTCTTATTTATGGGATATGGTGATCACAGAGAATTTTAGGCTTTAAAATTTCAGAGGGGAACATTTCAAGGAATATTTCCAAACATGAAATGGGACCATGAAAGTTGCTTAGATGAAATGGGGAAAAATGTTATTAACAGGTGGAGCAAAAGGGAGGCCATAATGGTACCAGAGCTATTCAATGTTTAATTTACCCATCAAGACAGCAGAAATGGAATGGAGTCGACAATCATAAATCAGATGATATAGGCTATGATATGGGCTTCACTAAGGTATTATGAGAGGTGTGCTATGATATGGGCTTCACTAAGGTATTATGAGAGGTGTAAAAGTCCTATACATTGATATCTTCTGTTAATTGTAAACATTCTGGCTTAATACAGGAGACTATAATTATATCCAAAATACAATAGGTTTAGGATATTGCAATAGAAATGAGAACCAATTAGTTTCAATTAATTTTCTGTTAGGCATAATAATGCTTCCCCAATCCCTATTGCCCTGCCAAAGAGTCTACATGTCCTAATCCTCGCAACCTGTGATTGTTACCTTATATAATAAAAAGGTCTTTGCAGATTTGATTAAATTAGGGACTTTTAGGTGGGGAGATTATCCTAGATTATCAGAGTGCGGCCAGTTTTGTAATTCAAAGGTCCTTAAAAATGGAAGAGGGAGGCAGAAAGAAATTTGACTACATGAAAGGAGGTCAGAGTGATGCAATGTGAGGAGGGTTCAATTTACCTTTCCTAGCTTTAAAGATGGGGCATGAGCACCACGTCAAGGAATGTAGGCTGCCTCTAGAAGTCACAAAAGGCGAGGAAATTGATTCTCTTCTAGATCCTCTAGAAGGAACGAAGTCCTGCCACACCTTGATTTTAGCCCAGTAAGACCTATTTTGCACTTCTGACCTCAAGAATGATAAGTTAATAATATTGTTTAAGCCACCACCAATTTTGTGGTGATTTGTTATAACAGCAAAAGAAAATAAATGCAAGTGTTCTTCCTAAAGGTTTTCAAATCAAGAAGCTACCTTGCTAGGTCAGACTTTGGTGTTTAGATTAATTATAATCCTGAGCTAAATTTGAAGGAACTCCTCAAATCCCTAGGGATTCAAGAGTCTTCCACAAGTTTAAGGTATAGACATCGAGGATTTAAAAAAATGTAACAGTGACTGGAGTTTCCCTATGAAGAGGAGTTCATGATTAAAGTATATTGTAGCTGTATTTTAACTTATATAGGCTTTCATTTAAGAAACTGTATAGACAGCTCAACAGCTGTCTCTACATCTTTTAGAAAAACAAAAAAGTATTAATTTACTGATAGTTATTCAGAGTAGGTGAAATGAGAGACATCCCATAAACATTTAGTAGCATAGCAGAACTAATAACTCTATTTCTTGAGCTCCTCCACTTGCTGGAACTAATAGCTATGAATCTAATGTGCCTTCATTTCTCTCAAATTTGCAACCTAGCTTAGATAGGGGCCTTGGTAAATATTGGATTTGGTAATATTATAAAACCGAAATGGGGTCCATTCACCCACCACAGTAAAACTCAGAGGTTTTTGCAGTGACAGAAAGGAAGGTGTTTATTGCAGGGCGCCAAGCAAAAAGATTCAAGGAAGCTCATGCTTAAGACCCAACCTCCCCAGTGGCCTGCAGGTAAGAGTTTTTAAAGGCAGGAGCAAATTTCAGGAGAGCAGAAGCTACAGGCAAAATCATAAATCAATACATGGAGGTCACACATTAGTTTTGGCCTAAAAGGGTGAGATATCTTGAAGCAGGAGCTTACAGATGGTAGGTAGATTTAAAGATCTTCTGATTGGCAATTGGCTAAGAAAGAGAAACTCTTTTCAAAAATTTGGGATCATGGCTGGGTGTGGTGGCTGACACCTGTGATCCTAGCACTTTGGGAGGCTGAGCCACGTGGATCACTTGAGGTCAGGAGTTCGAGACCAGCCAGGCCAACATAGTGAAAGCCCATCTCTACTAAAAATACAAAAAAATTAGCCAAGTGTGGTGGTGGGCACCTGTAGTCCCAGCTACTCGGGAGGCTGAGGCACAAGAATCGCTTGAATCTGAGAGGCGGAGGTGGCAGTGAGCCCAGATCGCACCACTGCAACTCCAGCCTGGGTGACAGAGCGAGACGCTGTCTCAAAATTTAAAAAAGTAAAATTGGAGGTGAATAAAAAAATGTTAACCGGTTAGGGGGAATGACTTCCCCCAAGCCCCTTACGAAGTAACTTACAACAAAGGGTGATAGTTAAAGTTTAGTCTTCACTTCCCCCTTATCTGGGGTCTAAGTGCCAACAGATCCATTCAGTGAGAGTCTGAGCCCATGAAAGACAACTCGGGGACCTATGGTAAAACGTTATCTTTAGCTCCTACAGGGAAATAAATAGCTCTAGAACAAGTTACTTATTTACTTCTGGGGCTGGAATTTCCCTTGAAGGGACTCGGGATTTTCCTTTATTTCTGTGCTTGGTGTCCACAGACCCCTAAAAAAGGGGGAACCATGCTCCATTGTAGTAAATATCAGTAAAAAGTAAGTAAATTACTCACTTTTATTTTTTTTTTGAGACAGAGTCTTGCTCTGTTGCCCAGGCTGGAGTGCAGTGGCACGATCTCGGCTCACTGCAAGCTCTGCCTCCCGGGTTCACGCCATTCTCCTGCCTCAGCCTCCTGAGTAGCTGGGACTACAGGCGTCCGCCACCGTGCCCGGCTAATTTTTTGTATTTTTAGTAGAGACGGGGTTTCACCGTGGTCTCAATCTCCTGACCTCGTGATCCGCCCGCCTCGGCCTCCCAAAGTGCTGGGATTACAGGCGTGAGCCACCGCGCCCGGCCAAATTACTCACTTTTAAAACTTTAAATATAATTTCTAATTAAGTATGATTTCGTAGACATTACTAAAAGAAAAATGTTGTGGGAAAGGTTAAGAAACAAGATCTAAATAACAGTTTTTAGAAAGGACATTTTACAATGTGGCATACACGGGTAAGCACTGGTTCTATTTATCATTAAAGAATAGTGAAAAGAAAATTTAACATATCTCAAAACTTTTTTGACTTGTGTAGTTTTTTCAGACACTTTAGACCTTTAAAATTTGCATATTTTCTGAACTATTACTGTATTATGATAGAGATTATCATATATTTTCAGATAATGTTTTAACAATTCAACTTTTATTTGTAACTCTTCCATTTATTTTAATTACTAGCACAGTGTGCAACATTTATTAATCAGCAGAGCCTTTTTAAGTTAAAATACTAAATTAGCTAACCCCATTAACACAGAATACTCCAAACAAGCAGTAATAGGAGAGGTAGTTACTGTGCAAATCGTATTATACATGCGGGTGCTCTAGGGCACAGTTAAGCATGATTACCCTCTTTTGATCCAGTATTCCTCTGCCTCTCCCAGCTAATTTCCAGTGGAAATTTACAAAGTGCTGCCTTCATTTTTCCAGCTTAATTTTTCTAATGAAGTTCTGGTACTTTATAACACTGGGGATATAGATAATAAGCCTGTGTATAATTAAGAAGTTCTAGAATTTGTCTACAAAAGAGCCCTGTATTACTTTGGCTGTATAGTGAGAACTGTGCTCTCTTTTTGTCCACTGTTTCTCTGAAAGAAAAAAAAAAGTTTATTTTAAGTAAATGACCACAGAATACTAGAATTCTATTCTTACAGACACCTGCGTCTAAAGAAGCTTAAGATTTTAAAAATCTATACAGTTTGATAATTTGGAATACTTTCAGTGATATGCTTGAGAATATGTACTTTTAGTATATATCATCAGACAAGTCATAAAAAGACAATTTTAATATTTGGACTTTATGTGGTAGAGACATTCATAAGACCAGCACAGTGTTTTAGGCCCTGAGTGAAAGATCAGATAGCTTGCAGTTATCACTCTGTTAGCTATGGAGATGTTTTAGAAATGGGAGTCAATGGGGTCAGAGGCCAGAGTCACTGGGGCCACAGTCCAGGTCAGAGATGAAGAGGACTTGCCATAGAACTGAGACGTTGGTAATGGAGGGTAGAGAAAGGTTGAGAAGCTGCTTTATAGGTAGGATCCTGTAACCAGGGGTGTCCAGTTTTTTGGCTTCCCTGGGCCACACTGGAAGAAGAAGAAGAATTGTCTTGGGCCACACATAAAATACACTAATGATAGCTGATAAACTTTAAAAAAAAATCACAACAAATAATTTTTAAATGTTTGAAGAAAGTTTACAAATTTGTGTTAGGCTGCATGTGGCCCACGGCGCATGGGTTAGACAAGTTTGCTATAAACCCTAAATCAGATTTAGGGGTGAGCCTGATATGGTCTGGATGGTGTGGTCAGAGGCACAGATGCATTTAGGATCACTGTCTCAGAGCTTTCTTACTCGCAAAGAACAAAGATCCATTCAAGGAAACTCAAGAAACTAAGGGGGTGTTTAAAAGATATATTGAGGAATTTTATAGAGATATAAAGACCCAAAGAAAAACTGGACTAAGATGAGTAGGGGGCTGTAAAGACATGGCGTTCTCCTTCTAGTGGCATCTCTTCCTTCCTCTGCACCTTCATCTGCTTCTTTCTACTGACTAGCTTAACTGATGACTTGTAAATCATAAACTTTCTTTCCCATAAATCTTTAGCTTTCACTTAGTTACCACCCAGGCCTAATTCAATATAACCTTCCAGCTCTAGAACCCACAGCTACTTCTGTTTTTCAGTTCAAATTTCTGAGAGAGAATCTGTTTTGCTCAATTTGTGTTAACAAATTTGCTCACATACCCCATAGGCTTGGAACAAAATAGACAATAAATAAGGGTTAAGTTAAAGGTCTATTAACGTACTAATAGACCACGACTGTGGTCTCGGGGAGGGGTGTCCCATTATATCAAATACAGTTTTTTTTGTGAGAGTAGAGCCACAAGCAAGAATCTCCTCAGATTGAGGAGAGCAGAGGCAGGAACGTCCTCTCATGCCCTGACTTGATGGCTTCTGACTTAGGTGACTGGCTAGAGGATGATGTTCTGACTTATCTAAGAAAAAATATATAAGAAGCATTGCAAATTTGATAGCATGGAGGATTTGGATATGAGTTTAATTTGGAGGCAGCTCTATTTGAGGTTCCTCTAGTGTATCAAGGGAAATATCCATAGTGAACATTTGAAAACACTGTTCTTCAGTTAAAGAAAGATATTGTGTATTGAGATAAAGATTTAGAAATCATCAGTTTAGAGGTGATAGTTAAAACCTTGGTGGTGGAATAATCCCTCAGGAGAAACTATATAGAGAGAAGATTACAGATTTCTAGGAATTGCTTTAATGTTAGGGCAGTGGTTTTTGTTTTTTTTTTTTTTTTTGAGACGGAGTCTTGCTCTGTTGCCCAGGCTGGAGTGCAGTGGCACGATCTCGGCTCACTGCAAGCTCCGCCTTCCGGGTTGATGCCATTCTCCCGCCTCAGCCTCCTGAGTAGCCGGGACTAAAGGCACCCACCACCACACCCGGCTAATTTTTTGTACTTTTAGTAGAGACGGGGTTTCACCGTGTTAGCCAGGATGGTCTCGATCTCTTGACCTCGTGATCCGCCCGCCTCGGCCTCCCAAAGTGCTGGGATTACAGGCGTGCGCCACCGTGCCCGGCAGGACAGTTTTAGTCAGGATTGCTTAACTGCATCACCTTGAGGTTTAAAAATATATGCATATGAATTCCCAAGTCTCAATCACAGTTAGTTTGGTTCAGTAGGCATATATATTTGCAAAATATGCCCAGGTGATTCAAATGCACAGTTCTGGTTAAGAGTCATTACTTTCAGATATTGGCAGAATACGAGTCAGTCAAGAAACAGAGACAGCAAGAAAGAGAACCAGGAGCGATTGTGCAAATAAAAGAGGACTGGCTACAAGAAGTGAATGAACAGCTTGATGCAAGTTCAAATTCAGTGAAAACTGAAAAGGAGGCCGGGTGCGGTGGCTCACGCCTGTAATCTCAGCACTTTGGAAGGCCGCGGTTGGCAGATCACGAGGTCAGGAGATCGAGACCATCCTGGCTATCACGGTGAAACCCCGTCTTTACTAAAAAACGCAAAAAATTAGTTGGGTGTGGTGGCGGGCGCCTGTAGTCCCAGCTACTCTGGAGGGTAAGGCAGGAGAATGGCGTGAACCCGGGAGGCGGAGCTTGCAGTGAGCCAAGATCGCGCCACTGCACTCCAGCCTGGGTAACAGAGCGAGACTCCGTCACAAAAAAAAAAAAAAAAGAAAGAAAGAAAAAGAAAGAAAACTAAAAAGGATATCTAGGATTTGGCTATTGGGGAGTCATTCATTAGTAGATTTTACTTTCCCCTGTGACTATCACCTAGTTGTTACTTCTCCTGTATTTTCTTTGGGAATTAACATCACATTAAGCCCTCTATATACTGTAGAATCTATAGTCTTCTGTTTAAAAATCGTTTTGTTACATCTTTGGTACATTCACAATTTATTAAGAATAACTAATGGTGATTTGGTGATCTCATACAAAAGCTTGCACAGTAATTTAAGATTTAATTTATCTTGTCAGGGACCTTAAAATCATTGACGGAGCTACTCACTTTAAAATTCTAAACCAGAGATTGCAAACTAGTAGCTTGTGAGCTGCATATGGCCTCCTGGGTGTGTTGTATTTGGATCCCACAATATTCTAAAAATTAGATAAATTGAAAAGTAATTAAAAATGGCAATTAAATTATTTAAAACTCCAGATTTTACCGCTTATAGCAAAAATCAGGAGATCTAGAAGGAGCAGACTCACAGTCTGACATGGCAACAATTGATTAAAACTTGGACTCTTTGGTTTACATCTGACTCGTTTATGTTACCTGCCTGGCCCTTTAACAGAAAAATAAGAGAGCCTTGTTCTGGACGATAAGCTTCTCAACAACAGAGCCCCTGACTTATGCACTACACTTAGCACAATCGTTCACAAACAGTAAGTGCTAAGAGGTTTTTTAAGATTGAATTTTGACTCTTGAGCTTGAACTAGATTTTGCTTGTTTTAGCCTAACATATCAGATCACAAAAATCATTCTCATTAAAAACAAGTCAAGCCAAAAAATGAAGTCAATTATGATTTCTCTTTGATGTTTATTAATACTACGCTAACAGTCTCAGTAATAGGCTTGTATTTTCTTTTGTTGTTCTTACTATGAACATGATTTTCCAAATTATGTCTCTTAAAAAACTAGTCTTAAGACTAATGTTAATGAGTTTCTTTCAAATAAATTTGGGGAAAAATTACATTGAAAACACTTAAATGGATTTTTGGCACTTACAGGGCTTCTCAGTCTTAAATATACTTTTATTTGATGTGACTATCAAAGAGGGGAAATATAATACAGTATATAGCATTTTGCAAGTGTATTCACTCAACAAATATTGCATGCTGACTATATGCCAGGCACTACATTAGGCATTGAGAACATAGCAGTGAGCAAGACAGACAAAAGTCTCTTTTTTTTTTTTTTTTTTTTTTTTCGAGACAGAGTCTTGCTCTGTCGCCCAGGCTGGGGTGCAGTGGTGTGATCTCGGCTCGCTGCAAACTCCGCCTCTGGCGTTCAATTGATTCTTCTGCCTCAGTCTCCCAAGTAGCTGGGACTGCATGTGCCCACCACTACACCTGGCTAATTTTTGTATTTTTAGTAGAGACAGGGTTTCACCATGTTGGCCAGGCTGGTCTTGCACTCCTGACCTTAGGTGATCCACCCACCTCGGCCTCCCAAAGTGCTGGGATTACAGACATGAGCCACCGCCCCCAGTGACAAAAGTCTATTGACTTCATGGAGCAAATGGCCTAGTTGGCCATGAGTCCCCTCATCTCATCCCCAGACCATAGTTTGGAATACGGTGCTCTGGATATAGTTGTTTGTATTTCTTGACACCTTCTATTTATTTATTTATTTATTTTGAGACAGGGTCTCAGTCTGTCACCCAGGCTGGAGTGCAGTGGCATGATCGTGACTCACGGCAGCTTTGACCTCCAGGCTCAGGTGATCCTCCCACCTCAGCCTCTCTAGTAGCTGAGACTACACCTTCTCACCACCACGCCCAGCTGATTTTTGTATTTTTTGTAGAGATGGGGTTTCACCACGTTGCCGAAGCTGGTCTCAAACTCCTGGGCTCAAGTGATCCACACACCTTGGCCTCCCAAAGTGCTAAGACTACAGGCGTGAGAAGTTTATGTTCTTTAAGTGATTTATATAAGTCCGTAAAATATCTAAGTTCATCATTTTTAGCCATTTTTGAAACTTTGTTAGTTTAAAACATTTGATGTAAATGGCCTAAAAGAAGAGCCTATGTGAATGCTATTTAGTTGCGGCCTTTAACTTTAGTATCTTTTAGCAGAGATTTTTAAAAATATTTTTCACAATCAGAAGAAAATAAAGTGAACTCTGCAAAATATATATCAGAAATTTGTTGCATAGATGTAATGAAATTACTGAGCCAAGGTGATTTGAGATTGTTAATAATAATAATAATAATAAATCCAGGGAAATGTATTCCTCTGAAGCTAAGAAAAATGTAAGGAAAAGGGAAAAATATCTTTCCAGTTAAATTTAGAAGCTTGCAATATAAGCTTACTGTTTAGTTGAACAGATAGTTTTGCCACTTGCATTCTTTATATTTAAACATTACATTTCTGTCTCCACCCTGGGGGGAAGATATTGCTGCCTAAATAGTTCATGAGTTTTAAATTTGTACTATGAATTCTACTCTAAGTATAAAATACTGTGTGTATTAAGCGCTTATAGCTATGGTTTGTCCTCAACCATAAAGGAAGTCTGTCTAATTTCTATTCCAGATTGTTGCTCATTTTATTAATATCTCTTCAACAAAAACTCCACTAATCTATGTTTTGAAATCTTTCTGTTCATACTAATGAGCTATATATTAGGTTTACCTGGACATTTAGGTGGTTAATACATACGGTAAAGATGCTTTTTATTTTTCATGTTGAAGGTAATGAAAAATAGACTGTTATTTATTTGCTGACCTTTTAGTAAAACTCAAACTATTCTGTGTCATAAAGGACAAATATTCAACAACTTATGGCCCTTTTTAATGGGCCATAACATGGTTTGTTTTTCTAGAAGGAGCAAAATTATTCATTATTAACTATACTTACTACAATTGTAAAACATGTCTCATCCTATTTCAAATATTGTTGCCAAATAATTTGTATATTTCCAATTACACGTTCTTTCGAAATGCTTTGCCTTAAAAAAGCTTGTGATTGGTTTATGAGAACCGGGTCATCTGATAATGAGATCAGGCACGAACTGGTTATAACTCAGCCCCTCAGCCCTCAAAACATTAAATTTACTATTTTCTTTCTTTCTTTCTTTTTTTTTTTTTTTTGAGATGGAGTCTCACTCTGTTGCCCAGGCTGCAGTGCAGTAGTGTGATCTCGGCTCAGTGCAGCCTCCACCTCCCGGGTTCAGATGATTCTCCTGCCTTAGCCTCTTGAGTAGCTGGGATTACAGCCCCATACCATCACATCTGGCTATTTTTTATATTTTTAGTAGAGATGAGGTTTTGCCATGTTGTCCAGGCTGGTCTTGAACATCTGAACTCAAGTGATCCACCCACCTCAGCCTCCCAAAGTGCTGGGATTACAGGCATTAGCCACAGCACCCGGCCTAAATTTACTGCTTTCTATATTATAATAATGGTTAAAATATTAGAGTTAAGATTAATTTTTGAGCAGGTGTACTTTTATAACATAAACATTTGCTGTTTGTTGATTCATTTATTAAATTAAATCAATGTCATTTACCCATATTTCCTCTTTACATTCTTGCATCAATTCTTTCCCAACTTTTAAACGTAGGTGTCTTTGCTTGTCAAATCAAGTTTTGTAGAACAGAGTACAGATTCCCTTCCCTTAATACGTCTGGAGTGGAATTTTTCTATTCTTATTTTCTTCATCCCAATTTAAATAACTGTTCTGTTTTGAACATTACTAAGCTCTTACTCCTTGAGACTTCTTTAGAAAGTATTTTAGATAGACCTTTTAAGCAGATATTCTGGGATGACCCCTAGCAGCCCATCCTATATCCCTATTTAGGAGTTCCTGTCCTTCCAGTGTTGTTAATGATTGGCATGAGGAGGCTGCTCATAGACTAACATCTTTATTAATGAAGCTTGTGATCTTTTGAGAATGTGCTAAAATTTTGCTATAAGAACAAAAAGCAATTGACATAATTCCTACTTTATGTAATTTAAAAGATAAAACTATTGATTTTCTAAGAGATTCTTTGTCATTTATTACCCCAGTAGTGCATGCTAAAGAAATAATAGCATCTTACAGTCACTCTTATTAGAAGTAAACTACTACTTGAACGTATGATGTTCAATTACTCAAATATTGCAACAATAAAATTCATAAGACCTTATTTGCTATTCTGTTATCTCATTATATTTTCTTGTCTGTAAAGGATAGGAGGTTTTCAAACTTGAAAAGTAAATAATTTTATACCTACTTTGAGAATAAGAAAAAGTATGTGTTTCTCTTTTCCCACCTGAAAAAGTGTATGTGTCAATAGTCACTTATTGTTTAAGAGTCTTGTATTTATTTTATAATTCATAAATATGAAATCTCTTCCAATAGAAGGTGGAAAATGTCAGACTTCTGTGGGCATCAAATGATCATAAGGCATGTAATTTAGCAACAGAGTTTAGAGAGAGGAATGTGATAATGGGTGTCCACCTTGATCCTCAGTCTTAATCAGCCTTTGTAATACTGTGGCCAAGTCAGCCCTCCAAAGAGAGAGCCAGTGTAGCACCTCAGTGATGGTTACAGGGTGTGACAGGAGTATCTGCAACTGGGATAATATTCTCAGTTGCATGGAGATGCAACATCCATCATAGAGAAGTTAAGTAAGACAATACGAAACTGCTGAAACTTGACCTGTACTGATAGGAGACAATATAAGCACCCTGGCAACAGCATTCTATTTTCTGTCTTTTTTTTTTTTTTTTTCTGAGACGGAGTCTCACTCTGTCGCCTAGGCTGGAGAGCAGTGGCTCGATCTGTAAGCATAAGCACAACTGAATATATATTAAAAACTGGTAAAAGAATATCGTTTTAAAGTAATTGATAATTATGTAAAATTTTACTATAAATCAAAGTGATTTTTTAATGTTAGTAGCTATTTATACTTTATAGAGCAAATCTGATTTGAGAATTAAATAATTTTTTCCTAATTTGAAGATAAATGTTATTTAAAGATTATAAAATATCTAAATATTTTTGAGTATACATACATGCACATATATATGTACAATTAAGAATATGTATATATGTTACTTTCATGAAACATGATGGCTAAATGAAAGTAGAGTTAATTCACGAGCAGGGAAATACCCAGTCTTCCAGCCTTGTCGTCTCGGCCATTCATTCCCTTGAGAAGGCAAATTTTGTTCAGACACAAAAGAAAAATGTACTATTAAAATGCAATTCAGAAGTGATAAAAACTGTAAGTGCAGCAGCCGGCTCGCAGCACCTCCTTTGTATACTCAGGGACATTGGGGCCACATTAGTTTGTTTGTGTGTGATGTCCATCCCACATGCAAATTAGCACTGGAAGGACCATAATCTATCTTATATGAGAGCTCTTTTCCCAAGAGCATACGTAATACATGCTTCTGTAACTTTGTATAATTCAAAGCTCTGTATTCTGTTTATTTTTTATTTTAAATAGTGTTAGAAAATATATTCTTAGGAAAAATATTAAGAATTAATTTATTAATAAATATTAAAAAGAAATTGCAGAGAGGTATTAAAATTGATGAAAGAATTCTACTTTTTCTAAGTTTATTAAATGGCAAAAATAATAATTTTCCATTGAATTTAGACTTTTAAGAACACCCTTCTTTATCTTAACTAAATTAGATCATCTGTGTGAAAATTTTGGCATATAGTAATGGCTCAATAAATATATGTTGAACCTCAACTTTTTTTTTAAGTCTGAATTTCAGAATATTTTTCTCAGGAGAATATTTTATTTTGCTATTTATAGTTTTTATTTCCCAGAGCTTCCACTTTTCTCTAAATGTTTCTTTTATTTAAAAAAGCATCCAACTTTTATTTCATTAATACCGTATCTCCTTTGATTATATGTGTTAAAAATTTCTGAATTTACTCCTGTTTGCTGCATTATGATGTCTGTTTCCTCTAGCTTATTCCTTATGTTTGGATTTCTGTCCTTCTTCCACGTTGATTATTTTCCCACTGGTAATTCATTCTTAAGTTTATATTAAAAGGGAAAATATAAAAATTAGATTAGAAACTCTATGGGTGTAAAAGAGTGGCTTTTTGATAGATTTTATTATACTCTGATACAGCTTTTTAATCAAAACATCCCCAAATTGTTGATATTTGAACTCGTTTCTCTGAGAACTGTCATGTCTTTTCAGAAGATGCAATCAGTCTTCTGAAGGATATAAGTCCAAGCTGCCAGTGCACTTAAGAGACGAGCAGGGAAAGAGTTCAATGGCCAGTCTTTGGATTAAAATCTACATATTCCATTTGGTGCCTCCCCTTAGCATTCCTCTGTACGTGCTTTCCTTGAGACTAGAGCTTTTTGGTGTAAATTTTTCTGAGAATAGGCTCTTATGGATACATGGACTGGGACATGAACCTGGGGATTTCATTACTCCTTACATAGACTTTCAGCTGTTTTCAGCTTCATTCCTTCTCTCACTTTCTGCAATAACTGTAGATTTAGTTCCTGAGCTTTTCCATGGTTCTGCAGGACAAATTGCCCTGTTTCTCTTTGACATCTCATTCTTCTGGCACTTAGATTTCAGTTTTCTTAACTCTTTTGTGTCATTTATGAATTTTCTATCTTCCTTCCACCTGCTAAAATTAATTGGTATTTTCAATTGCTCTTTCTTATTTTCTGTCCTATTTCTTCTTATAGGTTTATAACTTTTTAAAAAGATTTATTTACTCTTATTTCAGTGTGTTTTGGTGAGGGATCTGGGTTATACTGAAAGCATATCACAATCTTAGATGTTCTGTGAGAGTTTATATGGGTTTTAAAAGTTTGGTCTTTTCTGTTGATCATAAAAATATCTAAAGTAATAATGATGATGGTAATGATAATGGTTGCTGCAACAGGTTCCTTCGATTTTTACATCTGCTTTTAGCACCAACATTATTTATTGGACACATTTTTTTCAGCCTCCATGTTAAATACCTTACATAAATTAAGTTGTTCATTCATTGTAATAACCCTATATGGAAGTCAAGGCTCATTCAGGTAACTTGCATAGGGTAATACAGCTAGCAAAGCAAAGCTAAGATGTGATTACAGGTCTGGCTGGCTTGAAGACCCCATTATTCATAACTGCTACCACTACCAATAATGCCACCATTATTGAAGTGACTTAAAATTGAAGAAAGCCTACTTCAGTAAGAATTGACTGTACTGGCTGTCCTTTTGATTTAGGGATACTATTTTAAAATTAAGAACATTTTCATTTATATGATGAATTTTGAGTTTTTGGCATAATTAATTCATAAATGTATTATTTAACATTATCTCTATATATAAAATACTTGAGACTCACAAAAATTCTGTGAAGAACATTTTAGTATCTCTATTTGCAGAATAGAAAATAAAGATTAATAGAAGTAATTAACACAGATAATCAGTGGCAGAGGTTGAAATGGAATCTAGGTATTCTGATTCTAAATCTTGTATCATTTTCACTGTACTATAGTACTTCTACAAAGCCTTATTTTAAAAATCAAATGTCTCTAGAAATCAAGTTAAGAATAGCTCTTAAATATTTCTTTCAGGTTTTTGCCATTTTCTTCATACCATAAAAATGAAAAGTACATCCCATCAATGCATTTATCAAGCAAGTATGGTCCTATTTCTTACAAAGAACAATTCCGAAGTGAAAATCCTAAGAAATGGATCTGTGACAAGGTGAGTTAACAAAACATTTTAAAAAGTTATTCCTTTTTAAAAGCTAGAAATATACATTAATTAGAGCAAATATAAATATTCTTATTACAATTAAGACCTTTATGGTAACAACATTTTTTATAGCTGTTTTAGGTAAAGATGGTGCTGCTGACCTATGTAAGATTTTTTTTTTTCAGTATTGTATTCTTAAGTTTTATGACTTAGCTATAACTTAGCTGCCCTAGGATCAAAGGCATGGATCATTGGCTTTGGCATATGACCAGGTGGTCAGGGCTTGAGTATGAGGTCACAGAATGGAGTTAAGCTAACTCTCAGGCATGGAGATCAGGGCTTGTTTGCTCTCTCTCAATCTATGTATGTATGTTTATAGATAGCTAAATAAAGAGGAGGGGAGAGAAGACAAGCATTATATAAAACATGATGTATAAATGTATAACATACATTTAACCTGCATATATGTATATGTGCAACTCCTGAGTGTCATATGCACTTTCATAACAGGTACAGCACGTATATGTGGCACTTATGTGATATATTAGTCTATACTCAGACTGCCACAACAAAGTACTATAGACTATGTGGCTTCAAGCACAGACATTTATTTTCTTACAATTCTGGAGGCTGGAAGTCTGAGATTCCTGCCAACATAGTTTCTGGTGAGGCCTTTCTTCCTGGCTTGTAGACAGCTACCATCTCCCTGTTTGCTCATATGACCTCTTCTCTCTGGGCAGAGAGAGAGCAGGCTGTCTTGTATCTCTCCCTGTAAGGGCACTAATCCCAAGGGACCAGGACTCTACCTTCATGACCTTATTTAACCTCAATCACCTCCTTACAGGTTCCGTCTCTAATACAGTCACATTACAGATTAGATATTCAACATATGAATTCTAGGGAAACACAATTCAGTTCATAGCCTTCCATTCCTGGCCCCCAAACTCATGCACTCTTGAATGCAAATACATTCTTTCCATCTCAAAAGCCACAAGAATCTTAATACATTTAGTACCCACTCTAAAGTCTAAAGTCATATCTAAATCATAGGAACATGACAAGGGTGCCCACTCTTTTTTTTCTGTTTTTGAGATGAAGTCTCGCTCTGTCGCTCAGGCTGGAGTGCAATGGCGCAATCTTGGCTCACTGCAACCTCCGCCCCTCAGATTCAAGTGATTCTCCTGCCTCAACCTCCCAAGCAGCTGGGACTACAGGCGCATGCCACCACACCTGGCTAATTTTTTGTATTTTCAGTAGAGACAGGGTTTCACCCTGTTAGCCACGATGGTCTCCTTCTCCTGACCTGGTGATCTGCCCGCCTCAGCCTCCCAAAGTTCTGGGATTATAGGCATGAGCCACCGCACCCAGCCTCAAGGATGCCCAGTCCTTGAGGCATTCAGTATAGTACTGGAAGTCCTAGCCAGAGCAGTTAGGCAAGAGAAAGAAAGAAAAGGCATCCACACTGGAAAGGAAGACATAAAATTGTTTGCAAATGACATGATCTTAAATATTAAAAACCCTAAAGACTCCACCAAAAGACTGTTAGAACTAATAAACAAATGCAATAATGTTTCAGCATACAAAATTAACATACAAATATTAGTAGCATTTCCATATACTAACAACGAACTGTTCCAAAAAGAAATCAAGATAATAATCCCACATAGGAATGAATTTAACTAAGGAAGTAAAAGATCTGTACATTGAAAACTATAAAATACTGATGATATAAATTAAAGAAGACACAAATAAATGGAAAGGTATTCTGTGTTCATGGACTGGAAAAATTTAATATTGTTAAAATGTCCATATAAACAAAGTGATCAACTGAGTCAATACAATCCCTATCAAAATCCCAATGTCATTTTTCACAGAAATAGAAAAAATAATCCTTGGCCAGGCAGGGTGGCTCATGCCTGTAATCCCAGCACTTTGGGAGGCCAAGGTGGGCAGATCACTTGAGATCAGGAGTTCGAGACCAGCATGGCCAACTTGGTGAAACCCTGCCTTTACTAAAAATACAAAAGGTAGCCGGGTGTGGTGGTGCCTGCCTGTAGTCCCAGCTACTTGGGAGGCTGAGGCAGGAGGATCACTCAAACCTTGGAGGCAGAGGTTGCAGTGAGCTGAGATCGTGCCACTGCACTCCAGCCTGGGTAAAACAGTAAGACTGTCTCAAAAGAGGAAAAAAAAAAAGAAGAAGAAAAGAAAAAACAATCCTAAAATTCCTGAACCACAAAAGACCCTGAACAGCCAAAGCAATCTTGAGCAAAAAGACTAAAGATGGAAGCATCACACTATCTGATTTCAAATTATATTACAAAGTCATAGTAATCAATACAACATGGTCCTAGCATAAAAAATAGACACATCAAACAATGGAATAGGATACAGAACCCAGAAATAAATGCACACATTTGTGCTCAATTGATCTTTGACAAAGGTCCCAAATACACACAGTGGGGACAGGATGGTCTCTTCAACAAATAGTGATGAGAAAACTGTATATCCACTGCAGAAGAATGAAAGTGGATCCTTATCTCACACCATATGCAAATATCAACTAAAACTAGATTAAGACCTGAAACTGTAAAACTACTAGAAGGAAATATAGGAAAAAAGCTTCTTGACATTGGTCTAAGCAATTATTTTTTGGATATGACCCCAAAAGTATAGGCAACAAAAGCAAAAATAGACAAATAGAATTGCATCAAACCAAAAAGCTTTGCACAGCAAAGGAAATGATCAACAGCGTAAAGAGACAAACTATGGAATAGGAAAAAAAATTTGCCAACCATACATTTGATAGAGTTAATATCTGAAATATATAAGGAACTCATACAACTCAATAGCAAGAAAACAAATAACCTCTTTTAAAAATGGGCAAAAGACTGGAATAGACATTTCTCAAAAGAAGACATGCAAATGGCCAACAAGTATATGAGAAGATGCTCAACATCACTAATCATCAGGGAAATGCAAACAGAAACCACAATGAGCTATAACTTCACACATGTTAGAATGGCTATTACCAAAAAGACAAAAGATAATGTATTGGCAAGGATGTGGAGAAAATGGAACACTTGTACACTATTGGTGGGAATACAAATTAGTACAGTCATTATGGAAAATGGAGGTTCTTCAAAAAATTAAAAATAGAACTACTGTAAAATCCAGCAATCCTATTTCTGGGTATAGATCAAAGGAAGTGAAATCCATATATTGAAGAGATATCTGCAGCCCCATGTTTACTGCAGCATTTTCAAAATCGCCAAGATATGGAATCAAACAAATTATTCACTGAATGACAAATGGATAAAGAAAATGTGCTAGATGTACACATTGGAATACTATTCAGCTTTTAAAAAGAAGGACATTCTGTCATTTGTGATAACATGGACAACCCTGGAGGATCTTACACTAACTGAAATGTTAGGCACAGAAATACAAATACTGCATGGTCTCATTTATATGTGAAATCTGAAAAAAATCAAACTCAGAAGTACAGAGTAGAATGGTGGTTACTAGGAACTTGAGGCAGGAGGTAGGGGTGAGAAATGAGAAGGGGATGTTTGTCAAAATGTACAAAGTTTCAGTTAGGATGAATAGTTCTGGAGATCTATTATACAGCATGGTGACTAAAATTAATAATGTATTGTATACTTGAAAATGACTCAGCATAGATCTTAAATGTTCTTGTCACAAAATAGAAATAACTGTGCTAAATCTTATGGATATGTTAATTAGCATGATTGTGGTAATCATTTCCTAATGTATATGTATAGCAGAAGATCATGTTGTACACTGTAAATATATACAGTTTTTACAAATGGCCAACAAGTATATGAGAAGATGCTCTGCATTATTAATCATCAGGGAAATGCAAATAGAAACCACAATGGCATATAACCTCACACATGTTAGAATGGCTATTAACAAAAAGACAAAAGATAACATGTATTGGCAAGGATATGCTGTGTTCATGGACTGAAAGAATTTAATATTGTTAAAATGTCCATACAACCAAAGTAATCTGTTGAGTTACTGCAGGTGTATTTAATTTGTCAATTATACCTCAGTAAAGCTGTGGGAAAACAAACAAGAACTACCAAGAAATACCATATAATCAGATATGGGAGAAACTTGCCTCATCCTGAGGCAAACTTCCTGTGTAGCTGTGAACCTGTGAAACCAGACAAGTTACGTGCTTCCAAAATGCAATGGTAGGACAAGCAAAGGGGTGATATTTCTATGCCAAAAGGGAAAAATTGGAAGAAAGGAATGGATGATATGTCTCAGTGAAGTCTAAAACCTAACAAGGCAAATTCTATTTCATGTTAAGACTTGAAAATAATCCTTTTTGGTTCAATATTTTGCTCTCCAGTTCCTCTGGGATGGCAGGGTCACCCTGATGGCTCTGTGGGTGAGGTAGAGTCTCTCTGCAAGGGTCCTGCCCACATAGCTCCGTGTAAGGGTGGGCCCTGCCCTAGAGGAACTGAACAGGGTCATCCTGCCCCACAGAATCTAGAGAGGCGGCCCCACTCTTTGAAACCTAGAAGGAAACGGTCCTGCTCCCTGGGCCTCTTGCAGGAGTAGCAGCCCCAGTGATCTCTGAATCCCCTTAGGGGTCATTCGTCCCTTTCCTTGAATAGTGGTCCAGTCCCTGTAGAACCCAAGAAGTCCCACAATCGGCCTTAATTCTTTTCTGCTTTCTCTGCACTATTTACTTCAAACTCTTGGCATCTTAGCTGGTATAATCTCATCTCTGTTCCTGGCTTCTGTCAATAGAGCTGATGAAGTCCCTGAGTCCCATCATCTCTTTATCTATTAGTCAAGAACTTTTTCTAGGCACTGGAAATATAAGGTATTGTTTCTACCATGTTATGCATTTTTTTAGCAATATGTTCCTACTCTAGCTCAAAACCCAGCACTCACAGACTGTTATGACATCATTTAATCTTAATCACCTTCTTAAAAGCTCTGTCTCCAATATAGTCACATTGAGAGTTAGGCTTCAATGTGACCACATGAGTGGTGGTGGGGGTGGCTACAAAATTCAGGCTATACCATGTAACATACAAGTTATATATGCAGCGCACATACAGCATGGTGATTATAGTTAATAATAATGTATACTTGTATACAAACATACATATACATACTTATCTTTGTGCTGCACTTATAGATAGGGAAAAAAATTGTGTGACCCATATATACCATGGAATACTATACAGCCATAAAAAATGAAGTCATGTCCTTTGCAGCAACATGGATGCAGCTGGAGGCCATTATTCTAAGTGAATTAATGCAAACATAGAAAATCAAATACTGCATGTTCTGACTTATAAGTGGGAGCTAAACGATGAGTACACATGGACATAAAGATGGAAACAATAGATACTGGGGTCTCCAAAAGAGGGGAGGGAGGGAGGGAGGAAGTGGGGCAAGGGTTGAAAAACTACCTATTGAATGCTAGGTTCACTATTTGGGTGATGGGATCAATAAAAGTCCAAACCCCAGTATTACATAATATATTCATATAACAAACCTGTATATGTACACCCTGAAATGAAAAAAAAATCACATATAAAAGGAAACCCATATTACTCTCTAAGGACATTCCTAAGAGAGTTTGCTTTTCTGAAAACATTTAGTGTAAACATCATAACACTACATATTCTGCAAAATTTAAATGTTATGGCTCATCGTATTATGTTTTATATCTATAGCTTTTTAATTTAATTTTTGGCTTAGAGTAAAACTTTCAATATATCTGAATGAACAGGATAATGTATATGTATATTTATTGCCCATATTACAATTCAATAAGGGCTTCAGAATTAAGAACATTAGTCAAAAAACATGATATATAAAGGAAGAAAGAAAAAAATATTTTTTTATCTGATTTCAAAATATTTTTTACCTCTTAAATAAAAATGTCTGAATTGGGAAAACATGTCTTAGACTATAAGAGATGAAAAGGGAAGGTTCTTACTATGCGTTTAACCTGTTGTTTCTTGTAGGGAGAAAATACAATTTCTTTTCTTTCCCTCATACATTCTTAGTTGAGATACTTTCCTGAAAAGTCAGATTAACAAGAGAAAAACCCAGTCAAAGTGTATTAACACATGCCATACCTATCACATGGAAGAGGCCTCAGTTCAAAAGTATTTCTCTCTCAAGGCATGGCACAGGAGCCTTGCATAAACAGCACTTTAATAAAGAGCCATACGTTCTATATAGTGACAAAACAAAGAATAGAGTATCTCCAGCCTTCCAAAAAGCAGGAAAATATGGGAAGATACATTCATGGAAAGAACAAAGTCTCCTCCAGGATCTTCTGACTCTGTTTCTGAGATAAGCAAGTGTTGTACAAGTGCCTGCCTTCAGGTGGGAAAGGCAAAGAGAAGGGCAGAATGTGCCCCTGCATTTTAACCTTCTTTAGCTCAGTGATCCCCAGTATTTCAGAGAGGAATATTTTGGTTTCCTTCACTAACAATTAAAAAATACACACACACACACACACACACACACACACACACACCCCCCTCAGAATTTATACAGAATGAAGTAGTGACTTTCTGGAAAGGAATTGGGGCCACTGGAAAGGGTATGGGTTCCACATACTACCAGATCTAATGATTCTATTAATAGTCTATCAGTGAGGATTCATTCATTTGCATACCGCCTCCTTCCTGAAGGGATTTAAGGCATCTTTCTAAAAGCAAAATGCAGCTTGGCACAGTGGCCCACGCCTGTAATCCCAGCACTTTGGGAGGCCGAGGTGGGCAGATCCCAAGGTCAAGAGATCGAGACCATCCTGGCCAACATGGTGAAACCCTGTCTCTACTAAAAATACAAAAATTAGCAGCTGGGTGTGGTGGTGCACACCTGTAGCCCCAGCTACTTGGGAGGCTGAGGCAGGAGAATCGCTTGAACCTGGGAAGCAGAGGTTGCAGTGAGCTGAGATCGCGCCACTGCACTCCAGTCTGGTGACAGAGCGAGACTCTGTCTCAAAAAAAAAAAAAAAGTAAAATGCAATAAGGGTCATATTATTGAAGTAAGGATAAGGGGAAATGGTCTAAGATGAGAAGAGTTTATATGCCTGCAACATAAAGGGAAAGCATCATGGTGGTGGTGATTTAAGAATTTCAGCTTCCTGGCATCCAACATAAAAAGGAAGACACAAGTTACAGATGGATCTTCCTTACTCAAAAGGAAGAAACGTTAGACCGAAAAGAAAAATAAGATGTTTCTTTACTAAACTCTAAGAAACATTATTTTTTAAGGACATTATAAATATGGGATTGCCAAGGGGTAAGACATGCTGGAAAGTAAATTGGATACTTCAGAAAGCAATTTTTTTTTTGTTTGCAGCTAAGACATCTTAATTAAAAATGGCCTTCAGAAACACTAGTAATTCCAAGGCATAAAGAATGTATACAGTGAGTCATTTAGCCTAGTTCACCCTTAGAACTGATGGACAAACCTAAATGTTGATGATAATATCTGTCTTGGTCTGTTTTGTGTTGCTATAACAGAATACCTGAGACTAAGTAATTTATAAAGACAAGAAGCTTATTTAGCTCACGGTTATGGAGTCTGAGAAGTACAATAAGGCTGACACTGGCATCTTCCTGGCTTCTGGTGAGGGCTTTTGTGCTGTGTCATAACATGGTGGAGAAGGTCAAAGGGGAAGCAGGCACATGAGGAGGTAAAACCCAAGAGGCGCATTGGATTTATAATAACAAACCCTTGAGGGAATGAATCCATCCTCATAAGAATCTAATCTAATCAGAGAACTCACTCACAACTACTAGAATGGCACCAAGCAATTTACGAGGTATCTGTTGCCATGACCCAAACACCTCCCACTAGGTCCCACCTCCCAAAACTGCCACACTGGGGATCAAATTTCAACATGAGTTTTGGTGAGAACAAACTCAAGCCATAACAATGTCATTTCATAAAATTCAGCAATCAACCTGTTCTAAGCACATGCTTTTAACTGATATGCAACCATTCAGAATGTAAGCTAAATATGCTTTTTAACTATTTATCTAATTTCATATTTTAAACATGTGTAATGTGATCTGTATCCCATTTTCTCTTTGACATAAACATTTGTTGTTTTTATACCATCTCACTGTTCTATTTAATTCAAGGAGGTGTTCATTTCTTTAAAATATAAATGACTTGTGACATTAAGCTGCTTCAGAGTAAGACATCTTCTTGTGCAAAATGTGTTTCCTAAAATAATGTAGTACTTCCTTTTGGTTTTATACAACAGATTCACTTCATATATTCTGAGGTATTTTTTGAGAATATGCATTTATTTAACCATAAAGTAAGCAACTTTATGGAAATATAGAAACTTTTGGATACACAGTAAAAAGAAAAGTAGTATATTTTTTATTTTAGAGGAATAATTATATGCCTCCATATACTTTTAGAAGGCATACATACTTAAGAAAAATAATCACACATTATTATTCTTGTTGGTCTCATGTATTAGTCTGTTTTCACGCTGCTATAAAGAAACTACCTGGCCAAGGCAGGCGGATCACAGAGTCAGGAGTTCGAGACCAGCCTGGCCAACATAGTGAAACCCCATCTCTACTAAAAATACAAAAATTAAATGGATGAGGTGGCACACACCTGTAATCTCAGCTACTTGGGGGGCTGAGGCAGAAGAATCACTTGAACCCAGGAGGCAGAGGCATGAGCCAAGACCATGCCACTGCACTTCAGCCTGGGTGACAGAGTGAGACTCTGTCTCAAAAAAAAAAGAAAGAAAGAGGTACCTGAGAATCTGAGACTCGGTTATTTTTAAAAGAAAGAGGTTTAATTGACTCAAAGTTCTGCATGGCCGGGGAAGCCTCAGGAAACTTACAATCATGGCAGATGGTAGAAGGGGAAGGGGAAGCAGGCATGTCTTACATGGCAGCAGGTGAGAGAGAAGAGTGCAAGGGGGAACTGCCAAACACTTTTTTAAAACAATCAGATCTCATGAGAACTCACTCACTGTCACAAGAACAGCATAGGGGAAACCACCCCTATAATCCAATCACCTCCTGCCAGATCCCTCCCTTGACACATGGGGATTAAAATTTTAGATGAGATTTTGGTGGGTACACAGAGCCAAACCATATCACCCTAAAAATTAAAAGAAAAATTGTAGGTATTCTTTATTTATTTATTTATTTATTTTTTGAGACAGAGTCTTGCTCTGTTGCTGAGGCTGGAGTGCAGTGGTGCAATCTCAGCTCACTGCAACCTCTGCCTCCCAAGCTCAAGTGATTCTCATACCTCAGCCTCCCAAATAGCTGGGATTACAGGCATGCACCACCACACTCAGCTAATTTTTGTATTTTTTGTAGAGATGGGGTTTAACCATGCTGGCCAGGCTGGTCTCGAACTCCTGGCTCGAACTCAAGCCAAGGCTTCCCAAAGTGCTGGGATTACAGGCGTGAGCCACCACACCCAGAGATTGTAGGTATTCTTTAAATCATAATAAATCATCAGTCCCTCCTACTCCATACAAAACCATGTAGAAAATTATTCAAAACAACTTTACATTTCTCCCTCCTTCCTTACCTTCCTTTCTTTTTTTTCTTCCTCCTCTCCTCCCTGCCTTCCTTATTTCTCCCCATCTTCTTATCTCTTAAAATAAACAACAACATTAAATAAACAAACTTACAAAAATTAGCTGGGCATGGTGGTGCACACCTGTAATCCCAGCTGCTCAGGAGGCTGAGTCAGGAGAATCACTTGAACTTGGGCGGCGGAGGTTGGAGTGAACAGAAATTGTGCCATTGCACTCCAGCCTGGGCAACAGAGTGAGACTCCACCTCGAGAAAAAAAAAAAAAAACTATGTCTCTGTGTGGTGGCTAGCATAATCTGTACAATACATAGTTAGTCATTTTATTGGCTAAACATAAAATCTTAGAATTATTAGAAATACTTTACAATTTGATTTGATATTAAGCAACTTGGATGGGACTTGCATTCAATAGGTTGCTAAAATACTTTTTTCTATACTTTTATAAAACTTTGTTTCTTGATATTGGAAATTTTAGGCTTCAATTTATTAATTATTGGTGGATTAGAGAAAATCTTAGGGAGACTAGAGACGTCACGTTCAAAATGTTGAAGAAAGAAAGGGCTGACATGATCTTATGGTTCTTCTATGGCAAGATGGAGTTGAATGCAGTAGATTGACTTTAGCCAAGAAGGCTCAAGCAAGTATATTTGGCTTCTGTCCTTTACTCTTCCCATTATATTTTAAGATTGTCTATGTAGAAATCTTTCATTCACTTATATTATTTTTAAACATAGAAGTCATACTTTTCAAATGATTTATTAACCAATTGTGTTAAAAGGTGTCAGTTGGCAGAAAATCAAAGGTAAGTAAATACTCTTCCTCTCATCACATTCATATTAAATCAATTTAATGTATCAAATATTATTTAAATTTTTGTTTTATTTTTAATGCTATTGAACTGAAGAGCACTATACAAAGAAATCAAAGTCAGCAAATTTAGAGCAAATAATACTATTTTTCTCAAAAGTATGAAAATCAATAATGAAAAGTAGCATATATATAATTTTTGAAAGTGTGAAAATCAATAATAGGATAATGTGCATACCATATAATTTACTCATTTTTTTAATCTATTTGCAAACTGCGCAAGTTAAGTTGTTAGATTCTAAGTCTGTGTCTTAAATGGTCGAACCTTTTAAGATCAGGTAAATTCTTTGTATTCATAAATTCTTTATTGTACTGATCTCCATATTTAAACTAGATGTGAAATTAAATAAGGAGAATCTACCCGTCAGTCATTATTAATTTAATCTATTTGGGTAGATCTAAAAGAGTTGGACAATAAAAAATTCAGTGTACTAAAAACATCCTTTTGGTTGTCAAAACATTCACATATGTTCATATTTACTGAAGCAGAAATGATATTCTAAAGCCTTTATCTGAATTGGAATGAGTTTCCATAGGCATTTTAGACAACTGATTTTAATGGAACCATTTGATGTTTTCCCTTGTTTGAAAAATTCAGAAAGAGACTCTTTCAAGATGGTTCATGTTGATAGAGCTTTTCCTCATACGTCTTATTACAGGTGAATTACAACAGTAGAGAAGTCCTTTGTTGTTATTTTCACATGCATTTTGGTCCTAAACAGGATTTTATAAGCTACAAAGCATAAAAATATCCAGTACTCTAAAGAATTAATTTAGAGAACCTCCTAAGCATATTGCACAGAACATAAAGTTGACCTTTGCTGTCTACGGCTTTTGGAATGGAGTGGGATGTAGAACACATCATAGATTTAATGTGGCACATCGTTGTCTGCAGAAACTTGGGTGGGACTGTGACTGCTTGCCCATTGCACCCGGTGATTGAATCTGCTGTCACCAGCATCCTGATAATAATGAACATTCAGCTTAACGACCGTGATTATGATTATCATAATTGATGTGCAAGTGCAGTGTGTGGGGATCATTACAGCTGAACTGTACAGCAGAGAAACATGCCTCAGTTATGGATAATTTTACTTTTATGCATTGATTGGGATAAAATATGCCTTTCTATTTAAACAGACCAGCTTCATATAATTTTAAGAATCTTTCCATACATGCTGATTGATGATTATGCACTTGCTGAAAAACAGCCCCTTACAGTTGTTTGTTTTGTGTTGTTTCATTTCATTAGTAAATGTAAACAAATAATTAGGTGTAATTGAGGGAAAATATTTTGCTTATGAGGATGGCCTTCAATAATCAAATACTCAGTTTAAGTGCTTTTTCTTTCTCTCCCTCTTTAACAATATATTAGAGACTGAATTTTTTCAGTTTTCTTCCTCTGATTACCCTTGTCTAGTCTTTCTAAGGACAGTAGGCTTCAGGAAAAGTATAAATTTACATGAATTTTTATTATAAATCTATAGATGCATTTGTATATGCATATATTTATATATGTATATGTATACTCTAGTCTACTATGCATTTCAGAAAATTGGGCAGAGCCAAATACTGTATTGTATTACTTAGTAAAATAATATTTAGCTTATAGAATACTTTAAATGTATTATATTAAGATATATATATTTATGCTACCTTTGCTTTTTAATCTGGTTTGTTTCTGATTAATTTGATACATTGTTTAGTGATTTCCAATTATGCTTTTAAAAATGATACAACAGGGTTCCTGATTTGAATTTTAACTTGTGAATGAAAATAATATGTGCAATGATGTGTCTAAGATTCTCAAAAGATTAAATCTGAGCATATTAGTTATAATCATTAACCTAAGGGCACAATTTGCATTTGATTCTAAAATATTTCATTTAAGTGATGAACAAACATAATGGAACAAATTTTTACAAAGAAGCATGGTAAGCCATTTTTAAAATCTTTATATTTTGTAACTGCAATAAAGCTTGAAACTGAGAGATCTCTCCATTAGATTATTAATAGCTGTACAGCTCTGAAGAGACTATGGTTAACATTTCCGTCGGAGGTCTGTAAGATTCACATTATCCCAGGTAAGATGTTTGCCCTAGATGTGCAGCTGTACACTGTGGTGGAGGACAAAATCTTTTTCTGACAGTGAGAGGTTTAATAGTTTGCCTATGAAATTTTCTTTCTGGAAGTTTTTAGTCCCAATGTGATCCCTGAACTTTATGAAAAGTTTCTCCTGAAGTTTCTAAGTCTCAGACCAGGTGCAATGGCTCACTCCTGTAATCCCAGCACTTTGGGAGGCTGAGGCAGGAGGATGTCTTAAGCCTAGGAGTTTGAGACCAGCCTGGGCAACATAGAGAGACCCTGTCTCCGCAAAAAAATTAAAAATTATCTGGACATGGTGGCACATGTCTGTAGTTCCAGCTACTTGAGAGGCTGATGTGGGAGGATTGTGTGAGCCCATGAGTTGGAGGCTGCAGTGAGCTATGATGGCACCATTGCACTCCAGCCTGGGTGACAAAGAAATACCTCATCTCTTAAAAAAATAAAATAAGAAGTTTGTAAGTCTCTAAAAATTCAACATATGCTAGTCTTCTCTGCATTGTTACTCATCTAGAATGAGAGTTAAATTCTTCATCTGACAAAGATCATGGAATATGTTATCTCTGCATTTTTCTACAATTAAACTCGTAACCTTATGTTTTTAAATTTGAAGGCCTCAATTTATGTTTTTCTTGCTGTTGTAGGAAACTGAGCCAAGATATCAGTGTGAATTGTGGCCTCCAAACCTATTGCCTTCACTCCCAAGTATAAGATTATTGCTTAAGTATCTTTCTGTGACTTTCTGGTCTTGATTTGACTCAGACAAGAGGAGGTTTTACTAGAATAAGGGGACCCCAAATGACTGGAAATATGAATAGGAAATATACATTATGCCTTAGAAAGAGGCCAACTTTGGTCTTAAGAATCAGGAAATACTTGAAACATAACATGAACACAAAAGTTAGCTAATAGTACTTAGTCAAGTGTCCTTCTGGCTATATCTGGAGGTTTGGCCTGGAGAATTCGAATGGATATTTATGTGTACTTCTAGGTAGGCCCCTATCAAACCATTTAGCAGCAGCGTGTTTTGGGTACTGCCACTGAGATGAACATTTTTATGCATATACATATATCTTTGCCCTAAAGATTTCCTGAAAGTAAAACTTCTGAGTCAAAGAATGTGATGGGTAGTTTTATGTTATGTCAGTTTGACTAGGCTATAATACCATTATTTAATGGAACACTGTCTAGGTGACGTTGTGAAGGTGTTTTGCGGATGTGCTTAAGAACCATAATCAGTTAACTTTATGTAAAGCAGATTATCCTCCATAATGTGGGTGGGTCTCATTCAATAAGTTAGTGGTTTTAAGAACAAAAACAGAGGGTTCCCAGAGAAGATATTCTTCCTCAAGACTGCAACATCAATTCCTGTTTGTGTTTTCGGTTTACTGGAGTGGACTGCTCTACAGATTTAACACCTGCCAGTTTCCAAAATTGCGTAAGCCAGTTCTTTAAAATAAATTCACCCTTCCCCCAACATCTATCTCATTGGTTCTCTTTCCTTGGAGAACCCTGACTTACATAGAGTGATTGCATAGTATTAATACTTCCATTATGTATTATCGAACTGCTCTGAAGCAGAATGAACAAAAAAGTACCTTATTCCATATATACATATCCTTTCATTGTCATTAACACTGGTTATTCTCAGTGGTTTTTACAAAAGATGTACACACATCTTCAGTCTTAATTCAACTGAAATTTTATTTGCTACTGAAAAAATTTATAGATTAATATAGGGGGAATTGACTTTTAATATACTGAGTCTTAGCATTCAAGAACATGCTTTGTCTCTCAATTTATTAAAAAATTTTTAATTGACCTTAAGAAGAGTTTTGTAACTTTTCCAGTTTCCAGTTATTGGCTAAGCATATTTCTAATTATTTTATATTTTTAGTCTGATTAGGATTTTCTTTTACCTTATTATTTATTAATTTTTAAAGACTATTACCTTAATGTGCTATGTTTTAATGGTTGCTTTATGAATTTTTCTACTAATTCTAGCACTTAGGTTTACTAGGTAGATAATTATATCATCTGCACATATTTATATATTCAACCTTCTATCTTTTACTTTATAATCTTTTTACTTCATTTAAAAACTTTCTGGTCATATTAACTAACACATAGCATAATGAAAAATAGATAAAAATGGTCATCATTCACTTCTGAATATAAAGTTTGCTATTGGATACATAATATACATACACACAATTGTAACTACTTGATAGTGTCATATATACATATAACTAGTTAAAAAATGATATTGAAATATTAAGAAGTTACTATCTTTTTGAGTGAGGTAATTATTGAAGTCTATTAAATAATTTCTTAGTATCTAAAAAGATCAATATGTTTTTCCTTTCTAACCTTTTAAAACAATGTACTACATCAATATAAGCTGTAATGTTGAACCATCCTTGTATTCCTGGCATAAACTCTCTCTAGTTTATAAAGTGTTATTCTCTCAGCATGATGCTAAAATTGATCTAGTTTTTATACATACTATTGATCAAATAAATCTATTCTATGTATCTAGTTTTCTCATAACTCAGCTATTCTTATCTGTTTTTACTTCCTTTGGGTTCAGCTCATGAATTAGTCTTACAGGGAATGGGGCTTTAAAAAATTAGAAGAAAAAATGAGTACTTTTTAGTAAATATTATAGAAGTTGTATTTTAGTGAAATCTGAAGCCTGTTTAAATACCATTAAAAGATGTCAAACTGGAGGATATTTAATAAGTGTATCCTCTCATTTCTCCCAGTTTTCTTGTGAACAAATCTTCCAGGTGGTGATATGGTTTGGCTATGTCTCCGCCCAAATCGCATCTTGAATTGTAGTTCCCATAATCCTCAACTGTGGTGGGAGAGACCTACTGGAGGTAATTGAATCAAGGGGTCAGTTTCCCCCATGCTATTCTCATAATAGCAAACAAGTTCTCATAAGATCTGACAGTTTTATAAGAGGTTTTCCCCTTCATTCAGCTCTCCTTCTCCTTCCTGCCATCATGTGAAGAAGGACATGTTTGCTTCCCCTTCTGCCATGATTGTAAGTTTCCTGAGGCCTCCCCAGCCCTGTGGATCTGAGTCAATTAAACCTCTTTCCTTTATAATTTACCTAGTCTCAGGCAGTTCTTTATAGCAGTGTGAGAATGAACTAATACAGATGGTGATGATGGTGTGTGTGTCTATCCAAAGTAAGATCCTCGACTGAGTGGAAACATACCAAATCAATTTTACCCTCAACATGTTGCCCTGAAATTGCAGCATAATTTACCTTACGTGGTTTCAAAAGCTACCTTTAAATGGGCTATATTACGTAAGTCTAATATTTTTCTTCTAGGTACAATTTTCTGATCTGCTGTTGGCCACATCTTGCCGTACGTCTATAGGTTAATGACTAGGACCACACATGCTTAGTGTACAGGCATGGCCAATAATTTCCCTGTAACTTTATGAAGCATTTTGTATTACTGAACTTCAGCTTCCCATGTATCTCTGCATGCTGATTGTCCTCTTAGTTTTAGCATTTCTGGTACAGTCCCCAGTCATTATTCTCATTCAGTAAAGGGAATCTCAATTAAATTGAATTTATCATGCTTTTCTGAAAATTATATTTTATATGATTAGATTGCAAGAATTCACTTTAATTTTAGAAAATTTAGAAAAGAGAGAAGCAAATAGAGAAAATAAAACCACCTATTATTCATTGCCAGTATTTTATTATTCTTACAGTACTATTTCAGTCTCACTTTTGTACATATAACCTACCACCCAGACACATACAGAAAGTAAGTTTGCACTTGATATATTCTTTCATAGCCTGTTGTATTCAGTTACCATCCTTGGACATCACAATTTACGGGAATGCTCTGACTAATTTTCTTTGTCTTTAAACATTTATACAGTCAATCATCACTTTAATGGGGATATGTTCAGAGAAATGTGTCATTAGATAATTTAGTTGTGTGAACATCATAAAGTGTACTTACACAAACCTAAATGGTATAGCCTACTACAGACCTACGGTATATGGTATAGCCTACTGCTCCTAAGCTAAAAACCTGTACATGTTACTGTACTGAATATTGTAGACAGTTGTAATACAATGATAAGTGTGTATATAAATGTATCTAAATATAGAAAAATTACAGTAAAAATACAGTTAAAAACCATACTGTAAAGTATAATCTTATGGGAACATCATCATATATGTGTTAGTTTGATGGCTTACAGTTTATCATTTTAGTTTAAAATTTTTCAGGTACATAGTGGTTCCTTTCAATATGTAGATTTAAAGCTTTCCTGTATTTCTGGAAATATTTATTAGATTATAGTTTTAAATATTCTTTTTTACTGTTTTGTTTATCATCTTAAAGACTCTAATTATATTTAATGTTGAATCTTTCTTTGCCTATCTTCCACTTTAACCCTTTTCTCTCTCACCCATATTACTTATTTCATTTTCCTTTTTTTTTTTTTTTGGCTTTCTTTTAAATTTGTATTCAAATCTATTTCCTTTGGGCCATATAGAATTTACTTTTCATATCTGATATGGTTTTGTCTTTTTCCTCAATTTCTTTCCTGGCTTTAAATAAGTTTCCTGCATGTCTTTCTGGTTTTGGGTACATTTCTGTTCTTAGTTTGTGAGCTTTTATATAAACTATTTCTTAATTTTTGTTTGAGAATATTTAATTCAATTTGAAATGTTTTCTTATTGTTTTCTGGAATTTTCATTTGCTGAAACATTTGAATTCTCACTTTGATTTTTTTTTTCTCACAGTGACTTTTTAATGAGGTTCTATTTTGCTTATTTTCTTTATTTTATGGACAGAGTTCCTAGGTCAAGTACATACTTTTCTGTTAGTATGGTAAATTTGGTTTCTTTAATAAAATAATGTTGTAGGGAAGAAGAGGGAGTTGATGTCTTGTGGTTTTATTCCTGCAGGATCCTTTTTTTTCCACTTTTACTTCCTTCTTTCATTTCTGACTCAAAGGTGCATCTTTCTCTCTCTATCTCTCTCTTCCCTAGA
The DNA here is from genome assembly GCF_000001405.40 of Homo sapiens. Classification (NCBI taxonomy): domain Eukaryota; kingdom Metazoa; phylum Chordata; class Mammalia; order Primates; family Hominidae; genus Homo; species Homo sapiens. The sequence goes on from NC_000001.11 coordinate 217,819,447, forward strand.
AGCAATAGCTTCAGATTCAATGCTCTTCTCTATAGTTGATGCCATGAACTATCAAGTCACAGGCCTGTGTTTAGCCTTTTAACACTTAGTTTTGAAATTTATCTTCCTGGAGGTTATTTTATCAGTGTTCTCTGTGCCCCTCACCTCCTCCTATAACCTTTAGTAAGCTTTCTCTCCCCTTGCATTTTACACCCAAAGGTTTGCAACAATGAGGAAAGCTACTGTATTAACTCTTAGAATTTGATGCTTCTTTCTTTAATTATAAGTAACTTGAGATTTCTATTCTTTATTTCCTAGTAAGGCTGAAGGTATGTGTCATGTATAGTTTTTTTGTGTTCCTTGATAATATTATGATGTATGGAGAGATTTGGATTTAGGCAGCTTCCATTTTCTTAAGGCCAGCTAAAACTCCTTGAAGGTCATATTTAGCAACAGTTGTCTTTAGTCATTCAACAAATACTGAACACCTTCTATGAGGCAGGAAGTATGCTAGACAATTTAGAATGTAAATTAATCACTGTTTTAAATACCCCAGAGAAAAAGGTCATATATCGATAAGACTGGATAGTAAAGAACCCTAAGGATCAGTAAGTGCTAAACACCTGTGATTGCAGACAATATGGACTTTCAATTCTCAAGGAACATGAGCTTTCCAATTTCAAAAGGTTATCAGGGCTGAAGTTGAGAGAATAAGGAAAAAGATGTTAGATGATAAGACTGGAGATCTGGCCGGATATAGAATATGCAGGTACCCGCTAGACTATCCTAAACAATTAGTCTTTAGGCTAGGAGAGTTAAAAGGTTTTAAGCAAGGATTGAAAAAGTGAGGTTTATGTTTTTAAGAAGTTTTCTCTGGATACAATGTGGATACTGAATTTTAGAGAGGCCAGAATGAATGGAGAAGAGACAAGTTTGTGAGCAGTAGTCCAAATTATATTTAATGTAGTTTGTTCTACAAGAATGGCAGTGGATTTGGAGAGATATGAATTAACTTTAGAAGTATTAAGAATGCAGATAATGTTAAAACTTGAAAATGGATTGAGTATGATGTTTTCTGATTACTTTTAACTTTCTGCAAAAGGCTACTAGATGAATGGTATTACTCATTGAGACTGGGAAAAGAAGAAAAGGGCTAAAATTGGAAGTCAGTTACAGAGAAGAATCCTTGAGTTCAATCTTGAACATGTTTGAGTTTGAAATGACTTTAACTCATCCAATTAGATATGTCAAATAAAATATAGAATAGAATATAACTGAATATAGAGGTGCATTGCTTGGAACAACAGCCTTTACTAGAATCACAAAATTGAATATATTTGGTTCATAAATAATAATTGAAACCATGAAAGCAGATTGTCTTAGTCTATTTTTTTGTTGCTATCTACAGGAATACCTGAAGCCGGGTAGTTTTTAAAGACGCTTATTTAGCTCATAGTTCTGTAGGCTGCACAAGAAGCATGCTGCTGGCATCTGCTCAGCTTCTCGTGAGGGATTTTGTGCTGCATTAAAACATGGCAGAGAAGGTTAAGGGCAAAGCAGGCATGTGCAAAGAGGGACCAAGCTTGAGGGGCATCCCAATTAATCCAATCCCCCAGAACCAATCCCATCTCATGAGAGCAAGAATTCATTCACTACTGCTAGAATGCAGTGGCACCAAGCCATTCATGAGGGATCTGTCCCCATGATCCAAACACCTCCCAGTAGGCCCCATCTCTCAACATCGCCACACTGGGATCAAATTTCAACATGAAATTTTGTGGAGATAAAGAGATTATATCCAAACAATAGCCTGGATGAAATTTCCTAGAGTGGGAACACAGAATAAGAAAAGAGGAGCGCTAGGAGAAGTTTTGAGGAATGCCAATATCTAATGGCCATCCGAAGTGGGATGAGCCTGTAAAGGAGGCAGGTAAATGTGAGGAAGGCTAAGAGAATATGCTTATCAAAAAAGTCAAGGAAAGATAATGCAATAAGAATAAAGGAGTGATGAGCCATGTTAAATGGTGCTGTGAAGTCAAATAAAATGAACAGTGAAAAAGCCCCATAGATTTAGCAAAATGAAGGTCACTGGTTACTTAGCAGGAGTTGATTCAATGACAATATGGGAGACTAGAGTTGGTTCGATTAGGTAAATTTTAAAGGAGATACCAAGTGTAGATAAAAATTCGAATAAGTTTGGCTGTGAGTGGGAGAAGAGAGAGGAATAGCTGTAGGGAGATATGGGGTAATGTATCTTTTATTTTTTAAGATAGAAGATGTTTAGCATTAATTATGCTGTTATGTGGATATCACTATTTAACTGGTATCCTCCGATTTTATATTAATTTGTCTTTTAAATTAATTTCCCAAAATTTCAGATTCAGAAGTAATGCTAAGGGGAGCACTCATGCAAGGGGCGCAAACTCTGCCACAAAATGTATGTCCTTAGAAATGAGTTCCTAGAAATGGGAATAACAGGTTAAATGAGTGGCTCTCTACAAGGGGTGATTTTGTGATTTTGGCAATGTATTTTTGATTGTCACAACTTAATGAAGGAGGCTACAGCAATCTAAAGGATAGAGAGAGACTAGGGATTGCTAAACTTTCTACAATGCATAGGGTAGCCCCCTGCAGTGAAGAATTATCTACCTAAAATGTCAATTATGCCACCTGTGAGAAACCCTGGGTTAATGAGTATGCACGTTTTTAAGACTTTTGATCCATCTTCCCAAATGTCTTGCAGAAAGATTAAACTAATTTGCATTTTCAACCATTTGTGTGAATTTTTATTTCTCTACATTCTCATCAACACTGAATATTTTTTATTATCATTAATTTTATAATAGGTAAAATTCTTTTAAAAACTTACATTGTTTTGATAACAATTTATTCTAAAAATCTTTTTAGACATTTATTGACCACTTGCTCTTTTCTAAAAGACATGTTTTTTTATATCTTTTGCTCATATTTCTGTTCACGAGTTTGTCTTTTTCTTACTATTTTTCTAATTACTATATGAACTCTTCCTTTAGGTATAGATTTTGTTTTTATTTATCCTGCCTAGGATTCCTTGGGTTGCTTAATCTGTGGTGTCTTTCACCAAACTGGAAAAATCTTAGCCACTATATCTTCAAATAGTGCTCTTCTCTAATATTTGCTCGAATTAGCCATATCTTCTATATATGATATATAATGATATGATGTATATCTATATATATATATAAAATAAATATATATTTTATATTTTTCATTTCTTTGTCTCTTTTTGCTGATTTTTATATACTTTTATTAGAACTATTTTCCTTTTTAAAATTCAGTTGTTTGTACTATGTTTTTTAATGTATGGGTTTCTGTTTTCTATTTTTTTTATATATGTATATGAAAGTTCTACCTCATTCTTTTTCAAGTCAGCCTGCTCAACTGATAGTTGCTTGTTTAGTTTTCATACTTTTAATTCCCTTTTTCTTTAAATATATGATGTTATATATTCACTGTCAATAATCCCAAGTATTTATTTATCTAATTTTAAAGTTTTTCCATCAACTCTCATGCATAATTGATTTTAACCTGTTCCCTTCTTTTTGTTATGTTTCAATTTTTGTTTTTATCATTTTTTGTCTTAAAATGTTTGTGAGTTTTTGTTCATTGGAACTTTATATGTGGGAATTTTTTGAAACCAGCTTTAAAGTGCATTTTTTCAGAGACATTTTTTGTTTGGTTCTGCTAAGTGCCTTGTGACACTCCCCACCTAGGAACATAGAAAACTAAATTTTGATCTGATATTTTTACCTGGTTATATGAATCAGGGTCCAAACCTACAAGAGTACAAGTTCGTGGTTAGGAACTCTCAGGAAAGACTTCTTTCCTGCCCTTTACTCAGTCCAGAACTAAGAACGGAATGGGTAGATATGCTCAAATTCTCCCTACAAAAGTCTTTTTCTTTTTCTAGTTCACCAACTGAGAATGTTGTTTTTTAGGAGTTCCAGTTTTATATAGGGCTCTCTAGTTTAATTTTTCACTCTGCTCTAGTTCTAAGCATCTATTTTTTTAGCATGTGGCAGGTTATACCCAGACTCAGGACTCTGTGGACAAGGAAATGCCATGGGAAAAATGCTAACCACTACCCTCACTGGACTTGTACTTCCTTGTCAATTCTTTCTTCCAAGGAATCTCCTCATTTCTTCTCAAGGTCATGTATGCATTTGGTCTATAGTACAGTTTAAATCTAATATTTCTTAGTTGATTTTCTGCCTAGATGATGTGTTCATTGCTGAAAATGGGGTGCTGAAGTCTCCTGTTGTTATTGTATTGCAGTGTATCTCTCTCTTTAGATCTTTTAATATTTGCTTTATATATTTAAGTGCTCTGTTGTCGGGTGCATATATTTTTTGATGGTCATATCATTTTGCTGAATTAACCCCTTTATCATTACATGATGAACTTCTTCGTCTCTTTTTACTGTTTTACTATTTTATCTGATACAAGTATCAATACTCCTGCTTTCTTTGGGTTTCCATTTTCACGGAATAACTTTTTCCATGCCTTCACTTTCAGTTTGTTTCCTTACAGGTAAAGTAAGTCTCTTGTAAGCAGCTCATAGTTGTAGGCAGCATATAGTTGGGTCTCTTTTTTAAAATCCATTCAGCCACTCTGTGGTCTTTTAACTGGAGAATTTAATCCATTTACAGTCAAGGTAATTATTGATAGGTAAGGACTTACTAGTGCTATTTTCCAAATAGCTACTAAGTTTTCTTGATATCATTTGTTCTGTCATTTCCCCATAATTAGCAATTCCATTATTTTATTATTCATTTCACTTAGTTACTATTTTATTTACTTTGGGATATTTTGTTGAATTTTTAGTATTTTATGTTGATTAACTCTGTTCTTTTATATATTATGTTCACAGTTTTGTATACTATATATACTTAAAATTATCTTCATTATGAGTCAAGTAGGTATAGAATACCAGAATATTACTTAAAAAATAATTGTACAATAAATTCTCCATCAGTTTAGAAAAAGAACAGTTCTATTCTTCCAAAGTATTTTGGCATTTTTATTGATTCCATCTTTTCTGTTCTTAATTAGAGATAGCCACTATCCTCAATTTTTTAAATGATTTCTTTGGTTTTCTCTATACTGTTATTGTATATGTTTTTATTCCTAAATAATAGTTTGTTTTGTATATTTTAGGAACTTTTAATGTATTTGTATTCATATATTCATGTACTTTATACAAATATGTATAAATTCATATGTATATATATTTTATAATGTGTTCTTGGAAAACAAAGCTTAATTCATTAAAATTAAGGAAATGTTAGTTCAGTCATTAATTTCATACCTATGTGATTGGTAAAACTTTTAGGTTAATAATATATGTTAGAAAGAATGTATCCCTGCTGTAGACTAAATTTGTACTTTGGAAAACAGATATGAAACAAATTTAAAGATGTAAATATCCTACAATACAATAATACTTTTCTTTCATATGCATATGTATAATTTTCTTTCATATGCATATGTATAAAATACACATACATATACATACAATTCAAATATAAATACATTTATATACATATGAATATTTGCATTCATATAAATTCAATACATATACAAATGTATTTATTTATATGAATACATATATTCATATAAATACAAATACATTAAAAATTCCTAAAATATACAAAACAAACTATTATTTAGGAATAAAAACATATGCAGTAAAAGTATAGAGAAAAGCAAAGAAATCATTTAAAAAATTCAGGATAGTGGCTGTCTCTAATTAAGAACAGAAAAGGTGGAATCAATAAGAATGCCAAAAGAATTCAGAAGAATAAAACTGTTCTTTTTTGTATTCATATAAATAGAAATATATTAAAAGTTCCTAAAATATACAGAACAAGTAATATACATGTAAAAGTATTTATGTGAATGTGTAAATCATGCCATGTCATTTTTTTGTTTTGTTTTTATAAAAACTTTTTATACAGAACACTCATTGTGTGTAGCTGCATTTCATTCTTTTTCACTCGTGTAAAATATTCTACACATGAATTTGCCACAATTTATCAATTTTACTAAAGATTAATCTGGTTTGGTAATCAGCCTTTTACTCTGATAAATCACGCTAATATGAATATTATGTTGGTTATATGTAATTATATAACATATACATATATGTTATGTTACATATCTCCTGGTGTATGTATGAAAGAAAAGTATTATTGGATTTTAGGATATTTACATCTTTAAATTTGTTTCATATCCATTTTCCAAAGTACATATTTAGTCTACAGCAGGGATATAGTCTACATTCTTTCTAACATTTATTATTAACCTAAAAGTTTTACCAATCACATAAGTATGAAATTAATAATTGAACTAACATTTCCTTGATTTTAGTGAATTGAGCTTTGTTTTCCAAGAACACACTATGTTTCTCAATAAAAATTGTAGTCTTCTTCATGTAGATTCTACACATTTGTTGTTAGATTTATTCCTAAGTAATTTATATTTTATTGTTATTGTGGGAAAGCTCTTATTTATTTTCTAGCTGGCTTTTGTTATATAGTAACTTTCATTATTTATATGTATTTTTGTTACTATATGAGTCTGCTCAGGCTGCTGTAACAATATACTACAGATGGGTGGCTTTAACAAGACATCTATTTTACCACAATTGTGCAGGCTCTAACTCCAAGCTCAGGGTCAGTTTCTGGTGAGGTCTCTCTTCCCCGACTTGTGGATGAAGTCTTCTCACCTGTGTCCTCACATGGCCTCTTTTGTATGTACAAATGGAGACAGAAATATCTCTGGTGTTGCTTCCTCTTCTTATTAAGAAGCAGCCCAATCAACTTAAAGTTCCAGCTTTATGACCTCACTTAACCATTATTATCATCTCTTTGTAGGCCCAAATATAGTCACATTGGAGTATAGAGCTTTATTATATGAATTTGGGGAGTACACAATTTAGTCTGTAACAGTTACTGTAAAGATTCTTGAACATTTTTAATAGGTCTAATTATTTATCTGTTGATTTTCTTGGGTTTTCCAAGTATATAATTATCTGAAACTCAAGATAATTTTGTTTCTTTATTTCTGATATTTATATTCTACTTTAGTGTTTTGGTTAATTCCATTAACTAATATATCCAGAATGATTTTAAATAGTCATAGTGAGGGTTGGTATTTTTATGGGCTTATTACTTATAACTAACTTCTAAATATGATATTTTACCAATTAGAGAAAGATTTATCTTTTCAACCCAATAGTCAATTTCAAAGCAGTCATTAAAATCACTACATGTGAAACTCAAGGCATTAAAACATAATAATTATGAAATTGCATTCCGAAGTGAGATTTTATGGTTCAAATTCCAGATAGGTACATAATTTTAAGCAAGTTATTTAAATTCTCTGTACCTTAATTTTCTAATTTGTGGAAAGGGGAAAATATTTTACTTCCCTTACAGTGTTTTTCTGATGATGGAGGACTATATAAACTATACTCAACATGGTAAACAGCATACGCTTTAGCTTTTATTATATTTAGTGATCTTTTTTATGTCTTTTTCTAGTCTACTGGTATATTTTGATTACTTATGTTATAGTGATATTCTAAATCTCTAATGCTCTCTGTATCTCATTTAAAATTTATACATTATTAGCTCTGTTTTCATGGTGTATTAGAATAAAAGCCATTTGGAAAAACTGATATTTAAAAGATTAATTTGCCCTTTATTAACATGAATTCATTTTCTATATTAAAGTTTATGCTTTAATATAAAAATTAAATATTTTTACTAAAACTATAAAACATTAATGGAAGAAATTGAAGAAGAAACAAATAATTGGAAAGGTATCCTATGTTTATGCAAAGGAAGAATTAATATTGTTAAAATGTCCATACTACCCAAAGCAATATACACATTTAAGACAATTTCTATTAAAATTATAATGCCTGCAGAGAAATAGGAATGCTTTTACACTGTTGGAGGGAATGTAAATTAGTTCAACCATTGTGGAAGACAACATGGCAATTCATCCAAGATTTAGAACCGGAAACACATCCAGGATTTAACCCAGCAATCCCATTGCTGGGCATATACCCAAAGGAATATAAATCATTCTGTTATAAAGATACATGCATGTGTCTGTTCATTGCAGCACTACTCACAATAGCAAAGACATGGAATCAACCCAAATGCCCATCAGTGATAGACTGGATAAAGAAAATGTGGTATATATACACCATGGAATACCATGCAGCCATAAAAAGGAATGAGATCATGTCCTTTGCAGGGACATGGATGAAGCTGGAAGCCATTATCTTCAGCAAACTAATGCAGGAACAGAAAACCAAACACCACATGTTCTCACTCATAAGTGATAGCTGAACAATGAGAACACATGGACACAGGGAGGGGAACAACACACTCTGGGGCCTGTTGGGAGAGAGCAGGGAGAGGGTAGAGCATTAGGGAAAAAAGCTAATGCATGCTGGGCTTAATACCTAGTTGATGGATTGATAGGTGCAGCAAACCACAGGGCACACGTTTACCTATGTAACAAATGTGCACATTTGGCACACGTACCTGGGAACTTAAAAAAATTATAATGACATTCTTCACATAAAGAGAAAACAAAAATCCTAAAATTTGTATGGAACCACAAAAGAAACCTGAATATTCAAGGCAGTATGAATAAAAACAATGTTAGAGACATCATACTTTCTGATTTAAAGTTATATTACAAAACTACAATAATCAAAACAGTATGGTACTAGCATAAAAACAGAAACATAGACCAACAGAACAGAATAGAGAACCCAGAAATAAATTGAAACATATGTGGTCAACTAATTTTTGACAAGGGCACCAAGAGGACACTGTGGGGAACTGATAGTCTCTTTGACAAATGATGCAAGGAAACTGGATTTCCAAATGCAAAAGAATGAAATTGGATGCTATTTTTTACCATACATAAAAACCAACTTAAAATGGATCAAAGACCTAAATGTAACATCTGAATTTATACAAATCCTAGAAGAGGATATAGGTAGAACTTCTTTGATATTGACATTGGAAATGATTTTTTGAATATCACACCAAAAAAAAAAGGCTACCAAAACAAAAATAAATAAAATGGGACTAAAAAGCTTCAAACTAAACTAAATCTAAACTAAAAAGCTTCTGCACAGCAAAGGAAACAATCAACAACATGAAAAGGCAACCTACAAACTGGGGAAAAAAATTGCAAACCACTCATCTGATAAGGGTCAATATTCAGATTTTATAAAGAACATTTACAACTCAACAGCAAGAAAAATAAGCCAATTAAAAAGTGGGCAAAGAATATGAACAGACATTTCTCTAAAGAAGATATAAAAATGTCAACAGGTACATTAAAAGATGCTCAGTATTACTAATCATCAGTAAAATGCAAATTCAAATCACTGAGATATCACCTCACATCTCTAAGGATGGCCGTTATCAAAAAGATAAGAGATAACAAATGTTGGTGAGGGTGTAGAGAAAAGGGAACCCTAGTACACTGTTGATGGAATGCCAATTGGAACAGCCATTATGGAAAACAACACAGAGATTCCTAAGTAAATTAAAAATAGAACTACCATATAACCCAGCAATTTCTCTTCTGTGTATATACTCAAAGGAGAAGATATTACCACATTGTAAAGGTATCTGCATTTCTACATTCATTGCAGCATTATTCACAATAGCCAAGATATGGAAACAACCTAAATGTTCATCAAAGGATGAATAGATAAAGAAAATGTGAGATATATATTATTATTTTAAAAAGCTTTATAAAAGAAAAAGATCCTGCCATTTAGCACAACATAAATGAACCTGAAGTCCATGCTAAGCCAGACACAGAAAGAAAATACTGCATTCGGTCGGGCATGGTGGTTCACGCCTGTAATCCCAGTGCTTTGGGAGGCCAAGGAGGCTGGATCATCTGAGGTCAGGAGTTCAAGACCAGCCTGGCCAAAATGGTGAAACCCCGTCTCTACTAAAAATACAAAAATTAGCCGGGCATGGTGGCCCACACCTGTAATCCCAGCTACTTGGGAGGCTGAGACAGGAAAATCACTTGAACCCAGCAGGTGGAGGTTGCAGTGAGCCGAGATTGCACCATTGCACTCCAGCCTGGGTGACAGAGCGAGACTCCATCTCAAAAAAAAAAAAAAAAAAAAAAAAAAATACTGCATTTACTCACTTATGTGAAAAAAAGATATATTTTAAAACGAGCTCAAATACACATAGAGCATGAAAGAAAATGATTAACATGGGCATGGGGAGGGGATTGGGGTGGCGAGAGAAATATAGGTCATATATATTTATATATAGGTCAAAAGATACAAAATAGCAGATATATAGGATGAAAGTCCAGCGAGCCAATGTACAACATAAGGGCTAAAGTTAATAAAATTATATTAGGGAGTGTTCTTAAATAAGTAGATTTTAGCTGCCCTTGTCACAAAAATAAAAAAGTAACTGTCAGATGAGAGATATATTAATCTACTCACTATAGTAAACATTTTACTATCTATATGTATCCCCTAAACTAATGTTGTAAACCTCAAATATACACAATAAAATTTATTCAAAAAATTAAATATTGATATTTAAATCTATAAAACATCCAACTTTTATTACTTCTAAGGCAAATATGTGAAAGCTTATTTGCAAGTCAGATGTGAATTTATAGATTCATCTCATATCATTTTGTATCTTCCATTCAATTTTATATCAGAATGTAACAAGCAACTCTTTGAAAATTATTTTTGGTAAATCCCCAAGTTGGTGTGTAATATTTTTTTAACCTTCTACAAAAAGGCAAAGGAATCCAGTAGTATATAGACCATAAAAATGACAGTCAAATTCTTTTTTAAATTTTGCATTGCTTGATCACTTCATATCACTTTACATAATGTGCACCAACAAGCACTCAGCATCCTGAGCCCTGTACTGAACATCTCCTCGACTCAAACAGGGCTCCATTCATCTGTGTCAAATCCTGGGCTTCCTGCTTAAAAATTCCCTTGAAGGAAGTGTTCCAGTGCAAAAAATTATTCTCATAGATTCATTTTATTGTGATATACTTAACTGAGTATTTTCCAAATTCTGCCTAAATGCAATATATTTTCTCCTAAACAAGTTCTTCATGGAATTATTTAGTTACACATTCATATTTATTCTTAGAAGAGCCTGGAAGCCATACTTCCAGGCCATACTTCCAGGCTGATTAGAGAATGCTGCCATTTGTAACATCTGTCATATAAATGCCAGATTGATAACGGTGTTATTAACTCTGAATTAATTTACAAGTTACTTTTTAGGTGACTGTTGTAAGGTTAAGCTATTAGAGAAAAATTTAAATCTGTTTACAAGTTAAAAGGTTAACAAATGTGAATTGCCAAATGACTAGGAAGTGATAATTTGATAGCTTGGGCAGCAAGTGACTTTAAGAATATTAATTAAATATTATAAAGGAATAAAAATAGTGAAAATAGTTTGCACTATTGGTTTTAAGGATACAAATGTTTACCTTACTTTCTTATTAAATCTATTCCAGGAGCTATTTGCAAAGGGTTTGCTCATAACAATTGGAGTATTTAATAAAATTGGCTTTTCCTCTCCTGTAATTCCTCAGTTAGAAAATGTAGTCCTTTGATGATGATCTAGGGCTTTGAAGAAGAAATGGATTCTAAAGAGAAAATTAGATGGTAGTTATTATGCTGTCTAACTAGCAATGCATTGTCATTTGTCCATTGTGTTACAAATGTCTTACTTTGCCTACCTTCTTCATTTAATCATGTAACTTGCCTGTAAGCAGCATTAGAGAAAAGAATGTTGCCATATTACTCTTTCAGCTGTTTTCTTTGCTTATCCCAGAGACGTTCACTCTTAATATGCTCAATATAGAACTCTTCATCTCCTCCCTGACACCTGGTCTCTTCTAAATTCCTTGCATCGACACAGTTGGTCAAATTATGCCAAATACTAGGGAAGCATACTCATTTTCTCTATCTCCTTCCTTAGGAATGCCTCTCCTAACTGCATCTTGCTCAAGCTATATATGACTAGCAAGTTTAATTAGTATTTAAAAGATCAAATCCCTTTATAAAAAGGCCTACTCCAAAAATATATTTTCTTATGGCAAATAAAATATAATTGATGTACATTTATTCAGTGTTTTAATTATTTTTATTATGTATTCCTTCTGCATTTGTTTGTGTATGAATCTAATGATTTGCCATTAGAAGACTGGAAGCATGTCTGTCCAAATTTCTTTGTGGCTCACCCACCTAAAGCTATAGATCAGGATGACATTTATTATGGCAGTAATGAAGAACAATTAGCATTTACCATATACTTGTTTCCTTCACTTTTATGTCATATGTGTATTACCTTTAAAAACTATTTCTATTTTATTTGTCAACATATTCAGTAGAAATTCATATGACTGAATCCTATAAACCATTTTAAAAGGTTAACATTTTCTTGAAAATAGTACTTTTAAAAGAAATAAATAGAATTTGAAATTATACCTGTTTGAATCTGAAGCTTCATTTATCTTTGTAATTTTTGAGGCAGTGGATATTGTTTTGCTAATTGCATTTAGAAATCATGTGTCATTTTAGTTTTGACATTTAATATACATAAATAATGTCCAAAGGGTAGAAGTAATTTAATCTGAAAAATCCTTATCTACTTTCCAGTTCTAATAACATAATTAAAGAAGTACAAAATACCACATATAAAATGTATGCTTAGTTTATAAAGTAAGTTTCCATGTTCATGGCTAGTGTTCCCTAAAATTCAAAGTACATTAAAAATTCTAAAAATATACCAGAAAACAGTGGTAGACTATATTAGATATGTTCACAACTAACATATTTTCTTTTTACCCCAAAACATGACAGATAAAATTTCACATGCTTTAACTTTCTAATTCTCATCTTATTGATCTATAATAGACATAAATGCTGACAATAAAAATGGATCTGAAGTTACATTAATTTGTCAGATTGGGAGATTTTCAGGTATCAAATGTTAAGCATTTGGTGTTCTATGATGAAAATCATCACAGAATGTAGCTACCATATTAATATAAAGTTTGGCTTAGTAGCATTAAAGTAATCAATAGTGGCTTTAAGGATTGACTTTTTATGACATTCTCACATAAAAATAAAGTTTACTTTTGGCTGGGCACAGTTGCTCATGTCTGTAATCCCAGCACTTTTGTAGGTCGAGGTGGGTGGACCACTTGAGCCCAGGAGTTTGAGACCAGCCTGGGCAACATTGCAAAACTCTGTCTCTACAAAAAATAGAAAAGTCAGCTGGCTGTGGCAGTGCGCATCTGTAGTCCCAGCTACTTGAGAGGCCGACATGGGAGGATCACCTGATCCTGGGGAGATCGAGGCTGCAGTGAGCTGGGATTGTACCACTGCATTCCAGCCTGTGTAACAGAGTGAGACCCCGTCTCAAAGAAAAAAAAAAAAGTTTACTTTCAAAAAAGCTTCTTTCTGCTGTTGAGTACTTATAACACACTGCTTCAGAAAAGTCTATTATTTCAAAGCAAAGACAGTTTCAACTGCCTGTTTTTTCAATATATATTTTAAATTTCTGTAGATAATAATTTTCATCATTATTATATATCATGACCTCATAAGAGATGACAGTATGCTTAGTTTTGGTTTTTAAAAGTCAGAATCAAAAAGCTGCTTACCTTCAGAACTCATTAGCAAAAAGTATATCGGCTATACATGTTGTCTGCCTTTGTCCCATAGAGCTTGCTAGTCTTTTCATGCACAAGTATAAACACACACCCACATTCAGGAAAGTTGTCATCAACTGGAGAAGAAGTAACCAAAGAACCATCTCTCTCATATTGAAACTTACATGTAAAAATGATTCTCTACAGTGTAATTATATTCTCTAAGGAGGGATAGCGTTAATAAGAGTGATGCAAGTCAGATAAATCAGATATTACGAGTGCATGCCTATGGGCTTGGGCTTTTGTGTTCAAGGCTTGCCCACCTATATGGACACACCAGATCACTAGTATAAGTCAAGTCACTACCTTCCTTCACTTAACCATTTGGTTTCATTTTCCTTTGTTGGAAATCTTTTTGCCGACTTTAGTTCTGGTACTTATTTTATATGCGGAGTTTGATTTAATATACAGAGTGGCAAAGTGGGTTTTCAGTTTAATTCAGGAAACTGCTATTTTCTTCAGAAATAATCTTAAAAATGTCAAATTAATAGATAGATTTTGACATCTGACCTTTTAGAAAATTCAAATTTTGCAAGTAAAGACATGAAATTGTATAAAAGTAAAATTTAATGAGAACACTGCTATTGTTTACTTGAATAAAAAGTTGAAATGTTGTAGTAACCATTTTGTACAACAATGCATTTATCTCTAACATTAATTTGATTTCAGTGTTTTTGCTCTAATGGCAACAAGGGCTAAAAATAATAATTTACTTAGGTATGTAGTGTCAAATGGAATTAGAACTCCAATAACTTGCTTTATCAGAGAGCAGAAGCTAAAGTTAAGAAATATTGTCACCCGCCACATAATGACGTTTCAGTCAACAATAGACTGCAAATACAAGGGCAGTCCCATAAGATTATAAGGAAGCTTAAACATCACGTAGAGATGTCGTGCCACATTGCATTACTCACACATCTGGGGTGATGCTGGTGTAAATAAACCTATTGCTTTACCAGCCATATAAAAGTATAGCACATATGATTATGTACAATACATAATACTTGATAACGATAATAAATGACTATGTTATTGGGTTACATATTTACTATAATAGAATTTTTATTGTTATTTTAGCGTGTATTGCTTCTATTTAGAAAAAAGTTAACTGAAAACAGCATCAGGCAGGTCTTTCAGGAGGTATCCAGAAGGCATTATTATCTTAGGAGATGACAGCTCCATGTGTGTTATTGCCCCAAGATACCTTCTAGTGGGACAAGCTATGGAGGTGGAAGATGGTGACGTAGATGATCATGACCCTGTGTAGGCCTAGGCTAATGTGTGTATTTATGTCTTATTTTTTAACAAAAATTTTAAAAAGTTAAAAATAAAACAGGAAAAAGCTTATAGAATAAGGATATAAAGGAAAAATGTTTTTGTACAGCTGTACAGTGTGTTCATGTTTTAAGCTGTTATTAGAAAAGAGTGAAAAGTTAAAAAAATTCAAAAGTGTATAAAGTAAAAAAGTTACAGTAAGGTAAGTCTAGTTTATTATAATATTAAAGAAAGATAAATATTTTTATAAATTTAGTGTAGTCTAAGTGTACAGTGTTTATATATGAAGTCTACGTTAACGTCCTAGGCCTTCACATTCACTTACCACTCACTCAGAGCAACTTCCAGTCCTGTAAGCTCCATTCATAGTAAGTGCCTTATACAAGTGTACCACTTTTTATCTTTCACACTGTATTTTTACTGTACCTTTTATATGTTTAGATACATAGATACTTATAATAGTGTTACAGTTGCCTACAGTATTCGGTACAGGAACATGCCATACAGGTATATAGCTTAGGAGAAATAGGCTATACCGTATAGCCCAGGTGTGTAGTAGATTATACCATCTAGCTTTGTGAAAGTGTACTCTATGATGTTCACATAATGAGTAAATTGCCTAGTGACAAATTTCTCAGAATGTATCCCTGTTGTTAAGGACCATGTGACTATATGAGTTTTCCAAGAAATCTCTTGGTTGAACTCATGTCATTTCATTTCCTTTGTACTTAAGTCATTGCATTTATGTGTTTCGGGGTCTGCATTGTTGATGTAGTCTGTAACAGCTGAAAGTTAGTGAATCCATGTATCATTTTAGGGACCTTGAAGCTGGAGTTAATTTCAATAGGATGTTCAGAGATTTCTGCTTATATAGAAATTAACAAATTTTCATTTTGCACTTTAGCCTACAAAGGACTTCCTCCAGAATTAGCTGGCGTATTTATCTATCTCTAATCTTATTTTCTAGATTAAGAATTTGTTCAAAAGGATTTGTGAATTTGTAGCACAAGGCATAACGTGACCCTAGTGCATTGAATAACCGTAGTGCATTGAATAACCATAGTGCATTGAATAACAATAAAATTTTCTAAGTAAGTCAATACATGGATGAACTCTTCTTACCATGCTGTCCTGATAAATTATAATAGACCTTCTCCAAAACTCAACTGCCTTTGTGAAGCTAATGAGAGACTACCAGGCTAGGAGCAGGAGAGGAGCCTGAATTCTGTTAAGGTGTAGGCATAAATGATTGCCAACCACTATTCCAGAGGTCACAAAATATGCAACTTCTCCGATTACTCCTGTAGATAACATCACTATTGTAGAAGCTATGACTGGCATTTTGAGATATCTTTTCAAGTTGTTGCATGTCTGACAACCCATGGCTCCACCTGGACCCACTGACCAATGGTTCCAGCCTCTCCTGTTTCCCCACCCAGAGCGATTCAGCTCACTGGAGGATCATTTCCTACACCCCTATGATTGTACTCCCCACCTAATCAGCAGCAAGCACCCATTGCCTAGCCACCCCTAAACTACCTTTGAAAAATGCCTAACCTAGGAACCTTCAAGGAGGTTGAGTGCTAACTCTGTCTCCCATTTCACATGGCTGGCCTTGCGTGAATTAAACTCTCTTTACTGTAATGCTGTGGTCTTTGTGCAGTGAGCAGGAAGAATCTGTCGGGCAGTTATAGAATGGTCAAAATGGCATGTGAAACTTTTTTCACCAAACAGCAAAACCAAATGTGTTTCCAAGGTTGCAGATACTCTACTTGGATATAAAGTTTCAAGATTTTTCTTCCATCTGAAGTTATGCTCAACAAAATAACTTTTAATCATTTTGAAAATAAGAAAACAGCCTATATAGTTTCTAAAAGGAGCTCACAAAATAAGAATTTGTCTGTCATGATGCCAGTAGAAACGGACAAAAGCTGTGAGTTGTTTGCTGTCAGATACATTCCGGGGAATGCTGAAGGGAAATGTTAACTCTGTCATTTACTCTATGACGTGCTACAAAACATCAACTATTTGGAAGAAAAAGAAGTACTATGTCCACTGTACTCTTCCAAGTGACAAATCAACTCTAGCATTTATTTTCATGCCACATGATTTCTCCCTAGTGGCCTATGGCTTCTCTTGTTTGTATTATGAGATGTTTCCAAGCAAAGGTCTTTGGATGGAGCAAATCAAAATTTGGGTTAATTTCCAGCCTTCTCGGCTCCTCCCATATTTTGTGACAAAGAGCTATGACCTCTCAAGTATTTTCACAAAGGACAGAAGTGCTCCAGCTGTATTATTTTGTTTTTAATGGTACAATTTTCACTACTCAAGAAGTTATTTTACTATCTTATAATTTAAACCTCAAGATTCTCTCTCTGTATTTAACAATACTAAGATGAATTATTCAACAATAATTTTGAAAATTATGTATGAACCACAAGAGTTATTTTGGGTATATGTTCCACTCTTTAAAAAAATTAAAGATTAAAAAGTAGAGATGTAGAATTGTGGGAGTAAAGCCTTCCCCACAGTGCAGTACCCAAATAGAAGTAATCCCTGTAATATTTTTTGGATATCAAATGGCTTGGCCTACTCAAATGTGACTAGTTTCTATATGTCTTCTGCATGAATGTTTAGAGCTCCTGAATCTAGATATTTTGGTTCTCAGTATGTTTCTTGAGATTTGGGGAAGAAGCAAATTGATGAGATTAAAAACAGTAATATGGCTAAATTAGCCACAACTTTGCTAGATAATTAACTGTGGTCAATATGCCCAGCTAATTGTGTATGTATTATAGTCACAAGTCATATTTAAAATATTTGCTAAATATAATATCCAAGTACTAAACAATCAGAATGGACAGTAATACTGGGGTTCCCTGCAGGGATACATATTAACTCTTTAATTGCTGCACTGTGGGGTAATTTGGGGGTGGTGCTTGAGTTAACAGCTGTTTACTAACAGATTTGAAAATAGTGAAAGCATTTCCATTTGGAAACCAATATAACCATACTGTTGCATGTTGGATGAATTTTGCACTCTGATGAAAGTTAAGGAAAATGGTCTTTTTTGTTTAACCATTACAGCTTTGCTCTGGGAATTGGTGCTGTCTTTCTGGCCCTGCGTGTAGCTATACTCAGTCTCAGTGGTGTGCATGGTCCTTTACCATCTGCATTTTCCCTTTTGGGCCTGTTTATTTCTTAAGTCTTACATTATCTTCACTGATTTTGGGGGTGCTCATAATCTATATGCATTTCTTCAGGGCACATTTATTAAGAAAGAAGTACTTTTATTTCTCTTTGTCCCATTTGTTGAGTATGTAACTCCGTAGAATTCCAGAATTGCTCTGTTTACTAAATAGCAGACAGCTGCTCCCGGAGAAAGAAAGCTCCACATTCTCTAAACACATTCTGTGTGGTCAGGTATAATAGTCATAAAGCTATTGAGCACTTGAAACATTGAGTTCTGAATTGAGATGTGTTGTAAGTGTAAAATACACATTGGATTTTGAAGCCTTAGTTAAAAAGTAACATATTAATATTTTTATATTAGTGGCATGTTACCCTGATATTATAGATATCTTGGGTTAAAATATTTTATTAGCATACAATTAATGTTCTCTGTTTCTTGTTACTATTTTTAATGTGGCTACTAGAAAAATAAATTTCATTTGCGGCCCACATAGTATTTCTATTAGACAGCACTGCTCTAGATGATATATTTGCCCAATTTTGGGGGATAGAAGGGACTTGATTTTAGCAGAATCTGTGGAAAATTTCCCTCTGGAAATTTAGTCAAGCATTTTTCTCTGATGTTATGTTTTTTCGCTTTAAGACTTTTGCCCTCTAGTGTTGTAGAGAACTTGAAAATACCACCAGTTTCTTCAGCTATGTCTGCGTTTTCTACATCTCACTAAACTATTTTCCAGTTCGCTCATTATAGGTCCATTAAAGAAATGATACATAAAGATATATAAAGTGAATTTTTTTCTTTTAAAAATATTTTAATGAAAATAATTAACTAATAGTAAATCCAAATGGATTAAAAATTAAGGCCCTGGTGACATTTTAAATGAAATTGTTATAGATATATACTATCTATTTTGGATTAGTTTTGCCTGTGGCCCAAAGACAAAAAGAAATCACTTTTGTTCTAAGGAAATTAAGCAGGAGTCCCTTCCTCCCATCCCTTTTGATTAGATTTCATAAATTTATGTTGTGAAAAAATCAGAGAACATTCTCTTAATCGAGAGATAAGATTATAGTTCTATATTTCTAAATATGTAGGTAAAATTGAAGTAGCTTTCTAGGTTGGTTCAAACATTTGTCATCTTAGAAGGTTTATAAACATAGTTGAGAGAAATCATTATACAATCATAGAAGTATATGAAATCACTGTTTTGCTGATCTAAAGTAAGAAGAAAGCTCTGACTTGGGACAAAGTACATTAACCAAGCCTCTCAGTATTTTAGAGGCTATTTAAAAATTCTAATATAAATAAATAGGTGTGACTCTTGGACCTAGAAACAGGAAGAAAAATCAATCAAAAACACCCTGGATATTAAAAGCGACTTTGGGCTCTAATGTGAAGCCCACTACTCAAATTGATTGAGTAGTGCAGTGTCAACCATATCTTTCTTCTAATGCTAAAAGTAATGCACATAGACAGAGTGACAATCACAGCACAGCCTCCCATCAGCAATAATTAATCTTTTAGTTAACAGAGACTAGAGAAGCCTCTCATCAGCCTCTTCTGAAGTCTGAGGGACCCTGTTTTTTGATGTTTGCATTCTGAGGAAAATTGTCCCCACCAGTTCTAACAAATTGAAACACCAGGCTAATTATGGCAGCTAATGAAGTGTGTGGAATGGTCACAGCTTGTCGTGAAACTGTTCCTTCAGCTTGGATTAGAGTTTCATCAATCACTTTTTTAAACTGATCCAGAATTGCTTCTGCCCGGTGCTTGGCATTTTTAATGCTGTTTCTGTAATTGGTTTTTTCCCTAAAGCTTAGACTGTTTTTTGAAATATTACAGTCTCGGGACAGGACTTGCAAACTCTAGTTTATAAAAAATATTTATTATTAGTGATATCAGCTGATCAAGTGGTAGAAAGCTAATAAAACCACTACCAAAATAAAATTTGATACACTGTTTCAATCTTGCTAAAGGTAGCAATAAAGCATATCCATATATATCTTTTTTTTTTCAAATGTATGTATAATACAACATAGGGGAACCATAGTTGGTGGTTAGGTGACTAAAATTCCACTAAGAGTTTTTATGAAATTAATATACAGATGTTAGCTTATTTTGAGAAGGCAATAGTGATACCTCCCATTTATCAATCAACATCATTTTATGATGTCCACATTTTGCACTGAGCCAAACATTTTGAGGCATTAGGACCTAAAGTTTATCTATAGATTTCCAGTGAAGTTGCTCTGCAATAAACCTGAAGTGCAACTCGGAAAATCGTGTTTAAAGGTTTAATCTTGTCGAAAAAAAGGAATCAGTCATTTTGCAGGCATGACTGCAATCTCTATACAATTATTGGTACATTTTGTTATTAATGTTACTAAGAGTTAATAACTATTGGACACCCACTATGTGCACAGTAATGTCTCAATTTGTAAGACAGCTAGATAAAACAAAGGTATTTAATTCCATTCGTACAGATAATGTCCTTGAAAATAATAAGCAAAAGACTTTTAGATGTCTTTTTGCTATTGCTGTTTCCTTTGGAGTCAGGCTGCATAAGCAACAGTTTCTACACATTTCAGTCCTTTCCTTTTTATTGATAAATTATCCCAGAGTTAAAATTATTCCTAGTAAACTGACACATATTGAGAAAGAGCTTTAGGTGCATTATCACTTTTAAGCCTCAGAACTAACTAACCTAGGATATTGATATTATCATTCCTCTGTGTAGATTAAAAGCTAAATAAAGTTCATCACTGCTATCTGGCCTATTAACCATTACACTATAGTATCTCAACTAGCTCTTTAAACTTACTTTCTCCTAGTGTAGATCAGCTTCTAAGATTTTATAAATTCTTTGTAGATACTTGGAAGACGCCTGGCTCATGCCTGTAATCCCAGGACTTTGGGAGGCTGAGGAGGGCAGATCGATTGAGCCCAGGAGTTAGAGACCAGGCCTGGGCAACATGGCAAAACCCCATCTCTACAAAAAATACAAAAATTAGCTGAGTGTGGTGGGGTGCACCTGGAGTCCCAGCTATTTGGAGGGCTTAGGCAGGAGGATTGCTTGAGCCCAGAAGGTTAAGGCTTCAGTGAGCTGTGATTGCATCATTGCACTCCAGCCTGAGTGACACAGTGAGACCCTGTCTCAAAAAAATAAATAAATAAAATAATAATAATAGTAACAATAATTTAGCTCTGCTTTAGAAATTGAGGAAATATATGTGGATATATACTTATATAATGATATGTATAGACATGTACATATCGTGCATATATGAACATACATATATTCAGAAAATAAAAAAATGTTACTTTAAATTTGGTAAATTAAAAAATTTCTTTTGGTTTTCATAATTCTTACAATAGAATACTTATATATATATGTTTAAGTGGTAAAATGTTTCACTTAACCATGATATTTACCATGAAGCATCTATGAAACAATATGCAGAAATGAAGTAAGGTATGATATGAAGTTTCTGAAATTTCTAGTTACTTACATTTATTTTTTAGTCAAACATTAAATTATTTTCAGGGATAAAGAAATTTTGGGACATCAATAGGGACTGAAACAATAGGGATGAAAACATAGTAATAAATACACCTCTGAGAAGAGTTTTATCAATATTTGATAAATTTTAGTATTTATTTTCTTGCTAAAAATTATATCACAGTTTGAATTATGAAACATTTTTAATACCTAGAAAAGTATGGCAAAATATATTGGTTGAAACTAGATGGTGGGTGCATGACATATATATTATTCAGAATACAGTTTTTGGGCACAATGTTCTACATTCACCCGTTTCCTGAGGTTTGCTAATATTGTTCATTTCTTCTAGAGCCTTACTGAGTTTTGATATCATGTTGGTATTATTGATTCCAATATTACTGATTCTTCTTCCTGAAACACTAAAATGAATCATTTTGTCCAAGCACGGTGGCTCATGCCTGTAACCTCAACACTTTGAGAGGATTGAGGTGGGAGGATCCTTTGGGTCCAGGAGTTCAAGACCATGTTATGAATAATACACATGTCATGCACTCACCACCTAGTTTCAACCAATATATTTTGCCATACTTTCCTACATATTAAATTAAATTAAATCTGATATACATAATTTTTCATATACATATTATGTATATGATAAATATATATAACCATATAATATGTATATTATAAACTCACAAAAGTTTTATTTCTTCCATTTTCAATTATTTCTAATCTATTTTTCAATTAAGTATAATGTTTTATCATACTTTATCATGTTAAAGATGGTTCCTATGTTTTTGTTTTGCTAGGAGATTATTATTTTTAAAATCATAAGTAGGTATTAAACTTTATCAAATTCTTCTGCATCTATGAGATGATCATGTGATTACTTTTTTATTCTGTTATAGTGAATTATGCTGTTTTTTTAAATTACTCAAACTTCTCTTCCTAGAATGAACTCTAATCATGAGATACTTTTATTTTTACATATTCCTGCATTCAATTTGCTAATACTTTATTGTTTTTTATATCTATGTTTGTAAGATAGATTGGTCTCTAGTTTTCCTTTCTTAGACAGTCCTTGTCAAGTTTTAGTATCGAGATTATGCTGAACTCATAAAACAATTTGGGTAGTTTTCCCTCTTTTTCAATTTTTGGAAGAGTTTGTGTGACATTGTTCTTTCTTCCTTAAACATTTGGAAGAACTCACTAGTGAGCCTATTGAGTTGTGGTGTATTCTTTTTATTTATTAATTCAGTTCTTTTAATACATAAAGGACAATTCAGATTTCTATTTCTTATTTTGTTTGTTGTGTTTTTTTCATTTGACCTATTCAACTAAATTTTCAAATTTATTGGCAAAAAATTGCTCATGATCCATTTTATTATATATTAATATTTAATTCGATAGCATATGCAGTGATGTCACCTTTTTATTCATGGATATTGATAAATGTTGCTAATCAGTTTTGTTAAGGATTTTTAAATTTCATCAATCTAGAAAACTGAATTTTCGCTTTGTTAGTTTTTTCATGGAATGATCATTTCCTATTTTATTCACATCTGCTCTTTGTTTCTTCAATTTTTGGGGTTTAATTTGCTGATTTTTCTGTTACTTCTTAAAATGGATATTTAAATGATTTATTTTCACCCTTTATTTTTAATCTATGTATATAAGGCTATAAATTTCCCTCAGAACATGTGCTTAGTGACATCCACAAGTTTTCATCATACATTTCAAAATGTTTTCTTTTTTTTTTCTATATTGACTCATATCTTGTTTAGAAGTATATTACTGAATTATATAACATTTGGAGATTTCCCAGTTATATTTTTATTAATGTACTAATTTATGTCCTCCATGTTAAAACAACAGAGTCTGTGATTTTAATCTACTGAAATGTGTTGAGAAATGCTTTATGTCCCAGGATCTGGTCAATTCTGGTAAATGTTTCAAGTACATTAAAAAGAATACAGTTCTTGGGCACAGCATTCTACATTCATCCATTTCCAGCGGTTTGCTAATATTGTTCATATCTTCTGCAGCCTTACTGAGTTTTGATATCATGTTGGTATTATTGATACCAGTATTACTTATTCTTCTTCCTGAAACACTAAAATGAATCATTTTGTCCAAGCACGGTGGCTCATGCCTGTAATCTCAGCACTTTGGGAGGCTGAGGTGGGAGGATCCTGAGTCCAGGAGTTCAAGGTCAGCCTGGACAAGAGAGCAAGAACCCCCATCTCTACAAAAAAAAATGAAATTTTTTTGATACATGGAATATATCATGAAGCTTTATTTAAAGAAGGACATGGACAGTACATTTTTTGAGGCCTTGAATGTCTATGGCAGAGAGTTCATTGTCCCTCAGTATCAGTTTTTCCCTTTCTCTGAACCAGGGGTCAGCAAACTTTTTTTTAATGGCCAGGGACTAATTATTTTAAGTTTTGATGGCTACGGGTTTATGTTACCACTACTCAACTCTGCATTGTAGCGCAAAAGCAGCCATAGATTATACATAAATAAGTGGGCATGACTACGTTCCAATAAAACTTTATATACAAGTTAGGCAGTGGGCTGGCTTGGGCCTGCAAGCTGTGGTTTTCTAATCCCTTTTCTATAGAATAGAACCTTTGATTTATAGTGTGTACATGCATGCTGAAATTAAAACTACATTTATCAGCCACTTTTTTACACTGTGTATAGCACTGTGACAGTGCTGGAAAATGGAATATAAGTAAAAAGTGTGGATCCAGCTTCTAAGAAGTATTTATCAGGATTTTTCCCTATGTTAGTAAGTCTGATGGTGTGGAGGCCAGCTAAAAGCAGAACTTTCACCAAAAGAACTATTCAAGCTAGTACATTAGTCTGACGCAGTTTCGTAGATACTGGTAGAAGACAGAAGCTTCCTAGGTCAGAGATTTTATCCCTCACAGCAAAAGCAATAGCCTCAAATCGTACATAGTGATGCAGAGAGTCAGGAAGGCCTGCATATGCAAGTATATCATAGGCAAACAACCCCTAGTATAGGAAATTTACGACTTTTATAGGAAGCAGTAAGCAAGGTTTCTCTGCCCAGAGGGAGACCAGGCACATCACAGGACTAAGTGATATGTACTGGGAAGATGTTACAGGATTGCCAGTTGCATAAAGAATTCTGAGGAGTGGCCCAGGTAAAAGAATGATGAAGACTTTATGATTTTGGCACATGCACCAAGGCTCGTGGGACTGGAGTCCCAAGATGGACTTCTTACTCCTAGTGTGTTTTAAAAAAATGAGTGTCCTTCTTTCCTCCTTGTGGCTGTCTGGAATGGGGTATTTGAGAACTACGGATGGACTGACATCTTCAATCATGATACAGTCCTTGAATCAATGTAGACCACAAAAGATAAAGCAATAACATAGAAGAAACGGGGAACTTACACTATAAAGTATCACATTAACTCTGGAATTTTGAGTAAACTTCTTTCTTGTTAAGTCACTGTTACTCTGGGCTTTCTAAGCTAATCCCCATTAATACAAAATCTAGGAATGCCTTTCTGTTGCTTTCATATGTAAGTGACAACTAGAGTATGTCTAGAATACCAGGTTCACAACCTTTTTCTCTTAATAGTTATTAAGTCATGATTATCAATTAGTATTACAAATTAAATATCTGAGATCAGACTAATTCTTTGATTTGTGTGGGTGGGGGAGGCTGTGCTTTTTGAATTTTTTTTTATTCTAAAGTATGATGTTCATCACTAATTCAACTTGAAATAGCCAAATACTACATGCATAATGAATTTTAATTCTTCTATTGTAATCTTAGCTTTTTTTCTCTTTTTGCCTAACATCTCTGACCTTATTGTTTCTATGTATATCTGGTCCTCTTATTTTAGCCTCTTTTATTCTTTAGTCTTTGACTCTGTTTTCATAAGTTGGTTGAAGCTGGCAAATATTCTCTAACACTTAACTTTTCTTTAGGTTCCTGCAGAGGATGACTTTCAGTGCCTGCTTTTCATCCATGTCTTTTAACATGTGGACCAATTTTTCTTCCATAGGCCTATATAATTTTTTCCCTCTTATCCCTCTCCTATTTTAAGAGCACTAGATGCATTCACTATTTGCCAACATAGAAGGCCTGTGGTTTTAGTGCTTCTGTCTCTTTGGATCGAAGCCTCTTTCTAGGCTCCAGGTGGAAGGCAGCCCAACTCACTTGCCCCATTTCCTAGTTCTCCAACACTAATAATTGATGGAAGAGATGGGAAATTATAGTTCTAACTGGTACTGCCTTTACAGCTCTCTCTGCATGGCACAGAGACCCTGCATGTAGTGAGTCTCTGTGAGAGTGGGTTGCTTGACCTGTATAAAACCCAGACTACTGCTTGGTTTCTGCAGCTCAGCAATTTTATGTTTTTCATTCGTTACCCTGAACTTTCTTGAAGAGATTAAAATTTCTCTTAAAAAAATGTGCCCTATAAGAAATTCAATTTTAACGCTCGTGGTGGGGTCAAAAGAAAGTAAGGAGAAGTTCCAGAGCAGTTTACTTAGACTAAGAATTATCTTCCATTGTAAAGCATCAAAAGACTTGCTGGTATAAATTGTGTGAGTACCAGATCTCTGGTGGAGATAATTATTTGATCACTTTTTCAGTTCTACCCATAAACATGTAGACATTAGTAGTAGTTGTTTACAATTTCCCCCCACTCTCCTCTGCCAGTTCTTCCATGTGCTTATTAAAGATGGAAAAGAGTGTTTTAGGGGTCTAAACATTAATATAAGATTTCTTGGAAGAGGAAATTCTTCTGCTAGCCCAATTAACTAGCCTCTATGATAGAAAAGAACTTAATGGAATATTGTGAGGTAATCACATTAACAGACTAACAGTTTTGAAAATTTGGATAGGCCCTACCCATATAGTTGGAGACCAGACAAAACTAATTGAAATACTTTACCATTAATATCCAAGCTCTTGGAAACTAATGGGATTCTAGATATATCATTAATGGTAGTTAACACCTATATCGTAATCTATATCAGGTAAAAATATGTCAACATAAGGGATATATAAAGTATTATGCATTAATATCCTAACCTACATTGCTAAAGAATGTTTTCATAAAAGAAATCTACAACTCATAATTATTTCAGTCTAGCATATTAATATGTTCATGATAAAGTAGAGTTTCAATGTGATTTCAATATGAAACAATTCTTACATGTCTTTTCCTGTCTTAAGTGAATATATATTTGTCAACATTTTACTTAGTAAAATTAGATAAAATCAAGAACTTTCTACCTCTTATTTGTTAATAAAGATGCTATGAATTACCTGTGGGGGATTTTCATTCCTTTCAAGCACTTTTAACCTATCAAGCTTAACTGAAAGACTTTTCCTACTAGTAATTCATGTTTATCTTCAAGCTGCTAATGGATAGAAGAACATGTTAATGCTCTAGTAAACTATTTTTGCCTGTCCACATCAGAACGTCATGTTATATATACTTGCTACTTTTGTACCTGATTTATTTATTCTTTTATTGAATTACTTTTAAGTTTTTATAAAAAGGGCTTTATTAAATAAGATAATAGTTTAAGCAACATTATAAGAGTGGTTAATTTACTTAACAGGTCAAAGTTTCTGAAGTGTAGCAACTTACATATAATTCATTTACTAAGAATATAACATAAATTATTTAGTTTTACAAGTGCAATTTAAAAAGTGATATCAACTAATTAGCAGTTATTATACATTGGTCAGCAAAAATATACTTGCTCTTTATTTTATTTCTGATAAATTCTTATTTGCAGAACAAAAGTAGTGTAAGTCAAAACAATACATACACAGTTGAATTTCACTTTATTCAAGAAATTATTTTTCTCCTAGATTGTGTGACTATGTCTATCATAGAGTTTTAAGGAGGCAACAATCGTTTAAATTGTTCTATTCTATCCTCTCAATCTTTAATTTTTTATTGTTCAAAAAATAATAATGAAATAATATATTAATATTAAGACTAAATTTTTGTATGTATTAAATCATATTCTTGCAGTTGACTTTCATTCATAAAGTCTAAATAAATTAGTTATATTTATGTGTGCTTTGAATGGTAATAACATATAGACATTCCTTAGGATTTTGAAAACCAAAATTTACCTACACATGTCTTTTGTTTCAGATTCAGTGAAGTTCAAGGGCATCCAAGTATGAAATAGCTTGTGAGGAAATTCACATTGCTTTCTTAATTTGATTTAGTTGGGGGAAAGGACACTGGTTCAGAAAATAGAGCTTTTAGAATAATTTTGGTTGAAATATAGACATTAAATATTGTACATAGATTAGTAAATGTGTACATAATTTTCCCAAAGCTTGTAGAGGGGGTTGGTATTAAAGTATACTAATTTCCGTTGACTATCTTATCTGCATTCTAATATGTTTTAGTATCTAGACTTGCTTATGGGAAATGTAAAAATGTTCAGATGTAGGTAAAAATTAATAACAGAAGATAAACCACATATTTAGGTATTTAAGGTAAATGTAACTACATATTTTGTATAAATGACATTAAAAATATGACATCAGGCCAGGTGCCTGTAATTCCAGCCCACTGGGAGGCAGAGGTGAGCAGATCTCTTGGAGTTCAGGACCAGCCTGGGCAACACAGTGAGACCCCATCCCTACAAAAAATAAAAAAATTAGTTGGGCATGGTGGCACACACCTATAGTCCTAGCTATGTGGGAGGCCGATGTGGGAGAATTGTTTGAGCATGGGAAGTTGAGGCTGCAGTAAGCCTTGATCGATGGTACTACTGCTCTCCAGCCTGTGCAACAGAGTGAGACGCTGTCTCAAAAAAAAAGGACATAAATTACCAAGAGGAATACAGCTGATAAATAAGTGTCCAAGTAGAAAGGAAATATAATTCTAAGAACAGTAAATATTTGGTGCACTTCTTTTTTACTTTATTGATATAAAAGTTAAAACATGCATAAAGAAAAATATGTTCAAAGATTTGTAATGAAAAGTGGCAGACTGCTAACTCACTCTTTCCCTACATGTCCAGTCCTCCTTTTCAGAGGCCACCACTTTCAGCTCTTTCATCTTCCAAAAAATAGGCTATCTCTTGATTTATCAATTTCTGTGTTAGCCATTGACCTTCAACTATGGTAGATGAGTATTTAGCTCTCTTATACTATCATCTCCATGTTTTCTTAGAATATGTCTTGAGTAAGCAAATATTCAGCTTTTACTTTTTTTTACTATGTAAAGATTGTTTCTTATTAAATCAATAAATGTTCCATGATGATGTTTCTTCTGTGTAACTTTTTATATTCCCTGGAGTTATTACTTACCTTCTTCTCCATTTGCATAATTTTCTTCACATCTCTTGTCGAAGTTTCTCCACACCCTGTAAAAATCTTTCAATATAATCTTTCTGTCTGAAAATTTCATCCTACAAGTAATTGATAAATTGTTTTGATGTGTAATTGTATGTTAAAAGTTATTTCTATTCTGTTTTAAGCCATTGTTATCTGTCATTCTGCTTTGTGAAAAATTTTCTTTGCATTATTCCTTTCCTAATTCTTTTTTCTTTGTTTTCTCAGATCTTTTTTACTGGAGCTCCTCTAGTCAGAAATCAAATTCTCTAATAGCTCTTCAACTTCTTTTTGAATTTTATATTCCTTATTTCCATTTTATTGTCCTTTTGTTTTACTTTCTAGGAGAGTTCTTTGGTATTAAGTTCCAGTTTTTCTATCAACTTGTGTTTTCTGCTCTCATATTTTTACTTCACTAAAGCTTTTTTCTTTTTAAAATAGCAGCTTGTACTTGTTTAATGGATGCAATATCCTTTCTAATACTTCTTAGAAAGTTTATTTTAGATTTTAGTGATGCTTGGTTCTGCTTTTTGCATCATCTCAACTTCATCTAAATTGGTTTTTTGTTTGTTTACTTATCTCTCCATCTTTTATGTTAGATGCTTTCCTCAGACATCTGTTGATCTTTTGCTGTTTTATTCATATTTTAAAATAAGGCACAGAAATGTTAGTTTAATTCCTTGTCCTGCCTGAGCCAGGTTGACTGGTGGTTTTTACTGTAGAAGTGACTTTCTGTGGATGGGCCACTACCTATGGCCATTCAGTGTTTCCAACAAAATAGCACTAATTTGACCAAATCTGTAGTCAAAGTTTGATTCTACTTGAATTTTTTGGAAATTTGCTGTTGTGTTACTTATTCTTTGCCTTGTTCTCTGTGAAGTCCTTTCCTAAAAAAACAAACTTATACAATTTAGTTCACAAAACTTTGTTGACCTCTTTCTCTGTAGAAATGAAAACTAAATATATATAATTAAGAAATAAAAAAAAATTCTCTAATCTCTTGCCAGGAGTGCAAGTATCTGGGAATTGGTAATTGAGGTGGTGAGTAGGATGCTGTTCTCACCGTTCAGTATGAAACCTTTCACTTAATTTTCAGTATAGTGTCATACTTTGTGCCTGGTGCCTGCTGTTCACCCATCCACCCAAATCCCCCAGATCATAAACTTCCTGAACCTGAGGGGAGGAGGGGAGGAAGATTTTCCTGGAGTGTTAGAACCTGGAGGGAGCTTGGAGAGTGTTTTATATGTAGGCTTTTAAGCAAGCCCTGTGCATCATCTATGCCTTCTGAGATATCTGAAGATTCTAATGCCTGACGGTTTCTGGGTTTAAGTAGGAAAAATAGGATGGGATGTCACTGGTGTCCCCCTCTGAACAGGTCACTGTTCTTCATTCCTTGTAAGTCTAGTACCACTCCCTGTCTGTTTCCCAATATAAGTTATAATTTGGGGTCGCTGCTGTCTGCTGGTTTCACTGAATATGTAGCTTACTGGATGTTTACAATTGTCCACATTTTTTTGAATGCGGGGAGGTGGGATGCATTTCTGAGAGGATGAGACAGGGCAAGAAATTCACCACTATCCTAAAACTGGAAGTCTTCTAATGAATAATTTCAAAGTACAGTCGTGTACAACTTTTATAGAAGGACTTTTGAAATAATGTTTTTCCAAAAGTATGGCATCCAGAATTTTCTTTAATGCTACCATGCAACAAAACCTTTATTAACATTTTGAACAGGTTCAACTATTACTGAAACTTGTAATTTCTAAACTTAAGTGGGGGCAGATGGCTATAGTGCAGTGTAATGCCATCACTGAGCACTGCAAATGCAAGACTGAAGAACTAACAGCCACATCTCAGACGCTGGACCAGGTACAGGGTCAACTCTTTCTGGATGTTGTAGTCAGAAAGAGTACAGCCTCTTCTAGCTGCATGCCTGCAAAGATGAGCCTCTGCTGGTCGGGGAGGATGCCTTCCTTATCCTGGATATTGGCCTTCACATTTTCGATGGTGTCACTGGGCTCCACTTCAAGGGTGATGGTCTTGCCAGTCAGGGTCTTCACGAAGATCTGCATTTTGACCTGTTAGCAGATACGAGGATGCTGCGAATCGCCAGTCATGTCCAGCCACAGGAACACCTCCACACGCTCACCCGACAAAGCCATTCACCCCTCCAGAATATTTTATTCATACATATAGTTTTTATTTTTATGTATATTTGAATGTGGTAGATGTAGGATATAAACACAAAAGCCTGAATTCTTCCCCCAGGAACCTTACCATCTAGTGGATGAGATGAAATTTGCAGGGGGAATTACTGTGATGCAAAACAAAAAAAATATAAAAGGACTGTGAGAAAGGTATGATTATGCACCATAGGCATTCAGGGTAGGGAAATTTAATTTACGTCTGAAGAGAGAAGGATTTCCTGGAGGAAGTAGCATTTTTACTTGAGACTTAATGTTTGGGTAGGATTTGCACCTACTAAGAACTTAATAAATATTTGCTGAATATAATTAATGCTGTTCAGCTTTGGTGGTTTGACATTTTTCTTTTTACTTCTGTTACTAGTGAATATTCTTCAGTGTGGTGTGTCAGCAGCAATCAGTTTATCTTATTCTTGTCTCAGTTTTCCTGAGAGAAATTAACAAAAACACTTCTATAGAGAAAATGCACCATTCAATGACAGTTATTGATATA
This sequence comes from Homo sapiens, assembly GCF_000001405.40. Lineage (NCBI taxonomy): Eukaryota > Metazoa > Chordata > Mammalia > Primates > Hominidae > Homo > Homo sapiens. Next base: position 217,851,259 of record NC_000001.11, read on the forward strand.
TCCTATAATTACAAAAAAAAGTTTCCTGTGAGAATTCCATCATATTAATGATGCATGTATACTATCAAGAATTATAAATATTGAGTAAGAAAGCTCCAGGTTCACATGTTCCCAGATGTTCCCAGATGGGGCTACTAGATTAGCAATTTTTCAAAAACATAAGCAGTAATTAGAAATCTTTCATAATTCCTTTTAGAAACAGCATTTGATTTTAATTCTTTCATTTAAAAAACCTTGTAAGAAAAAACTGTGACAGAACTATTGACATTTTTATAGCTTGACAAAAATTAAGCATAATTAAAGTGAAATATTTGTTGCATAAATTAAACTGCAATTAATATGTTTTCTGTGACTGCTTGAAGGGTAAGATTAAAATGGTGTTGTTAGCAGACTCCCTGCTGTGAGACTAATTTCTTGATTTTTATACCACACAGTATCAAACACATTCTCACAGTAAAAGAGTAAACTAATAAGTAGAAAACACTGTCTGATGAAAATGGTATACAGAAGGAGATAGACTGCCTTTTATGAAGACAAGGCAATATTGCTTTTTATTTTGAGATTTGATGACTAGTTGATTCGAAGGCTATCATTTGCACATTTAAAGACTTTAAGATAAGTCTAAAGTTGCCCTTCATTTGTTAGCTATGCCTTTTAAATTAGCCAGCTGACTGTTTCAGGAGTATTTGCCTTTTCAGGAGGTAATTAGAAAATGAACAAGACATGTTATGCAACGGCCTCCCCTCCAGCTAACCAAGAAATAATAATAAATCCCATCAAAAAACTGAAGGGTGAACAATTTCAAGGAAAATGAATGAAACATGTACCCTGTTAGCTCTCCTCTTGGAGAACGATCACTTTTCCTCACCAGAGCCCACAGTTACGAAAAGAATACCTGACATTGACAAAAGTTAGTTATTGCCATCTTTAAAAAAATTGCCAGCTGCTACCTGCCCAGACAATGCATCAAGTGTTATTTCTATGTGAATTTTTTCTAATTACTTTTTAACCTTAGATACTATTTGTGGCATCAATGAAAGAAATAGGTAATCATTATTAATAGTTCTCTTTACTTCTGCAATGTCTCTCTTGGGCATTGCTGCCTAAAGAATATAAATACACCAATGGGAATTAGAAATTATGGGCTAGGTATCATTCACTGGCTGGATTATTATATACTTCTTCTTTGGGGGCAGTGATGAAATCAATGCATGTTGTGTGATGACAACATCAGGATTTGACAGTGCCTTTTGAAAGAAGTGAAATTAACAGAACTCTTTCCACATGCAAAGCTATGGTGCCCTTCTCTTGCCACCAACAGAGAAAAGGCACGCTGTTTCATTGCTTGATGCTGTGGCCCTACATTCTGCATTGCAAATCCCAAATGCATTAACAGGTTTCAGATGTTGGAAAACTTTCCCCCCCAAAAAATCATAGAGCAAATAAATCAATCTTTCTAGCATGGTTTATAAGGTTTTGGTAACTTGAAGTGATCCTAGTGTTACAGTGACAAATTGGTGGGTGTAACTATGAGCTGAGGTTGCATGATTACACTCTCACCTCCTTTGGGTTTGTCCTCAAATGATACCTCAGAGTAGCCTTTCCTGACCACCTGATTTGAAATTCAAAGCCCTTTCCCAATTCCCTCAGTCCTTCTCCACTACCCTGTCTTATGTTCACAGCACTTATTATCATATAACTTACTTGTTTCTTCTCTGTGTCTCCTCACTGGAGATTTAAGTTCCATGAAGTCAGGAATTTTTGCATGACTGGTTCATTGCTGTATTCTCACTGCCTAGAATACTGCTTGGCTTAAGTAGGCACTTGATTAATATTTTTTAAAAGAAAGAGTGAATGAATAAATGAATGTTTATAAACAAATCCTTCAAAAAGAGCAGAAAGAAATTAGTCTAACAAACATGATTATTCCTGATGGTAATATGAACATCTAGGTTTAGTAGAGGATCATGAGAGTAATGTTTATAATGCTTCGCTTATTCATTACCTTATTTTTTATGTCAGTGAAATTACACTTAAATGAAAATTATTTCATATTAAACTAAACATCAGGTTATAATCTATATATGGTTAGTGTTAGTGTTCATAAAGAATTATTTACAATTCACCCCTTAAATAATAGTAGACAATATTTTCAACTCATTAGTTCATTTTATGTATTCATGTTCTCATTCATTTAGTGGCTTGTTCAATGTTACTCGTATCCCAGGAGTCATTGTATCTGTGATATTCTGGTAGAATGTACAAGTTTATGCCATAGTGAGTGTGTCATGAAAGAGCTTGACTGTCTTATAGCAATCAATTCTTGTTATCTGCAGTAGTTATGTTCTATAAAGTCACCTCAAACACTGAATTGGTGAATAACGAACCATTGTTCCTACAGAGAAAATAGGATTACGTTTCTGCTAGACTTTGGTCAACATTTTTGCCAACCAATCAGTGCATAATAGTGTTTTATGTGTGCTTCCATTTAAAAACACCCTAACTGACATATATTTTGACTCATTAGCATTGAACTTGTGGCCAATAGCACTATAACTCATGCTTGAATGAAGCTTATCTAGCATGTATGTTCTCTACATTACACTTAAGGAACACTAGGCAGAATTTCAGCAGTACACTTAGGGTTATTAAAAGAAAAACTTCAGCCAAATTAAATTTAAAGGAGTTTAATTGAGCAATGAACGATTCGTGAATCGGGCAGCCCCCAGAATCATAGCAGATTCAGAGAGACTCCAGGGGTGCCTCATGGTCAGAACAAATTTATAGGCAAAAAAAGTAAAGTGACATACAGAAATTGGAAGTGAGGTACAGAAACAGCTGGATTGGTTAGAGCTCAGCATTTGCCTTATTTGAACAGTTTGAACACTCAGCAGTATGTGAGTGGTTGAAGTATGGCTGCTGGGATTGGCCAAGACTCAGCAATTGTTACAGGCACATACTCTTACGTCAGGTTTTCAATCTTGTCTACCTATTAAGTTAGGTTGCAGTTCATCCACAAAAACACTGCGAATATTGATTTTGAGGTTACAAATAAATTTTAGCAAGTTGGCAAATTTCAAATAAGGAACCTGTGAATAGTGAGGATCTCCAGTAGCAGTGTTCTTATAAAGAAGTCATCACTGAACACACCATCATATTAAGGATAAATCTAGGCATTATCTTCCTCTCAAAATAGGGTCACTCTGAGAAGTCCTGTATTTCTATTTAAATAAAATTTAATATGATATGTTTCAGGCCCTGTGATGGTACTGGGAACACAACAAACAAGACTGATACAACTTCCTTCTCCCCCATAGATAAATCTGTCACTAACTTTTCTCTATTCTTTCTCTCTTCCCTGATTTCTATCATTCCCCCAAATACTTTGAAACCCAGGTAATTGAATGTACGGAGAGACCTGGCACAGCATCTACTAGCTGGAAAAAAAAAGTTTTCCATGTGTGTACTTTGGGAGGACCCTGATGATGTCCAGGGCATGCGACTTCCATTTCCTTCACTTGGTTTCTAGAGTGACAGGGTTGAGTGAGAGAGTAAGGATGTGCTACTCCAGAAGTCTCAAACTTTTAACAAGTTCACGGTTTCCCCAGGGCCACATCTGTTTATTCATTTATTTAGTCATTCTTTCAGCTAAATAACATTTGTCAAGTCCCTACTTTGTAGTAGACACTGTGCTAAATCCTGGGAATACAACTGTGAACAAAATGTAACCTGGCTTTTAGCAGTTACTCCCCTTCTTGAGCATTTTCTTGCAGTACCTCATTATTTGGATGCATTCAGTTTTTCTCCTAGTAAGAAACACTTAGTGTTGTAGCAGGAGAAAACTTAGGATGCTACAATCTCAGTTTCAATTGTTATTCCCCATTTCATTTGGTTCTTCTTAAACCATTCTGATACTGTCTCTGAACGTTTTTGCAGCATATTTTCCCACAGATTAACTACATGCAAGCCAAATGTTCCCTTTAGTGCCAGTTTCATATAGCCTTTCTCCTTTTTAAATTGACACATCTTTGTATATGAAAATAATGTTGCTGGAATATCTTACCATGGTATCACTAGCTCTATGATAAAACCACTAACAGGCTACAGATCATTCTAACTAACACATTGTATCTAGTTAGATGTTCAATTTCAGGTACTTTTATTTAGATGACATGTTTTTGTGTTTTTGGTTGTAATTAAATAGTTGAAACCAAATTTTCATGTACATCTGCCTTTCTATACCTACATCTGTTTCTATAATTAAATCTCTTCCTTCTGACATATCTTTATATCTTGTATTACTTTTATCATGGCCTAATACATATGCCACTGAATACAATGAACTGGTCAAACAAGGAACTCGATCATTTATCCTTCAGTTTGCATGTCTGTCATGTGGGCCTGTCAAGTCCATAAAGATGGGGAAAGGACTAAATATGAGAACTAAATAAGAGAAAGACAGAAGGAACTATTTTTTTTTTTTTTTTGAGATGGAGTCTCGCTGTGTCGCCAGGCTGGAGTGCACTGGCATGATCTCAGCTCACTGCAACCTCCGTCTCCTGGGTTCAAGCTATTCTCCTGCCTTAGCCTCCCAAGTAACTGAGACTACAGGTGCGTGCCACCAAGTCCAGCTAATTTTTGTATTTTTAGTAGAGATGGGGTTTCACCATGTTGGCCAGGATGGTCTCGATCCCTTGACCTCGTGTTCTGCCCCCCTGAACCCCCCAAAGTGCTGGGATAACAGGTGTGAGCCACTGCACCTGGCCGACAGATGGAACTATTAAGAAGGAAGATACAGTATATAAAAACAGGAAAAGAATCAGTAGAAACTCGAGGATAAGTTTACAATTTAGATATACCCACATTGAAATAAAAGCAGGAATGTGTATACTAAAGTCAAATATAAATGACCTTTGATTAGCAACTATTTAGGATTATTCATCTACAGTTTTTTAAAAGTGTATTTGAGTTTCTTAGTTAGAGAATAGCTAACACTTGTTAAGTACTTGCTATGTGCTGGACACTGTTTTAATTGCTTCACATGGATAAACTCATGTATTCATACTTTCAGGTTATTTTATCTGTTTTCAAATTAGGAAACAAACACGGCAGAGGCTAAATAACTTTTCCAAGATCACAAAGTCCTTAAAGATAAACCTGGATTTCAAACTCAGGCAGCTTGACTCCAAAGCAGTATTGCCTCTGAGCAGAAGTAATAAGAAAGTTTTCACATGACCCCTGTAATCACCAGTGAGACTCTGGCCATCACACAATATGCAAAGGAACTTCGTTTCCTGTTTAGATTCAGACTGATAATGCATCATCCACTCATCAGCTAAAATTTTTTTCTCTGGGAACATGTACACATGGTTTGATTGAAGAATGCATAATAAATCCTAAATCTCTGAGCTTTAGAACAACACAAATAACTAAGATTGAATACTTGAGGATATTTTCCTGAAAACAGTGAACAGAAAAAAGGGGAGAAGTCCTACAACTGTAACAGTTTCCTGTATATTCTTTTGTCAGAACTGTAGAGATCCTCATGTCATCACAGTTTTCTACATGCAATGAGAGCAAAGTTTGATCTTGCAGGAATAATGCCGGGTGATCTTTTAAACCTGCCTGTAAACTCTCATTTAGAGTCTGAAAAGTCTCCAGTGCTAACCAGACTTAGTTGAAGTCTCGTTCAGGATATAAGGAAATATTTTTGATTAAAATAGTATTTATACGTAGCGAGAAGTTCTTGCCATGCTCCTTTTTTCTAACTCTAGTAGAAAAATCTTTGCCATATTTTAAAGCTGAATATGTAAGACATTATAAGCTGGCTGAAAAATATGTGCATAACCCTTGATTTTCATCTTATCTCTCTAATCTCAAAAGTTTTGTCTCCTATGGTGTAACAGCGCTGTCCCGCTTACTAACATCGAAGTATTTAAGCACTCAGTTGTGAGTATCTGGTGAAAAGCCTTAAATAACTAGAGAAACAGTGCAGCTGCCAACCTAAAGTAATCTTACACTTAGTGGGTGAGTGGCCCAGGAAATGTGCTCTTTATCATTTTGACTTGGGTTTGAAAAAGGACCTGGGCTGCATTCCAGCTCAGAGAGCCGTTCACTTCCAAAGACTCCTAAATTGTCCCAAGGAGCTCATTTTGGCAGTGGATTATTTGTGTTTGGCTGGGCATCCTAATAGCAGAAGCCGTCTGCTTTGGCAAGCAAGGGCTATGGCAGCATTTAAAATTACCATCCCTAGTGTTTTTTCTTGATGAGGTTATTTTTCAGAAAAGCAGTTCCCCAACCCCCATTTAAAAAGTGACACTGTGCAAGTGTGCAGGTGGTTTTCTTGAGCTCATAGTTTCCCATGATCGGATGACATGTTTTATCATATCAGAGGCAAATTTTAAACAAATGCTAATCAACACCAGATTTCTCCCAAAACCAAAGTTCTCCTGATGGTATCTTCACCTCTTCCTGTACCAGAGGTCACAGCTATTGGTTGACTAGAGCTATGTAAGAATGTGAGATTTTAGATTTAAAAATAAGAGCAATAAAGAGTTTCTGAAAGATTTTGTTTTGGAGGACATAGAAGGTGCATACTTGAAGCGGTCAGTCCTTGTTTATCTGTACTATTGTCTGACACCAGATAAGACCAAGTTTTGGTTACCATTGGTTGGAAGCTAGCATAGTGTCAGACACATTGCAGACACCAAAATGTTACTTGAATGCACAAAAGAAGGTCTAACTCAGAATTAAGTGATGCTTCATTATATCAGATGAGTCCAAAATTAAGTACACAAGAAGATCCACAGAAATGAAGAAAATATTAGAACTTCTATTTATGTTTATTTTTATCTCATTTGTATATATATTTAGCATTATATTATATTCCCACAATATTACACATGGATAATTTAACACAAATGAATAGGCATGTATTGAATGTGCTTATTGAAAATAGTTCTGCTGATGACATGGTATCATCAAAGTCCTGTTTCACCACATTATTGCCCCAAAATTAGTCTCCTGTAAGTGCCAATGGAATTGATTTAATTTTTGAAAGAACATGGTAGGTATAATATGAATAGACTTCTATTATTTAAGGAATGAGAGAGGAAAATACTAGTGTTAAGAGCCAGATAGTTTGTCTTGTTTAATCACAATCCTGTGAGGTAGATATCCCCATGTTACAGATTACAAAACAGAATGAGTTAGCAAGTGTTTCCTGTGCTTCTATTTTCTAGAACAAATTACAGAAAATAGATATCATTTCTTCCTTATTGGGTAGAATTCACCAGTGAAACCATCTTTTCCTTTTTGGAAGCTTATTTATTATTGATTCAGTTTTTTAAAATAAAGCTGGGCATGGTGGCAGTAGTCCCAGCTACTTGGGAGGCTGAGGTGGGAGGATCCCTTGAGCCCAGGAGTTCAAGGCCAGCCTGGGCGACATAGCAAGACAACTTCTCTTAAAAAAATAATAAAATAAAATTATAGCCGGGCGTGGTGGCTCATGCCTGTAATCCCAGCACTTTGGGAGGCCAAGGCGGGTGGATCACAAGGTCGGGAGTTCGAGACCAGCCTGGCCAATATGGTGAAACCCCGTTTCTACTAAAAATACAAAAATTAGCCAGGCGTGGTGATGTGTGCCTGTAATCCCAGCCTCTTGGGAGGCTGAGGCAAGAGAATCACTGAACCCAGGGAGACGGAGTTTGCAGTGAGCTGAAATCATGCTACTGCACTCCAGCCTGGGTGACAAAGCGAGACTCCGTCTCAAAAAATAAATAAATAAAATAAAATAAAATTATATATGTGTATAAATTTATATATGTAGAAAATTATATAGAGAGAAATGTTTATATTATACATAAATTTATATATAATTAAAACATAATTTTATATATAATATATAAAATTTTATATAATATAAAATTATAAATATATTTTAAAATATTTATATACATAATATATAATATATAAAATTTTATATATTATGTATATAAATAATATATGTAAAAGTTATATCTAAAAATTCTCCATATATAATTTTCTATGTGTATACATTTATTCTTCTCTATATATGTAATTTTCTATATATATAATTTCTATAGGTTTATAATGTTATTTTATTATTTTTTAAGAGAAGGGGTCTTGCTACGTATATATATAAAGGAATATTACGAGGAACTCTGTCATCCATCCTGGAGTGCAGTGGCACAACCATGGCTCACTGCAACCTCAAACTCCCAGACTCAAGCAATCCTCCCACCTCAGCTTCCTAAGTAGCTGGGACTACAGGTGTACACCACAATACCCAGCCAATTTTTAAACTTTTTGGGAGATGGAGTCTCACTATGTGGCCTAGGCTGGTCTCAAACTCCTGAGCTAAAACAACCCTCCCACCTTGGCCTCCTGAAGTGCTGGATTATAGGCATGAGTCACCATGTCTGGCCATAATATTTATCTTTTTAACACTCATAGGATTAGAAGTGATGGCCCATTTTTCAGTCCTGATATTAGTAATTTGTGTCTTCTCTCTTTTGTCTTGGTTCACCTGGTTATGAGTTTATCAATTCTGTTGATGATTTCAAGAGCAGGCTTTTGATTTTGTTGGTTTTCTCTATTGTTTTCCTGTTCATAATTTTGTTGATTTTTGCTCTGATTTTATTATTTCTTTGCTTCTGCTTACTTTGTAATTAATTTGCTCTTTTTAATATAGTTTTCTAAAGTGGAAGCTTTGATTATTGACTTTAGATTTTTCTTCTTTTCTAGTATATGCATTTAGTGCTATCCATTTTCCTCTAGGCACTGCTTTTGCTGCATCTCACAAATCTGATGGGTTGTATTTTCATTTTTATTTAGTTAAAAATATTTTTTATTTCTCTTGAGACTTTTCCTTTGACCCATGTGTTATTTAGAAGTGCATTGTTTAATCGCTAAACACTTTGAGATTTTCCAGCAATCTTTCTGTTACTGATTTCTAATTTAATTCCACTGTGGTCCAAGAGCAGACGTTGTATGATTTCTCTTCTTTTAAATTTGTTAAGTTGTGTTTTATGGCCCAAGATGTGGTCTATCTTGGTGAATGTTCAGTGTGAGCTCTGTAAGAATGAGTATTCTGCTGTTGTTGGATTAAGCAGTCTATAGATGTCAATTATATACAGTTTTATGGTAGTACTCTTCAATTATATTCTGCCTGCTGGATCTGCCAATTATGGATAAAGGGGTGTTGAAGTCTCCAACTACAATAATGAATTTGTCTATTTCTTCTTGCAGTTCTATCAATTTTTGCCTCATAGATTTTCACACTCTATTGCTAGGCACTTTATTACTATATAATGCTCCTCTTTATTCCTAATAATTTTCCTTATTCTGAAATCTATTTTGTCTGAAATTAATATAGCTACTCCAGCTATATTTTGACTAGTGTTAGCATGGTATATCTTTCTGCATCTCTTTACTTTTACCCTGTGTTTTCACATTAAAAGTGAGTTTCATGTCGACGACATATAGTTGGTTCTTCTTTTTTATCCAGTCTTGTTCTTTTATTGATGCATTTAAACTATCCACATTTAAAGTGATTATTAATATAGTTGATCAATATATACCAAATTTGTAACTTGGTCTTCATTTTCTTATTTGTTTTGCTTTTGTCTCCCACTCCTAGTCTTCTCTAGTTTTAAACATTTTATATTATTTAATTTTCTTTCACTCAGCATATCAAAATTTTTCTGTAGCGATTGTTCTAGAGTTTGGAGTATACATTTATGACTAATCCCAGTCCACTTTCAAATAACACTATACTGCTTCAGGGGTAGTGCAGTTACCTTATAACAGATTATTCCTGATTCCTTCCTCCCATTTCTTATAACATTGCTGTCATTTATTTCCCTTGTTCACAAGCGATAATGATGAATGGCATTGTTGTTATTATTATTTAGAACAAAGACTGTTATCTTTTAGGTCAACTAAGAATAAGAAAAATAAAAGGTTTTATTTCATCTTCATTTATTCCTTCTCTTTATTTCTTTATGTAGAGCTGAATTTCTAACCCATATCATTTGCCTCTCACTGAAAACTTCTTTTAACATATCTTGCAAGGCAGGTCTACTTTTTTGAAAATTAAATAAAATATTATATATATATATATATTTATAAAAATAAAGGTATTCACAGTTCTGAGTTTCAGTGTTATCAAGTTGCCAACAAAAAAAGTCACTGATGCTTCATGCAGATGTCTAAACTCTATATGCTCAAATTTAAGAGTGATATGAACAATTTACTATTGCAAAAAGTAAAGATGTCACTTGCATTGTTGCAAATATGTGTTGATTTCTGATTACCTCCAGAATTGTAATTTGTAACAAAAAGAAGGCAAGAATATAGATGCTCAGCCCCACAGGAAAATGATATTTCATTATGTAAAATTTTATTGCATTTATGCTATCCAAGAAGGATTTCATTCATATTAATTAATTTGCCTTTTATCTAAGCATTTTTATCACTCAAATTCTCTTTGCACTCAAAAGCAGTGTCTGTCACAACCCACCATCCTTCATGTCACTTGGCCATGACAAACACAGAGCAACAGATGTGAAGCTTTTCCCTGGGGCTTGAAAAAGCATTAATTGTAGAAGCAGATATTTAGGGTTAGAGGCTTTGCTGTACCAGAGTGGAGACCGTGATCTCTAGTGACAGAGACACCCTCATGTCCACATGTTCTTTAATACATTTATTTTCACATGTGTTTGTTATATATGGGCCCTATAAAGAGCTGCACTCAGGGCATAGGTCTTTTCTCCTATGTTTTCTTAAGAAAAAAAAAAAAACTCAGCCAAAATTACCTTCATTAACAATAGACCTCCTTTCCAAGAAGAAACATACACCTTTATATAGTCTGGTCATTTGTTTACAGCATTCATTGTTGATTTAGTGTATCTTACCCTTTTAATGACTTCACCTGTTTTAACATACATGAAAAGCATCCATTTTTATGCTCAGTCAAATGCTGTTTCACTGGTTACACAACAAAAAATGATTTCTTTCCTCTTCCTTCTGGAGTCCTTTACCATTCATTTGAATCACTTCTGAGGTAATAAAAATAGTCTGCCCTCTATGATAGTGATTTGGCTGTATCACCTTTCCATTTCCATTCATTCAGTTAACAAATATTTATTATGCAGAAAACAAAGTACCAATCCCTATGAAGCCAAGGTAAAAAATTTAGATTGCGACTCATTGAAGACAGGTGGATATGCCTGAGGTTTGCATTGCCCAGACTTGCTTGCAGGTGACACCCATAACTGTTAAAGACTATGTGCCAGGAAATTCAGTATGCCTGATTTTCAACTGATAAAACTTCAAAAATTTACCTGCTAATTTTGTTTTGAGAGTATAATGGGAAATTTGAAGTGCAGTTGAAAGACATCTGTCTAGCAATTTAATCTAAATAATAACAATAATGGTAATAACATAAAATCATGAAGATCTCTGTGGTAATCTTTGAACTTTTTCCTCCTAGGATTTCCAGACTGTATTACCATCATTTGAGCTCTTCTCAAAGTATGGAAAATTATATTCAAAAGCTGGACAGATTGTATAAAGGTATGACTTTTTGCTAAGAAGTAATTCAAAAAGTATATTAAATAACACTTAAAAAATCAAATGGGGTTGACTTAACTATCAAGCATTTTAAAAACCATGCTATAATAATATTTTATGTAATAAGACTCCATAAATTTCCTTCATTGTAGTGTAATGGTTTTCAACATTTAAAAGATCATGAATTTTACTTTTCAGATCTCTTCTCCAAAATGAGCCAAAAATACATTAAGAAATAGAACATTAAAAATCTAAAATACTCTTTCTTTTTTTTTTTTTTTTTTTTTGAGACAGAGTCTTACTCTGTTGCCCAGGCTGGAATGCAGTGGCGTGATCTTGGCTCACTGCAACCTCCACCTCCCAGGTTCAAGTGATTCTCCTGCCTCAGCCTCCAGAGTGTCTGGGACTACAGTCAGTGCCACCACACCTGGCTAATTTTTGTATTTTTAGTATTTTTAGTAGAGATGAGGTTTCACCATGATGGCCAGGCTGGTCTCGAACTCCTGGCCTCAAGTGATCTGCCCTCCGTGGCCTCCCAAAATGCCAGATTACAGGCGTGAGCCACCATGCGCGGCCCTTAGATACCCTTTAACTAATACAATAAATAGTTTTACACAATACGGTGAAAAAATACTGTTGGTGCTCCAAAGCCAAAATACTTCTCAGTGCTGTGTTGATACAGTATCATTTCAAATATTATACTAAATAATGTACATTATTTGAAGTATGAAGTGTCTTACAATACCAAAGAAATGGAATATAGAATCCTGATTATCAATGTTTAGAAGATATATAAGAATAAAGAGAACCATATAAAATTCAAGAACAAAAAATAAACTCTCAATGAATACTGTATTCCATTTCTAAGGCATTTTAGAATAGAGCAGTGGTTACAATTGAAGTGTGTCTAATAGGAGCTATTGTGACATTTTCAGCCAAATTTAAAGAATGTATTGGGTGAAGACAGCAAAGATCACTGCAGTTGGAGGAAAGGGGCAGAAATGAGAAATCATGCTAGTTAGAATCCCCCAGCTATCCTCTCAGACCAAGAACCAAGGAGAAAGCACTAGGCTGTTAGAGCACAGGGTAGATTCCAGGCAAAGTTCCTTCGATTTTATGTTACTCTTTCCTCTCTCCCCACTGAGTGCTTCAATTTGGAAGTTAATATGTTAAATGCAGATACCAATGTCTATCTTTTAGCTACTCTGAAGGAATACATGAGGGGAAATATGAAATATTCTGAGCTAATAGGAAATGTATATATAATACCAAGTGGAATTGCTGTTTCAAAGGTTTATAAAGTATCATTACCCATTGGAGCATTTATCTGGTATTTGAGAGCCAGAGTATGAAGTAATGTAAATAAAATGTCTCATATTTGTGTATGACTTCAGCTTTTAACTCAAAGATATATCAGTCCTGTTTATGATAATGAAAGATTGAAAATAACTTGAACACTCATTAATATATGTTAGTTAAATAATAAAACACATATAAGGCAGTACTATGCAGACAGTAAAATGTTATAAGTCTTTACCCATTAATTTTTAAAAATGCCTACAATATATTTCTAGGAAAAGAAGACGGGATTCAAAGTACGCTGTGTAGTCTTATTTCACTTAAATATATACATATGTATGTGTGTATACATATATACATATGTGTGTATACATATATACATGTGTGTATGTATAAAAACACACTTGCACCCACTATTATATTTAATATGTATATGTATACATTTGTATGTTGCAAAACTGTTAATGGTGGTTATCTCTGGGTGGTGAGATTATGAGTACTTTCTGTGGGATACTTCTTTTTAGTTCTATTTTTTGATGTTTTAATGCAACCAGACGAAAGCCAAGTATTAAAACAAAACACTCCAGTAGGGACTGTTTGCTCTACTCTATCAATTACAAAAACATCTTGACTTTATTCTATTTAATCATAATAATTTAGAGGCAATTATCTTTTTTTCTGAATATGAAATAATTACTTGCTAAATTATTTATACAGAAAGACAAAGATGAGTAACAAATGGTGTAGATTATTTTTAATTAAAAAGAATGTGCAATGCAAAGGCTCAAATATGTTATGGTTTTTTTTAATATTTGCCAGCTCTTCTTTTCAATTTTTAACAATTTTGTGAATTGACAATATTATAAAAACGTCATCTCCTTTTCTTTGATAGGAAATGAATGTCTAGTGTTTAATTTTGGTAAGTGAAGGGCAGCAGCCTTAGCTGAGGCTCTCCTATTAAGATTTCATTTCACCAAATACAACAAAGTGCTTCTGCTGTTTGTAAAAAAAGGCCAAGATGGGGACACCTGCACCAAACTGTTGAATAAAGATGCCATAGTAATTTTTAGAGCTATCTATTTGATTGCTTCAGCTCCAAGGTAGTTCATCACTTCACTATAATTCACCCGACATCGCCTTTTACACCCAATACTACATTTTCCCATCAGTCCGATTAGAAATAGTGATGCCTTTATCAGATTAATCTTTCTCTCTTTTAGCATGTCTAAGTTTAGGATAAACACTGCCTGTACCTAGCTGTTATCATTAATGCTCTAAGATTTAAACCACTGAAAAATACACGGAACTAGATCTTAAACACACACATATTTTAAAATCTACTGTCTGACTAGGATAACATTACTCCTTTTAGTGTCTTTAATTTGTCTTTTTAAATGGTCACTATTTGTAACTTTCAATAGTTTCCCAAAAGCAGTTTGGTCTAAATCAGTGTGTTGTGTCCTGTCAAGAGTGTTTTGCCATCCTTTTAGCTCCATTTATCTTTCCAGGCAGAGTCTCTTTAAACATTGTTGTGGAGAAAAATTAGCAAGATAAGGTTAAAATCATTGGTTGTAATTTTATGAATTGTATAATGTACCCGATTCAGTCTGGCATCAGTGTGAGTTTTCATGCATTACAGGCTTCCCAACTTCCTCCAGTTTGTCTTTGCAAAATGGGCTTTGGTCCAGGCTGTCTGTCTGCTAAAAAGTGGTTCAATTTTGAGGCCCGATAAGATGAGTTTTAATTAAATTATTTGTTAGGTTTGAAAAACAATGTACTTTTTCTCCTTTTCCATAGGAATTTGGCATATGAACAACTCAGCTAAAACAAATAAATCAATGAAATGAAAAATAAGTATAGTTAGCACCTGGACTGGGAAAGGGGTTAAATGCCATCGTCTTTTTTCCAGAGGGAATAAGATCTTAGCAACTGTGTATGGAAAAAAGTTCTATGAGGGGAGAGTAATAATTAAGCATATAAGTTATATGTGTGCCTGTTAGGAGTTAAAATTTTAGTTTAATAAGAAAAATTATTAAATTTTGTCATTCAGTTTGGCATCATGTGAACTTATAACCCTTTCAAGTTTTGGCATAGTGAATTGGCAAAGAGAAAAGAATAAAGGTATCTTCAGCATCCTTCTCTTGGTTAAATTGTCTTTGACTAAAAATATTATAACCACCCCACCTACCTGTGTGAAGATGTTTTGCTATGTTTTTCCATAATAGAGGCAGATTTGCTAGACATTCCATATGTCTAGTGGCACACATAATCAAGATAGGCTTTTTTGTTTATGGTTTTTAGTTTGTTTGTTTTTGTTTTTTTCAGAGAGACAGGGTCTCACTCTGTTGCCCAGGGTGGAATGCAGTGGCGTGATCATAGCTCACTGCAACCTCGAACTCCTGGGTTCAAGTGATCCTCCTGCCTCAGCCTCTTGAGTAGCTGGGATTACAGGTACATGCCCTCATGCCCAGCTAACTTTTTAATTTTTTTGTAAAAATGGGATCTTGCTGTGTTACCCAGACTTGATCATGACTGTTCATGAAGATCTGCAGTAGTGTAGACGGAGAGCAGAGAACAGGGCTAAAAATGATTCAAGTCCGGGGCTAGGACCTCCTAACATTAACTGAACTGAAGCTAAGAGAGGAAGACTTAAATAGAGAATTTAAGAACTCATGTTTCTGAAGTTCCTTTTTTTTTTTTTTTCATTTTACTGTTTTGTTTTTAGAAAACAGAAGATGAAATGTAAAACTGAGATTAAGGTGTGAAGTGAGTGTGAATAGAAGACCCCACACTGCCTGGAGTCCTGGATTCTTCCACGTCTGATGAGTGACCTTGGATCTCTTAATCTCTCTAGTTTTCTCTCTCTTAGGCGTCAGAAGAAGAAACTGAAGCCATCTGCATTTTAAAACTTAACAGTTCTGAAAGGAAAACACAGATGAAGATCCTGTAGGAAATATACTTGCTATGATTCAATAAACTATAAAATTTTGTAGCTCTAGTCATGAATTAATTATTGTGTGTATGTATTTGAAATCTCTTAGACATATCTTTTCAAACAAATACTTAAACTTGAGTCTGTTACCTCTGAGAATGTCTGTCACAATCACAGCCCCTGGTGACCAACAGTGCCATAAATGGTTCCCCTGAAATACCCATATTCTGACCCCATCACCCGGGTCACAAATGATGACACCAGTGCTGGGTACCCAAATTAAGGGCGACTAACATGTAAGTAGGATGATGAATGGTTTGAAGTGTAAATTGTGTGAAATAGTTCAGCATGAAAGCTCTGCCCTGAGAAATAATGACTGATTATACCAGTTAGAAACCCTTCAGACTGTTGAACTTGAGACACACAGACACAACAGACACAGACTAGTGGGTGTGGGAGCAGAAGCATAGGCACTCTCAAATAGAGAAGACATTTGCAAGTCTCTGCTGCCAAGGGAGCAAAGAGATAATCTCGATGCCAGGGCTGTGTCAGATCCTGCATGGCTCTGAACTACAGTTGGTTTCCAAAAAGCTGGGCTTTTGTGAGGTTTCTGTTTTTTATGCGATGCTTAGATTTTCCTGGAATCCTTGGAAGTTAACTCAACATTTGAGGTTCCTATATCCTTTAATCCCATCCCATGTGTATCTTTACAATAAAACTTCCTGCTAGAGGTATCCTGAGGGAATCTTTGTTTCTTGCATCTGAAGAGAATAACACTAAACTTATTGCATATGATTTGGGGGTTGGATCCAATGATAGCACAGAGGGACAGGAAATGTGATTTATTGACCATAAAAGCTTTAATTTAAAATTGCTGGCCAGCGAAATCCAGACTCTGGGAAATGTTATAGGCCAAATGATCTGTTTCTTCAACAAATAAATTACAAAACTGAGGGGAAAAAAAGGAACCTATTAAAAAGACATTATCTATCAATCACTGTGTGTGTACAGTTTTGAGCTCCTGATTTAAATAAACAAATTGTAAAATAAAAGATCTTTTGAAACAATTGGAAGTTTGAACACTGATTGGATATTGGTGGTATAAAAGAATTATTGGTTTTTTTTAGGTGTCATGGTATTGTTTTGGTTTACAAAGTTATAGATATAAATGTTGAAATATTTACAGATGCAGTGATATGTTGGCTGGGATTTAATTTGAAAGTCAAAGAAGTGAGTTAAAATACATATACTCCTCCTCTTATAATCGGTTATGTGCCAATAAATCCATTGTAAATTGAAAATATCCTAAGTTGAAAATATTGTAAGTTAAAAATGCATTTAATACAGCTAACTTACCAGACAGCTTAGCTTAGCCTCACCTACCTTAAATATGCTCAGAACACATACGTTAGCCTATAGTTGGGCAAAATCATCTAACACAAAGCCTATTTTATAATATTGAACAGCCCATGTAATTTATTGAATATTGTACTAAAAGTGAAAAACTGAATAGTTGTATGCATACTCAAAGTATGGTTTCTACTGAATGCATTGTAAACCAGAAAGTATCTGAGACAATGTTTTTTTTTTTTTTTTTTTTTTTTTTAATTTCTGAGACAGAGTCTCATTCTGTCACCCAGGTTGGAGTGCAGTGGCATGAACTCAGCTCACTGCAACCTTCACCTCCCAGGCTCAAGCAGTCCTCCCATCTCAGCCTCCCAAGTAGCTGGGACCACAGGCATGGGCCAACAAGCCTGGCTAAATATTTTGTACTTTTGGTAGACACGGGTTTTTACCATGTTGTGCAGGCTGGTCTTGAACGCCTGAGCTCAAGTGATCTGCCTGCCTCGGCCTCCCAAAGTACTGGGATTACAGGCATGAGTCACTGAACCCAGCCCTGAGACATGTCTCAATTAGTTTAGAAGTTTATTTGGCCAAGGTTAAGGACATGCCCTTGACACTGCACCTGTCAGTACAGGTCCTGACAACATGTGTCCAAGGTGGTCAAGCTATACAACTTGGTTTTATACATTTTAAGGAGACATAAGACATCAATAAATACATGGAAGATGTACATTGGTTCAGTCTGGAAAGGCAGGATGCCTCAAACTTGAAACAAGAGAATGGGGGGTGGGAGGATGTGGGAGATGCTTCCAGGTCATAGTTGGAGTCAAAGACTTTCCAATTGGCAATTGGTTCAAAGAATTTATCTAAAGACCTGGAATCCATAGAAGGCTTTACCTGGATTAAAATAAGGGGACCAAGGTTCTCATGCAGATGAAGCCTCCAGGTGGCAGACTTCAGAGAGCATAGATTGTAAATGTTTCTTATCTGACTTAAAAAGGTGTCAGACTCTTAGTAAATTATCTCCTGGATCAGTGAAAAGATGTGAAAAAAGGTTCTCTACAGAATGTAGATTTTCCCCATAAGAGATAGCTTCGCAGGGCCATTGCAAAATATGTCAAAAATATATATTTTAGGGTAAAATGCCTCAATTTATTTCAAGGCCTGATATTTGTCATGTGATGCTATACTACAGTCAGGCTGAAACTTGGCATCTTATTGCTATGAAAAATCTTAAGATCTCTATTTTAATGTTAATGCTGGTCACTGGTGCCTGAATTCCAAAGGGAGGAGGGTATAATGAAGCATGTCCAATTCCCCATGCCCCACCCCCACCCCCACATCCTATAATGGCCTGAACTAGTTTTTCAGGTTAACTTTGGAATACCCTTGGCCAAGAAGAGGGGTCCATGCAGATGTTTGGAGGGGGGGGTCTTAAAGCTTTATTTTTAGATTACAGCATATTGCTTTTGCACTATCATAAAGTAAAAACATCATAAGTCAAGCCACCATAAATAGCGGACCATCTGTATATCTGAAAGAAGATGAACCAAGACTTGGTTATTGTTAAAGCTGATGATTGGCTGTATGAAGATTTACTATACAATTTTGTGTACTTTTGTAAGTTCTTGGTTGTTTCTAAACTTATAACAAAATAAATAATTGGCCATCTTCATTGGATTGTGAAGCCATT
This sequence comes from Homo sapiens, assembly GCF_000001405.40. Classification (NCBI taxonomy): domain Eukaryota; kingdom Metazoa; phylum Chordata; class Mammalia; order Primates; family Hominidae; genus Homo; species Homo sapiens. The sequence goes on from NC_000001.11 coordinate 217,870,122, forward strand.
TCCTCCCACATGTTCGTAAAAATGGTAGCCATGGCCCCTGACTGAACCCAGGTATGAATGGCCTTCATTGATTTTGTAGACCCTGACCTTCTCTGTTCTTCCAGAGAAGGTGGTACTCAGATAAAAACTTTGAAGCATTTTATTGTTCAGAATATGACTTTGATCTTCTCATAAGACTCAAGTTTTTGAATGCTTAAGGCTCTTTATCGCTAGTGTATGTAAGTAATATCATTGTCCTTAACCACCATCTGCCTCTCCCCCCAGACACACATAAGTTTATGATAACTACAGAGGTGTCCAGATGAGTAAAAACTGCCTTTGCATTAAGGTGAGAGAAGACCGAGATGAAATCTTATTAGAAAATATAACTGGGGAAAGCAGTTTGTCTGTTTCTCCTGGAAAACTACTAGACTACATCAACTTATATACTACTTCTTTTCTATATTCTCAATATGAGCCACTTAAGAAAATTAATGAGACTTTATGTTTGACCAAAGCTGGTAATTCCTTGATCTTATTCTCCAAACTTGATTCTGAATGACTACTGACCACTAAAAACACTAAGAGTACCACTGTGGATGTTTAAAAACATACACCCTAAGAGCCTTCAGAATTAGACGCTTCAATTCTTCTGAAATCAAAAGTCACACCAGCTTTGCTGTAGTTAATCAGGTAATACCTTTCTTCTCCACTACTCTCTAATTTCCTTGAGGGCAAATATTGTCTTTCTTGATAAATGCCCTGGACCCAACATCTAACAGAATACCTGGCATAAAGTGAAATCCATCGAATGTGCTAATGATAAATAAAGAAGTTCAAAAAAATCTTTTAATAGAAGCTATAAAATAGCAGATAAGCTAAGTCATTCTCATAAAACACCATTTGTCATTTGAATGCGTGCATTGTGGCCTGTTACTTTTAACTAGTCTCACTAATTTATAGTTATATATGATGTAGATCTAGATTGTGATGTACACTAAGTGGGTTGATCCTGAGATCAAGCTATGATTGCTGCTTGCGTAAAGTGTTCCTTTTGGGAAATAAATAATCTTTCATATCTGTAAACTTTGGTATAATTGGTTATTTATGCAATGTATTGTTGTGGTTGTCAACTCAAGATTGTATTCTCATCTGGGGACATTATGAATCTTGTTATTTTATCCCCTTTTTTGCTCTGTTTTTTCACATTTATGGCCTACCTGTTACAGCTGCACGGTATCCATTTTCTGTGCTAAATTCATCTTTAATTTATTATTTTTTTTCAACCTCAGCTTTTAACTTTGCCCTGATTTTCTCTTCCATTTTATTTTCACTTCCATTTTAAGCTGGCTCAAAGCCTTTTAGGAACAATAAGTTACTGAATTATATGAACCTATTTGAGGTAATGATGATGCCTGGGAAGGAGCAGTATTGCTGGATCAGAATTCACTTTTTCCAAGTTACAGATTTTAATAAACCACTGTGCAAAGCATTAGGATAAATTTTTATTGAAAATTGAGTGAATGACTGAACAAATCGCTGGGTAATGCTGTTTAGGTTGTTCTATTTTCCACGGATTAAATTAAATTCTATGTATCTACCGTCTCTGAGCTTATTTAAAACCACAACTCATCAGATCTTTTGTGTTACATCTTCAGCTACCTTGCAGTAGTTTACTACAGCCAATGAAAAATTTCAAATGAGAATAATAGCGTTAATTTTGACTGACATGGGAATAGTTATTTAGCGTGTCCTAGAAAGAGTGAAGAGTGCACCATGACAAGCACATACATGTTCATGACTCTCGTTTTGTAATTCAAAGCTTTTTCCTGTGGGAATGGAGTGAAATCCAACTTGATCTGGGGCTTGGACCTTGACTGCTCCTTTTGAGTCTCAGTGTCCCCAGCAGGCTCCCTCACAGGGCACAGTAGGGACTGCTAAGCACTCTTCCATTTCTAAATATTTCAACTCATTAATGCGGGAATCACCTTGCTGCTGGTACTGGCAGATACAGTCACTTACCAGTATATTGAGTTGAGTTTATAGTTCTCAGCTTCATAGTCATGATCATGGGATGCAGTGAGGCAATTCATTAGCACACTGTGACTTTAAGCAATCCTTGCTACAAAGTGACATGTCTGTTCATTAAAGAATCCTTATACTAAGAAATGACGAAACTGCACATACTGGTCAGAATAAATCACTTAAGCAGGTAAAGGGGAAACATAGAGTGTGTGTTTCAAGTTAAGTTGAAAAATTAATTTGCTGCTTTGTAGGGGGGATTATAAGACCATACAAATTGCAAGTGAAGCCTAAGCTCTATGAAATCAAATAATGATTATTTACTAGGCTTGAATTGTTCCATAGTTAACCTATTTTCCAGCTCGAAATTAGTCTGTGCTGTTTAATGTATTTTCAAGGCATTTATATTTCATTCCAAACTACCTAACAGAAATTAGTTTTCGTACCTCTCTCAATGTGGAAATAATCCATTTGAATAAAGGAAACCTGAAAACTAAGTTAAAAAAAAAAACAAAAAGACTAGTTCTTTATTCTTACTCACTATTGTAAACTATTAACATCACTGACCAGGAGAAGGGAACACACACAAAATCATTTTGTCATTTTTGAAGCCTGGGTAACTTGTTCATTCACTTCTCAACAAGGATTCAACACAGAATATTTCATTTGTGAACATTACTGTATTAAAAGTAATATGAACAGATAATTATTTTTAGTAAATAGAAGATGAAATCACTAGAATCTGAAGAGAAATTAAAAGTGAAAAAATGGTTACTTAATGTGTGCATATGTGTGTGTGTGTGTGTGTGTGTGTGTGTGTGTGTGTTTAAGTTTGCTGCCTACCTAAAAGTTCAGCAAATAGGATGGGAGACGGATGTAAATAGTTAAGGCAAATTTCTTAGAGGAGGCAAACGTCGAGTCCTTAATAGTAGTTAGGATCTTGAGTTGATTGAATTGAAAATATGAGTGAGAGAGGTTATCTGACAAAAAGAATTACATAAGCAAAAGCACAGAAATAAAAATGATCAAGATGTGTGCATAAGGAAATTTTTTAAAGTCTTAATTGGACACTCAGCAAAAAAATAGATTAAAGTAGTTTGACTTGAAGTAAGCTTCAGGGGGATTAAACTAGAGCAAATATTCAGTTGATATCAAGGTAAATCAGCTTTAGCAAACTATTAGTTTTTCATTTACTCATTCACTCAATGGCCTTGAAATATCCAAATATTTTGAAATATTTATGATACTAAAAATGTTTCCATTTTTATTTTTACCATTGTAGAGACACATATATAATATATCCACAGAGAAAACAACACTTCCACAGATAATACTTTTGTTTCAAAATATTATTCTTCTATCATACAGATAAGACCACACTTCTCCTACACAGTATTAGGCAGTAATAGAGATTAAAGAAAAGAGTAAGGAGGCCTAGATGGGGCCCTTCTATCTTTAGAATATATTCGCATGCACGCTAATAGCACGAATATTTAAAGATCTAAAGATCTACTTAACAGAAAGAAGAAAATCCATGAGGATTTGTTTGCTTCTAAGTAGTTCAGAGAGACTTTGGTCAGAAGTATCAGGACATGGCAGTGAAAGTGACACCTGAATGTCCAAATAGATAACTATACTGAGTGGATTTTTCCCTCTCTTGTTTCCTGCTACAAAGGAATAGATTTTACTGAAATCATCTTCCTACCAAAAACAACTAGAAAAACTATATAAGACCACCTGTTAAAATACATCAGAAGAGCTAACAATGCTGTCACACCTTGAGGCCCAAGACACTAAAAAGAAGTCACAAATGCCTAACAGGCTCCACTGCTTTTCCTCTTGAGGCATTTCTGTTTTTTTAAACACTGCAGAATTAAGAAACCAAGAAACCAAGTGACAGCTAAGAGGCTGAAAAGCAGAGCCAATCTTCTATAGTCTTATGGGGCTACAGAGATATAAACTGGAGTTCAAGGGCTTATGTAGGAGGTAGAATCATGAAGTAAAATGCAACAACAGAAAACAGCTAACTACATCACCACAACACTCGATAACATGGAAGAGTCTCAAAATATAATGTCGAGTACAAGCTACTGGATGTAGAACATACATGTGAATAATGATTCCATTTATTTAAAGTTAAAAATAGGGACAGCTAATCTTTGGCAATTTGGAATGAGGCCATAGTGAAAGGCCATACAAGAAAACACAAAAGATCTCCTGGGGCAGGGGGTGTGCAGGGCTTTATTTCTTTATGAAGTTTCTGGATACATTTATGTGCCGTTTTTGAGAATTCGAGGAGCTGTATTTTTCATGAATTATGCACCTTAGTGTACAAGGCACGATTTACTTCATTTATAAAGTGATGAAATCAGGAGTGTAAGAAGAGTGGGACAAACAAAACCCAAAACCCTGGAGAGAGCACCCATACTTTCCTCAGATGAGGAAATTGAGGCAGGATCAGTAACTCCACCGATGCCAAAGGGTAAATAGTAAAATTGGGATCAGAGGATTGGACCAGGTCTGGCACAAGCCTTGAGCTCAGGTAGGTCCTTTGTTGTTGCAGTAGAATATCGCTCCTGATCTGACTGTTAACAGGACTCCAAGGGCTGTGCTGTCTCCTTGGCATGAGATGGCATTCTGGAAACCAGGAGTATGCCAATTTACTCCTTCTTTTTAGTGAATAATTTTGTCTTTGGCTAGAATCAGGATGGTGCTGATGATCCCTTTTGCTGTACTTTTTAAGGTCCAGCGATGTCAACCCATTTATTTGCGCCATTGTTATGAAGAAAGTGATTTTTTTTTGGTTACTGTTGTAGTTAATGCAATTCACAGCATTGCATTCATTTGATTCTTATAAGGCTGAGTAAAAGAAGGAGAGCAAGAAAGGGAACATGAAATCTTACTTTGGGATGAAGACAACAGTTATTTCAATAGTATGTGATTTTGTATAAGTAAATGTATATGTATGCACACATACTATAAATGTAAAGTGTAATTAAAACCCTTGAAATAACCCAGCAAATAGTACACAGAGAAATTATATGTGCCCACATCTTAACTGCTATGCTCTCTTAAGCCACTGGCTTATTACAGCAAAATATTCTCCCCTTTAAGACAAAATAAGTAGAAATAAAGAGAGCAACTCAGCATCAAGAAGAGAAAAAAGTGAGAATAACATATTTGGAACAGAAACTGCAGTCTAACTAGTGCCTCCCCACCTTCATTACCATCCTTCCAAATAAATCTCCCTGCTCCTCTTGAGCTGGCAAATAAAAAAATCAACCCACAAGATATATGTGTGTGCTTCTCCTGATGAGAATCACCATCCATCTACAGCACATCCCACATGCCAGTGTGAAGATGGGCTAGAGGGAGAATTAAAGACTTCAGAAAGTCCACAGCATAATCAAGAAGGCTTTTTTCTTCTGACTACACAGCTTTCATCTCTGTCTTCTGTGATATTCTCCCCATCTCTTTTACTCTGTGGCAAAGATGCTGATTGCTGATGGGACAATAACGTATCATATACCTAACCTTCCAGGGCAACCAATTGGTTTCAAATCTATGGCACAAATAATCGTGATAAGTTTCATTTTGGCAAGGACCGTTAGTTCAAGTATATCCATGTTCCTAAATTAGAATCGAATTTTGAGATTTTAAAAGGCATTCAACTTCAAGTGTATTTTTTTAGTTTAATAAAAACATTTCTTAAAATACATGGCAGAATGTAGACATTGCCTCATATTGAGATAGAATTTCACTGGAAGTACTAAAGATATTACTTGATCTGAAATAGTTCAGTATTTTTATATGTTTGTTTTTATTACAAAACAAATGACCCTACTATACAGAAGTTGATGTTTTTTATTGTTGGAGGCTTGGCAGCATATGACAAGATCCCTAAGAATTCATTTATTCTAATTCCCCACTCATGATAGAATCCTTTCTAAAATATCCACTGCTCCTGCTTGAGTACTTCTAATTCTTGGAAGTTACTTTGCCTCTCAAAAGTGTATGTTCCATTTAGAGCATTTCTAATTATTTAAAAGTTATTTTGTTATATGGAGTTTGTGATTTCACTTACTCGTCCTAATTTGGTGATTTAGAACAAGTTGATTCCCTTTTTCATATGTCTGTCTGTCAAGCATTTAGAAAAGATACCTGAGATTTCCCTGTGGTAAACATCTTTAGGTTCCACAACTTTGTCCTCTAGATGTTTCTACCACTAACTTTCCATGGCATTGTTCATCACAAGCCTCATTTCTACTGACTTGATCTCAGAATCCTTCTCCACATGGCTCTCCAGGCAGCCACTATTCCATTTGAATTGAGATGCAAGCTGAAACCTATTTTCTATCCTTGGTATTTCTGGTTTCGATATAATAAAGTTCAGTGAAGATGGAGATAGGGAATGGCTTAAAGCTCTTTAATAATTTGAACATGCTCTAGTTTGGGTACTGGTCCAAGGTTGATGTCAGAGTTTCCTCTATTCTAAATTCAATTAAGGAATTATATAGGATGTCAACTGTGTCCTTGATACAGGTTCCATTAAAAAGGACTGTTTTTGAGCATATCATTGGGACCAAAATACCCATATTTTGACAAGATCCTCAGTGCTAGATTATTAAGAGAACAAAGCAATAAAAGTGAATGAGTGCTATCTGGAAAAATTATGCCAGAATTTGGGTTTGGTTTAGTTTAAGAAATTATCAGTTAGCTTTTATTCATTTTTATTCAAGTCCATGTATTTCACGGCTTGTGTCAAACATCTAAAATCTAGAATATTCTTGTTTGACGGTAACGTATATCACAAGTTCGTGACAGGTTTCATTTATGAGTGCTATTTTCTTATAAAGTACTTATAGAAGGTTTTTAGAAAAAAAATATTGCTTAGAAGTTTAATCTCCTTTTACACTCATCATCATCTTCTGCCAAGGGGACTGGGGAATGTTCTGTCTTTCTTGCATGAGATCATACACATCTACTGCCAAACTTCAGAGAGGCCACCTAAAGTACGTATTTCTCTATCTGTCAGCACCAGGAAACCATTGAAATTTATGGATGAATGAATAATCATCAATACAATTTTGTAGTTCTTTCTTTGGGTGTAAGTTTTTGTGAAAAAGTTAGGCATGCAAATACGGTGACTATCTGAGACAAATCAGTATAGAACTTCTTGGGTTTGATTATTTTGTTAATAGGTTGCTTTCAAATAGCAACAGAGCACTTAATTTCTCCTCACTTGACCTATATACTCTATATATGCTGGTGACACAAACTAAATAAACATCAAATATCTCTGCTGATTAGGAAAAATAGCTAATGCATGCTGGACATAATACCTAGGTGATGATGGGTTGACATGTGCATCAAATCACCATGCCACACGTTTACCTATGTAACAACCCTGCACATCCTGCATATGTATCCCAGAACTTAAAATAAAATAAAATAATATGTATCCCTGCTTATGGCTGGAATTCAGTGTGATAGCAGTTTGTTTGCTTAGGACTCCTGAATGAAGACCCAAATGCCTTTGCTTAATAAAAATGGAAAAATGCCTACTTAAATGGGTTTTTTGGTGAAAATATATTTTTAAAGTGAGCTCCAGGGAGGTGGTTGGGTGGGTAAAACAAATCCTTGGGGTGAAATGAGTAAGAACCCCTGATGAAGAGTCTTGTTGACTTAGAGAATGTTGGTACCATGTGAATCTTGGACTATGGCCTGGTTTAGGAAGGAAGATGATTCAGTCTGAAATATAATTTACTTTGAAGGGACTGTGTGGTATTTACATGAAAATGTCTTGAAGAATGTAAAATTATGAAAGTGTAGTTCTTGTAAAAGTCAGGACCAAAAATATAAAGTTAGGCATCAGTCTGATTATAGGTTATGTTTGAATCAATGACAGGGGATTAGTTCACTGAAATGTTTAAACGTGAATAGAGAGCCTGAGAATCGAGCGTAGGAGAAGAGGATCCAGAGGAGAAAAGAAGTTGAATTACAGTAGAAATCTTTTTAACTGTCACAAAAGCCTAGGGAAAAGAGAATTCAAAGAGATTTCAAATGGTCATCAGCTTCGAATGCTGCCTAGGAAGATGTCAAATAATTAGTGAGAAAAAGTACAGGTGAACTGTTTTTCCTTATCATTGATTCTTCCAGTTGCTCCCAGTTTCATCCAGTAAACAAATCATTCTCTCTGAGATTTGTAAATGTGCTGCTCTGCATAGTTACAATTCAACCAGGTCACCATCACTAGGGCATGAACTTTGAAGTACTTTTGTTGAATAAATGTAACAGGTTGTATGTCATCCTTTATCCCCTGATGGCATCTTTCAGCTACTTAGCTAAGGATGAAGGTGGCATTCTGGTTATGGAATGAAGTCTGTCTCTGTGTAACACTAACTTGACAGTATAAAAGTAAAGTTTATGACATTGGATCACCGATATATTATTATGATCAACTGAGCTAACCAGCCTAGACATTTGATTCAAGTTGCATTGTGTATTGCCTGATCGATTCAAAGAAACATATATTTCATTAGAAATGATATAATTCTTTTAAATAATTTGTTGCCACCAAAGAGAAAGAAAGAAAGGGCAAATATGTGGGAAGTAATTTCTTCCAAGTGACTAGCTAAACAACATAAACCTTTTGCTCATTGGTTGTGGTGTTGATTTATTTGATGAAAATTGTGCTCATGAATGAAATAGAAGACCCAATAAACTCTTTACTCCCTTTTTACCATCTTGGCTCTTCTATCATGTGATTGACTTCATGTTCATCATGCAGAGATCAACTTGTTCTCAGAACAGATGGTGTTCTCTTTACCACCAGCTTATCCTTCTCTAGTTCTGCAGGTGGCAAGGCCAGATGGATTAACTTCCTGAAATTAAACTTTTCACCAAATTCTTATAAGTAAGCAGACGTTTTATTAATATGGACTTCTGAACATGGAGCAATACACAGAGATGATTGATTAGAAAATCTAATTAAAGGCAACAATGTGGATGAACTGAAATAGTAGGTTCTCTCTGAAAATAAACAACATATTTATACTCAATACTCCTGAGTAAAAAAAAAAAAAGGTGAAATGGGAATATATGTTACAGTGAATGGCCAAATGACCATTACCTGTTCATGATTTGCATTTATCCTCAGAAATCTGACATATTATATTCTGACATATTATAGGAGCTCAAATATTGATCTACTTTAACAAAATCTACTATGTCCAACGTCTGTTACCTTTTGCTTTAATGAATTTTCAATTTTTCTACTCCTTGCATACATTTATTCTATACTGAGTTTTCTTACTTTCAGTTTCATAATATGCCTTCTGGTTCAATTATTCTAGCGTTTGGTGAACAATCCTAATCTACTACATCTATGCTCTTATTTATTTTTAATTCAGATGTTCAAATCTCATCATTTCTGTCTTTTTTGAACCTCAGTCCACACAGAAGATACTCTGAATCATGAACTTTGTTTTCTGGCTGAGGTGTATGGTGGGCAGAATTCTAAGATAGCCCCCTCTGTTCACATCCTCCATACTCCCCAGCAGAGCAAATTAGTGCAGATTTACTCCTATGATGAGACTAAGTTGTATATGGCACAGGTAGGAAGATTACCCAGGTGAGCCTGACCTAATATCGTAAGCCCTTTAAAACAAAGCTTTTCTCTGGCTGGTCACAGAGCTGAATCGGCAGTCCGAAGCCTGAGAAGACTTGAATGTACTCTTGCTGGCTTGAAGATGGAGGGAACCATGTGGCAAGGAATGTGGATGGCCTCTAGGAACTGAGAGCCACTGACAGCCAGCAAAACAATGAGAGCTCTAGTCCTATAACTGCAAGGAACTAAATTCTGCCAGCCACAAAAATGGGCTTAACAGTGGATTATTCTCTAGGGACTCTGGAAGAAAACTCATTCTAGGCAACACTTTGATTTCAGCATTCCCTGAAAGGGAATCAACACTGTGATTCCCTGAGAAGAGAACCCAGACACCATACCTTCTATCTTACAGAACTATGAGCTAATAAAGGGATGTTGTTTCAAGCCCCTTAATTTGTGGTAATTTGTTACACAGCAATAGGCAACTAATATCATGTTTGCCTTGAGGTATGATAACAAAAAGTCTGTGTTAATTATTATGGACACAGCCAAATAATGGTTATGTACCAGAAATATTATCAGTTTAAGCTAGTGTCTGTCTAATTGAGAGACAGGAAACCAGCTATAGTACTGGACTCCCTAACACTAAATAAGTTGACTTCCAAGCCATTCACATTCTTTCCTGGCAGTGTACCTATGTTTCAACATATTTCTTGGATTTTTGGCATTTAAACACATAATACTCTCTAATTTCTTGAATAATGTGAGCATAAGATTACCATGTGAAAGAGAATACTCTGCTTAGAGTAGTAAATTATAGAACACATTCCCAAGTAAGCATTAAGTTCTCTCCATAAATAAGTTATTGAGAAGAGGTTTTATACAGTTAAATGGATATCTGCTCAAACGAACTATCTGTTCATGTAGCAGTTTACAAATAAACAACATATAAAGCCATTTAAGAAGATTTCAAATGAACCCAAAGTCTGGAAGAGGTCATCTATTTCTCCTTTCTGCGAATAATAACTACATCTCAATCTTGTAAGTTTGTAAGACATGAGATCTCGTAATCTCACCAACAGGATGTTTTGGGGGGATGTGACCATGTCATTCCTGCCATTCCCACCTTTTCAAACCTTTATTACTAATGTCAAGGAAATTTAACATTTTTTCACATTTTTAATCTCTCTATCATGTTTGGGCTTTGAGAGGTTGAATTTAGACACCTTTACTTCACCTTAGAGTTGCTCAACTGGAAAAAAAAAAAAAAAGCCCAGGATGACATCCCCTCCTCAGAGGCAGAAGATGGAACAGGGCAATGAAAAGTCCTTCTAGAGTTTGTCTAGTGAGATAAGTGTTTAGAAGGAGAAATGAGAAGGGAATGAGATCACTTTCCCAAAGCTGTTATATGCTCCTTGATATAATGCTCTCCATAAAGGCTTGTATAGTGAAGTAATTTTGGCTTTGGCATTATGTTTAGTGAAAGCCATGGATTTGAAGGAACTTTCTGAATAGCTCTGTGGTAATACATGCAATAAATCAAATCTATCATCAAGAGTAGCATTTTTACTAGCAGCATTGGAGAGAGAAAAAAAATTACAGATTACATGCTGCTTTATTTCATAGGGAAAAAAATTATGAAAGCCCTAATCCTTCCAATATAAGTTATTTTGCAATGATTCATAGAAGCCAGAATGTTTCTGTCAGGGTCAAATCAGGATACAAAACCACACAGTAATTTGAACAGGGACAGTTTCACATAAAGAATTGATAACTGTAACACAAGATTGGCATACCAAGGGATTGTCCAGGAAGAAGTACAGGGAACTCTAAAGAATGCAAGAATACAGATAAAAGAAGCAGATAATACCCCTAGGGCTGAGATAGAGCATCCAAGGAAGAGCTCCCACCCCCTAGGTCAGCTGGTGGACTTGGCTTTGGCTTGCTGAATGTCAGAGAAGTCACTGTGTTGCTGGACCAGCAGAACTTGTATATCCACCCGTTAGGGTGCCGGGAAAACCTTTTCACTGGAGATGCCTCACTGGAGCCAGTCTGCTACAAAACTGCCCAAGGGGGTTACTGGAGGAAGCTATATATCAGAGAGCATGTAACAGCCTTGGGAAAGTGATCTCATTCCCTTCTCCTTGGCTGGCTGGGGGTGCTGCTGTCTGCTACACTTTGCAGGAGTCAGGCACTGAAGATGCTACTCATACTTCAAGAACCAGATGCTGGAAAAGCCACCTACATTTTAGGAGTCTGGCGCTGGAGAAGTTACATATGTTGCAGAAGCCTGGTTCTGCAGTCACAAGGGACAGATGTTGAAGAAGTGGCCCTTGCTGGAGAAGTGGGTTGTGCTGCAAGAGCCTGCTGATTGAGCACACTGGAACCAGGGAGAAAACCTCCCGAAATGTCTCTCTAGTGTCCTCTACTGATAGAATGTATCACGCCAACTGACAAAAGGGAAACATTTCAAGGCCCCAAACCTATTTTCACAGATTAGGCATTGAGGGTGGAGTTGGAGCTGAGAGGTAATGAATTGGTAACTGGCAAAGAGAGTACTTTCTTTAATGCAATCTCTATAGCTAGTATAACTTTTGTTGTTGTTGTTGTTGTTGTTTTGTTTGTTTGTTTGTTTTATCTGTGAAGCAATTCTGATACTTGGACTCGACTACTTGGGATTTTATTCCCTTCTACTACCTCCAATTCTTGAGAATGTTTACATCTTGGGGATCAATAGATACAATAATCTTTGTATTTATAACATGCTGTGACTCCACCCAACTCTTCACATTCCTCTCTCTCAAAGAAGATAATACCTTTTTTTCTCCTTGTTGAAATTATTCCTGAGTGAGCTTATACCTCTACCACTCTGAGCTTTCTTCTCATGGGCAAATATATCCAAGCATTCTGGTGTTTGAGGATGTAGATAGACAGTATGATATTGCACTTGTCCTGACTCATTTTCTGGAGTGATCCTGAGTCTCAAAAATGTACACTCTGCCTTTCTTTGCCTACAAAGATGGCCATGTTGCTTTAGATAGTTTTACACAGAGACTCAGTGGAGTTCAGGACTGTTGAGCTATTTTTACTTTGAAAGGTACAGACCAGAGTTTCAAAAAGCTCTTGCATTTATTGTATTTTAAAAAAATATGTAAAAACATGTTACATTAATGAAAATGCTTTGCATGTATAGTGTTTGTTATCTTCATTGTTAAGTCTCTGGAGACCTTTATTTAATTCATTTAGTGATCTATCCACCATATTTAGTCCACAGAGATTTTGGAAAACATTTTATTACAACCTGAACTTGAAGGCATTTTTTTGCTAACAAAAATCCATTCATTCTGCAGTTATTCATTCATGCATTGATTCATTTAGTATATAAACATATATTGAGCATATAATTTTCCATGGGTGGTTATGGAAAAAGGGGTGAATGCAAAAATGCTTGACAGATTTCCCATCTGGACAGCACTTCAAAATCTAGAGAGAAACAGATAGTACAATTGCTATGATGCGGAGGAGACTATGATAGGTGTTTTAAAGAAGTTCACAATGGCAAACTAAAGAGAGATATAAATTCTATGATCTAAAAATCAATTAGTTAAAAATAGAATTTCATAATCAAAATCATATAAGAAGATCACAAAGGATGAGAGTGTTAGCTCCATAAGGAAGGAGGCTCACCATATTTGTCATCACCTTCCTAACTCCCAGTCATGGTAGACTCGCTCTATACATTTGATGATTGCCAGTATGCACAAGGAAAAACCAACCATCTATGTGGGGTTGCAAAAATGAATGAGAAGAATTGATTTGTTCAGATTCTGCCACTAATTGCGAGCTTGAAAAAGTCTCTTGTGTTGGAAGGTCCCTAAGACCACCCTCAGGTTCACTGATTCACTAGGAGGACTCACAGAACTCAGCAAAGTTATTATACCTTGGGTTGGTTGTTACAGCAAAAGGATGCAGATTAAAAGAAACCATAAAAAAAGGAGGAGCATAAACTAGGGTCCAGAAGACACAGTTGTCCTCTCCCAGTGGAGTTAAATGAACAGCACTTATTTCTCCTGGCAAAGATGTGTGACAACACTTAGGAAGCATTGTCAACCAGGAACATTCACTTGAGCTTTAGTGTCCAGGGTTTTTACTGGGGGCCAGTTACATATGCATTGCTGACCACCTATGTGGCTGACCTTATTCTCCAGCCCACCAGAGGTCAAGTTGATAGCACATAGCCCAAGGCTCCTGCCATAAATCACATTGTTAGCATGGAATCTCTGGCTCTCTGGCATGGTTCAAGGCCCCCACCATAAATCACATCATTAGCACAGACTCTGTGGCATGGTCAAAGTCCCCAGGTAAACAAAGATACTCTTATCAGGCAGGACATTCTAAAGGCTTATAGGTTGCCTCCCGGGAGCCTGGCAAGGCCCAAACTTTCCTTGAAATATGCAGAGTGTGAACAGCCCTGAGTTAATCCTTTGCTCTTCACCATTTAACTTCTGTCTTTTCCTGATTGTCTTCATCTATAAACTGAGGTGACGGCAAAAAATGGACCAAAATAATTCCCAGCTTTAAAATGCTACAGCAATTTAAATTTTTAATTAAACAACAAAGAAGAAGAGTAAGCTCTAAAGACATTCTAATTCAGTAAATGTTTAAGAAATACCAGAGTGTAAAGCAAGGACACATTTTTGTGTATTTCTTACAATCAGGTAATAGTTTTCTTTATCTCCGCATTCTGCTTGTAAAGACAAATGGTGTTTTTCAAGCCACGTTCCCACCAGCTCCTGGCCCTTCTACCCCGCCTAGAATCCCCACCCAAATCTCTGGAAAATGAGTGCCTCTCAGGAGACTTTGAAAATTAGTTCAGGCTAAATGCTACTGGATAAGTAGTGTTTAGCAGCTGTTTGAAATAAGAAAAAAAGGGACATGGGTTTCTATTGCAGCAAGAAGAATTTAGGTTCAATTTGAGGACAATTTGCTAACTAAGAAGTAGATGGAAAACTAAAATAGTTATCAAGGTTTATGGAGTCTCCTTGTCTAGGAAAAAAATCAGAAAGTGCATTTCTTTATCTTTCTGGGTAGTTTAAGTTTAGAGCTGACCTTACAAAGATGCCGTTTTTGTTGTAACACCCCTAAGCTCAGAAATTAAACCATATCCAAAATAAACTCAGTGGCTCAGGCTCCAAAAGCAGATTAGAATGTTTTAGTAGACACAGCGTATTTATGGCACTTCAGTTTAAGCTTCAGCTTGAAGGTGGATTAATTTTGGAGTATTGTACCCGAGTTATTTGGGATGAGAAATGCTAGAACATAAAGTTATGTTTTGAGCTAGGTTCCAGCTCTCTGTAGGAGTAGGCTTCTGCTCACAGGAAGCTAAAATGAATTTGAAAGCCACAATTGCCATGCCTTCAGAGAAAGACATTTTCTACTCAAAAAGCAAAGCATTCAGTACCTAGTTGAGCAGGTAAGCTTGATTCAGCATTGGGCAAGGCCAATTAATATCGACTAATGTTACCACTGCTTGCTGCTGACTGCCGCCTCTGTCACTGCTTTTATAGAATGGCATCTTTACAAATGGCATAGGAGGCTGTCATCAGAAATCGTTATTCCTGGAGTAGACTAAGACAATTTATCATTAAAAATCATCATGGAAAGTGAGATGTGATGACCAGTTCATACTTTGTGTAATTCTAGACCAATCCCATTAATTTAAGAGCTCATTTATTACCAGAGAATGACAGAAGATCACCAGGGAAGAACTGCTCTTGGTCTAAGCAAAATTAACATTTAATTCACTAAATTTCAGGACACAAACACAGATCATCAAAGATGCATGGAAGAAGTAACGTTAAATACATTCTTAGTATGAGCTTGTTGACTGCTTTTGAGAAGCTAGCACCCCATTTAAGCAGTCAAATGATGTAAGTATAGTAGTTTGGGGATCAGAAACATTTTCCTGGTTGCCTTTATCTGTGTGCTCTCTTGAGTCTAGTTACCAGCAACATCAGCATTGCATCTGGAAGGTTGTTAGAGTTGCAAAATCAGGTCCCAGTGCACACCTACAGAATCTAAATCTGCATTTTCACAAGATCCTTGGAGTGATTCCTATGCCCATTCAAGTTTGAGAGGCACTGCTTGCAAATCTGGACAGCTGCCTGTTTTTGTAAATAAAGTTTTATGAGTCAAGCTTTTGCATTTACTTAAAGTCTATGGCGTCTTTTGCACAGCAATGGCAAGACCAGTACTTGCAGCAGAGACTGTATGTCCCACGAAGCCTGAAATTTTTACTGTATAGACCTTTACAGGAAAAGTTTGCTGACTGCTATGAGTCTAGAATATTGTTTTCTAGCTTTGCTGAGATAGGAAGAAAACTGCCCCTTACTGTATCTGCAATAATATAGGCTTTAGGGTGCAAGCTTTTCACAGCTTTTATACTAGAAGCACCACTGACTTTCTCTTTTCTTCTCTTTCTTCTTTTAAAAAGGTTTCAAGATAAATGGAAGAGATTAAAAGCAGTTTGAGAGTTTTTGTATTAAAAGCTATGTAAAAATAATCTATTCAGGTCATTTTATTTCTGGATTGGAGTGTAAGCCATTGGAGAGACCAGAGATTACACTTTTTAAAAATCTCCTAAAATGGCCTGCCTGCATAGTGTGATGCATATAGTCTTTTTTCCTGCTCCAAACCCTGAGATTTAAATACTAGAGCTACCAAAGACAGTAGTCAATCTGTATTTTTTCTTACATTGTTCACCTGTAATTTTCTGAATGTAATTTTTCACTTTCTTACCAAGACTACAAGCCGCTCAGAGATATTTTATTAACATTCTCCAAATATCCTTCTTTAATACTTGCTGGACCCCAAATAAAATTCAGTATGTGATTCTTGGTTGAGAGAATAGGACCGTGTGTGGCTCTGTGTTCCTGGTCCCTCATCCAGTGTCCTTTATATAATAAACAGTGAAGAAACATTTGTCATATGATTTCTTTGCAAAAAAAATAAATAAATAAAGCAAAGTCCAATGAAAGTCAAAAAGACCTAAATTTCACTACCAATGCACTCTAGGCAATGTGGCCTTCAAAAAGAAAATGGCCCAGAGAACAGCACTGTCATCCCTGATGGAAGGACACGTACATTTACGACTGTCCCTCCATTTTCCAACCAACCCACACTTGTCCTGCTGCTCTTTGGAGACCATGTCAGATCTACCACCTCATCAGCATTTATGAATATGTATTGTTTATATTAGCCACCGGTATACAAAAACAAAACAAAAGAAGCTTCATTCCAAAGAATGTTGACATTAATTCAGCTTCAGGACTTTACACAGACACAGAATGCTCTAAACAGCCAGATGGTATCCTGATCTTAAGGTTGGAAAAAAAAATTGATGGATTTTGATTTCTATGTACCTTTATGCCTGAGAGTCAATCAAGGGCTTTCTAGAAGATTTGACTGTGAAGAAAGGGTCTGAATAGGAAAAAAAAAACACAATGGCTAAACTTCCTGACATTAGAAGCAGCAGCAGGCCTACCATTCTAAATATTTAGCACCTACCACAAAGGAAAGTCAAATCCCCATATTGGCTAAATCTAAGGTGCCAAAGGTACTAACACCATCTAAGACCTTGCTGTGGAGATGACTGAGGCAGGAATGGGTAGGCATTTTAATAAAAATTCATGTATTTCAAGGGCTTAGATAATGTGAACTAAATAGATATATCTTCTTCCTTTGGAAAATTACTCTAAGGAAAGTTTATTTATTTATTACATTCAACAAATATTTACTGAGTCCCTTCTATGCCAGGCACTGTTCTATAAACCAGGAATATAGTAGAGGTGAAAGCAAACTCAAATCCCCAATCTCAGAGCTTACATTTTGATGACAGAGAGAGAGAGAGAGAGAGAATAAAAACTAAAGTAAAATGTACATAGACAGTAAGAAGTTCTAAGTAAATGTATATAGAGAGTGCTAAAGGGTAAGGAGAGGTATTGGGAGAAGGGTTAGAATTTGACATAAGGGAGTCAGGGAAGGTCTCCCTGAGAATGCTGATGCTGGAACCTACCATCTAAGACCTCGCCATGGAAATGACTGATGCAGGAATTGGTAGGCATGAGCTTATCTGGTCCCCAGATATGACAACGGAGAAAGTAAGAACACTTAGGAGTGGAGGGCAGGACATCAGACATTGGCACTGTGTGCTAATGTCAGCTGGGGTGCTAGCCGAAGGGCAGGTGTCTGCATCGGGCTTGTGCTGCATTATGATGTCATAGAGGAAGTGAGATTGGAGGAGCTCCTTGAAGAGAAGGCTAATGTAATCTGACTACACTGAAGTATTTCTCTGGAATAATAATTTTCTCAGGACAAGCAGTGTGCCCTTCCGTGGAATATATTAATTGAGTGCACACAAGCCAGTTTACCCTTCCAGTTCCTCACTCTCCCTAGCCCTTTTGCTCCTTCCACCCAGCCCCACTCCAAAGCCTTGGGGAAACTAAGGAGAGCTTCACTTAGACCTGTCCCATGTTTCCTGGTGGAGGGAGGGCAGAAGTAAGGGGCAGATGTCAGAGCTGCTAAGCCAGGGAAGAATAATAAGACAACCTGTTATGCCAGGTGCTTTCAATTTTCATTCTGCAAAGCCAAAAGCAGACACAAAGTTCTACCACCTTTACAAAAAAATGCTCATCTCCATTAATGGCTGGTAGCAGCCTGGTGTCACTCCTGTTTCCTATTGCTGTGAGACACATATGGCTATGGCTAGGACCCCACAAATCATCCAGTAAGTTCATTTTTATTAGTAGCTTCTGCTTAATTAAGGGATGCACCATGCTCCATCAATCAGCTTCTGTGCATTCGAGTCATCCCTAGTCACTCCATTGCTAATAGATGTAGTTCTTGTGCTTTAGGAAAAATAAAAGATCTGGGGCATATTGGCTCCAAAAGTCAAGGGAGATAATGATTCTGACAGCGGGAGCACTGCTGTGGCAATTCCTTTAAACATGAAACTGACTGACTACAGAGGCAAGTACATGATGTCTCTACTTTTCAAAGATAGAAGCTTTGATTCATTAGATCAGATGACTATAGATCAGATGTTAATATTAACATTTTAATATTGGTGTTAAACAGTATATAATAGATCAAACTAAGTTTTGCATTACTTAAAAAGGACATAATGCAAGATATATGAAAACCAGGAGGCAAAGTGCCATGGACAGGAATGAGATTGATATGTAAATGGTCCCTCACTTAAGATGGTTCGATTTAACAATTTTTCGACTTTATGATGGTACCCATGCGGCCATTCTGTTTTTCACTTTCAGTGCAGCATTTAATAAATTATATAAAGTATTCAACTCTTTTAAAATAGCCTTTGTGTTAGATGATTTTGCCCAGTTGTAGGCTAATGTAAAGTCTTCTGAGCATGTTTAAAGTAGGTTAGGTTAAGCTACAATGTTCGGTAGATTGTCTTCGACCCTCAATATTTTCAACTTATGGTGGGTTTATCCGTGATGTAACTCCATCCTAAGTAGAGGAGCATCTGTATATTTTTAATGCTTTTGCCTCCATTTAACTTCCTTATTCAAGGTAAGGCTCTAAGTTAGAACAACTGTTTATCTTTTTCCTGTGTAGGTTTCCAAAACTTTCAAAGTACATTCCATCCTCTTGTTCACAAATTCTGTACTTGCTAAAAGTTATTTGCAACTTCAAAATCAATACTGCTAGTGCTTTTGTAATCATTCGCGGACATCGCAGAGTAGCGAAAAATTTGAGTCGCTCTACCAGTACCTTCCGGCTAAGGTCCAGCAAGGACCTTCTTTCCCATCTCATGCAAAGCTGGCCAGAGGACAGGGACGGTAGGGGGCAGCGCAGGGTAGTGCAAGAAGGTCCTGCTCTGGGGACCATTTGGCGGGGTTTGAATCCCAACTCTGGCATCTGTGAGTGGAGGGCGTCTGACCAACCACCTAACACTTTTGGATCTCATGTTGTCTTTTGTAAAATAAAGAAAATAGAATCTATTAATATCAGAATGTGTTGGTTTTTGGCAATAAGACAATAAGCTATGTGAGATATATGTATTTGTTGTTGTTGTTGTTTTGTTTTTGAAACTGGAGTTCAGTGGGGCAATCTTGGCTCACTGCAGCCTTCGCTTCCTGGGTTCAAGTGATTCTT
This sequence comes from Homo sapiens, assembly GCF_000001405.40. Classification (NCBI taxonomy): domain Eukaryota; kingdom Metazoa; phylum Chordata; class Mammalia; order Primates; family Hominidae; genus Homo; species Homo sapiens. The sequence goes on from NC_000001.11 coordinate 217,889,911, forward strand.
GTGCCTCAACCTCCCTAGTAGCTGGGTTTATAGGCATTCACCACCACTCCGGGCTAATTTTTTTACATTTTTAGTAGAGAAGGGGTTTCACCATGTTGCCCAGGCTGGTCTTGGACTCCTGCGCTCCAGATCCACCCACCTTGGCCTCCCAAAGTGCTGGGATTACAGGTGTGAGCCACTGGGCCAGGCCTGTACATATACTGTATTTCCCCTAGGAACAATGGTTCAGTAGGAATTAATTCAGTGTTTGTGCTGACTTTATAGAACTTAACTCCCATGAGTAATGAAAATCAATTGTAGTATCTTCCCCATTGGCAAATGGGTATGCAAAATATTTTTAAATTTGCATAAAAAGCCATAAGGGTAAGGAAAATATTTATTAAAATTGATTTTTTTAAGAAAAACTATGCAATTCTAAAATTGGCAAAAATATATAAACAGACACTTCCCCAAAAGAAGATATAAAGATGACAAATGTGTATATGAAAAGATGTTCTATACCTTTTGCCATTAAATAAATGTGACTTAAAACCACAATGATACCATACACACCTATTAGAATTATTAAAACCATAAAAATTGACAATAGCAAATGCTGACATGAATGCGGAGCAACAGGAGTTCTCATTCATTGCTGGTAGGGATGCAAAATGATATAGCCACTTTGGTAGACAGTTTGTTTCTAATATAGTTAAACATATACCTAACATATAACCCCAAATTCCACTCTTAGGGATTCACCCAAGTGAATTGAAAACTTATGTTTACACACAAGTCTGTACATTAATGGTTTATTCAAAACCACTAAAAAGTGACAAAAATCAAGATGTCTTTCAACAGATGAGTGAATGGTACACCCATCTAATGGAATACTAAAACAAATAAAGGATGAGCTGATTGATTTATGCAATAGCACGAAAAATCTTCAGTATATTTTTCTGTGTGAAAGAAGGCAAAACCAAAAGGCCACATAGTGTATAATTAATTTCATTTGCGTGATATTATGGAAAAAGGAAAACTATAGGGACAGAAAACAGATCACTGGTTGCCAGGAGATGGAGGAAGGAGGGGGTTAACTAAAAAGCAGCAACAGAGGAGAATTTTTAGGGTGATGAAACCATTCTTTCTGATAATGTTTTGGTGGATACATGACTCTATGGATTTGTCAAAACCCATAGAACAATACATTACAAAGAGTGAGTGTTTTTGTATTCAAAATTTAAAAAAATCAACCAGAATATTGGGGGTCCCAGGATGGAATGAAGATTGTATCTAAATATACAATCTTTGAATTACAAATACATTACAAATATACAGCATAATGAAGAGGAGAGGAAAAAGGAGCCAATCTAAATAACTTTGTAAAAATGGTGTTTGGGCTGACATTGTAAAGCTAAAGACAAAAACAAACAAAAAACTGTGCATAAACACTGTACTCTGATTGGTAAATTTGTTTCTCATAGGGGTATGGGTTATAAATTCTGAAACTAATTTACATGTTCACTATGGTTGAAAAAATGTGTAAAATAACTTGTAGATAAAGGGAGCTCACTTGCTTACTATTAGAGAAAAAAGTTGCAAATAAGCAGGTAGAGGTGCAGGGGTGGGGGTGTGGGAAGGCTGGAATAATTCCCATTGTGGTGGCTTAAATTTGGAGATGTCAGCTTGATTTCTTTTAACATATATACCAATAGATAAATATGAAGTAAATGTAGATATGTGTTTATACATGGGTTAATATACATCTAGTCTAGCCCTATCTCCTGAGATGACCTGAGAGCACTGATACCTCAGTAGCAATGAGCACACCTGGTACCCAGATCTTGATTTCTAAATACCATTCTACAATAAAAGGAACCAGGGCTTCTTGGAGAAATAACTGTTTCTAGACAAAAGAAAGAAATTGTAAAAAAAAAAAAAAAAAAAAAAAAAAAGTTAATAAAAAAGAAGGATGGAGACATGTCAAAAGAACTCCCAGGGCCAAAGCTAGAATGATTTGAGCAAGAAATAATAATGAGAGCATTGGATTGTAATCCCCAAAGTATTATTAACCCACAAGCCCACAAGTACACAATGATATGAATAAGTAAATGGGAAGAACAAGCAAATCTTCTTTACAGAAACATTCCAAATAATATAGGTAGAGATTATTCCTTCCAGGACATAGAGCTTAATTCCACTTTCCTATGTGGGCTAGACTTAGTGACTCACCTCCAAAGAATAAAATGTAGGAAGGGAAAAGTAGTAACTTTACAGGAAAAAAAACTTGGCAGATACCATCACCTTAACCAAATAATGAAAGTTAAAATCACCAGTGATAAATCGTGTTGTTCTCACATACCCATGATACAACGCATAGTCCACATCTCTGGTCCTTTTTCTAAAACCCTTAATCTCATTATAAAATAAAATTGAGGGGTATTCTATAAAATTCCTGACTAGCATTCTTCAAAATGTTGATTAAGAAAAAAGAAGGGAAAACTAAGAAACTATTACAGATTGGAGGAGAAAAGGGAGACATAACAAATAGATGCAATGTGAATTGGATCCTGGAACAGAAGGACATTAGTGGAGAACTGGTGAATAAAGTCTATAGCTTAGTTAAAGTATTATACCAGCAAGTAGAGTAGTCTTCTCTTTTTCTGCAAGGGATATATTCCAAGATCCCTAGTGGATGCCTGAAAACGAACACTATATATACTTTTGCAGTTTGAGGTGTGACAGTAAAACTAACATGAATTTCTTTTTCCTTCTTCACCATTTCACGGATAGAAGATTCATTCTTAGCATAGATCTTAGCAACTACAGCATACAATTTTTGTTCTTTCCTTATTAAGTAGAGAACTTTAAGATTTTCACTTAAAGGGAACACTTCTTTTTGGCATTTCCAAATTGCCAGCATCACTACTCTTGTGCTTTGGGGCCTTTATGATGTAAAATAAGGGTTATTGAACACCGGCACTGTAACACCACCACAGTCAATCTGATACTGAGATGGCTACTGAGTGACTAACAGGTAGGGAGCCTAGACAGTGTGGATACATTGGCCAAAGAGATGATTCACGTCCTGTGTGGGACAGAGAGAGGCAGTGTGAGATTTTATCATGCTACTCAGAATGGTGCACAATTTAAAATATATACATTGTTGATTTCTGGAATTTTCGATTTTGCATTTTCAGACTGCAGGTGACCACAGGTAACTGAAACCATGGGAAGTGAAACCCTGGGTAAGAAGGGACTACTGTATTAATGTCTTAGTTTTGGCAAATGTAGTACAATTTATGTAAGATGTTAACATTAGGGGAAGCTGGGTGTTATGGGAGCTCTCTGTACTCAGCAACTCTGTAAATCTAAAATTGTTCTAAAATAAAGAGTTAAATAAATACATACATATATACATACCTCAATTATATAAAGTGTTATCACTAATAGCTCGTTTTTCAAACACAATAGAAAAATATGTCGTAATGTCATGGGAGATTAGAAAAATGGGAGAAATAAATCAATATTATCCCCTTTAATCTATAAACTTTGCTCCTCAAATTATATTCCCTTTTTCTCCACTTTAGATGTTATCTAGGAAGGGGAGAAGCAAATATAAAGGAAGATGAGGAGTAGAAGAGAAACAATAAATGAGAGTGTAAAGATAATGGAAACCTTCAGAACTACAAACAATAGGCAATTTTTCCTAACAGGCCTAAGTGTTGATATGGTTCAGAAAAATAGAAATATTGAAGTCAATGAAGCCATGGAATACACAGGCCATTCAGAATTTGCCTGAAATCTATAAATAGGGAACTAACTCTACAGTCAACAACCACATACAGCATATATTGGCAAAGTTATTCTGGTCAGATGATGCACACAATGATATACATATATAAAACTATGTCAATATATATATGTGTATATATAACTATTCCATTGAATAAGACAAGTCATGGCATGTAATCACAAGCAACTTTATTTTCATCTCCTACTGTCCCTGTAAATGTATTCCACTGATCTAGATCTTCTGCCCTTGGGTGAGAGTGCAGGTTGTTCCCCTGACTGCTTTAGTCATGTTTAGATACTAAAAATTTCTGTAACCCTTTAAGCCACAAAACACAGTCTCATTTCAGTAAAGTGGCTCGTTCCTTGTAGTAATTAAAACTTAGAATTGAGGTGTCTCCATTTCCCTATCTTGGGTCTTCTCTAGTTGATTTCTTCTTGCTTTTCTCCTCCAACTCTTCTCCTCCTGTACCTGGTTAACTGCAGTGCCTGATCCTTCTAGTTTTAAAGACGGGAAAGATTAAGCACATTCTGGGAGTAAAATTTCATTATTTTTTTAATTTAAGGAAAAACATAAAGAAGGGAAAGAAAAGGGAAGAACAGGAAAGTTCTCACTTGATTGGTCATGTTGGGTGATGTAGCTTAACGCTGTGGGACTTGGCAGATGCTTCAGATGGCCCATTCTCTCTTGGGATCCTTAATGGGTTTTTTAATGACTTAATATCACAAATATATCCCTGCAGTGTTCTTGAATTCACCTCTATTCTGGCTGATCTTCTGTGACTCCTACAGCTGCTAGTCATCTGCGGGGCCACTTCTAGTTTGTTTCTTGTTGTTTTTTGAGACGGAGTCTCACTCTGTTGCCTAGGCTGGAGTGTAGTGGCGCGATCTCAGCTCACTGCAAGCTCCGCCTCCCGGTTTCTCCTGCCTCAGCCCCTCTAGTAGCTAGGACTAGAGGCCTGCGCCACCATGCCTGGCTAATTTTTGGGTTTTTGTTTGTTTGTTTGTTTTTTGAGATGGAGTCTCACTCTATCACCCAGGCTGGAGTGCAGTGGCTCGATCTCGGGTCACTGCAACCTCTGCCGCCCGGGTTCAAGCAATTCTCCTGCCTCAGCCTCCTGAGTAGCTGGGATCACAGATACATGCCACCACACCCAGCTAATTTTTGTATTTTTAGTAGAGATGGGGTTTCACCATGTTGTCCAGGCTGGTCTTGAAGCCCTGACCTCGTGCTCCACCCGCCTCGGCCTCCCAAAGTGCTGGGATTACAGGCATAAGCCACCGCGCCCGGGCCAATTTTGTAGATATGGGGTCTCACCGTGTTGGCCAGGCTTGTCTGGAACTCCTGACCTCAAGTGATCTGCCCGCCTCAGCCTCCCAAAGAGCTGGGATTATAGGCGTGGGCCATCGTGCCTGGCCTGCAGTTTGTTTCTTTTGAGGTCTTTCTGTCTCTCCAAGTGGTTTTCTAGGGTAAGATATGAGAAAATCCCATATTTACTCCCTATTGTAAATGACTCTTACGTAATTCACAAAAAATTATGCATTTTTTGCACTAAAAGTTTCTGGGAGGACAATTACTTCCAAACCTCAGCCTTCTGTTTTGCTACCACCCGCCATCTTAGCCAGCCTATCACTCTCTGTTTCTCAGAAATGACCCCTATTACAGTCTACTGTGACCCAACACTGCGTGGCTTATGTAGTAATTTCTCCAAGTTGTCTGTTAGAGTCTTACTGTTTTGGCTTGAGGTAAAAGAAAAATCCATCACCTGTTCTCTTTGGTGGGGTGGTACTCACAGCACAGCAACAACTCTTCCCTGAAATCCTCCTTCCAAAATCTGCCTCTAATCTCCTACACCTGATCCTTTTATACTCTCAATGTGAGTGAGAGAGTTAGGGGTTATGATGAGGGTTCTTACCCAACTATCTCAGTCAAAATTCTTATGTAAATATCCTATTAACATAGAAATACTTTTTGGTTTTTTGTTTTTGTATTTTTTTTTTTTTTTGCTTTAAATACTTACCCTGCCCTCCCCAAGTTCCGTTCATTCACAGAAAAATGAGTGTGCTTATGTCCCAGAGTACAAGATACTTTAGATCGGAATGAGTGTTTTTTTTTCCATTTTTTAAAATTACAAGTAATATTTAGACATTTTTAGGGCAGCATAAGTCAGTGATAATATCACTTGAAGAAATAGCCAAAAAAAAAGTTTCAGAAAATCTGCAGTGAATGACATGAGCATGCACAGGGTTAAAATTTGGCTTTTGTGCATTGGAACATACACCAATAATAGCATGGCCACTTACTCCAATCTTCTTTCATGCTGAGTGGTGCTAAGCCCTCTTCAAGGGATAACAACGCTAAGAGGCCTGTTGGGAAAACTGTTCAGTGGAGTCCAACACAGTTCACTTGAGAGGAAAATCAAATTTTCTCTCAGTCCTCGAGCAGTGAAAAGGTGGCACATTAACCCCCTGCATCCTTTCAATAATGTGGGAAGTAAATCTAAGTAACGCCGTACCATGAATGTGAGGCTACGTCGTCAAAAATACATAGGTCAACATTCTTCCCTGACATTTTTCTACAGTCATTTTATCCTCTCTGCATTTTATTATTATGATGGCTATTAAAGGGTCTTATATACTCTGTGGAAAGGGTGAAAAATTGCAGCCAAACATTGTATAGTTATTTTTGTAATATAAATAAAGGTGCGCTACAGTATTATATGTATATTATTATATACATTCATTATTAAACAAATATATTAAGAAACTTTTGTAGCAGAAGGGCGTATCTCTGGCCCTTTTCCCGCATTTATCCTTAGAGAGATATTCTCCCTAAGGGACTGTTTGAAGTTTTGCCACTTTTGGAAGAGAATATATAGATGGCATGATGTAGCCTTAAGCTCCCTCCACTTGCCATTCTTTGTGAATTGAGTTGGATTATGTCATTTCCCCTGATGCCCTGTAATGCAGCCTTAAGAATAATGACCCTGCAATGTGGCTCTGCTGAAAATGGCTTTTCTAGTGCCAGAAAAAATGATTCATACTTGGCTTAGGAGCCATTTCTGGAAACTGCCAGAACAAAGGACAGAGGCAATTCACTAGGGAGCTCCAGCATCATCCAATCCAATTTGGAAAAAGATGGCACATCACTAAATACAAACATTTTAATTGATATATTTATATATACATATACCTATATGCAAGCGTATGCCATGTACACATCTATTTTACATATAGATATTTATAATAACACAAATGTGTTTGTACATGCACATACGGTGTGTATGCATTTAAGGGCAGAGATGTATCAAATTGAATGCTATAGTTATTTCTCATTCCTTTATTTTAATTTTGTGTCTGAAATAGGTTAATACTCTCCTACGATGCCGCCAACCTGAAAATAGGAGCTTGGTTGAAATTGTAACTCTGCCATCATACATTCTCTTGTTCCCAGGAATTATTACATTAAAAAAAGACATACAAGGTTGTCTTGTCCACTTTAACTGCCTGCTGCCAAGTTCAAGAATCATCTGGCCACTTGGGTCGTCAATATTTGTAGAGGCAGAGATCTCCACCAGTTCTTGGGGAAGATGTATCCTCAGAGACCTTGTTAGGGAATTTGTCTCCACGTACCTAGGGAATGCCTTCTTGGCAGTGTCTTACATACCTCATTTGACCACCCAGTTCTCATATTCCTCCTTGGCTATGTGTCAAACTGCACATTTATTTTTCTTAATCTTCTCTCAAAAATCAATTCTCTGAGTCCCTTAATCATTTTTATTGATCTCTGTTGAATTTTCTCTAATATGATGGCACCTATCTTCTCCTGAAGTACAGGCATTTGCTGCTTTATTCATCCTCACCATTCCACATTCAGCTTCGGCTGGGTACAACATATAGTATGAAGGATGCCAGCTGATTTTTGTCTCATAGGACATCTACTTCCCATCATTTTGTGAGACTAAAAACACATTATAATGGGAACTTGAAGACATGCTTCTTGCATATGTTTTGTGTCTCCTGTTTTTTTTTTTTTTTTTCTCTCTAAATAAGATTCTGCTATGAATGTGAGTTAGTGTTTGGTGCATTTTTCAAGTCATGTCTCTGAAGTTTTAGGGCCACATATCTAACTTTCCATGTCTAATTCTACTTTCCATCTTTTTACTAAACTGCACTGCATGTCGGCTGAAAATTGTAAGTCTGTGTTAGAAGAGGAATAACATATAGATGTTTTTTCTAATAAAAAAGTCCTTATTTTGCAAAGGTGGCAAGCTTGTTGTACATGCAAATAATTTGTCTGAGAAGCAACTAGGAAAACTTGGGAAGTAACACGAGAGTCCCAGGTTCATTATTAGACCTGGGGAAGGGACAATTTAAATGAGAAGAACCCCTGGGTTGGGGGTGGTGTTGATGATAGGCTGTACGTGATAATTGCTACCATTTTGTGAGTGCTTACAAGGTGCTACTCTAAAGTTTTTTTCATATATCTTATTTAAACTTAAAATGTCTGTGAGAGACACAATTATTATGGTCATTTTTATAGATGCAGAAGCAAAGGCATAAAAACACTAAAAATGTGTGCAAAGTCAGTCTAGTAACTAAATTATCTGAATGGAGGACTCAAACCTAGGTAGTATGCTTAAGAACTCTCAGACCTAATCACTTCCTCTTCCTTCTATTTTTTTTTTTTTTTTAAGATAGAGTTTTGCTCTGTTACCCGGGCTGCAGTGCAGTGGTGTGATCTCGGCTCACTGAAACATCCACCTCCCGGATTCGAACGATTCTCCTGCTCAGTCTCCCGAGTAGCTAGGATAACAGGTGCATGCCACCACGCCCGGCTAATTTCTTTGTATTTTTAGGAGAGACGCGGTTCCACCATGTTGGCTAGGCTTGTCTTGAACTCTTGTCCTTAAGTGATCCACCTGCCTCGGCCTCCCAAAGCACTGGGGTTATAGGCATGAGCCACCGTGCCTGGTCTTTTTTTTTTTTTTAAATTGAGGCAAAGTCTCAATAAAAAGACAGTGGTGCAATCTCAGCTCACTGTAACCTCTGCCTCCCGGGTTCAAGCAATCCTGGGATTGTTTGTAGTATCTGGGGTTACAGGTGGGCGCCACCACACTCGGCTAATTTTTTGTATTTTTAGTAGATACGGGATCTCGCCATGTTTCCCAGGCTGGTCTCTAACTTCTGGGCTTAAGCGATCCACCTGCTTCAGCCTTCCAAAGAGCTGGGACTACAGGCGTGAACCACCATGCCTGGCCCCTAATCACTTCTTAGTGTCAGAAATATGCTTGCACTTCAAAAATCTAGGTAAACTCAGGTAGATGATCAGTGATGTATCCATCCCAGCCTTGGTTATCAAATATATATTTGTGAAGCTTTGAGAGTCAAGTTGCAAAGGCTATTACATCAACTAAGGATTGTTTAGAGAAGTAGACAACTCTGGCTGAAAAAATAAATTGCTAATTATATGTGACTTTTAAAAATGTTTTCCTTTAGTTAACTTCTTACTAGTAATTTTAAAAAACCAACTTAATAATTTATTAATGCCTCTTAGCATGGCACTTGTATACATATGTAACTAACCTGCACATTGTGCACATGTACCCTGAAACTTAAAGTATAATAATAATAAATTTAAAAAAAAGAAAAAAAATTTTTTACTTGCTGAATGATAGATTAACTTTCATCCAAAACATATTCTTAAAAATGGTCTCAGATACTAAAAATCTTTCTCGGAAACATTGCTTCATATATGTACATCAAGTTTCCTTGCCTTCTGTTTGTGCAAATCAACCTCAGAGGAAGGACAGAAGTTAACCCAGAAAGGATTAATCCAGAAGGAAAGGCAATTGATCATTAGGTTCATCTCAACCTACTGCATCCCTTTAGCCTTCACTAAAAAAGCAAGAGTCAGTTTCCATCACCTGTTTGCAAGAGAGGCCAACTCAGCTCAGCTAAAATCAAATCCATATTCATCAAATCTCCCTGTTTGGATCACTTATTTTGTTAAAATGAAAAGTAGTATTTCAAAGGGATTCAATTTATGTTCCAAGGGACATAAGAACCATTCTTAAAATATGAACGATTCCTGCAATAAATTATTAGTGGCAACCTCTGGTCAGGTCTCTTAGAACTGTTTCAGAGAACTAAAGATGAATTTGCCATTTCTCATTCCCAGAGTTGAGAGGCCTACAAGAATGAGTTTTTTAATCTATGACTTACTGCCTGTTACTAAGTGATTCTGGCTGTGTCAATAAATTTGTTCACAGCTCTAATTGTGTTAATGAATTGAACATAATTAAACTTACAACATGTCATGAGTTTCTTCTGGCAGAATTCAGTAGATTTTTCAAAAAAAGATCTCTGTGGGAAAACAAATAAATGTACTGCACAACTCCTGCCATCACCATAGAGTCTCCGTGGACAAAAGATTGGAATAAGAAATTCTGAAATTGGCTGTATGTATTTATTCAGATATTTCTATCTGAATAAAGTTTTATTTAATTTGCAATCACTGTGACCTGTTCTTTGATTAAATTCACGAGATTGCGAGCTCCTTTAAAGGTAGAAAGTATATATTACTTTATCTTTATCTCCAACTCTAGGTAGAGTGCCTATTACATAAAAATGTATAGTAAGTGAATGTGGCCACATGAACAAATTCAGTCTGAATAGCTCCATTTGGGGGTTCGTGGGGGGAAGGGAGCCTATTTGGTCATCTCCTATGTGCTGGTCACTAAGCTCAGAGCTCTAACATATAAAATTGTAATCCCAGACTTTGGGAGGCTGAGGGGGGAGGATTGTTTGAGCCCAGGAGTTAAAGACCAGCCTGGGCAACATAGTGAGACCCCATCTCTGCAAAAAATAGCTGGGCATGGTGGCGCACATCTGTAGTCCCAGTTATTCAGGAGGCTGAGGTGGGAGGATTGCATGAACCTAGGAGTTTAAGGCTGCAGTGAGCTCTAATTACACCACTGCACTCCAGCCTGGGCAGCAGAGTGAAGCTTTGTCTCAAAAAAAGATAAAATAAAATAAGATAAATTTGTACTTAATCCTTACAAAACCCACTGGAGGGCATCTAATGACAGTAGCTTCCCCCCTTACCTGAGTCTTTGCTTTTAGCTGTTTCAGTTGCCCATGGTACACCACAATAAGATATTCTGAGGGAGAGACAGGCTACATTTACATACAGTTTATTATAGCATATTGTTATAACTGTTCTGTTCTATTATTAGTTATTGTTGCTGATCTCTTACTATGCCTAATGTAGAAATTAAACTTTATCATAGGTATGTACAGTGTGAACCCCCAAAATTTGAGACAGGTCTCAGCTAATTTAGAAAGTCTATTTTGCCATGGTTGAGGATGCGCACCCGTGATACAGCCTCGGGAGGTTCTGACGACATGTGTCCAAGGTAGAGCACAGCTTGGTTTTGTACATTTTAGGGAGACATGAGACATCAATTAACATACAAAAGATGAACACTGATTCTGTGCAGAAAGGGAGGACAAGCAAAAGCAAAAAGCAAAAGCAGAAGGACTGGAAGTGGGGAGGGGGATTCCAGGTCATAGGTAGATAAGAGACAAATTGTTGCATTCTTTTTTTTTTTTTTTTTTTTTGAGACAGAGTTTCACTCTTGTTGCCCAGGCTGGAGTGCAATGGTGCGATCTTGGCTCACTGCAACCTCCATCTCCTGGGTTCAAGCTGTTCTCCTGCCTCAGCCTCCCCAGTAGCTGGGATTATAGGCATGCACCACCACGCCCCGCTAATTTTTGTATTTTTCATGGAGACTGGGTTTCTTCATGTTGGTCAGGCTCAAACTCCTGACCTCAGGTGATCCGCCCAGCTTTGCCTCCCAAAGTGCTGGGATTACAGGCATGAGCCACCTCACCTGGCATGGTTGCATTCTTTTGAGTTTCTGATGAGCCTCTCCAAAGGAAGCAATCAGATATGCATTTCTCTCAGTGAACAGAGGGGTAATTTTGAATAGAATGAGAGGCAGGTTTGCTCTAGGCAGTTCACAGCTTGATTTTTCCCTTTAGCTTCATGATTTCAGGAGCCCAAGATATTTTCCTTTCACCACAGTCGTGTGTCACATAATGACATGTCAGTCAATGACAAACTTCATACATGAAGGTGGTTCCATAAGATTATAATACTGTATTTTTACTATATGTTTTCTGTTTAGATACACAAATACTTCCAATTGTGTTACAATTGCCTATAGTATTCCGTACAATAACATGTTGTACAGGTTTGTAGCCTAGGAGCAATAGGCTATACCACATACCTTGGGTGTGTAATAGGCTATATCATATAGCCTGGGTGTGTGGTAAGCTATTCCATCTAGGTTTGTGGAAGTACACTCTATGATGTGTACACGATGAAGAAACCACCTAACAATGCATTTCTCAGAACTTATCCCCATCCTTAAGTGATACATGACTGTACAGGAAAAAAAAAAACAGGGCATATATAGGGTTTAGTGCTGTCTGCATTTTTAGGCATTCACAGGGTTCTTGGAACATATGCTTTTGTAATAATGGGGGACTTCTGTATCTTCAGTTGGTATGTGAGAAAGCTAAAGCTCAAAGAGGTTGAGTAACTTATCTGAGCCTAGATTTAAGTGGGTAGGAGACTTGGGATTTAAATCCATGTCTACGTGACTCCCATACTTAGCTCCTTTCACGGCCCCATGCTGTGCTTAGAAAATACTTGAGGGGCAGGTGTGCCTGTTGTGCCCATGGTTGACAAAGGTGCACTATAAATAGTTACCAAGAGTTCTTTAGGCACCATACACTTTGCTTAAATAATTTGCCTTTGCCTAAATGCTTTTTTAAAAAGTAAAATTAGTTGGCAGTTAAGAAGGATTTCTGGCTGGCCATGGTGGCTCAGGCCTGTAATCCTAGCACTCTGGGAGGTCAAGGCAGGTGGATCACCTGAGGTCAGGAGTTTGAGACCAGCCTGACCAACATGGTGAAACCCCATCTCTACTAAAAATACAAAAAATTAGCCAGGTGTGGTGGCGCATGCCTGTAATCCCAGCTACTGGGGAGGCTGAGGCAGGAGAATTGCTTGAACCCGGGAGGCGGAGGTTGCAGTGAGCCTAGATTGCACCATTGCACTCCAGCCTGGGCAACAAGAGTGAAACTGTCTCATAAAAAAAAAAAAAAAAAAAAAAGGAAGGATTTCCAACTTTTTAAAAGGTATTTTATTCACATTATGTCTGCTGCAGTGCAAGGCATGGGTCCGGCATACTGGGAGTGTTTAATAAGTGCCTAATGTGACAAATCTTTCATTGAATTATTATTTTATGAAATATTGCTGCCAAAAGAGCACTGCTTTTTACACTCAAGACCTAAAAGCTTGATTTTGACAACTAAGGAAAACGAAGTCAAGACCTAGACAACTTTCCTTACATGTGAGCACAATAAAAGGGAAAGAAAAACCCCTAAATCTATGGTTTAGTCCAAAGATTTATATTAATGTCCATTTTGCTAGAACCACTCACAAATAATCTTGTAAGGTTATTAGAGTTTTAGCTATTTCCTGAGAGTGCAAAGCCTGAGATAGGAAGAGGAAAGTAAGAAAAGAAGCAACAAGCTCAAATAAATTCTAATAATCTTAATATATCTCTTTACAGTGTATAAGTTTCTCCAACATGTTCTGTCTTATTCCAGTCTAAGAAGAGCCACCCCATAAGCGGGGCAGGACAGTGAGCATAATTCCCATTTCATATATGCAGAAATAGAACGATTGAGGATTATGCTTAAAAAGCCCAACCAAAGCAGCTTGGGCTTACTCTTCCTCCTTCTGCAGCTTGTCACCCTCTGAAGAGCAGTTTGCCAGGGCTCTTCCACTGGGAAAGCACTGTGAGTTTCAGGCAGGCCAGCTAGGAAGGCATGAGGCAGGGGGTGGGTCCAACCTCCTGCACTAGACCCACCCTGAGAAAGCAGGGTATGTTGGACCGAACTCAGGGACCTCCGTGCATTGAGAGATGCTAAAAGAATGAGAATGTAAAATGCATAACTGAGGGCAGATCAGATGGCAAACGAGCTAATTTTAGCTAAGAAGCCCAAGAGAAATGATATGAATTAGCCGAGTAATCAATAGATTTCAGATATCTGAGTGCTATAGAACCCAAATCTGCGGCATGTTTAATTCTGTTTCTGAAAATGTTTATTTTATATAAACACAAATGATACTTCTTACTACTATTTTTTTAAAATAAAGTATTACATTTGGGGGAGACCTGTAACAATATTGCCTCTAAATTGATTTGTTCAAGTCCATCTTTTTAATAAAATACAGCCAATCCTCATTATTTGTGAATTCCACATGCATGAATTTCCCTGATTGCTAAAATGTGTTTGTAATCCTTAAGTCAATATGCTTGGTGCTGTTACGTAATTTTGAGGACATATACAGAGTGGTGAAAAATTGGAGTGCACATTCTTAGCTTAGGTCAAAGTGATGGTCTACCTTCTTGTTTCAGGTCTTATATATTGTAAACTTTTTTGTAGTCTATCAAGTGCCACCTTTTCCACATTTTTAGACATTTTGTGGTGATTTTGCTTTTGAAAATGGCTCCCAAGTATAGTGCTAAAGGGCTGCCTAGTTTTGTTAGTCCAAGAAGGCTGAGATGAGGCTTACAGAGAAAATACGTGTGTTAGATAAGGTTTCTTCAGGCATGAGTTATAGTTATTAGCTATCAGTTTAATGAATCAGCAATATATATTACATAAGTTATCTTTAAACAGAAACACACATAAAACAAGGTTGTACATTGATCAGTTGACAAAAAAGTTATGACCAGAGGCTTGCAGGAACCTAACCCTGTATTTTTCCTAGGAGCAAAGGTTAAGTATTTGCTAATTTCGTGTTCACAATAACTTTATAAAATGTAACTACCACACATAATGAGAATCAACTGTGCATTTTAAGAGATAGTCTAATGAGAGTCTTGCTGGTGACTGTTGACTGTAGGTGCTAGTGTGGCACATAGTAGACACTCAATAGATGTTTTAGTGAATGAGTGAATGAAGCCAAAAGATTTACACTCTATAAGTTGGCAAGGATATTAAATAGAACTTACGCTAACTGGTTATGTATGCAAACTACATGGAGAAATGAAGAGAATCAGGTCAAGATAGCAGGAAATAGTCTGAAGCTGACTCCCAGAGAAGAGGTTGCAGGGTAAGTACCCATTTTGCATGACTCCAGCAGCTACGGAGAAACTTGGAGGCCCAGTGACAGGGCTATCCCCAAGAAAACAAACTGGCAACACCCAGGGTGGAAGACCTGCAAAGCAGCTGTCACTTTGGCCTGCCCACAGGAGAGGGGTTTGGGAGTGGAGCCAGAAAGCAAAAAGTTACTATCAGTAGCTTCTAAAACCTTGTAGAAGTAGTCCCAGCCCTAACACCGAGCCAGATAGGCACATCAATCTTAAAGAAGATGAGTGCTGATTTGTTCTCATAATCATCATGGTAGGTAGATAGGTAATGGCCCCTGAGAGATGTCCATGTCCTAATCCCCAGAACCCATGACTATGTTATATGGGAAAGGGGAATTATGTTTACTAATGGAATTAAGTTTGCTAATCAGCTGACCTTAAAATCAGGAGATTATCCTGGATCATCTCTCTGGGTGGGCCCAATGTCATCGCCAGCATCCTTATAAGGAAGCAGGAGGCAGAAGAAGAGTGAGTGTCAGAGCGTTGCAATGTGGGAAAGACTTTGCCATCATTGCCGGCTTTGGAAAGGGAAGAGGGTCATGATCCAAGGAATGCGGGCAACTTCTAGATGCTGATGAATGCAAAGAAACAGTCTCCCCTCCAGCCTCCAGAAAGGAATGCATCTTTGCTGAGACCTTGATTTTAGCTCAGTAAGACTGATTTCAGCCTGCTGACCTTTAGAACTGTATGAGAATAAACATGTGTTGTGTTAAGCCACTAAATTCATAGTAATTTCTTACAGCATCAATAGGAAACTCTTTCTATATTCGTGTGGCATTTTAGTGTTTTCAGATGCTTTCATCTATGTGACCCTGCATGATCTTTATAATTCTGGGTGAGGGAGAGATTAGAAGACCCCAAACCTGAAAGCTTGTGCCTACTAAGAAGCTGAACTGTACTCAAGTCTAGGCCTTATTTGCTTTTGTAAAGATTCCTTTAGTTCATACTTAAGAAGTTCTAAAATCTTCTGGGATCACATTCAGACATTTGGGAACCTCTGAGGGACACCCTTATAGAATTTAAATGACATTTTCTAGGACAGCCAATCAGGGAAATCCAATGTTTCCATAGCAGTTCACTGCCACCTTCTCTGAGGTAGTGCCATATCAGAGGCTGCTCGATAGGTGTGATAGGCAGAATTGTGCTTCCTATGCCCTTCACCCTCTGGGGCTATGCCTATGAGTATGTGATGTTGCATGGCAAAAGGGACTTTGCCATTGTAATTGATGTCACTAATCAGGGACCTTAGCGTTGGGAGATTATCTTGGATTACCCTGGCCATACCAATGTTAGTACATGAGCCCTTAAAAGGAGGGCTTTTCCCCTGATGAGAATGGAAAAGAAAGGGAGGCAGAGAGATGCACCAGAAGGGAGACCTCACAGAGATTTGAAGCTCAACAGAGACTCAACATCACTGATGGCTTGAAGATGGAGGGAAACATATAGATACTGTGAGAAGGAAATGAATTCTTCCAACAACTAGTGAGCTTGGAAGAGGACTTAAGCCCCAGGTGAAAAGGGTAGCCCTGGTAGATACCTTGGCTTTCACCCAGTGAGACCGTAAGCAGAGAACCCAAATGAGCCACACCGTGGGCAGACTTCTGACCTACAGAACTGTGAGATAATAATAAATATGTGTTCCATTAAGTTGTTAAATTTGTGGCCACTTACACAACTAACACAATAGGAAAGGGTCATAAAAGATACAGAAGCAGGTAGGGATGTCATTCAAAAAAAGAAATAAGCTTACATTTGCAACTAAGGGACAGGGAAGGATTCTGGATAAGAGATAGAATTAAACATGGATCTTAAAAGATAGGTCTCAAATAAAAAATTCAGCAGTGGCCAGGTGTGGTGGCTCACGCCTGTATCCCAGCAATTTGGGAAGCTGAGGCAGACGGATCACCTGAGGTCAGGAGTTCAAGACCAGCCTGGACAACATGGTAAAACCCCATCTCTACTGAAAATACAAAAATCAGCCAGGCATGGTGGTGCGCATCTGTAGTCCTAGTTACTCTGGAGACTGAGGCATGAGAATTGCTTGAACCCAGGAGGTGGAGGTTGCAGTGAGCCAAGATCACACCACTGCACTCTAGCCTGGTGACAGAGTGAGACTCCATTTCAAAAAATAAAATAAAACAAAATAAAATAGGGCAAGTGAGTGTGGAGGTGGGGAGAAATTCCCAGAGAAAGGAACAGCCTGAATAAAGGCAGGGAGTGGGGCTCAGGCTCTATCCCAGGACCAGAACATGCTCTAAACAGAGCCAGGGTCATAACCTTCTCATCTAGATTCTGGGGAATTGTTCCAGTTCAGATTGGCCCAAGGTTGCAAATCCAGAGTGAAAATTCTAGCCTGGGTGTTAATTAAGTGACATCCTGAAGCCTCCAGCTGAGATTAAAGAAGACACATTCCAGTTTGGTCCCAATCCCAGGATAAGTTCTCTCTGTGTGTTGCAGATCCTAGGACCATGCAGAGTTAATACTGACCCTGGAGCTAACTCAGACTGACCCCAAAGGCAAGGGAAGCTGGGTGAGAAGCTGGTGCTGCAGGCTGCTTGGGACGGAGTTGGGGGCAGTATTGGTGGGTGCCAGAGCTCTGACTGCCAACCTTTCATGTCAATAAATAAGATTCATCTCATCCAGTCATATCTACTAGTTCTGTTACCTTGAAAAGTATACTGGGGAATAAAGTGAATAAAGTGAGAATTGTCTACTCGGCAACTTGCAAGCCTAAATGGGTAGATGGTTTTGATGACAACAGTCAATGTTGAGCAATGGAAATGATGACTCAGGAGGTGTTTCTGATGTCCAATCATCTGCAGTGACTGCAATGACTCAACATCCTTGTTGAGAAGACTGAGAAACCTCCCATAGAAGCCTATTTCTTCAGATGTAAAGATCGTGAGCTCATAGGGTCAGAGAACCTGCCTCTGAGACCTCTCTTGCCATCTACAATCAATTATGCTTTACAAATGTTTTGTGGTTGTGTTGAGTATAAATAAGACAATAATGGTTTCTATTTGGAAGTCACACCCAATAAGGAGTTGAAGTTTTTTTGGCGAGTTCAGTCTTCAAAAACATGTATCTGACCTCCATCCGCCTACCTGCACTGAAACAATATGTATCTATATATCATTTAGATTTTTAAGAATCTTCTCTTGGTATAGGAGACAGAATCAAGTGGGGCAGTCTCAAACAGCAGGTTTTCAACGCAGTGGCAGGGAAGAAGTTCCCAGCAGGGGCGGGGAGGGGGAAACTTGGGATATTTGGGGACCAGCAAATGTTATCAGGGAATGACATCTGTTCCATTAGAAAGGAATGGCAATTTTCAACATAATATATTGTGATTCTGTTTTCCCAAGTTCTTCTGGCTTAAACCCAAGAAGGCAATAAAACCAACACTGGCTATAGAGTCAGGAAGCCATGAGTCTGAATTCCAGCTCCACTGTCAACGAACTCCATGTCTGTCTCACCTGGGATAATGTGAGAATTCAACATATTCAAGGAGGGAATACCTGTGAATGTGCTGGCAGTGTGCTCCCAAATGTTCCTGGTGATTGCATCTCTGTATTCTGTCATTCCTCTGCAGTCTTGAAGAGCCTTGCCGGACAACTGGGACAGGTGTCCTGTTCATGGAAAATAGTATAGGTTTTCCTCCTTAGTGAAGAAGATTACAGCAGGGAAAATTCTGCAAAGTGGCCACCAGCCTGAAAATGTGCCCACTCTATGGACCTTTTTTCACTCGTGTTTACTCCAAGAGAAGTTTCTTTTTCTGCGAATGAGAGCTGGGCTGTCACCTTCGTTCAGGCATCCTGCACTCTCCGTCATGTCCGTCACACATATGGTGCCTGGCAGGGTGCACCTCCACTCCAAGGCCCTTTCTGGAGAGCATCTGCTAACCCTGCCAGCCTGATGCCTCCAACCTCAGCACCACCTTTTCCCAGGTTTCTTGCTGAATCAACCAATTAGCTCAGATTGTCTCTGACTGCTTTGAACTATGTCTTGTTAAAACATGGGTGGATGGGGACCTGGTGAAGTCCAAAAGTCATTCTAAAACTGAAGTCTCTTAATTCAGCTTTGATGCCAGAAACTCCGCTCTCTTCCATTTAATGTAGTTAGCAGTCTTAGTGCTCTAGTTTTCAGTGTGACTTCTAAGAGAATCCTGGTAGGGATTTGGAGCAATGCCTTCCCTGAAGCATTCCCTACGACATTTCCTCCAGGATCTTTCCACAACCTAAAAGAAAACTGCACAATTTATTTTGGAAAAAAAAACCGTGCTCAAGGGATCGATGATATATTTAATCACAGATTATCTTTCCTTTAACAGCTGCACCTCAGCTCATCATATCCTTGTGACAGTCCCAATACTTAAGAGTCAAATAATGACACTAAAGTTTCCACCTCTCTGCAACCGGTTTTTGATAAGACTAAACTCTCTCTGGAACAATAGTGTTCCCTGCACTTTCTGAAAGAATGTTTCTGCAAGGGTACCCTGTACTTTTGTGAGCCAGGTAGATGGTGAGAACAGAGTTGTCCTGTCACCCTTGGAAATTTTGTCTAGTGACTTGCGGTTTTTTTTCTTTGGAGTTGTTGTCTTGCCCTGATTCCAAATACTTATTTTGGTTCCTAAAATTATATTGAGGATTGCTTAAAAGCTAACTAGAAACTTAATATTAAGGGAAGCTCATAAAAGCCTGTTTTACATAATACATAAAGACTCTTATAAGCTCCAAAATTTCCCTTTGGAGGTTATTTATTTGTTATAAGTAAAATAGTGTCATGAAGAAACTACCTTTTGCTACCTCTGGTGTTTATTCTTCAACCTGAGAACTACTCTGGTTTGACCAAGCAAGTCTATCGATCAGTTCCTCATACAAACTCTGGAAACTTTCACAAATGAAAACTTCAACCAAAAACCACAAAGAAAACCTACATTTTAGAGGTGATATCTGCCTTAATTGTTTGCAAATTGCTGTGATATCACAGTTGACATCATAAAGGGGAAGAAGAAATATACATAAATCAAGCTTTTTTCCATATTTAAACTATTTCTTCTGACTAAATGGATTATTTTAGGTTTGCACATTCAGTGTAATTAGTGCATATGGTCCAGCTGTGAAGAAATAGCTGAGGACTCCTAACTTATTATTAATTAGGCTCATTAAAATGCAAGTAAGAGAACGTTGCCTAGGTAAACAATACCTTATGTCAAAAAGTCATTACTTGACAAGAGCTAGTCTTCCTAACTAAAGTCATTACTGATATTTGGCAGAGGCTTTTTTTTTAAGGCACCATGGGTGCCAGTTAACTACTTTTGACTGACATCAAGGACAGACATGCAGAGCTGGAAAGAGCTGGTGGTACAGCACAGCCATTCTTTTCACATCATTTCAAAATACGTCTGGGGGAGGTTAAAGGTTGACAGCCCAATGACAGGCCTTCTTCAACTGCCGTGGTGTCACAGCAGGAGCATGTCAGGAAAATTTCCTCGGCCCCTCTGAATTTCTTACATGTTCACATTTCTTTTCCTGTCTCACAAGTAGGGAGGGATTGGCAGATTTGTGACAAACACCTGGGAAAGAAAAATGTACATTATCTCTGTTAGGAACCAGGGAGGTGTGGAGGTGAAAAGACATCTGAGCTTGAGGGGGAAGTCTCTGCTTATCCTTTGCCAAATCAAAGAGGAGGGCAGTCCACACTAGTCCACAGGGACATCCCATACTGGCCCCACTTCCTGTAACTTTGCACACTCTTCCAAGGGTGTTTATAGGTTAGCTGTGGTTTCTGTCCCCTGGAAACACAGCTCCACAGCCTGGTAACCCAGGAATTAGCTCAACTAACTTGGTGGAGGTCTTTCCGGCCTCTGAGTGTGTGAGACCACAAGCAAGGTGTGCAGAATGAACTCCAGTCTTCCATACTCTGGCCTTGGAGAGTGCCCAACTTCAACGTCAGACACTGTGGTCAGGATCTTTGAAGGTCTCAGGATTATTCCCCAGGCATAATCTTCTCTCTTAGATTTCTTTGTTTGAGTGCAACAGAAGCAGCAGCATACACATCAGCTGATTTCTGGAGTTCTAGAAATGTTTCCCTGTCTTTAAAAGTCTATGCACGCTTCCATATAAATCACGGCAGGAATGCAGGCTCTGGTCTAAATGGATCAAAAGAAGCTATTGACAGTTGCTGAAATGAGTGTCTACCCTTAACACTGGGTCAATTGATAAGTGTCTGACCTAGACTTTTGACTGACATGAAGAGATGTCAAGAAGAAATCTTTCCCAGTGATGACAACAAGGCAGGAGGAGAGCAGAGGGAGGGAAGAGAAAACCAGGGAAAGATCTCACTGCCTGGTAGACACAGTAGTGTCCTCTTAGATGCACCCCAGGAAACTGCATGCTCAGTTATGATGTTCATTCAGCACCTGTGCTTGATAAAGGATTGGAGGAGTACAGTTAAATCCAAGAATTCCATGAATGGGATTTGGAAAAATACTAAAGTTTGTCTCGATCAAATAGAACCTTATCATTAATATTACCTGTAACCCACATTCCAAAATGATTATAGGAGAAACATGAAATTTAAAGCAAAATTTTTTCCATGCTACCACATAGGAAAGTTATGTCCTTGAATAGAAATATGCACCAAAATGTTAGAGAAGTACAGAAGCACGCTAATCTGTGCTATCCCTGTTTTAGCATCTAGCAATGACCTCTTCAAGGGGAATGTTATAGAGCGTATCCTATTTTTGCAATATCACTTATCCTATATTTTAATACTACTAATATCCACAAAGTTAGTTTAGATATCTTTGCATATCAAGAAGCTGTCATTTTATATTCCAGATTTTTCCTTTTGCATTGTGATGATGTGTCCTGACAAACAACAGGATTCCATTATTAAATAGTGATGCTACCCAAATCCAGGCTTGTCCTGTGCTTGATGGCTGCTGCTATTGCTCCACAGAGATGCCTCTTCCCAACCAGAAACTGTGTTAACCGACTCTCACACTGACTTCCAATCCTCACCACAACCTTGCGAGGTCGGTATTATGACCACTACTTTACAGGTGAGGAAGCTATAGCCCAGAGAGATTAAGAAACCTGCCCAAGGACACTGGTAAACTTGCTTTTTGGTAAAATTGGAATTATATATAAAAGAACAAGGCTGGTGCTGCCCCCAGGAGGCCACTGTACTGCAAGCAGCTGCACAGACCAATCTGGAGACAGACATGGGGTCGGGGGACAGGGGAGGGCAAAGTTGGGGATGAAGGGGTGGAATCCTGCTTCTACTGCACCAATCCTCAGGCCTTTGCTATCCTTTTCTAAAGTTTGAGGAAAGAAGGCCAGGCGCGGTGGCTCACGCCTGTAATCCCGGCACTTTGGGAGGTCAAGGTGGGCGGATCACCTGAGGTCAGGAGTTTGAGACCTGCCTGGCCAACATGGTGAAACCCTGTCTCTACTAAAACTACAACAATTAGCCGGCCATGGTGGCGGGCGCCTGTACTCCCAGCTACTTGGGAGGCTGAGGCAGGAAATGGCTTGAACCCGGGAGGTGGACGTAGCAGTTAGCAGAGATTGTGCCACTGCACTCCAACCTGGGTGACAAGAGCAAGACTCTGTCTCAAAAAAAAAAAAAAAAAAAGACTAGGCTGGCAAAGTGGTTTGGTTCTGTGTCCCCAACCAAATCTCATCTGGAATTCTAATCCCCAAGTGTCAAGGGAGGGACCTGGTGGGAGGTGATTGGATTATGGGGGCGGTTTCCCCATGCTGTTTTCATGACAGTGAGTGAGTTCTCATGAGATCTGGTTGTTTGATAAGTGTCTGGTATTTCCCCTCCTCTCTGTCTCTCTCCTGTCACCTTGTGAGGAAGGTGCCTGCTTCCTCTTTGCCTTCTGCCATGATTGTAAGTTTCCTGAGGCTTCCCCAGCCATGTGGAACTGTGAGTCAATTAAATCTTTTTTGTTGATAAATTACTCAGTCTCAGATAGTATCTTTATAGCAGTGTGAGAAGAGTCGAACACAGCTGGATAGTTTTCAGGCTTGAAAAATGTAGGGAGTTTAAGCAAGCCCCTGCATTGGGTTTATGGTAAGTAGAAGAAGCTTGTGCTGAATAGCTTCCATTTCTCCTTCTCCATCTCACCATGCTCTCTGCTCCTCAACCCTTACCTCTAGAGACTGCAGGAGTGAGTTCCAGTGTCCTCCAGTGTCTGGTTGGTTTCCCTCAACAACAGTGCTAGAATCTTATCACAAATCGAGTGAAGGAGGAAAATGAACCACAGTATGAATTTTCCTGGTTCCCCATGAGTCACCTCTACAGAAAGTCCTCGTCCCTCTAAAGAGGGCAATTCTTTTTTTTTTTTTTTTTTGAGACGGAGTCTCGCTCTGTCGCCCAGGCCAGACTGCGGACTGCAGTGGCGCAATCTCGGCTCACTGCAAGCTCCGCTTCCCGGGTTCACGCCATTCTCCTGCCTCAGCCTCCCGAGTAGCTGGGACTACAGGCGCCCGCCACCGCGCCCGGCTAATTTTTTGTATTTTTAGTAGAGACGGGGTTTCACCTTGTTAGCCAGGATGGTCTCGATCTCCTGACCTCATGATCCACCCGCCTCGGCCTCCCAAAGTGCTGTAAAGAGGGCAATTCTATACAACTCTTTTCTCTTCAAGATTCCAAGAACTTCTCCGTCTTTCCTCCTTTTGAGCCTAGAAGTGATGGCTGCTCTGCTATAGCTAACCTTTGATTCTCAAAGTATTGCTAAGCAGTCCTCTCGACCCATCCACACCTTTGTAATTAGTCTCTTTGCAAACCAATTCCTTCTGAATATCCTTATTTGGGCATAATGACTGTTGGGACCCTGCCTAGACAAAGGTCAGCTATATGTATCTCCTCCCTGTATGTCCAAGAAATTTACTCTAGCTCCACTTGGAAATCTGGTCCACAACATGGAATGAGTCCTGAAGGTAAAAATGGCCAGGCCCTTCCCTCTAGTAGTGCAGAAGTCAGCAAAATCCAGAGGCCCTCACTGTCAGAAAGTTATCACCCCAGATGACCTTCTATTAGTGTCCACTAGCACTTTACGTATGTTAGCTAACATAATTCTTACAGCACTCTTCTAAGGTTGGTATTATTTTCATCCCCATTTTATGAATGAGAAAACTGAGCCTAAGGTTAGTAACTCGACTGAAGCCACATAGTACATGGCAGAACTTGAAAGTGGCCAGTAGCAAGGTCCTAAATTTCCCAGGTAAGCTTGGCAGTCTGTGAAAATGACAGAGGCTGGCATGATCTATGGGACATTCTGCAGGCATCTTGTACTTTTGGCTTCCCAAAACATAAAAAGACTTAAAATGTTCTATTCCACATGAAATATGTCCATGATGACACCAAGACAAACTGTTTCAGACAACTGCATATCTAATTGTGTATTTGTCATCTCTACTTGGATGTCTAAAGATATCTTGAATTGAACATGCCCCAAACAAAACTTTTTATACTACTCCCACTGCAAACCCAAATCTGCTCCTCCTATAACCACACCCTCTCAGTAAGTGACAACTCCATTTTTCCAGTTGCTTAGGCTGAAAACCCTAGGTCATCTTTGATTCCTCTCTTTCCTTCATGCCTCTCATTAATCCTGTATATAAACCCTGTCGGCTCTCTGCCCCTTCTCCATCTCACTTTGCTGTCTGCTGCTTACCCTTTACCTCTAGAGACTGCAGCAATGGCAGCAGTCAAGTGGCTTGAATAGTGTCCCCTCCAAAACCCATGCCCACTCAGAACCTCAGAATATGACCTTATTTGGAAATAGCGTCTTTGCAGATGTAATTAGTTAAGGATAGAGATGAGATCCTAATGGATTAGAGTGGGCCCTAAATCCAACGACTGGTGTCCTTATAAGAAGAGGAGCAGAAATAGAGATGCAGAGAAAAAGGCAATGCCAATGAAGACGGAGGTGGGGACTGGAGTAATGCTGCCTCCAGGCGAGGAGTGCCAAAGATTGATGGCAGTCACTAGAATCTAAGAGAAAGGCAAGGAATGGTTTCTCTCTCAGAGCCTCTAGAAGGAATCAATCCTGTTGACACCTTAATTAGTACCTCTAACTTCCTGAACTATGAGAGAATACATTTCTCTTATTATTATTATTATTATTATTATTATTTGTATTTTTAGTAGAGATGGGGTTTTGTCATGTTGGCCAGGCTGATCTCAAACTCCTGGCCTCAAGTGATCCGCCCACCTCAGCCTTCCAAAGTGCTGGGATTACAAGCATGATCCACTGCACCTGGCCTATCTCTCTTATTTTAATCCATCAAGCTTTTGGCAATTTGTTATGGCATCCCTAAGGAAACTAACACACCATCCTTTTAAAATATACCAAGAATATAACCACCACTTGCCACCTCGATTGCCATAACCCTCTAAGATATCATGTCCCTGGATGAATGCAATCACCTCCTAATACTCTATCCTCACCTCCTCACAGTCTGTTCTCCTCAAACAGAATGGTCCTATTAAAATGTAAGTTATATTGCTTCAGTTTGTGTCATTGTTCTCTACTGAGGTCATGGAATTTATGATTGTATCTACTATTACTATTAAGATGTTATGAAGGATGCTTTCTGATACACCTCATGATCATCCCTTTTTAAAACCTCGGGAAAATTTTTTCATGTCTCAGGACCAAAATCAGATTATGTTTCCCCAGAACAGTCGTTTATTATATATCTTTTACCTGATTGTGTTCTTGACTTTGCTTTACCAGCTATGAAACTCAGATGCAAATTGCAGCCCACCTCTAGCTCCCAAATTAATTCACATTTGCATTCATTTTGTGATTTATGCTTACCTTTGATTTAATTTTATTTTGCCTGCCTTGATTTTCCTTTTATTCTAGTTTCCTCACTTACAAAAAATGTTTTGAAAAGTATTTTAAAAGTGAATTTTTGTAAGCCACTTTTACTTTTGTGTGTTTTTGAAGATAAACAAAAGGATAAAAATGACAAACAAAAAATACTGAATAAGATCAGGCCATTCCCCTTACCAAAACACTGTATAGACTCCCTACCTTCCACAGGGTAAGAGCCAAAATCCCTATGGGAGCACATACAGCCCCATGCCATCTGGCCCCATGGCCTCTTGGATTTCTTCTCCTACCACCTTGCCCCTTTCTCACTCTGCTCTGGCCACAGTGGCCTCTGTCCTCCTCCTTAGTATCTCAGGCTTGCTGCTGCCTTCCCCTGAGCTCCCCATGGCTCACTCTTTACTTCCTTCAAGACTTTGCACAAAAGTCCCCTTCTCCATGCAACTTACTTCCACCATCCTATCTTAAATAACAACCCCCGTCAAGCTCAGTCTCTCTTACTCTGCTTAATTTTTTTTCCCATAGCAGTCAGCATCTAACAAACTATAAAATTCAATTACTTAGGTGTATAATGACTATTGTCTGTCTTGCCCCCACAGTGAAGTTTAAGCTTCATAGCACAATAATCATTATTTTGTTATACTCCATGTACCTAGGAGAGTGCCCAGAACACAGAAGGCACTCCAAAATATTTGATAAATTGGTGAACGGATGGATGAATGAATGAGGGAAAGAGAAGTAGAGAGGGTTAAAGAGATGTCAGGGGCCAGATATGTATGGGTTTTCAAACTCTGGGAAGGAATTTAAATTTCATTCTAAGTAGAAGAGGGATGGCAACTAACCTGTGTGAAGTATTTAGTTCATTGTCTATCCATCTGAGGGTCCAATTTTCTCTGCTACTGTAGAGGGTCATTTGAACAACTTTGTGAGCCTGTGGATAATATCAGGATCTTTAAAAATCCTTATATATGAACTTGCTTCAAAATAGAACCAAGAGTTTGTTTATTTGCCTCAAAGATGATAACCAATTAATTCGTTCAAAAATATCAGAAAGAGATGACAAATGTGAGAACCATTTACTGAACTGGTAACCGAATCTTCATGATGGATGAGCAGAGTCCTGCTTTATTTGCAAACAGGAAGGCTGAAATGTTAGTTCAGAGGAAAAGGCAGTCAGCTTCTATACCTCACTGGGGTTTTGCAGCAGTGTCTGGCTTCCTGGCCTATGCAGCTTAGCAAATGTTGGCATTTTAGGACAATTACTGTATGTGGCCAAAAAATGTTCAGTAATTGAGAGTTGCATCAGCCTTAGTTGGCATCCCTTTCTGTTTGTTCATAAAATGTTTGTGCCTTCATCCCAGAGAGTGGGAAATTACCTTTTAAAAGCCTCATCTAACTTTCCTCTGAGCTAAAAGGTCCATCTCCAGTAACATTTGTATTGCTTTCCCCTTCTGTTTTAGTGCTGCAAATTGGTTATCAAAATACTTCCCTGACCTTCCCCTTCCCTCTCCATCACACACTGACACATCTAGCCTAAATTTGCGTCTTGCATCACCTCAGGAAACTCATGGCTAATTTCGTTATTTGGGAGAGAAAAATGCAAATGAAGCCAGACAGCTGGTGCTCTCCTCGAGGCTGCGAGTGATGGAGGGGCCGAGGCCCACCTCATCAGAGGCCCTCACACCCTCCTGCTCAGACAGGCCCTGGCGGGGAGAGAGCAGGGAGACTGCTGGAGCAGCAGGAACAGATGGCTAGGAGGGGAAAAGATGGAGAAGCCCAAAGTGCTGGAGAGACTGGGGAAAGGTGGAGTGTCAGGCGCCGGGCAGTCAGATGCAGCATACAGGACAGGGATGGGCACTTGCAATCCTTGAACACCGTCACTTCTGAAAGGACAGCGGAGCCCTGGAATTCCATTTGGTGGCACTGTCTGCCAATGGCAATTGGCAATGTCTCTGCTCTTACCTCCATGGCCACACCTACATTTCATTTTCTGTTTCTGCATGCTCAACATCCTTTTTTTCCAAAAAGGAGACGTCGATGACAGAGAGAGAAAAATAATAAAAATAAAGGAAAGGGGAATGAGAGCATATTGCTTTCGTTCTGAATGAGCCTCAGTCTGCAAACCCAAGTGTGTGAGAGACATCTAACTTTATTTTTCTATTGTAATTTCATTTTCTCATCATGCCCTGCTGGAGTGATGGAAACTTTATTTCGTTCAGCATCCTCTGTTCCTCTGGAATTCACTGAAATAGTAGGAGACTTAGAAAGTCCTAAGAGAGGGGCATGAAGCCCTTGTGTCATCTGTCCACACTGCTCACTGCTGGGGTATCCATCATTCCCTTCAGCCCTTTGATGGTTGGTCCATATGGATTGCTGCTGAAGGGAGCTTCATTGGCTGCTCCATTTCTTATTATTATTCCAGGCCCTTCTGGTATGCACAGCTAACAGTCTAGTGTGCCAAGACTGTGCCAGCCTGGAGAAACTTCGTGGGCTATCTCAGGCTCCATCTAGCCTTCGACACTCAGGCTTATAAGGTTTGTTCTATTCCTGCTTCTCCTTCTCAGCAGGCAGGTTATACCAACACCTGCACACTCTTCCCTTGCCTGCTAAGTCGCCTTTGAGAATCTTCATCTAGTCTGGGGCAGTAACCTGGTCTCTGCTCATTCTGCATTCTCCCAAGGTCTCAATCTAGACCTCAGCTCAAGGAAAAGGCAAGAAAAACAAACAAGCAAGCAAACAAACAAACAAACTGGAGTTAGTATTTCAAAGATAGGTACTTATCTTTTAAAAAGATGGGCATGTAAAATGGGGCTTCCAGCCAAATCCATTTGGGATGAATCTGGGATTTGGTTCTCTTTGAGACACTGTGTTAGCTGATGGGATGTTTTGGGTTGGGTAAGGCCACTCTGTCCACCGCACAATCTCCGGAACCATGAGCCATCTAAGGGGTCCCTCATGTCTCCCATGGGGGATCTAAGTGACATTCTGATCTGAGGAGCAGAGTGGGGATGATTTATAGCAGCACGAACACCTAAAATCCTGCCAATATTGAATGCTGCCTAAACTGCAGGGACCACATTGTTGAGAAAGTAGGGAGACGGGAAAGGAGGAGGTGTTGGATGCACAGATTTAATCACAGCCTTTGAACCATTCCACTGATTGCAGAAAGCCTGGAGAGGGCTCGCTGGAGCCTTGTAATCATTCCTTCGATTGCACTGGGCCTTTTACATTTTATAACACTTTTGCTTTGATTATCTTGCTCTGTATTCACAATACGTCTGTGAAATAGGGGTGTTTTAAAGGCGAGGAACTAGGCAGACATGAAAAGTAAGTAGTGAAGTCCTTAGGGGCTCAGCGAGGTCTCCTCATTGTCCTGCATTTTTACTTCTTGCCTCCCCTGTCCCACCCCACTTTGGGGGCCCAGTAAACTTTGTCCTCTCCCTGGTACACTACTGTGTGTGTACGTAACTAGGCATGATATTATCTCACCCTGACTAGCCAAATGATCAGGTTCTCATGATCCAAGAGACCCAAACACATGTTGAGTTGATCTTAGTTCTTCCCATCTACTGAATGTGCTTTGAATGACTCTGGCCTTTGAGAAACTGACCTGGCTGCTGAACATTAGCACTATTCTCCCTTTTATAGGAATTATGCAGAAATTATTCCATTTCTTTGAACATTTGGGAGCATATGCAGAGTAAAGTATAAATGCTTGCAGAATGCCTTTATTTGCATATTGCAGTTTTTCAGAAATTATCTCCCTTCAGCACACCAAAGGCTTTGATTTCTACTAATTCTAATAATATTCAGGGTGAAGGAGAAACTGAGGCACAATATCATGAGTTCACATGGAAAAATCATGAGTACACATGGAAAAAAGGTAGAATTTTTGACGTGAATTATCTCAGTTTATATATACCTTTTAAAACTTTTTCCTATGTTTTCTCCTATTTACACACCGTCTGCCCTGTGGGCTGTGGTGCACATTGACATGTGTTATTGCATTGTCGCTATCCTATTTTTCCAGGTAAGGATGGTGAAACTCGGAAAGGTTAAGTCACTCAGACCCAGCATGCAGTGTCGTTTCCCTCTGCCCGCTGCCTGTGCTACACATTCTGGGCGCTGTTGCTGAGCTCCGCTCAATGGCTTTACGCCTCCCTTTCAGGGAAAAGCAGCTGCACTGAAGTTCTGTAAATGCTGTAATAGAAGTTGTTAACCACTTCCACATGATTTTTAAAGTAAATGTCACACTGCATTGTAACAGTGAGCTAACAACACGTTAGCGGGTTCTCATTCTCATTTAATTCACTTTTCCAATACGGAAGTTACTGTGATGCCTGCAAGGACGGCCACGTTCAGTGAATTACTTGGCAGCTGGGCCATTTATTTCTTCACTTCTCCCTTGCTGCCTCCCTCGGTGGTTTTTGAAGTTTAGTTATTGCTATGCTTCCTCTCATGCTGCTATCCGAGGGAGAATGGAACTGTTGGTTTCAGCAGCAGTCAGATCCTCACCATTCCAGCCTGGCTGCGGAAGCGCCCACTAGTTCCCTTTGTCTGCTGCTCTGCCCAGAGCTGGAAGCATAGGCTGAGCGGCTGCTGGCTGTCAGCTTGCAGCGTCTGATATTGTTAGGAGACGAATTATGCCCCTCCTGCCCCCCCACTGCCCTCAATTTGTATGTTGAAATCCTAATCTCTAGTACCTCAGAATGTGATCTTATTTGGAAACAGGTCCATTGAAGAGGTAGTTAGTTAAGTGGAGGTCATATTGGAGTAGGCTGAGTGAGCCGCTAATCCAACATGACTGGTGTCCTTATAAAAAGGGACAATGTGGATGCAGAGACACACACAGGGAGAATACCATGTGAAGACTGGAGTTATTCAGCCACAACTAAGGCATTTCCAGAAGCCAGGAGAGAGGCTTGGAACAGATCCTTCCCTAGAGCCTTCAGAGGGTGTGTGGCCCCGCTGACACTGACCTCAGACTTCCAGCCTCCAGAGGTGTGAGATGATAAATTTCTGTTGCTTAAATGACTCCGTTTGTTGTACTTTGTTAAGTCAGTCCTAAGATTCTACAAATGCCCACATTTTCCCCATTCTTCTCACCCAAAGGAGCCTCTGAAGGAGCCCCAAGAAAGGAGCCCCAAGAATCTACGAAACCCCTAGAGCTCTGGGATCTAGTGATCACTTCATTGGATGGGTTTTCTTCTAGAGTCTCTTGAAGGAGGGACAATCCTAGAGTTCCCTTGTGAAGCTCTAGGGAGGTGGGACTTGCAGAAGCACAGTTTTGGCCAAATTATATGTACACTAGCCTACACTGGAATAGCAAGGAATTTGAAAGGATGCCATGGGCACCTCCTGCATCCTAGTAGCCCCTGAATGCTTAGACAATAAGTCTCTGCTTCTGTCTCCAGCCCAAGGTGATGCAGACTTCGAATTAGGAGCATGCAGTAGTGATGTTATCTGCATATGATTTTACTAGGCCCATTTTAACAACAATAATAATAACAAGAATAATGACATCAATAGTCACCACCACAGTGACTCAGCTGTTTGTTAAGCAATAACTGCATGCCAGGTGCACACACTCTCTCACTTCCCTGCTAAGTGATGCTGGCTAACTCAACCACTCTGTGCCTCCATTTTCTAATCTGTAGGATAGAAATAATAACACATAAAGAATTTTAAAGTGTTAGCTATTAATATTATCATCGATGACATGAATATATCTTCTCATTTTAAAGATGAATAAACTGAGGATGGAAGGGAAGCAACTTACCGAAGGTCACTGTCAAACAAGTGACTCCTGTTACCACCTCCGGGTGAGGAGTCCCAATGCACGGTGGAGAGCAGAAAGCTTAACAATGCTTACCACCAGGAGCAGCAGTCCCAGAATGTCAACCTGCTGCAGGGTTTGCAGGAAGCAGGGTCACCAAGGAAGACATGACTCATGCAGACACTGATGGAGCGATGCTTTAACACATGGAAAATAAACAGAGCAAGATTAGCTTCAATAGGGAGCATCAGTCCACAGTGCCAGTGAGTCTTGCTCTGGCTGATGTAGGGAGATGGTCTGCACATACCTCTCTCATGCTGCAGGCAAAGAACTCTTCCCTCCCTGCCGGGAACAGATAGAGCAGTGGAGTTGACTGAGTGCCATAGGACACACACACTTAAGTAGAACAACAATGTGCACATCGAGGTCTGAACAGGGAAAGGTATGCCCAAACAAAGAGATATGCCCAGCTCAGGTTGGGAGGACTCCTTATCTCTTTGCAAGGAAATGTGCCAGCCCAAGGTACATCCTTATGCAACCATGCAGGGGTCGAAAGATGGGGTGCACATGACTGCCTTTTCCAGTAGTCATGCAAGTAGTAATTAGTAGAGCCAGGACTTGACTTGCGTCATTTTTTCCAACTTTTATGTTACCTACTGACTGTGGGCAAGATACAGTGCTAGGCACTGTGAGGTCTGCAACACTGAGTCAGATACAGAAGTCAAGCTCTTCCTCAAAAAGCTTAGTAATGGAGAAAATAAAGGTATGCTCATAGATAGAACAGAGATTTTGATTTTAAAATCTCATTCTTTAATAACATATTCAACATATTCTCAACAGATATTGAGAACCTGACATTGCAGGGGCCATTCCAGGCACTGTGGTACAATGATGAATAAAACGGCATTTCCCCACAGGGCTGACTGTGGATACACGGTCCAGGAAACAGGCAAAGAAGTGAACAAAAAAATCACTGCGGCATGTATGTGTGAGGCACTATGCTAGGTCCAAGAGATAAACACAGAAAAAAATAAACACCTGAAACTATAGCCCTTGTCCTTGTTGGACACAAAGTCTAGAGGTGAGACAGAGAAGAACTGGGTGATTACAGAATCAGACTCACCATGAGGGAAGCTGTGCAGGGTGTTGTGGGGTACAGAGAAGGAACATCTCAAATTCAACTCCAGTATCATTCTTCCAGGAAGCCACCCTGGAGGAATAAATGTGAACAGGTAACTACAGCAACTATGTCACTTGTTGTCCCAACTGCTGAGTATAAAAATCAGTGTCAATATAAGTATACTAGGACAATAGGCATAAGCCAGGACAGCCTTAGAAAGTAGAACATAGGGTCAATCTACAAATAACTGAATAGATCAGAGGAAATATTTACAAGAAAAACAAATGGAATAGGAACGGTTGAAGAGCACTTATTGATGTAGGATTGGCAGGAGTTTACTGAGGAGACACAGCAAGGTTTGGGAAAATCATCACCTGTCCAAAAAACATATATATTAATATATTCATTTACAAATGTGCATGATATATATCATCTATGTCTCTAGCTATATAGATAAATGCACACAGATATGATTGCCACACAAAACAGAATGCTTACTTTTTCATATGAGAATCAGGCTTGATTTCTCCTTTCAATTAATCTAACACAGTAAAGAATAATAGTTATAGGCTTTAGAATCTGAGTTTGCATAGGGATTTCACCACCTACTAACAGTGTAGTAGGAGTATTGGCTAGAATATTTAACCTGTCCAAGTCTCAGTTTCCTTATCTATAAAGTGGGGTTAATAACACTTAATTCAAAGGATTGTTGTGAGAATTAGATATGTCTATTGTTGGAACATAGTAAAACCTTCAGAAAATAATATTTTATGTAGCTTTTAAAATAGTTTATGAAGGTATGTACATATGTACATATTGGTTATAAATGTACACATACTCAATGCTAAATTTTGCTAAATCCAAAAGATTTAGAAAATAAAGAGGTATAGAGAATAGAGAATAGAACACAAGTTACCTATT
Organism: Homo sapiens; assembly: GCF_000001405.40. Taxonomy (NCBI): domain Eukaryota; kingdom Metazoa; phylum Chordata; class Mammalia; order Primates; family Hominidae; genus Homo; species Homo sapiens. The sequence goes on from NC_000001.11 coordinate 217,923,588, forward strand.
AAGTAGTTTACATAATCTAACTTGAGTAAAAAGATAATGTAACTGAAATAGTCAAGGGTTGGATCTTGCTTCAGGCATGGCTGGATCCAGAGGCAAATCCCTTGCCATCCAGGGTCTACTCTCAGCATTCCTAACCAGCTGTCTTGCTGCAGGGGACACAGTAGCTGCCAAGGACCACAAATGGGCACACCTCTAGAGGAACAATCCCAGTGGAAATTGAGCTTCTCCTCTAATAACTCCCCACAAAATACGGAGAAATCTCTGAACAGCCCATCTTTGATCTTGTGTTAAACCTCCAACTTGTCTGAATACTCTGACTAGCAAGGCCAAAGTGTATGTTTTCCTGACTGGGGTTGAGGAGGGCAGTCATCCCTACGTGAGCCTAGGAAAGGAGAATTCTGCAACCAACAAGTGGGACAATTAATGCAAACCGTGAAAAAATAACCCATACTCATGGGGCAAGTCGTCCCAGATTTTTTTTTTGTATACAAAAATATATATAATATGACCTTTTAAAAAGGTTTTTGTTACAAAATAGTTTATACTATATACTTTAAAAAATAACTTACTAATACACCATGGACTTTATATTGATGTGAATAAATACAACACTAATAAATCTTTTTAAAATGGTTGCATAGTATTTCACTATGTGACCACCTCTTACTTTATTTAACTATCATCTTATTAATTAAATGAATGGGATGGAGCCTTTAGGAAAGGACTATAGTGTGACTGATTAAAGGTATGTTTCTGTCTCATATTTGTGGCCCTGGGTGATGTGTGTGCAAGTGTGCACTGAAGTGCACAAGGTGGGAAGGGCACAAGGATGTTTACATGATCTAAGGTCATCAGAAAATGCCCATGCACTTGAGGCAAAAACAACATCAGAATTCATGACCCCTTGGCAACCTTAGAATCACATTACCAGCCAACCCATGGGCTCTAGCGAGCATTTAAAGCACATGACTTAGACTTAGTCCTCATCAGAAGGAGATGGGAATCTATATCAGATCCCGAATCTTGTGTAAGACAGACATAGGAGTTCACATTAAGAGCTTACATTTTGATGTCACTCAATATATGGAGGTCACATGAAAAACCGAAATGAACATACGACTTGAAATTTATAATGCATGCTCTAACCAGATAAGAGGGTTTGCAAGGTTCCTGAGAGTAAGAGGGTTTGTAAGGTTTCTGAAAGTCTGAACTCGCCAACTTTTGAGCTTGAGACAAAGAGAACATGCCTCTTTAAAAGACAATAACAAAAAGACGCTTTTTACCAAAAAATATAGGTGATGCAGATTTCTACATTTTCCAATGAATCATTGCTGTGGTTTTAAAAATAACCAGCTCTGGGTGCCAGCCTCACAGAAGGGCTCCGTTCTCGCCTTCACTTGCTGCTCCGGAGCGCGCTGAGTCAGCCGCGGCTCCGCTGCGCTCCGCGACCCCTCCGTGTGCCCGCGGCCGGCGGGACCCCAGGCCCTGGGCGCGCTCGGCCCAGGCGGGCGGCACAGACGCATGCCAATCTCAGGCCTCCCCGCCGTGACAGCCAGCGAGAGGACCAATTAGTGCTAGCTGTGATGTGGAGATGGGTTCGCCAGGATGAGCACCCCTCCCTGTTCTCTGGGCAGAGGCCACTGGCAGGGCCGTCAGATGTCAACGGCTTTCCATCACGCCCGCCCGGCTCGCGGGGCCTTTCCGGCACCTGGCCCAGCTGCGGGAATTGCTGACCGGAGTTCCCATAGCCCTCCTGCCTCCCAGGCCTTCGGATCCCTCCTTGGATGTAGAATACATCAGATATTAGTATGTTTGGCTCTTCTAATCCCAGGTGGGACTCCGAAGTGAAGATAAGCACTTTAAGAAAATAAACATTTGGATTTCTGGCCATTTTGCAGAATAAGGAAATGCCCTTGACATAATCAGGAGCCTCTTGTTTTGAGAGCATCTGAATGAAAGAATGGACATATGTGGACATACGTTTTAGGCTTGCCCATCCACCAATTCATTACATAAAAAACAAATGGCTTTGTAACTCTCCCAATATGAGAGATGATCAGATCTCACAAAACTGCTTGCAAATTACAGAGTACAATAAGAGATGGCAAATATTTCACATATATAAAAATTGTCTTAAGTAGAGCTCGCTTTGTACAATAGATTCTCTCCATAATATTTCCTGACAGGTGAATAACCACATAAGTAAAACGGCTAATAATGTGTTTTTTTCTTTAATCAACTCTTAATTCTGTTACTCCATTTGAACTGAGAAACGGACATATAATCAGACAAAGCCATTAATTCAAAATACTTTTCTCAAGTTCTACAATATATTACATGATTTGGCAAGCAGTAAACTTTGATTAAATCAATGGCAAACTTATGAATACATTTCAGCTGTATTGGGAGGTGAGGCATTTTGGAAATGCAGGTAGTAAAATAAGGATGGTAGCAGAGTGAACCTTCTAAATTTGTTAATACAGTAGGAAAATAAATGCCTTAAAGTAGTGCATCATCCAAATACAATGTTTCCTGTTGCATCTTGGAATGCAATATTTATAGCCTTTTCCTTTTCTGCCTGGCAAGATATATCCCTTATTCTGTTCTCTGAAGAAGAAGAAGAGGCATAGTTTCTATCCCCAAGGAACAGGACTCTAACTCCCTAACTCACACGAAATGCCACTAACTACACAAGAAATAAGTTTCAAAAGTATGTGTTGATAGAACTGGTGCCATAGGAGTTTGGTAATGAATAAGGCAAGCTCAGAATCCAGAAGATTACCAATTTTCTAACATTCAAATTTCATATTTTTGGTCTTCTCAATTCCTTGGCCTCCATTTTGGGAATCTACTTTGCATGAAATACTCAGAATGATTCAATCTTAGAAATACTAATGAAAATTCACCTCTCTCTCAATACAACCTCTAATCCATTTGGTGTTCTTCCTTCCTTACTCCATTTAGTCTACATGACTCTTACAGAGAGCTCCATATCTCAATAACTCCACCTCCCCCCCAATTTGTCTTTACTTCTTCCTCTCTCTAACCAAGTTCTTCTCATCCTTCATTCAACCACTCTCTCACCTATGGCCTTGCCCTCTTGCCTATTGCATATACAGAAACACCAAAACTTCAAGTATTTAATTGATGGGCTTGCCTGTGACCTCCAATTTGAGCAGCCAGACAAGTGTTCAACCATTGCATTAGAAAGCGTTGATGGATGAAGACAACAATTCATATCTTTTTTTCATCAAAAGCTTCAATCCATGTATCAGATAAAAAAGACTGGAAAAGCCAGGCACGGTGGCTCACGCCTGTATTCCCAGTACTTTGGGAAGTTGAGGCAGGCGGATCACCTGAGGTCAGGAGTTCAAGAGCAGCCTGGCCAACTTGGAGAAAGCCTGTCTTTATTTTAAAAAATGCAAAAAATAGCCAGACATGGTGGCAGGTGCCTGTAATCCCAGCTACTCGGGAGGCTGAGGCAGGAGAATTGCTTGAACCCAAGAGGCAGAGGTTACAGTGAGCTGAGATCACACCATTGCACTCCAGCCTGGGCATCAACAGTGAAACTCCATCTCAAAAAAAAAGACTGGAAAATATATGTGATGTTTCAGAATTTGTTGTTTTCTCACTAATCTCCTTTCTCCCCATTCCAAAAAAAAAAAAAATTCCAGTTGGAGAGCAAAGAGAAGGAGAGTGGGAAAAGAGAAAAAAGGAGATGTCAGTGTGTCCTGGGAGTGGTAGGGATAACTTCACAAATATTTCAGAATCTGAAGGCACAGGATAAGCACCCAATTTCTGTCTAGAGTTCTGGGATGGAGCAAGCCTTGCAGAGGTGCCTGGCAGCCAGAATGGCATAGGGACCAGGACAATAGTGATGGGTGAAGCATTTCTAGGGAGTAGTGAGAGGGTGGAGTCTCCAGCAACTCCAGAATAGCAAAAAGAACATTTAATACTCTGTATGCTCTTATTAGTCTCAGAAGGAACTGTGAAAGGTAGCTGAGCTAACTGGTAGACCTGCAGAGGCATTTGCAACCAGTCTGCAGAGAAGCCGCAAAAGAAGAAACAGTATAGGCCAGCCTGTGGAGATCAGTTATTATCTCTCAACAGAAGTCTCATGAAGATGACATACCAGAAAAATGGATGCTAAGAGTTACATCTCAGTGGAGTACAACAATGGGCAGAAGATCCCAACTGTTGACCAGATACTGCCACGGGAGAACTGCCATGACACTATGAAATCCCTAGGAGCCAGAGAGAGGAGGACCAAAGAATCCTGAATTTGCCTAAGTTAGACTTAGTTTGCTACTATGACTGATCTATGAGTGAATTTGATCAAATTTACCTGGAATTATCAGATTAAGTTTCCTACCATGAAAAACAAACAGAGGGCTCAAGATACCAGTTGAATTTAGTCATAGGAAAAAAATACATACCTTGTCACATAGCAGCTTTGGGAACTTAAATTTGTACTTGCCACCACACTTCATTGTCTCTCTGATGTGCTGACTCTTCAAAACTTTTATCTTTTAAATTCTCTGCTTTTATTCCCAAGCTGCTAAGCTCTGCTGAAGAAAAGCACACCAAATAAAGGAGGCTGGAGTGCCTGGAGGTGAGAAAGGTGTGCTTTGAGGTCTACCTTCATCTGATGGGCAGGATTTACACAGGTGAAGGAAGGGGAGGCAACACAATAAGAACTAATAGTTACATAGAGCATGACAGCTTACACAGAAGCCATATTCACGGATATTATCACACTCAATGCTCACAATAATCTTGAAAAAAATGTAAATATCCCTTTTTGTTACTGAGCAAGAAAATGCAGCTTATCAGCAGCAGAGATTAGAGTGACAGAACTTTTGTGACTTGATATCACATATTCTTTCCACTGTCCGATGCTCAGGAGACTTCTTTAGTGTCTGAAAGTTTTTGTCTTTGGTTTTGCAAGCTTCCTTTAGCTCATTTGGTAAAGGTTAGCTTTCACCTTCAGAATCCCACCTGATTTTATTACTATTACTCCCATTGTACAAATGAATAAACTGATACTCACTTGTTCAAGATCATGAGACTGTTAAGAGATTGAGCCCGGACTGAAAGCAATTTTGCTTTTTCAGGATTCAATGCCCTATTCATTTTATCCTACTAATATTAAGTTATAATAGCACATTATTAATGTTATATTTTTAGAGAAGCAGACGATTGCCTCATTCATGAAGAAAAAATGAATGACTGAATGAGTGGTTGAACTTTTTTCTTAGAGTCTTATGACTGTCACATATATATCATAATAGGAAACAGCTATATTTGATTTGTTTTCCATTTCCTTTCAATGAATTTAAATATGTAATTAAAATTACATATTTTAATCTAAAAAAATGAGAAGTGCAAATGGAATTTCTTGAAAAATTCCTAGGGCGAGCGAAGTATTACTTTCTAAGTGGAAAATCTTTCAAGTCAAATGCTTATCATTTTTAATTATTAAGAACCAGCTTCTCAATATTAACTTTAAAATCAGTGGCAAATTTGTCTGTTTGATTTTTAAATCATGTCTCACTGGCTTCCTTCTCTTTTTTTGATCATTTTGCTGCACTTGCAATTTGATATCTCATTCATGGCTCTGCTGTCTGTAAACTCTGGTTAGTGCAAAGCTCTGCAAAAAAAAAAAAAAAAAAAAAAGAAAAAATCTCTTATTTGACCATGAACTTTCGATGATCTAGTTAGCGTTACTGTCAAGCTTCCCGCGGTCTTTTTGAAAAGCAGGACTTGTCCATTCTGCCCTCTGGCCAGCTTCAGTGGGACTAAAGCGCTAGCAAGAGCCATCAAACTGCCTGACGGCTTGTCATCAGCGAGGATCCATTAATTTACACAGATTTTCCACTGTTTGGCATCTACCATGATAACTCTTTTCTCTTCCAAGCAGCTCCTGTTTGCATTTAACACTTGGGTTAATTTTCATCAGAGTTTAAATTTAGCCATCAGTTATTTCAGGGGAGCTGTCAGCCAACATATGGAGAGAGGGAGAAAAAAATCCTTCTGAATTTATAATAAAGTGGAATCTGTTGAATGTGAAACAAAAACCAACTGCAATATAGTGAGGCCCCGGTGGGGAGAGCGGGGTCAGCAAAGAATTGCAGAGTGGATTAGCTGTTCTATTCACCAGAGCCGCATCTGGGCACCTCAGGAGCTTCTTGATATATCAAAAAATGATGGAAAGACACAGTTCAATTTGTCCCCCTTTTATAAAGGATAATTAACCTGTCAGTCTTGCTACTTTAACAACTTCATTAAATTGGAGGTGAAATGGGTGCTGAGAAGTCTTGTCTTTATCCAAAAGGAACACAGGGCACTTGTGTAAATGGTGGAAAAAGAAAGAAAACACATACACGCAATACCCCAGTAATACTGTCTGGTTCCTGAAAAATGGAACATGCTTCTTCCAATTATGTAATAATCCTGCCCTTACTATGACCTGCTAAAAGTAATTTTCTTAACTCAGAAGGCAGAGGAAATAATGTCACAGCCCAACTAGGCCAGGAAAGCACACCACTTAAAAATTGAGGTTATAGGGTTTCAAATGCTGTTGGGCCAAACTATTTAAGACCTAGAGTGATGGCTACTAACGATGAACAGCATTTCACAGGTAATAAAAAGAAATGAAAACAGAGCTCCCTCAGTCCTCCACCTCTCCCTCTGCCACCCCCAACATTGGCTTCCATGGTTTGTTTCTTGGCGATAAATCATCTTTTTACTACTACAAAGATCTGAAACCTTAAATATATTCATTCAAGAGAAAAAGAGCACTTCAACAATTTTAGTGTCTAAAACCTTAAATAATTTTTCTTTCTTAAAGGGAACTTATTGAATATTTTAAGCAACTGAAATAGTAGTTCAGTTAAGATTATAGTCCTCTTCTCACTAGAAATTCTACTCTGAAAATAAGCATAAAGCACCGTAAAAAAATTAATTATAAAATATTTTTAAAATCTTCTTAAAATCAAAATTATGTTATTTCCAGTTGAAATGGAAATGATTTTATGAGATTGGTAATTCTGTCCTATAATATCTCATTATATTATCACAAAATAATAATTTAATGATCACAAAATAATAACAAAAAATTTCAACTAGCTATGGTAAAAATAAAATTTAACGTGCTTCTCTTGTCAAAGTAGTCAGAAATTCTGGGTATGATCATATAATTCTCCAAGAAAGAAATATTTTTTAATTTAAAAAACATGTTGAAAGATTAAAATTTTTGTTAATATTTTTCATAATTTTTAAAAATAAATATCTTGTAAAGTCAATATTAGCCCTTTAAAGTTTATAATCTCAAACCAAATTTAATTCATTATCCTTATAAACTATAATTTTTTACCTTAAATTCATTTAAAATGTTTCATTTTTGATAATTTGTGAATATACTAGGAAGGCAAAAATACAGAATCTTATATTGTTTTTAGTACGATAGGTGTCACTTAGACGAAAATCTTTACATTTTATTACAAGTGATTTTTAGGGAAAAAAAGTGACAGTGCCAAGACAATAATACTTACATACTTTATGTGGTGAAGAAGTCAGAATTTATCTATTTTTGTTTCATTTGAAACAAGATCTGGTGCAGCTCCTAGAACAACTAAGTTACTACAAGAGCTATTTAATTACTTTTTAAGAATATAGCTATTTGTTTTCATCCTTTTAAAAATGAAAACTGCTTAATTTCATAGAAACAGTCATTAAAAGAAAGATGACACTTCCGAAGATCAGTGGTATCCAGAGAATTTCAGAGCAACTTGGTTTTATTAGATCAAGTACAAGCTTTCTATTTACTTTGCCTATTTAAGGGTTGTATTTCTCATCAAGAAGATAATTCATTTTTGTCGCAGCTTTTGGAAAGGAAGCTGGGCCTCCGTCTTTTCCAAAGTGACTTTTCCCTGTTCCTGAACTCACCTGTCTCTATAGTTAGGCAATAATTAAGATGGAACATTTTGTATTGTCGCATCTTAGACCTCTGTCGGCACGCATTGGCAGAGAAGAATTGAAAGCTTTATTAGCCCTTCTCCCATAGTATTTTAAAAAAGGAATTGTGATTCAGAGTGGCAACTGTTCTTGCCACTGGTGCTTTTTCAACTTGTACATAATCTCAAAAAATCCTAGTGTTGGACACGCAACACCATGAGTGCTTTTGCGCAGCAATGACAATGACATCCCACCCTTTTATATATAGCACTTGGCTTGTTTACTTCCTGTGTCTTTTAGAGGAAAGACCCAAGGGCCATTGAGATTAGCAGCCTTCTCAGCAGTGTCACCCTTTCCAGCTGGTCTGGCACCAGGGGCACCGCACACTGAAAAGTAAATGACTCTGATTCCATCTGAAATAATGCTGGGAGACTGGAAATGTTAAGAAGGAAAGCGGCATCAGTCAGAGCTTATTGGACATTCGCTATATATAAACGAAATGGAACAGCGACGAGGGAGAAGGTTTTGTGAGCGAAATCCTAATTTGGCGTCCAGCGGTGGGTTCATTTTATCGTGCCTCTGAAAAAAGTTATAGAGTGACCCAAAGCTTAATTGTAGAAACCAAGTGACTCCACACCCCAAATAAAATATTCCAAATATGGAAACATCACCACCCTACGTCAATGTCGGTTCCTGATTTCTGCTTTCGTACTTTGAAATGAACCCATCTGACTGAATCAAGCTGTTCTGAACGAGGAAACTGTTTTAATTCAGCTGTGCATATCTTTCTTGTTGCTTATTTTAAAACAACAAATACTGCTAATTTTAGAGAGTAAAACTGAGCCAAAAGCTAAAATGAGCAGCTAGTACCCATAAATAAATGTGGGAAGAAGCTCAATTTCCTATTGTAACAAAATGATTAGATTGCCTCAGATTTAATCACAGTAATTTAGTCATTTTGTGAATGTAGGTCAGTCGTTTGTTGGTAGTAATGCTTTTTATTTAAAGGGCATAGTTTTTCACTAATAACCTTCAAATTTTCAGTCAATTTATTTGAAAGAAGTACAAAATTATCAATGAAGCATAAAGATAATTAAGTTTCCTTCTATAGAGCACAAATAAAACTATCTACAAAGAGTTGCCTGAGCCTGATTTTTAGATCAAGTCCTCACAGTTTGTGACTGCATTAGTAATTGAGACCAAAGTGATGGTTTTTAATAGAAATTACTTAGGTATTTGCACTGATTGTGAAAACCTGTTACCTTCACTCTGTAATTTTCTTTTTCCTATATTATCAGCAAACTATATCATAAAAGTTACCTCTACTACCACCACTGCAACAACAATAAAATGAGTAGAAATGTGATAATTACCTGAATAGTTTAAGTAAGTATATGTTGGGATAATTATCTGGCCATTTTTTTTAAAAACTATTAATTTGGTTTTGTGTCTATAAGGGCAGCTATACAAAGTTACAGAACCTCAGCATGGAGACTGAGAATGGAGATTGAAATTACTGTCTCACAATATAAATTATAATGTGAACACCTGTATTACTCTTTTTTTTTACATTTCCTCTGACCACACCTTAAAAGCAGAAATATTTAGTATCAAGTCACCAGCTCTCCATATGTAGTCTTAAGCTCTGCAAAGACAGGAATGACTGCTTTCTTTTTCTTTTCTTTTTTTTTTTTTTAGACAGAGTCTTGCTCTGTCACCAGGCTGGAGTGCAGTGACATGATCTCAGCCCACTGCAACCACTGCCTCCCGGGTTCAAGTGATTCTCCTGCCTCAGCCTACCAAGTAGCTGGGACTACAGGTGCGCACCACCACACCTGGCTAATTTTTGTGTCTTTAGTAGAGATGGGGTTTCAGCATGTTGGCCAGGATGGTCTTGATCTCCTGACCTCATGATACGCCCACCTCAGCCGCACAAAGTGCTGGGATTACAGGTGTGAGCGACCGCACCTGGCCAGGAATGACTCCTTTCTTTGGGGGCTGGAGGCTGTACTGCCTTTCAAGCAGCATATCCTGGAGAAAAAAAGGAGTGGAAACTCCACTGGTAGTAAACTTGCTGGTGAACAAACTTGATCTTGGTTTTGATTGCATAAAATATTTATGGAGTAGTTTACATTCCACATGTTTCATGGCTTTGTAAATACAAATTTGTATTGTTTTGGAGATATTCGTTTGAAGAAATCTTATGTTTAAGAAAGCTAAACTTAGATAGTTCTGAAATTAAGACTAATTCACAGATTTGGGGTTGGTTAAAAGACAGATTTTTTTCAGGACAGTAGGTTTACCTTGGTTCCAAGGGTTTCTCTTTGCTTCATTTTGTGAAAAATAATTAAAATTCTATGTGGCAATACATAGCCTATCTTTTCAATAAGAATTTTAAATTCTCACATTCTAGGGTTCATTTCTATCAATGCTTCATAACTCATTGTCTCTTAGCCAACATAATAAGTGCCATGGGGCATCCTTGTTAATTGTTAATTGAATGTTCTAGATAAGTAAGCACTGCCGTTCTGTCTTCTTTCTAGCTAGCTATACAGATCCTCTGGGTGGTCACCACTTATCACTGAAACCCTAGTGATCTCCCTCCTCTGAATCCTATAGCAGTTAAAGATCACTCATTTTTTATTCAAATACACCCTACCTCTGGCTAGTCATTATCTTTCAATATGGACTGTTCTCATCCCCCTAATCAAATTAAAACACTTTTGAGTACTTGCAATCTAGCAGGCTCCCAGGTAGGCACTGAGGAATGCTATGCCACATCATCCTCATAATGGGATGAGGAAAGCAAAATCATACCCATTACACAAATGAGGAATGAAGGAAGGCTCAGAGACATTAAATAACTTGCGTATAGTGACCTAATTATTCAATAAGGGATAATGTCTTATCCCATGGAATTTTTACCTCACAAGTCTGTATGTGTCTTGAGTCCAGCATAATAAATTATGCCTCTTTATACCACCTCAGTCACATGGTGCTGTGCTCCTGGAAAGTATTTATTATGTACTCTGTGATCCAGTAATGTCTAGATACTCTCCAGTTAGGCCGACAGTCTATGCAAAACTCAACTACATTATCTTAATCATTTGTTTACCTGTTTGTACCTTTTTAAGACAGGGACACACAGGTAAAAAGACGATTAAGATAAAGTGGTTGAGTTTTATCTTACTTATCATTGTATTCCCGATTTCAAACTCATGGCCAACTCTCAGTAATCAATGGATCCAAGGCTAGGGGAGGGCAATTAGAGAGGAGTACAAATGTTGGCAAAAGAGGAGAAGACCACCATCCTCCATGGTATCTGGACAGACAAAACTTCAGCAGTAGAAAATCCATAACACTAATGACTGATTAAGTTTTCCATTTAAGTGATAGAGATTTTACAACAAATAATAACCTTTATGCTATACCATAATTGTAGATGTAAATGGCCCATGAGATTTGGTAGAATTTACGTGGCCATTCACAAAGTCCCTGAAAGTATTTCATTTTTATTGAATCACTAATATTAGCTTGCTTCCTGGCCAATTATATTGTTCCTTAAAGTTTGTTTTTTTTTTTTAAGGCTGCTTCCCAGTCTAGAAACATAAGTGTATCTCTAACTGTGCATGCAATTACCACAGCTTCCAGGCACTGGAAGTTGCACCAGATATGACCCTGTGTGTCTGCCTTTGCCTCTTTGGCAGAGAGAGACACACACACAGTGATTCTTATAAAGAACAGCAAATAAGATAACACTTGCTCTTACGAGTTGAATTGTGTCCCCCACACAAGATGTTAAAGTACTAAACTCAAGTACCTGTGAATGTGACCTTATTTGGAAACAGGGTCTTTGCAGATGTAGTCAAGTTAAAATGAGATTATTAGGATGGGATATAACCTAATATGACTGGTGTCCTTATTTAAAAAGGGGAAATTTGAACACAGCGACGAATGTGCAAGGAGGAAAACACCATGTGAAGATTAAGGTAAAGATCAGGGTGATGCTTCTATAAGCCAATGAATGCCAAAGGTTGCCAACAAACCGCTAGAAGTCAGGAGAGAGAGACATGGAACAAATTTTCCCTCCCAGTCCTCAGAATGAATCAAGGCTGAGGGCCTTGACCTCAAACTTCTAGCCTTCCAAACTGTAAGAGAATACATTTCTATTGTTTAAGCAACTCAGTTGGTGTTACAACAGCCCTAGGAAGCCAAATATGCTTGCCTTATAGTAAGATTTAATGACAATGGCCTTTAATTAAATAGCTTCTGTCTCTACTTACAATTACAAGAAAAATAATGTTTTTCATGATTTTTTTTTTAAATTTAGCCCAGCAATTCAAATGTCTGGGTCATTATACACAAATTTGTGAATGAAATATATTATTTATAGTGCTTAAAACAGGCCAGGCGCAATGGCTCACACCTGTAATCCCAGCATTTTGGGATTCTCCCGAGGCAGGAGAATCACTTGAGCCCAGGAGTTTGAGACCAGCCTGGGCAACATGGTGAAACTTTGTCTCTACAAGAAAACAATAAAAAAAATTAGCTGGGCATGGTGATACCTGCCTGTATTCACAGCTACTTGGGAAGCTGAGGAGAGAGGATCACTTGAGCCCAGGAAATTCAGGCTGCAGTGAGCAGAGACAGTGCCACTGCACTCCATGCAGCATGGGCGACAGAGTAAGACCCTGCCTCAAAAAAATAAAAAAGAAAAAGAAAATAGAGTATTTAAAACAAAGTTATTTTGACATATTATCTCCTAATTACTATGCAAATAAACTGTATGCTAAGGATAGTATACAACAGAATATTTTATTAGAGATGCTTACAAGACATTCATTTATTGCACAGGTAAGTAAAGAGAAAATACAGATATGTCTACACAGGAAGATAGAAGTTGGTCAATATCCAAATGTGACACTATCTATGCCATTTTCCTCTGCACATTAAAGAAATTGATTGCAAATGAGAAATTGGTGCCATGTAGGAACTTTCTGAGTGGGCACAGAAAGACAAATACCACATGATCTCACTTATATATGGAATCTAAAAGAATCCAACTAACAAGTAGAGAGTAGAATGTTGGTTATCAGAGGCTGTGGGTGGTGGTGGGGGTGATGTTGGTCAAAGAGTACAAAGCTTCAAGTTAGACATGAGGAATAAATTCAAGAGATCTAGAGTACAACATGGTGACTATAATTAACAATGTATTGTATATTTAAAAATTGCTGAGAGTAGATTTTAAGGGTTCTCACCACAAAAAATTATATGTATGTGGGGTAATGCATATGTTAGCTTGATTTAGATATTCCACAGTGTATACACAAAACATCTTGTGGTACACAATAAATATATACAATTCTAATTTGTCATTTAAAAATTTTAAAAGGAGTTACATAAAAACACACAGAAAAAAAAAAAAAGAAAAAGAAGAACAGTTTAGTGATTGGCACTAGGGGTCCTGGGCAGATGCAAGGGCAAGGCATCAACTGCCTGGAGGCTGAGCTCTCCTTTGCTTCAGTAAAAGCTTCTTCGATTTTAATGGTTATAATGGGTTCCTGCAAGATTTTATGTGAAAACAGGGCCACATTGCTTGCAAAATAAATAAATAAATAAATAAATAAATAAATAAATAAATAAATAAATAAAATAGCATTGCTTTGGCATTGTTTCCTGACATGACCTTCCCAGCTTGTCTACCCTACAGTGTTATAGGCAATAGGTAGATAAGTAGATAGATAAAGCAATTCAAAGTTGGGGTTTTTTGAGATCACGCAACTTCACAATATCCCTTAAAATCACTGGATGAATGTCTGAGCATATTAAAATTCACATTTAGGAATCAATGACTCTTCTAATTATAACTTGTTTTTAGTGAATTCAAACCTTTTAAGAGAATTAAATTAGTTTGCTGACATCTTTTTTTTTTTTTTTTTTTTTTGAGGTGCAGTCTCCCTCTGTCGCCCAGGTTGGAGTGCAGTGGTGCAATCTTGGCTCACTGCAACCTCTGCCTCCCAGGTCCAAGCGATTCTCCTGCCTCAGCCTCTCCAATAGCTGGGATTACAGGCATGCGCCACAACACCCGGCTAATTTTTGTATTTTTAATAGAGACGGAGTTTCACCATGTTGGCCAGGCTGGTATCAAATTCCTGACCTCGGGTGATCCACCCACCTCAGCCTCCTGAAGTGCTAGGATTACAGGCCTGAGCCACCATGCCCGGTCTGCTGGTATCTTTATTCTCTGATTTGAAAACTGTAAGGACCCCCCCTGCTCTGAAATACTTCTGCTCATTCTGATGATCCTTTTCATTAAAATGCTTTCTAATAAGAAGTTGTCCTCCTTTCAGGTTTAAAGTAATATTCGTATCTTCAAACACCAAGTCGATTTTCTGATGTATAATGTCAGATCCTGACCAGTTGGTGATCTTCATTTAAGCTATAAGACAGTGTAATAAATATTCATTATAATCAGAGCTTCTAGAGCTTCTAGACCTCTGGTTGCAACTCAATAGGTCTGAATCTCAGCCAGTCTTGAATGTACCAACAGCTGTGCTATGTTGAGTTGCGCTATGTTGAGTTGCACATGACATGGGTCCAATAGAGTTCAGCTTCCATATGCACATCTCCCCAGATGCTGATCAACCTCAGGTTCCAACTTATCTAAGAGAGTAGATCTTAAGAAGGTTTCAAGCCACCTTCCTTTTTCCCCTCTTCCAAACAGCCCTTTAGCCTCAGCTAGGTGCCCACCAACTCCATGCCCAACTATTCCTTAATTCCACTCCATTTGTGTATTTACTCAGGCTGTGCTTTGTCTAAACACACAGCCCTTTAGCCACTTTCACCTTTAAAATTCCTTAATGTTAACTCAAGCCTCTTTGTCTCCTCTTGTTTCTCTAAAAAGTCAAATGTTTGGCTGAGTCCATGAAGTACAAGAAGATGAATGGCTTTCTCAGTGACCCCTCTCTCTGTTCCTTTTTCTCTGGTTATCATGTCCTCAATGTTTAGTGGTACACTCCTTAAATGCTTCCTACAGTTTCTTAAATTGTTTCTTATAGTGTTATGTCCATCTTCTTTCCCTAACTAGATTATAAACTACTTGAGAACACAGAGCAAGCTTTTTACTTAATTTAGGTTTCTCATAGCGCTAATAGGGCAGAACATTCACAAGTATTCAATTGATGTCTAAAAAAGAAAACTGGATTTAATTAAATGAGTTCTAAAGCATTCACAAACACAGAAAACATGTCAGTAGTAGTATTTCTGCTTTGACGGCAAAAGTAAGAGTGATGGTCAAGTCAATTTCAGTGGATATCCCTGACAGGATAATCAAGATGACATTGACATCTCCAGCTTCTAACAGACGCCACTCCTTCAGACTTGTGGTTAGTAATAAATCATTCACCTTTGACACAAACCATTTAGCAAAGGTGTTTCAGCTTAGACTCAAGGAAGATCCTGAAGCTTGGAAGTAGGGTCCCTATTATAACCCTTGTTCAATTCTGTGCAACTGGTAGGTATTTAATAAATGCCTATTAAAAATGAATGGACTAATATAAGGTTAGAGCCACCACCAATGACAATTGCAGAACTAGTGCCTTTCATTCCAGTAAGCCAGAGATTTTCATTTTTTCCTTTTTTTTATATTAAGAGAAGATAATAGATAATTAAATTGCCTTCAAACAGCTCTCTGAAATATGACTCTAAAAGCTACAGTAATTTTCTTCAATATCCTAGTCTGAATCCATTTGTTCCTTTTAGAAAGGCAAATTAAAATACAGCCACTTGAACAGAAAACAGAATAATCTCTTCTCTGTACTCTCTGCAGCCACGGAGAGGAGCAATCATCAGCGTTTACACTATTCTCTCAAACAGCAGTCTCTTCACTATTCCCTTTGCTGACAAATTGGTGATAAAGTGACATTTCTAATTATTCAGTACCTGAAAGGGGTTTACACAGTTCACAGTGTTGAATCCACACATTCGATGTATTTGGGTCGAGGTATCCATTAACGCAATACAAGCAAACTGGCTGTTAGTTTCTTGTGATCTGTGAAAAGTCCTCCTCTGAATGTTCTGTGCTTCTTCTTCTCCAACTTTGTCTTTCCTTATTATTTTCCAGTTTGGAAAAGAAAACTCTACATATTTAGAGAGCAGCTGCCGCCCATGTCTTATTCATTGCATGCCACTATTCTGTTTCTTCAGCAGTCTGACTGCAAATTTCAGTGATCACATAGGTAACGGGGCATCTGGGATTTCTAGGATAAAACTAGCTGTGTCCCCATAACACTTACTCCTAGATCCCCTCAGTATTCAGATATTATATTCAGTCTGCTCTTATCCATATCGTTTGAGTTGGAGCTCCTTCATGTATTTCGTGTGTTCATCCCGACCTTGCCTGAGGGACTTCCCCATGTCCTCAAAGGTAGAGAGAATGTATTATTTTTCCCAGCAAACCCTAAAGAAGCTGACACTGCTTCTGCACATATCAGGGGCAGGAGTAACAGAACAAAGTGACTGCCTAATATCTTATTTTTAATCTAGGCAGCCAAGAAAAGCAATCTCACACACACACACACACACACACACACACACACACACACACTTGAATAAGTTTACAAATTCTTGAAATCAAGCAACTCTTCTACTAGGTTCCCTGATACCTATGGTAAGCCTTCTTATACTTACACAGGCCAGCATCTCCTTTCTGGGGTTAAAAAAAGACAGTGGCCCCTTTCCCTAATAAAGGGAGCCAAGGAAATGCACCTGTACTGGAGAATGAATACTCTAATACTTAAGAACCTTTTGGTGAAGGTGAAGGGGGCTTGTTGAAAACATTGCTGTGAGCAGATGGACCCCTGAAACCATCTGCTATGAAGCAACTAAATGTTCAATGATGCATTACAGAATTCTTTAGCTCTCAAACAGCCTGAAAGTAGTTAGTAATGATGGCATCTGTACCGAGAGCAAACAACCTATTTATATATGATCTATTACTTCATAAACTGTTTGGAGACCCTCATTCTTAAAGAGGCAGCAGACTTCTTGATTGAAGGTATAAAATTGTTACTGATAAAATTGTCAATTATAACCTTAAAATTAGCATCTATTTTCCTCCTTTGGATTAAGTAAACTTTTTGCTGAAACTGGTGCTTTTCTCATCCTCCAATAAAAGTGTAACTATCTGTTATGATTTAAATCAAAAAGAAATGAGGAATTTTTATTTCCTAAAATCATATCCACTGGATATTTTAACTTCTATATAAATGTATAATCTTTTTAAAGTTTTTCTATTGTAAAGAGCATATGTCAAATCAGACAAATAAGAACAGAAAAAGGAAAAGTTGTTACTAATTAATGACAACCACTATTAATAACTTCAGTGTATTTTCTTCAGATCTTTTTCCGTACTTAGGTAAAAAACAAACAAACAAATTTAGTTCTATAATCTCTGCAAAAGTGTATGTGTTCTTGTGAAGAATGGCTTTTGTGATATACAACTTGACAGTATATTCCTTTTATTCATAGTCTCCTGGAAATATCTAAAATTCCAACTGGTATATCCATATACTGGAATATTACACAACAATAAAACAGAATGAATGATTAATATACGTAACAATATGGAAGAATCTCAAATGCATTATACTAAGTAAAAGAAGCCAGACCTAAAAACTACATACTGTATGGTTGCATATATATGGCATTCTGGAAAAGGCAAAACTGTAGAATGAAGAGCAGACCGAGTTTCCAGGGCTTACAGGTGAGAAGAGAATTAGACTTGAAAGAGATAGCATGAGGGGTTCCTTCCAGGGTGATGGAATTGTAATCTTGACTGAAGTAGGGGTTACATGGCTTTATGTACATTTAGGAAATGCATAAAACTGCACAGCAAAAAGAATAAATTTCTACTTTTTGTACATTAAAAAAGGGAATTTAAAAAATATTTTTCAAAGGAGTAGAGAGTAAGGAAGTTGTCAGGTCTCAGTTTTACACTGGCTTAAGAAAATGTATTTAGTCATTCGATAATTATTTATTGAGTACTACTGTATTCCAGGCACTGGCAGGCTCTGGGGATAGAGCAGTGAAGAGATGGAACACCTGCATTTGGGAGCTTACAGTCAAGTGGAGGAAGATAGTAAACAAAAATAACTAAGTTATACTAGATTGTGGTAAGTGCCACAGAGAAAAGTAAATCAGAGAAGAGGAATAGAGAGAAGGGCCTCTCAGAGAAGGTCATATTTGAGCAAAGTCTTGAAGGAGATGAGAGGATGGCTATATGGAAGAAGCCAAAGAAAGGCCCTGAGGCCCAGAGGGAAAAATGTGCTTGGTACAATCCGAGAGGGAGAGGAGGGCTGGCTGGTGCAGGGGACCAGAGGGAGAGCAGTGGGAAATGCAATCAGAGGAGCAGGGAGGTGGGTCTTGAGAGAATCCTAAACAGACATAAGGACTTGACTTTACTTGGTGTGAAGAGTGCTACTGGAGGGTTCCAAGTGGAGGAGCAGCATGAGCTTACTCACCTTTATTTAGTTTTTTGACATCAATCTGCTTGCTGTGTGAGAATAGTGTATGGCTCAGGTTCGGGAGAATCATGGAGGGGAACCAACCAGAAGCCTCTCACAATCCAGGATGAGAAGAGGGGAGCCCTGGAGTTGGTGAAGAGTGACTGGATTCCAAATCTGGAAGTAAAAGACAACAGGATTTCATCAAAGAATGAATGTAGAATGTGAGGGGGAGGGAGAATCAAGGAGGATTTGAGGTCTGGGGTTTGATCAACTAGAAAGATGGATTTGCTGTAACTATCATGTGGGAAGACTGTAGGAAGAACAAGTCTAGAAGTCAAAATCATGCATTCAAAAAATAAGTTCATTTTTGAACTTGTTATTGTTTTAAATATGAATTTCCAAGTGGAGATATCTGGTAGACAGTTTGATATACTGAGTTTGGAATTCAGGAGAGATATCCAAGGAGGAGATATAAATTTGAGAGTCATCAATGTGTAGATGGTATTTAACATCATGGGATCCATTTGAGTCATTTCCCAAAGGAGCTGTAGGCCCCATAGGTGTATCCAAATGCTCACACCTTTGTGGAACAGAAGTTAGCTCTAAGCTTCTATGTACTAAGCATGCTTCTCTCCCCCCAAAAATTTCAACAAAAGGCATGAAGTGAGCTTTTGCAAACATTTAACTTGAAAGTCAAAAATCAGCTTGAAATAATAGCAACAGAAACTTCTTCTTTCATATCCTGCTACCTCAGAATTTTATGTTGTAATAATCTCTGTTAAGCATATATCCCATATTAATGGTATCAGCGGCACAGCCATGGCTTTTATAGTGAGGTCACCTAGGAATTTGCAGCATCTAAGTGTTATATGTACACTTTGAAGGGATGTTTGATTTCATTCTTTAAAAATATTACTTTTGGCTATATGTAGAATTATTTAGAAGTAAAACATATATAAATAACTTGGAATATGCATATAAAAATAAACACTGTGACTGTATGTACATTTATACAAATAATACCTATGAAACAGAAAAAATAACTTTTTAGTTCTGAGTCAGTAGTTAGCAAAAATTTTCATATTTAATTTATTTTTATAAAATTAGATATGTTTGTAAAAGCTACTTTTTAAGTGCCTTAGTTTTATGTATATCATCCTAAAATAATACTCTAAAGAGAGTATTAATTTCTACCATAAAAAATACAAAATGCTCTTTGTCGAATCAATCATTTATACTTCTTTCGAGCTTACAAAATTAAAATGATACTTTTTTACACAATTTTACACACTTTTTTACACAATTTGAAACCACTATGCTTTACTGAGATATAACCGAGAAAGTTTTCTCAGCGAAAAGATCATACAGATTTAAACACTGAAGATATTTAAAGCTGGGACAAATTTAAGCTCTCAATTATTCGAGCACATATTTATCTAGCAACATCTGATAATAGTGACACCCAGTTGTCTTGCATTTTGCTTCTTGCCTTTATAAATTTTTGTGGCTGTGGTGGTATGCGGTGGCTCATGCCTGTGATCCCAGCCTGTGGGGGCTAGGTGGGTGGAGCACTTGAGGTCAGGAGTTTGAGAGCAGCCTGGCCAACATGGTAAAACCCTCCAAAATGGAGGGTTGACATTTATGAAATTGTTTAAATCTATCTCTGCCAAAAAATACAAAAATTAGCTGAGCATAGTGGCACGTGCCTATAGTCCCAGCTACTTGGCAGGTTGAGGCAGGAGAATTGCTTGAAGCCCAGAGGCGGAGGTTGCAAAGAAAGTTTTGTGGCTGTGATTTTTTCTCCTTCCTGCTCCTCTGCATTACCAAGTGCAATAAACTTCTCAGGTATTGCAGAGTTGATTCTTAATTTTGATTTTATTAATTTGATTAACACTTAAATTTGATTAAAGTGTTTTCATATAACAAAATATCTTTTCAAACACCTTCAGAAATCTTAAGCAGTCATTTTTTTCTTTTATTAGAAATAAAGAACTTATAAAACCCAATTATTTAATTGAAACTAAAAATGTTTTGTAAGTATAAAAAATTATAAAGCAGCAAAAGTGCTGAAAATACAGAACTGGTCTTGTCTCACTGACCTCAGAATTAAACCCAGAAAATATCAGGTTTTTTTTGTTTGTTTGTTTGTTTGTTGTTTTCTGAGACGGTGTTTTGTTCTTGTTGCTCAGGCTGGTGTGCAATAGCACTATCTTGGCTCACCGCAACCTCTGCCTCCCGGGTTCAAGCGATTCTCCTGCCTCAGCCTTCCAAGTAGCTGGGATTATAGGCATGTGCCACCATGCCGGGCTAATTTTGTATTTTTAGTAGAGATCGTGTTTCTCCATGTTGGTCAGGCTGGTCTCGAACTCCCAACCTCAGGTGATCCTCCTGCCTCGGCCTCCCAAAGTGCTGGGATTACAGGCGTGAGCTACTACGCCCACCCTAGGAAATAGCTTTTAAGTGAAATAAGCACACACTCTCTCTCTCTCTCTCTCAATCTGGTGGCTCTATGTTTTCTGTTTTATTTTGTTTTGTATTATATTACTTCAAAAACAAAGTTCCTGAAATATAGATGATAAATCTGAAGAGAAATTCATGTGTGATACCTCAAACTAGTTCCCCACACTACAGAGTTGAAACACAAGCCCTCCCACCTCCCCGATGCAGGCTACATTCGACTCCACATCTCACCTGCCAATCAATCACCAGTCAATCAAGGAAAGGGGCACAATCAGCAGCTTAATGACAGCCAGATGGCACCTGCCTTTCACGAACTGTGTTCCTAAGTCAGAGTCGGCCTGGGACTAGACTCAGTGTTCTATCCCCACGTAATAATGAGACGTTTTTGTATTCAGTGTAAGCTTTAATGGCTCACACCTCAGACAAGACCCCCCACAGCCCACCCCCTCTATGAAGAGAGTTCTCCCAGCATCCACTGATTTGACATAAACAAAGTTGTTTCTTGTCACTAAAACAAACAACCTCACTTCTTTCCAATCTGACTTCAGAATGATAACGTGTTAACTGGCCCTGCAAAAGAGGAAGGCAAATTTATGGGGTAAATAGCCAACCTGCATTTCCCACAGCTGAGAAGCAGTGCTGACATTTAAATAGGGACTGCTGTGCTCTTCCTCACACGGGTTTACCAGAGCTTTCAACCTTGACCTGAAGAGAACACCTTTTCTGGAAGTGACAGGTAATTTAGCCTTCTTGCTAAGTTCTGGGGCTCTCTGGTGGTGAATTATGTATGGTGCTTCTATGATACAGACACCTGTCCACCGAGAGCCAAACCAAAGCTGATAGATTCCTCTTAAAGACCTTAGATTAGATATAAACTACCTTTTTCCCCCTAGAAAAGTCGTCATGATGTCAATCACCGTTCCTTTCCTTTCCTCCCATGATTTCAAAGATTTGAGAGAGGTCTAAAACAAACTGAGCAATGTTTGCTTTTATAAAACCACTACTAGGACAGCACTCTACTTTCTCTCTTTTTATTTAACTGAAATAGTAAAAAAACTCTTTTAAGCTGTAACAATCAACTTGTGAATTGTTAATTATTGATGTTTGTCTCCCCACCCTGCCCATACTAGGTCTTAAGATAATTCACTAAGCTGTACAAATAAGTGCATTATATTGATTAAATCAGTTTCCAGCAAGATTGTCACCAGTTCAAAAGCAGCTTTTGGACTGAAAACAGCAAAATTATATCACACTATATTCCTTGTGTCTATTATGATTTGAGACAGGTAAATTAAATATTTTGGATCTGGAAAATAGGTAAGGGGTAATATCAGTATCACCACAAAAGTCCTGGTAGATCAAGGACGGACTAGATAAATGGAGGGTTGACACTTATGAAATGGTTTAAATCTATTATTGTGGGTGGTGGGGAGAGTTGAGGGAGTGAATGAGCATTGTGCTGAAAAGGACAGACTTCTCCAGAACAGACTTCCTATGTATGTCCCATTCAGACGGTCCCTGGCCAGCCAGACTTTGGATGAGAGTTAATCTGAAATCCATGGAATCACCTCTGTGCAACTGAAATGGTCCAGGGAATAATTTGATATCCTAGGGAAGGCCCTGTGAAATGTTATTTTTTGTTGTTCACTATTTATAGTGCTGGTGTCAAAAATAGAAACAAAGGCGCCTCCACACAGGAGCAAATCTCCTTCTGAAACAGATGCTTTGGGACTGGAAATTTGTATGAAGCTCTTTCCATGAGCTGTTCAGCTCAGCGCAAACCTTTAGTTTTGTATTCTTTCCGCTGGAATTGAAAAGAAGTCCCAGGCTTCCCTGCAGCTGTGGCTGTTTTCTCACTTCTTGTCCAGTAGAGTCCAGGAAGGGAAATGTGATCACCTATGACTCAAGGGCAGGCAGGTCCATATCCATTAAAGATGGGATGTAAATGGGGAAAAATCTCCTGAGATGAACCCCTCCCACAGACACTGCCCTCCAAGTCTCTTGCTGGAGTGCAGACTGAGAATCTCATTAGGAATCTAATACAATAAAGACATGTAGATGTTAAGGGTGGGGGTGGTGCGGAAATCAAATTAACTTCATTACTTTATTCTGCACCTCACAGCGCTTCTGCCAGTGGACAATTGCATTAGATCAGAGAGGAGATCAAAAGGCAAAAAACTCCCTGGAAATTCATTGTCTGAAGCAAGACTCGAGGGACAGGGAAGAACTCGGGGGAGGAGGCAGGAGTAAATTGGGTTGACCTGAGACATAAATTTACTACATCTGCCCACACTCATGCTAGGCCCTTTTCTTAGCTTTTTCAACTCCCGGGTCGATGTCTTGTTTTATGTTGGCCGTGGGAGATGGAGCAGGGAGGCCTGAGTCGAGAAGAGAGAAAGCAAAGCTCCCATCTTCAGCTTGGCTGTGGAGAATCATTTCAGCTTTGAGAGTTTTGCTTTCAGGCTCTTTAAATTTTAGAGCCCTTAGAATTAAGTAAATACCCAAAAATGTTGCTGAAATGCCACTAGACTTCTGGACCGTAACTGAAACACAGAGGAAGAAATGTTCAGGAAGCAAGAACATAAACATATTTGGTCACAAAACAGGTGGTGTGGGCATTTTTACAAGACAGAAATACAACCAGAGGTGTTATCATTTTTGAAAATTAAACTGGCTAAATATGATTGCAAAATACGGCATACTATGGCTTAATATATACTACATTTATTTAACAACTAGTTAATTGAGTTACTAGGAGTTGGGATGACATGTGCCAGAGTGGAAGTAAGTAATCAAAAAATAAAAACTCAAAACACCAAAACCCCCCAATAATGTGCGTCTTTCATGGGGGTCCAGGAGCCAACTGAAAGAGATCCCAACGGTCAAAGCTGGAACAATTTGAGCAACAAAAACAGTAGTATCAGATTATAACTCAAAGTACAAAATATATATCTCAATTTTCATGAATCCATGCTGATATTAGTTAATTAATTGGGGGAAGTGAGACCAACACTCTGTGTAGCAGAATTCCAAATAATTTATGTAAGGACTTCCTTCATCCTCAAAGAAGAGGAGCATAAACTCCCCATTCTGTAAGTGTGGGCTGCACAGAGTGACTTCCTTCCAAAAAGCACAGTGTGGAAAGTGGGGAAAAAAGACTGATTACACAGTGGAGGAAACTGACAAAAACTACCTCTGCTGGTTGCAACAAAGGTGACAAGTCAAGCTGATATGATGTATCTGATATATGTATACATATATGTATATGTATGTGATGTATATGAGAGAATGTAATAAAAATGCCACTTTACCTCTGTGATTAGCCTCCTAAAAACCCATAGCCCCAGTCAATCATGAGAAAAAAAATTCAGATAATGTCTAATAGATGAGCATTCTACAAAATACCCCACCAGTATTTCTCAAAACTACCAAGGTCAACAAAGACAAGGAAAGTCTGAGAAACTGTGACAGCCAAGAGGAACCTAAGGAGACATGATGAATAAAGGCAATGTGGTGTCCTAGATGGGGTCCTGGGGAGAAAAATGTTATTTGGTTATACTATAGAGGTTTGAGTAAAATATGGACCTTAGCTAATAATAATGTATGCATATTGGTTCATTAAACTGTAACCAATGATTCATACCAATATAAGATATTCATAATAGGGGAAACTGGATGCTTGGATATATGGGAACACTGTACTATCTTCTAAATTTTTCTGTAAATCAAAAGAAGTTCTAAAAGATAAAGTCTGTTAAAATAAGTAAATACTATAGCTCCACTCTCAAAAAACTTCCAATCAAGTGAGAAATAATCTAGAGACCTCTATAATAAATTCCTTTCCCTGTGCTCATCAGGAAATCAAACCACTAGAGGACTGCCACATTGAACCTACTTAATTTAATTTTAAGATTAAAAAATTAAGGAATCACTATTGACATTATTCGAAACTACTAATGTATTGTTTATACTATAATTGCAGAAGAAAAAGTATAGAAAATCCACTAAGGGATTTTTTTTTTTAATCTAGAGATAGACCTTATTTCACTGTGTAATTATTAATTAAACACTCTTCATACAGACCAATAAATGGCCTATATATGTAAAATATATATATTTATTAATATTAAATAAATATACAATCCTGTGGTCACCTACATTTGTCTCTCCCCTTTCCTTTCATACACACATGTAACACTTTATCCCCAGCTCCTTCCCTCAACCTTACCAAGGTAATTGTAGTTGACCCAGTCACCTCCTGGGACAAAGGCCTATCTGGAATTCCATGTTGTTCATTCATCTACAAATCAATAGATACATACTGACAATCAACTTTGTGCAGTAGCTAAGGGCAATGCAAAAGAGAGTAGAACATAACATCAAAAGCTAAAGAAATATGTAAGACAAAACAGGAATTGCGACATGACATTTGTGTGGTTAACTCCAAACCTCCAAATAACTTGTATTAACAGTAAACCCTATCATTTCTGATGACCGTACAGGGATATGTACTACAACTTCTTAAACAAAAGTTTCACTTAAAATATCAAACTTGAGTCAGGCCTTGGAGGAGTGTAGAGACTTGAAGAGAGTGGAGGGTCTCTGTCCAAGAATGGGCAGCTACAGCTGGTGTTGAGGGAAGACTATGGAGGCCACCAAGAATTTTTCGTGATTTTATAGGCAATTACAATTTGTTGGTCAATCGATTACGTATCAACACTATACCATTACTAATTCTTTGGTTGGCTGGGTGTGATGGCTCACGCCTGTAATCCCAGCACTTTGGGAGGCCAAGGCAGGTGGATCACTTGGGTCTAGAAGTTCAAGATCAGCTTGGGAAACATGGCAAAACACTGACTCTACAAAATGCAAAAAAAATTAGCCGGGAGTGGTGGTGCATGCCTGTCATCCCAGCTACTCGGGAGACTGAGGTGGGAGGATTGCTTGGGCCCAGGGAAATTGAGGCTGCAATGAGCATGATTGTACCACTGTACTCCATCCTGGATGATACAGTTGACAGAGACCCTGTCTTAAAATTCTTTGGTTGAGTTATGCATGTATTAAAATTAAATAGATTGTCAGTGACAAATTTCTTTCCCATAGGACAAATTGTGTCATGATTTTGTATGTGTATGTGTATATATATATACATATATATATGCATATTTCTGACCTTTTGTAAACTACACAATTTGGATAATCCAGCTTCAGAAATTATCTATCTATATGTCTATACATACGTCTCTTTCATGGCATCTAGCCATTCCAGAGTTAGCAATCTGATATCAGGATGTCCCTAGGGTATAGGAGACCTGTGACAAATGTTTTTTATGGGGCTCTTGTCTATATAAACAATTGGATTAAAAATTAAATGAGCCCATGTGAGATATAGTGGTATATTAATGAAGATTTAGAATAGATGGGTAGAGAATAGACACATATTTGTTTATTGTTCAATCAGAGCACATGGAAATTCTCTTCATGGATAGGTATCATCAAGCCTGTGTAAGTCCAGGAACCATCTCTTTGTGTTCTTTAACATCAAATGCTCCTTTCTCAGCTAATTTTATGTCTCCCTTCATAAGAAAAAAGTAGAAATGCTACTTTTATGGCTTAAAATGCTATAGCTCTTCAGAATCTGCTTGCACTGAAACAACGTAGATCTTTGTTTCTATAGTTTGTTTGTTGTTTTTTTTTTTTTTTTTTGAGATACCCGTTACCCAGGCTGGAGGGCAGTGGCACGATCTCAGCTCTCTGCAACCTCCATCTCCTGGGTTCAAGAGATTCTCCTGCCTCAGCCTCCCGAGTAGCTGGGATTACAGGCGTGTGCCACCACACCCAGCTAATTTTTGAATTTTTAGTAGAGACATGATTTCGCCATGTTGGCCAGGCTGGTCTTGAACTCCTGACCTCAGGTGATCTGCCTGCCTTGGCCTCCCAAAGTGCTGGGATTACAGATGTGAGCCACCTCACCCGGACTGTTTCTGTAGTTTTCTAATATCATTTAGTCAATGCTCTTTACATCATCCATGGTGCCACTAATGAATGCTGGCTTCACGACTCTCAAAAGTTGTTAACTATGTTTCACTGAGGATGACTGCAAATTCAAGACTTATCCAGAGTATGCAGGGAAATGTAAACAATATTTCATTTTCTGGTCAAATTTACTAATCAGAATTATACACACAAATAAATCTTTCAGCCATGACTTCTCCTGAATCCTGGGCTGTAACTTCTACATTCCTAAAATGTGATCCTTCACTGTTGACCACACCCCTGCCATACAACATCTGCTGGGCGGCCCAAGCAAAGCAGGCACATTCCCATAAGAAATGTCTGTCCTTTGAGAAAAGCTCAGGGAAGGCACTCATGGAGAGCCGCATCAGGAGCATCTGTTGACTCAGCTGGAGGAGCCTGTTGATCTGGTGGAGCAGTGGCCATCCCAGGGTTCCCTGGCATCTGCGGAGAGGGTGAGTGACCACCTTAGGTGCCAGCACTAGGGCACACAGAGGTAAGGGACAAGGAAGCCTGCTGCCCTTGGAAGCAGCACTGTGGTTGGAAGAGAGGCACGGCTCTAACAGAGAGAACTGGGTTGTAGTCCAGACACCTTAATTCTTCCATGTGCCTGACATGACTGGGAGTCACCCAAAATTAGCACGTGGGCACCACTCTGGGTGCCAGTCTCTGCAGCATCCTCTTGACCTGGCAGGGTGGGGGGGTCAGAGAGCCTCCAAAAAAGGCAGAAACAGGAACCCTGGGTGCCCTGCTTGGTTCCAGACAATAGGATAGACCTCCAACATTTTGAGGAGAGGTCACCAAAATGGGTGGAGGAATGGGGGTTATGGATGTTGAGTCAGAGCAGGGTCCTCCTGCTTGGATCTAAGGACAGTATGCATGAAATGTGCAACAGTCTTTTTAAAAAGTGTTTTGTTTGTTTGTTTGTTTGAGACAGAGTCTTGCTCTATTGCCCAGGCTGGAGTGCAGTGTCGTGATCTTGGCTCACTGCGAACTCCACCTCCCAGGTTCATGCCATTCTCCTGCCTCAGCCTCCCAAGTAGCTGGGACTACAGGCACCCGCCACTGCGCCTGGCTAATTTTTTTGTATTTTTAGTAGAGACAAAGTTTCACCATGTTAACCAGGATGGTCTCGATCTCCTGACCTCGTGATCCGCCTGCCTTGGTCTCCCAAAGTGCTGGGATTACAGGCGTGAGCCACCGCGCCCGGACTAAAAAAGTGGTTTAAAAACAACAACAACAACAACAAAAGTATGCTGTTGACTTATGGATTGTATAGTGGATTTTATGCATCCTGCTTCCATTCTGTATGAAGATGTTATTTAAAATAGGACTCATTTTTGTTGGGTTTCACAGAAACATTGGAATTAAGGCAGAAATTAGTGGCTAATGTGAAAACAATATGTGGAGTTTGTGGTGAAGGGCATACAGGAACTTCTGGATGTGAATAAGGTTGTATGTTGCCCTGGTTGCTGTCAATAGCCGCCTTGACTGCAGGATGGAAACCACCTGAAGATGAGGCCCACACACTAAGGAGAGCAGAGCTCAGAAAACCCCAGAATCAGGAGCTGGGTTCCGGATCACACGGAATCTGAGGTTTAACTTACCTGTGGACCTTTGAATTATGTGAACTGCTGGACCATATTTTATTCTTAAGCTATCTTGAGATGGATTTTTAAAAAAAATATTACTTAGTATCACAAAGATTAGGATTGGTAAAATTAGGATTGGTAAAAGCATTCATTGCCTACAAAACCAGCCTCAGTTGGAATTCTCATCCTTAAGCTGTTTTGAGATGAATTAAAAAAAAAAATACTAGGCCAGGCATGGTGGCTCACACCTGTAATCCCAGCACTTTGGGAGGCTGAGGCAAGTAGATCACTTGAGGTCAGGAGTTCAAGACCAGCCTGGCCAACTTGGTGAAACCCTGTGTCTACTAAAAATACAAAAATTAGGTGGGTGTGGTGGCAGTTGCCTGTAATCCCAGCTACTCGGGAGGCTGAGGCAGGAGAATCACTTGAACCCGGGAGGCAGAGGTTGCAATGAGCCGAGATTGTGCCACTACAGTCCAGCCTGGGCAACAGAGCGAGACTCTGTCTCAAAAAAAAAAAAAAAATTACTTAGAATCATAAAGATTAGGATTGGTAAAATTAGGATTGGTAAAAGCATTCTTTGCCTACAAAACCAGCCTTAGTTGGAATTCTCATCCTAAGAAGAACATAACAATAACTGGAAGGTAGACACATGGTCTATAAAAACTCTGAACACTAGGAAGAGCCTCTGAGGGTCCTTTACATGGTAATTCTTATATAACCGGAAGGAAATAAGTAATATTATTCTGAATAGCCTTGTACCTTTATCAAAGTGCCATCAGCCTTCATTAATTAACTTCTTTCCATGTCATTTCCATCCTTCCTATCTCTAGAACTCATTGACTCTATCATATTTGGAAATGTGATTAAACATTACCTTTTCTTTTTCTCATATTGCTCTAAATGTATTTGTATTTTCTCTCTAAATAGATTATATGCTTCTTGATATCAAGGTCTGTGGCAGGGAGCTTTTAAGGGCGCCCTCACTGAGCTACCTCATGGTACTCATACCCTTGTGTAATCCTCTCCCCTTGAATGTGGGCTGGTCTAGTGACTTGCTTTTAACAAATAGAATATAGCAAAAGTGATGGAATGGCACTTCTGCCATTAGGTCATAAAACACTTTGAGTTCTGTCTTGCTGGACTCTTGCTCTACAAAGTGAGAAAATTCCAAGCTGTAAAATATAATGTGAAGGGAAGCATTAAAAATAAGCAATGTACTGGCTTCTAAACCATAATAAAATATGACTGACAAGAATGTCTGTTTGGCTGTCCTTCCATCCTCTTTTAGTCTGCAAGTGAAAAGATCACCTCAACAGCATAAGCCAGCATCTACATTTTATCATACTTTAAGATTGCCCCTTAGGGCAGACTGAGTGAAAAGCACACATTTCCCAGTGTTTCCTTCTATCATCTTCATTTGTTTGCCTACCCCTTCCCCCAAAGCATTTGTGTCACTCTCTTCCCACATTTGGACGTTCTTAGCTTCTGAACTGAACTTCTGAAAGAGTTTAAAGGGGAGATGATCTGACAAGGAGATTTGCTTGTCTTAAAGCCCGGCTGTGCCTGCCTTTAATTAAAAATGGTATTGATTTTTCTCTGCTCTAATGATAGGCACTAGTCTGCCCTCCCCATGTTCGTAAGTGACAGTTTAAGTATGAAACAAAGGGCATTTATTCAGCACTTAATGCAAAATTATGACTGATTAAAAAGTGATTTATCATGAGAACTACATCTGCAGAGGCTTTTTTTTTTTAAATGCTCATTCTAACCAGAGTTTGGAAAGTATAGCAGGATGATTGGAACAATTCTCAACTTCCCTAATTCAGTTCTCCTTCCCTGGTTTCAGCACGAAACAAAAAATAAATTTTCCACTGAATTCAGGACCAAAAAGCATGGGAGGAAAAGTAATTCAGAATTCTAGAAGTCAGACTTGTAGCATATCCTAGGTAAGTTGCCAAGTTGCCGATTGGTAAGCTGCCAAGTTGCCTTCAGGTAGCAAAACACTGAGTCAGAACTTTTCCAGGACTACATTCTTCTGACACCTGACTCTTTCTCCTTTCCTACTTCCCATAGTGTTTAACACAGTGGAAAATGACCTGACATCTTGGATGAGAAAGCACTGCTAGAACATTTGAAAGGAAGATATGACAGCAAGAAAAGGAAGTTATGATTAGGTAATGCAGTCAACTTTTATTAAACCTTTGAATTTAGGTCTTTTTTCAGTCTTGAGTAGGCCCAGTCTCCCTTCTTTCTTGAGAGCAATGAGTAGCTTCCATGTCTTTTTTGGTTAAGAACACAAGCTCTGAAGCCCGCTCTTATGGTACAAATCTCATCGCTGTTGCATACGAGCTGTGTGGCCTTGAGCATGCTATTTAATCTTCCCATGACTCAGCTTCTTTACCTCTAAAATGAGGTTAATAATCTCACCACCATGTAGGGTTAATGGGAGTATTAAAACAATTAGAATGGTGTCTAATGCTTAATAAACACCTCAAAAATATTACTAGATTTCATCAAATGTAAGATGCCATCATAAATTACATCTTGATTTCAGAGATATTAACCATAAATAAAAGACACCTCTTAGAATTAGTAGGATACTATAGGTGGCTATTGTTGATAATGCCTACTTATTTATAACTATGAACTCTGACCAGAAAATGAAATGATACTCAAGGCTGAGGATTTTCATAAATATCAATACTAAAATAGGAGGGGTTGGCATGTTTCACACTTGTCTCTGCTGCCTCTTTTTATTCGCAGGTGGAGTGGGATAGTACAGACTCATGGATTTTGGTATTAGAAAGTCCTGGCTTTCTAATCCAGCTCTGTTACCTCCTAGGTTTCTAATCAAGTTACATCCCCTTGAAAGTCTCAGATGGAAATGGCAATGCCCATGTCACAATGATCTGGGTAACCCCTCAAGCAAACAAGCTTGGCATGAAGGTCAAGCCAAGCAGGGACACAGACACGCAAACACACACACATGCATCAAAGTAATCAATGCAGGTAAAATGAGAACATTATTGAACTATATCATACTTTACCGTTCAGAATTAACAACAACAAAAAAAACACATAAACTGGTTTCTGCTTCTGCTGATAAGGAGTTTGGAAGTTTCCAGTCTGTTCTAACAATGAGAACAAAGCTAAAAAGACTGAAAAATCAACTCTTTTTGGATTCAAAAGAGAAGTAAGAGCACAGGGCAAACTTCTACCCCCAAGATTGGAGAGAAAGACAGTGAATACAGGGAGACATGGGGTACTGGGGCAGAGACTCAAAAGTAGAAACTGCCCAGGGAATCAATGCTGGGGAAGAACAACAACAAAACCCTGAACTCTGATTGATGAACTGCTGGAGGCTCCATATGGAGAGTCTAAGAGTTAAAAATTCCAGGGGACTCAGTCACAGGGAGACCTCTACATTTTGTGAGTTTTACCATTAGGAGTTCATCTAGGTTTTCAGAGTAAATATCACAGAAAAATCTCCTCATGCTTCCAGCAGTGGGAGGGGAAAAGAAATCATTTTGAAATACATCAGAGCATTGTGTGCTGCCTAAAAAGGCCTAGCTTCAAGAGAAATTATTTCACTAGAGTATAACCTCCTGGGGTTTTATCAGAGCCTAACTGTCCTAGGGGAAGGGAAATACCCAACTCCAGCCAGCTGCAGCCTTCTACATGGGAGAAAGGAAATACCCAACTCCAGTTCCCTCTAACCATCCTTGTCCCACCTAAATGGGGGGTAAAGTGGTACTGAGAAACACTTGTGAAGTTCACAGTCAGAGGCACAGGCTCACTTAAAGACAGACCTAATCACAGGACTACAGAATGCTTCCCTTCCCCCACACCTTACCACCATGCCTCTAAAGGCCTATTTTAACTGTTCTTTTTTTCTTTTCTTTTCTTTTCTTTTCTTTTCTTTTCTTTTCTTTTCTTTCTTTATTCTCTTCTCTTCTCTTTTCTTTCTTTTTGGACAGAGTCTTGCTCTGGAGTGCAATAGTGCAGTGGCGTGATCTTTGTTCACTGAAACCTCTGCCTCCAGGGTTCAAGCAATTCTGTCTCAGCCTCCCGAGTAGCTGGGAATACAGGCACAGGCTGCCATGCCTGGCTAATTTTTTGTATTTTAGTAGAGATGGGGTTTCACCATGTTGCCCAGGCTGCTCTCGAACTCCTGAGCTCAGACAATCCACCCACCTCGGCCTCCCAAAGTGCTGGGATTACAGGTGTGAACCACTGTGCCTGGCCTCAACAGTTCCTTTTACCTGGCACATCATGTCCAGCTATCAAGAAAAAATTACAAAGCACACTAAAAGGTTACAAAAAAAAAAGAAAGAGAAACCCACTATTTGCAGATAGAGCATGCATCAGAACTCAGACATGGCAGGGATGTTGAATTATCAGACTGAGAATTTGGAATAACTATGAGCAATATGCTAAAAGCTCTAATGGCTGAAGTAGACAGCATGCAAGAGCAGATAGGCAATGTAAGTGGAGAGATGAAAATCCTAAAAAGGAAGCAAAAGAAATGCTAGATATAGAAAACACTATAACAGAAATGAAGAATGCCTTTGATGGGCTTATTAGTAGACTGAACACAACTGAGGCTGAAAGAGTCTCTGAGCTTGAAAATATGTCAATAGAAACATCTAAAACTAAAAAGCAAAGAGAACAAAGACTGATAAAAAAGAACAGAATGTCCGGCCGGGCACAGTGGCTCACGCCTGTAATCCCAGCACTTTGGGAGGCCAAGGCTGGCGGATCATGGTCAGGAGATTGAGACCATCCTGGCTAACATGGTGAAACCCCGTCTCTACTAAAAAAATACAAAAAATTAGCCAGGCGTGGTGGTGGGCGCCTGTAGTCCCAGCTACTTGGAGACTGAGGCAGGAGAATGGTGTGAACCTGGGAGGCAGAGCTTGCAGTAAGCCAAGATGTGCCACTGCACTCCAGCCTGGGCGACAGAGCGAGACTCCGTCTCAAAAAATAAAAACAAATAAAGAATGTCCAAGGGCTGTGGGAAAACTACAGAAGGCATCAATATGTTTAATGAGAGTTCCAAAAGGACAAGAAAGAAAGGAGAGAAGAAATATTTGAAATAATAATGATACAATTTCCAGAAATTAATGTCAGACACCAAAACACAGATCCAGGAAGTTCAGTGAACACTAAACAGGATGAGTGCAAAACACAAACAAAACAAATGCTACACCTGAGTGTATCATTTTCAAACTACAGAAAATCAAATAAATCCTGAAAAAAGCCAGAGGGAAAATACACCTTCTACATAGAAGAACAAAGATGAGAATTACACCTGACTTCTCAGAATCCAGGCAAGCAAAAAGAAAGTGAAGTAAAATATTTAAAGTGTTGAGGGGAAAAAAACCCACCAACAGAATTCTGTACCCTGTGAAATTATCCTTCAAAACTAAAGGAAAAGTACAAACTTTCTCAGATAAACTAAATCAAGGGAATTTGCTACCAGTAGACCCACCTGGCAAGAAATATTAAAAGAAGTTTATCAGAAAGAAGAAAAATAATATAGATCAGAAACTCAGATCTACATAGAGAAAGGAAGAGCATCAAAAAATAAATAAGTGAAGGTAAACTAAGAACTTTTATCTTTCTTATTCTTAGTTGATCTAGCCTATAATAGTTCAAAATTATAGCAACAATGTATTCAATTATACAATTATCTTATGTGTATATATGTGTTTAGAATGCTTACATACAAGAAATGAATAGCAGTAATGGGACAAAAAATAAAAGTTATTTTATTTTGCAAACTCTAGGACATCCACTAAAAGAAGTTCAAAAGAAGTATAATGTATATGCTAAGAAAGGAGATAAAATGTAATCATATAAAATGATAAATTTAAACCACAAAAATCAAAGAAAGAGTGGAAGACAAAATTAGAAACAGAGGACAAGGTAGCAAATAGAAAACAGTAACAAATATGGTAAATGTTAATCCAACTATATAAATAATCACATTGGATATCAGTGATCTAAATATACTAATTAAAAGACTAGAGCTTGTCATATGGATCAAACAACAAGACCTAACTATATGTTGTCTATAAGAACCCACTTTAATATAAAGACAAATATTAGATTAAAAGTAAATGGATGGAGAAAAATATACCAGGCTAACACTAATCAAAAGAAAGCAGTAGTAGATATACAGTCATGTGCCACCTGGTGACATTTTGGTCAATGATGAACCACATATACAACAGTAGCCTCATAAGATTATAATACCTTGTATTTACTGTACCTTTTCTATGTTTAGATACACAAATACCATTTTGTTATAACTGCCCACAATATTTAGTATGTGAACATGCTGTACAGGTTTATAGCCTGAGAGCAATAGACCATACCATCTAGGTTTGTGTACACCCTGTGATATTTGCACAATGATAAAATTGCCTAATGATGCATTTTTTGAAACATTTTTTCCATCATTAAGTGACACATGACTGTAATAATTTTTGACAGAGCAGGCTTCAAAGCAAGAGAAGTTATCAGAGATAAGGAGGGGCATTACATAAAGGCAAAACAGTCAATTCTCCAAGATGTTACAATCTTTAACGCGTATCTGCCTAACGCATTTCGAGCATCAAACTATATGAGGCAAAAACTGATAGGACAGCAAGGAGAAATCAATGGATTCACTATTATAGTTCAAGACTTTAATATCCCTCTATCAAAAATACCTCCAGCAGGCAGAAAATTAGTAAGGATATAGTTGAACTCAACATCACCATCAATCAACTGAATATAATTGATATCTATAGACTATTTCATCCAACAACAGCAGAATACACATCCTTCTGAAGCTCACATGAAGCATTCACCAAGATACCTTAACAAATTTAAAAGAATAGAAACCATACAATGTCTGTCTCAGACCATAATGGAATTGAACTAGAAATCAATGTTAACTGGAAAATCCTAAAATATGTGGAAACTAAACAGCACATTTATAAATAACACATGGGTCGAAAAAGAAATCTCAAGAGAAATTTAAAACTATTTTAAACTACATGAAAATGAAAATACAGCTTAGCAAAAGTTGTAGAATGCACCAAAGCAGTGCCTAGGGGCAAATGTATAGCACTAAATGCATATAGTACAAAATAAGAAAGATCTAAAATTAATAATAAAAGCTTCCACCTTAGAAAACTAGAAAAAGAAGAGCAAATTAATGCCAAAGGAAGCAAAAGAAAAGAAGTAATAAAAATTAGGACAGAAAACAATAAAATTTAAAAATAGGAAATCAATAGAGAAAATCAGCAAAACCAAAAGCTGGTACTTTGAAAAGATTGGTAAAGTTGATAAGCTTCTAGGCAGGCTGATTAAACAAAAACGAGGGAGAGAGAAGACACAAATTACTAATGTCAGAAGTGAAAGAGACAGAACATCACTATAGATCCTATGTATATTAAAAGGGTAATAAATATTATGAGCAACTAGATGCCCACAAATTTAATATGAAGCAATTCCTCGAAACACACAATCTGCTAAAATTCACACTAAAAGAAATAGATCATCTAAATACACATATATCTATTTTTAAAATTGAATCAATAATTAATAAGCTTCCAAAACAGAAAGCACCAGGCCCAGATGGAGTCAGTGGTGAATTCTACCAAACATTTAAGGAAGAATTTCTATCAATTCTGTACATTTTCCTTCAGAAGATAGCAGAATATTCTCTAACTCTCTGATACGGTTTGGCTGTGTTTCCCCACCCAAATTTCATCTCGAATTGTTATCCCCACATGCTGAGAGAGGGACCTGGTGGGAAATGATTGGATCATGGGGACAGTTTCCCCCATGCTGTTCTCATGATAGAGAGTTCTCACGAGACCTTATGGTTTAAAAGTCGCAGTTTCCCCTGCTTTCTCTCTCTCTGTCTTGCTGCCATGTAAGATGTGCCTTGCTTCCCCTTTGCCTTTCACCATGATTGTAAGTTTTCTGAGACCTCCCAGCCATGCAGAACTGTGAGTCAATTAAAACTCTTTCCTTTATAAATTACCCAGTCTTGGGTATTTCTTAGTAGCCATGAAAAAAGTGGACTAATACACTCTCTATGATGCTGGCATTGTCTTACTATCAAAATAAGACAAAGACATTACAAGAAAAGAAAAATACAGACCAATATCTCTCATGAATGTAGATGCAAATATCCTCAACAAAATCTTAGCAAATCAAATACATCAATGTATAAAATGAATTATACACCACCACCAAGTTGGATTTATTGTAGGTGTGCAAGTCTGGCTCAACATTCAAAAATCAATTAATATAAGCCATTACATCAACAGGCTAATGAAGAAAAATCACATGATCATATTAATAAATGAAGAGAAACATTTGATAAAATTCAACACCTACTCATGATTTAAAAAAAAACCTCTTAACTAGAAACAGAGGGGCACTTCCTGAACTTA
This sequence comes from Homo sapiens, assembly GCF_000001405.40. Taxonomy (NCBI): domain Eukaryota; kingdom Metazoa; phylum Chordata; class Mammalia; order Primates; family Hominidae; genus Homo; species Homo sapiens. Next base: position 217,960,575 of record NC_000001.11, read on the forward strand.
TTAAAGAATAGCTATATATAAAAAAAAAAACCTACGATGCCCAGGCACTGTGGCTCACACCTCTAATCCCAGCACTTTGCGAGGCCAAGGCGGGTGGATCACCTGAGGTCAAGAGTTCAAGACCAGCCTTGCCAACATGGTGAAACCCCATCTCTACTAAAAATACAAAAATTAGCCAGATATGATGGCACATGCCTGTAGCTACTCAGGAGGCTGAGCCAGGAGAATCACTTGAACCCAGGAGGCGGAGGTTGCAGTGAGCCGAGATCATGCCACTGCACTCCAGCCTGGGTGACAAGAGGGAGACTCTGTTTCAAAAAAAAAAAAAAAAACAGCAACAACAGCAACAACAAAAACCCTATGGCTATCATCATATTTAATGGTGAAAAACTAGAAGCTTTTCCACTAAGATTAGGAACAAAGCAATAATATCCTCTCCCCCTAGTCTTTTTCAACGTTGTACTAGTTAATGCAATAGGACAATAAAAGGGAATAAAATGTATACAGGTTTTGAAGGAAGAAATAAAACAGTCTTTGTTCATAGAAGACATGATTATCTATCTAGAAAGTCAAAAATATCAACAAAAAAAGTTCTGAAAGTAATAAATCATTATAGCAAGGTTGGGGAATACAAGATTACTATAGAAAAGTCAATCACTTTCCCATGTATAAATAGTGAACAATTGGAATTTAAAATTCAAAACACAATACCATTTACATTAGCATCCCAAGAAATGAAATACTTAGTTATAAATCTAACAAAATATGTACAAGATGTACATGAGGAAAACAACAAATTCTGATGAAAAAATAAGAAAACTAAATAAATGGAGAGATATTGAAGCAAGAGGAACTCTCATTTACTGCTGGTAAGAATGCAAAATGGTACAGACACTTTGGAAGACAGTTTGGCAAATTCTTACAAAACTAAACACACCCTTAGCATACAATCCAGCAATCATGCTTCTTAGTATTTCCCCCAAAGAAATAAAAAATTTAGAGCCACACAAAAACCTGCAAATGGATGTTTAAGGCAGCTTTATTCATAATGGCCAAAACTTGGAAGCAACTAAGATGTTTTCAGTAGATAAATGGATAAATAGAGTGTGGTACATCAGACAAAGGAATATTATTCAGTGCTAAAAATAAAAGAGCTCTTTATTTGCCTGTTGGGGCTGTGTGATATTGTAAAATGTCACATAGCATCTGGTCTTCGTCCAGTTTCCTGGCACAGAGTTCCTAAAACTCCTGGAATCTCCAGAGTTATAAGAGTATGGTTTTGTTTGTTTGTTTGTTTGTTTGTTTTTCAGATGGAGTCTCACTCTGTCGCCAGGCTGGAGTGGAGTGGTGCGATCTCGGCTCACTGCAACCTTCGCCTCCCAGGTTCAAGTGATTCTCCTGCCTCAGCCTCTCGAGTAGCTGGGACTACAAGTGTGCACCACCACTCCCAGCTAATTTTTGTATTTTTAGTAGAGACAGGGTTTCACCACATTGACCAGGATGGTCTCAATCTCTTGACCTTGTGATCTGCCCACCTCGGCCTCCCAAAGTGCTGGGATTACAGGCATGAGCCACTGCGTCCGGCCAAAAGTATGTTTTATATGCTAATAAGATAATTGGTGACTGGTGGCCTGTAGATAGCTTCAGGAAGGGGGATGTTTTCCAGAAAGCCCAAGGCATGAGTAGAAGGCTAGGACTTTCAGTTCAATCCCCCAACCTCTGGGGAGTGAAAAGGGACTAAAAATTGAGTTGATGATCAATGGCTAATGATGTAATAAATTATGCCTACATAATGAAGCTTCCATAAAAAACCAAAAGGGCTGGGCTCAGGAAGCTTCTGGATTGCTGAACACATGGAGCTGGAGGCTGGCATACACTGAGAGGACATGGAAGCTCTACACCCCTTGCCACGTGCCTTGCCCTGTCCATCCAGCTGTTCATCAGTATCCTTTATCATATTATTTATTCATAAACTGCTAAATGTAAGTGAAGTGTTTCCCCAAGTTCTATGAGCTGTCCTAGCATATTAATAAAAACTGAGGAAGATGCCACGGGAACCTCCAATTTAGAGCCAGGCTGGTGAGTCAGAAGTATAGATGACAACCTACTACTTGCAACTGGCTTCTGAATAGGAGGCAGTGTTGTGGGACTGAGCCCTTAACCTGTAGGATCTGACACTATCTCCAGGTAGACAGTATCAGAATTAGAGGACACCCTGATAGTGTATGCTGGAGACGTGATTGCTTGGTGTGTGGGTACAACCCCATACACATCTGGTGTCAAAAGCGTTGTGTTAACTGATGTGTAAGAGTGAGAAAAATACACCTTGGTTTCTCTCTATTTCTCTAAGAGGCAGCTGTAATAAGTACCATAGACTGGGTAGCTAAAACAGTGGACATTTATTTCTTACAGTTCTGGAGGCTGAGAAGTCCAAATCAAGGTGCCTGCCAAACTGGTTTCTGCCAAGGGCTCTCTTCATACCTGCAGATGACCTGCTTTTTGCTACGTCCTCACATAGCACAGGAAGTCATCTCTCTTGCTTTCTCTTTTTCCCACCAATCCCATCATAAAGGCCCTACCCTCATGAGCTCATCTAACCCTAATTGCCTCCCGAAGACCTGATCTTCAAACACCATCACATTGGGAGTTAGGGCTTCAATACATAAGTTTTTAGAGGACACAATTCAGTTCATACATAGCAGGCTGTAACATTAAGAGGTTGGGGAAAAGAGGAAACTGGGGGAAAAAAGAGACTGCCAAAGAGAAATATGCAGGATCAACCAGTAAAATAGGTGGAAAACCAAGAGAGTGGTGTCCTAGAGGCTAAATTTACAAAGAATATTAAGGAAGAAAATGTGATAAAATTTATTCAAATGCTTCTGGGAAAGTCAAATAATAAGAAAATGACCATTAAATTAGGGACATGGGGATTATTGGTGAGATTTACAAGAGAATTTTGGTGCAATTTTGGGGTGAAAGCCTGATTAGAGTAAGTTTGAGAGAGAATGGGAATATGGTAACAAGCTGATTTGGAATCCCCTTGAATTTCTCTACAAAACAAATAGATCAACTACGATTGTAAAACAAAAATCCACAGAGAACATCTACAGCAACACTGGATGACAAGGTATCTCCAGGAACTCCAAAACATCAAAATGTGTAGGGACAAAAAATTAAGAGCTAAGAAACTCACATGGTATTATGATATCATACAGGAGATGTGGCGAAAAGGCAATGGAGTTTTCAATAGCCCTGAAACAGAAGAATCCTCAAATGCCAACAAATTCTCACTGCAAAGCACACCACGCATCTGGAAACAGCTCCTAAAAGTGGAAGGGCACATAGCATCTAATTTATAGGTAAGGTAAGTGCAAGGGGACCATAATAAGTTGTATAGGCTAGAGTGGTTTGTACCCCGTGAACAAAATGAAGCTCACTTCTAGTACAAAGCACCACACTAAAGAGAAACTACTAAAAGTAGAATCCAGATTGAGCAGGACAAGGACAATCAGGGTATAGCAAAGAGGAGATCCAGAAAAAGTGATGAAGGGGACGCGGGAAACAGATCCCAGCAGATATGAGGATATATCCTTCTGAGAAAACAACAGAAAATGAAGCTTCGAGCCAAGAAGCTAATAGAAAAGATATTTTGGCCCACCTTTCTTTCTTAAAAGTAGTGAAAAACTAATTTTCTGAGGCATAGAAAAGGATAATTTGATATTATAAAAAAATTTTAAATAAATTTTTTAAAAAGGGACAGAAAACACCCTTACAGACAATTAATAGCATGCCAGAAACACATGCCCAAAAACTTATGAAAACTATAATCATCTAGTATCTCAAACTGAGCCAAAAACAATTTTAAGTGGTGGAATCAATGAATGCCCATTCTAAATTAAAGTATTAAAATACGAAAGTAAAGTAATTGTAGAAACTTTTGATTCGAAAGGAAGGAAATATATAGATAAAAGAGTCATTTCAGAAATGAAGACTAGAAGAAATACAAAAGTGAATAAATGTGACAGACAATGCATTAAAAGAAACAGAAAGGGAAAAGGAGTAAAATTCTAAAACGTTTTTTAGTTTGTGTTACAGCTCTTTCAGTCCTGCCACTTGGCAGGTCCGGAGTTCTTGTCCTGTGTCCAGGAAGAATGACATACGTGGACAGCTGGATGGTGAGCAAGGTGGAGATGAGCTTTATTGAGCAACAGAACCGCTCTCAGGAGACCTGAAGTGGGTAACTCCTTTCCACAGGCAGGTAGTCCCAACGAGTCAAGGAGACCAGAAGTGGGTAGCTCCTTCCTGCAGCTGGTAGTCCTGATATCTGTGTGAGTGTGGCGGGTCCTGGAAGTTTTTATGTCTCAGAAGGGAGGAAGTACATGCTGATTGGTCCATGGGCGACCATGGCCGGGCCCAGGAAAAGCACCTAAGTTCTCATTCCAGGCCGTGGACTCCATCCAGACCTGATAGCCTGGCCCCCAGGCTTCGGGCTGTCCCTGGCTTGAAGGTGGGGCTTCACTGGAAACCTGTCCCTTTCTGCCCAGGAGCCTATCTGCCTCATTCCGTCATCAATCACATCGTCCACAGCATCCAGTCTGTTTCTGCCAAAGGGTGCCTGCAAGCCCTTGCCGAGCCACCTTCAGCACCCTCTTCCACTTCTGCCTCCCTCCCGCACTCATCAGTGCCAAAAGTACGGAGGGGGCTGAGGCAGCAGGGGGCTGGTGTGTCAGCATCTCCCTGAGCATGTACACACCTGGCTGGGTTGTGACAGTGCCTGGGCTCGGCCACAACTTTGCTCTATCTCAGAGCGGGTACAGGGAGCTAGGAGAGGCCAGCGAGTAGAAGCAGGCACTTTTGAGCCTGTGGAACTGGGGGGTGCTTCCTGGGCACCCAAGAGCACAGGAATGTCTGGGTCTGGAGCCACAGCTGGGCACCTGCAGCCTGGGAGCACGGGGCTTCTGTCCCACTGACCCAGTAGGGGGAGGGGCTCCTGCCTATTCCCTCCCCTCTGGCTCTGCAGAGCACACAGCCCCAGCCATGCCTTTGCTGATGCAGCTGGCATTTACACAGCAGCTGCTCTGGACGGGCTGGTGCTACTGTCACTGGGATAACTGGCTAGCCATTTGCAGAAGATTGAAACTGGACCCATTCCTTACATCATACACAAAAATCAACTCAAGATGGATTAAAGACTTACATGTAAAACCCAAAACTATAAAATCCCTGAAAGATAACCTAAGAAATATCATTCTTGACATAGGACCTGGCAAAGATTTTGAAGCAGGATATTTCCCTGACCCCTTTGCATGTGGGAACTGGAATGCATGGGTGCTGGCAGGGGTGAACTCCATTCACTTGACCTGCTGTGCTGCACCCCTCTTGGGAGAGGGAGCACACAGGTGAGTAGGTGCAGGAGCCTGGACAATCACTTTGGGGTGCTGGCAAGAGCAAACTCTGTACTGGCCTTGTGGCAGCATCTGGGGTGTGTCTGCAACCCCTGAAGCCCCAGAGGAAGTGCTACAGTGCTCTTTTAGCTTTGCTGCCCATGGATGGCTTAAGTGTTAACATCTCAGTGGAGGGTCAGTGTGACAGCCTTTTGTACCCACACTTGTGGCACCTGAGTTCTTGTCCGGCATCCAGGAGGAATGATGTTGCACGAACGAATTGAAAATGGTAAATCAGCAGATTTTATTGCTGATGAAAGTGGCTCTCAGTGGGAGAGGGAGCTTAAAATGGGTTGGAGCAGGAAGTCCCCACTCCACCATCCCCAGCCAGACTTCTCTCTGAAGCTAGGCCATCAAGCTATCCCTTGGAAGTCAAGCTGCTTCTCTCTTATGTCCATTTGTAGTCTCTGACATCCAGTTGCTATTCTCCTCTTCTGTGTCAGCTGAGTCTGGGATTTTTATGGACGCAGGATGGAGGGTGGGGGTTTTGGAAAAGGCAACATTGGAGCCGGAAAACACGGGTGTATGTTCTCACTTTGGGCCATGGTATCAGGTTTTTTGGCTTGAGGGTGGGGCCCTCACCGGTGACCCACCCTCCTCTGCCCAGAATTTCCCTGCCTCCTGTCCCTATCAATTTCATGATGAAGATGCCAAAAGCAATCGCAACAAAAACAAAAATTGACAAATGGGACTTCGTTAAACTAAAGAGCTTCTGCATATCAAAAGAAAGTATTAACAGAGTAAACAGACAACCTACAGAATGGGGGAAAATTTTTACAAACTATGCATCTGACAAAGGTCTAATATCTGGAATTTTTAAGAAACTTAAATTTATAAGAATGAAACAACCCTATTTAAAAAGTGGACGAAGTACATGAACAGGCACTTTTCTAAAGAAGACATGCATGTGGCCAATAAGCATATGAAAAAATGCTCAACATCGCCATCATTAGAAAAATGCAAATAAATCACAATGAGATCCATCTCATACCAGTCAGGATTATTAAAAAGTCAAAAATAACAGATGGTGGTGAGGTTGTGGAGTAAAGGGAATGCTTATACACTGCTGCTGGGAATGTAAAATAGTTCAGCCATTGTGGAAAGTGGTGTAGCAATTCCTCAAAGAACTAAAAACAGAATTACACTCAACCAAGCAATTTCATTATTGGGTATATACCTGAAGGAATGTAAATTTTTCTACCATAAAGACACATGCACACATATGTTCTTTGCAGCACTCTTCACAATAGCAAAGACATGAAATCAACCTAAATGCCAATTAATATTAGACTGGATAAAGAAAATGTGTGCATGTACACCATGGCATACTTGCAGCCATGGAAAAGAATGAGATAATGTTATTTGCAGCAACATGGATTGATCTGGAGGCTATTATCCTGAGTGAATTAATGCAGGAACAGAAAATCATATACTGCATGTTCTCACTTATAAGTGGGAGCTAAACAATGAGTACATATGAACACAAAAAAAGGAACAACAGACTCTACTTGAGGGTGGATTTGCGAAGGTGGGTGAGGATTGAAAAAATACCTATTAGATACTATGCTATACCTGGGCAATGAAATAACCTGTACACCAAATCCTTGTGACATGCAATGTGCCTATATAACAAACCTGCACATAAACCCCACATGTCTTCTTTTGAAAAGTGTCTGTTCATGTCCTTTGTCCACTTTTTAATGGAGTTGTTTTATTCTTGTAAATTTAAGTTTCTTAAAGATTCTAGATATTAGACCTTTGTCAGATGCATAGTTCACAAACATTTTCTCCCATTCTGTAGGTTGTCTGCTTACTCTGTTGACAGTTTATTTTGCTATGCAGAAGCTCTTTAGTCTAACGAAGTCCCATTTGTCAATTTTTGTTTTTGTTGTGATTACTTTTGGCATCTTCATCATGAAATCTTTGCCAGGTCCTATATACAGAATGGTATTTCCTAAGTTATCTTCCAGAGTTTTTATATTTTGGGTTTTACATTTAAGTTTTTCATCCATTTTGAGTTGATTTTTGTATGGTGCAAGGAAGGGGTCCAGTTTCAATCCTCTGCAAATGGCTAGCCAGTTATTCCAGTTATGGCAGTGGCGGCCCATCTGGAGCGGCTGCTGCAAAGACTCCAGCTGCAGTGGGGAAGGCATGGCTGGGGCTGCATGCTCTGTGGACTGGCGGGGGCCAAGAACAGGCGGCAACACCAACCCCTACTGAGTCAGAAGGCAGGAGCCCCGAGCTTCCAGGCACAGCTGCAGCCACCCAGCTGTGGCTCCCGACCCAGGCATCCCAGTGCTCTTGGGGGCCCAGGAAGATCCCCCAGCTGCCACAGGCTTGGAAGTGCCTGCTCCTGCTCCCTGGCCTCCCCACCTCCCAGGACTCACTCTGAGGTGGAGCAAAGTTGTGGCCAAACCCAGGTGCTGTCACAACCCGGCCAGGTGTGTGCACACTCAGAGCAGAGCTGACACACTAGCCCCTTGCTGCCCCTTGCTGCCTTGGCCCCCTCCAGACTCTGGGTGCCGACAAGTGTGTGAGGGATGTCAGGAGGTCTGAAGGTAGCTTGGCATGGGTCTGCAGGCACCCCTTGGCATGAACTACCTGGGTGCCATGGACAACACGATTGATGGTGGCAGGAGGCAGACAGACTCCTGGGTAGAAAGGGGCAGTTTCCCAGTGAAGCACCACCTCCAAGCCAGGGACGACCTGAAGTGCTGGGCTGTCAGTTCCAGGTGGAGTCCATGGCAGGGAGCGAGAACTTATGGCGCTTTTTTTGGGCCTGCCCATGGCCACCCATGGACCAATCAGCATGCACTTCCTCCTTTCTGAGCCCATAAAAATCCTTGACCTGGCCAGACTCACACAGACATTGGAACTACCAGCTGCAGGAAGGAGCTACCCACGTCAGGTCTCCTTGACTCATTGGGACTACCTGCCTGTGGAAAGGAGTTACCCACTCTGGATCTCCTCTTGGCTGAGATCTCCAACTCATCAGGATGACCTGCCTGCAGATACAAGCTACCCACTCCAGGTATCCTCTCCACTGAGGGCTGCACTTGTCAGAACTACCTTCCTGTGGAAAGGAGCTACCCACTTTGGGTTTCCTGAGAGCTGTTCTGTTACTCAATAAAGCTTCTTTCTGCCTTGTTCACCATCCAGCTGTCTGTGTACCTCATTCTTCCTGGACATGGGACAAGAATTCAGGACTCAGCGAATAGTGAGCCTGAAAGAACTAACAAAAACAGAGCTGAAACATGCCCCTCCCCACCGCCCTGCCACCACCTCTCACCATGCTGTGGGCAATGAGAAAGAGAGAAGAGCTGCAGCCTTTTGGGGAGCCCAGACCTAGAGGCTCCCTGAGCCAGGGTTGTGACACCCTCTTCGAGACTCTGCAGTTTCTGGCATCTCCAAGCTTTTGGGCACCACCACCACATTCTCCTCATCCAGATACCGGTGCCCGCTGCAGAAGCCACTTGTGGTGCATCTGATCTAGTGGCAGGCTTGCACAGAGCTGGCGCCTGTGCCAGCACCTGGCCTGCTGCAGCAGCTGGCATGCCTGGCTGCGCACACTGGCTGGACCCTGCACTGACTTGCTCACACACCCCTCACAGCTCCATGCCTGGCTCACCCTTGGCAGGTGTGGGTTCTGGGCTGGCAGCAAGAGCCAAGTGCAGCCTGCCCGGCCAAGTGGGTGGAAGGAGCCCAGCAGGCCCAAGCAAAACTCGGGCAAAAGCACCACCAGCCACAGAGGTTTCCGGCTGGAAAAGTGACACCTGAATGATCCCGAGACACCAGCACCATTTATTGAATAGGAAGTCCTTTCCCCATTGCTTGTTTTTGTCAACTTTGTCGAAGATCAGAGGGTTGTAGGTGTGTGGCATTATTTTAGGGCTCTCTCTTCTGTTCCATTGGTCTACATGTTTGCTTTTATATCAGTATCATGCTGCTTTGGTTACTGTAGCCCTGTAGTATAGTTTGAAGTTGGGTAATATGATGTATCCAGTTTTGTTCTTTTTTGTTAGGATTGTCTTGGCTATTTGGGCATTATTTGGTTCCACATGAAGTTTAGAGTAGTTTTTTCTAATTCTGTAAAGAATGTCATTAGTAGTTTTATAGGAATATCCTTGAATCTGTAGATTGCTTTGGGTAGTATGGCCATTTTAATGATATTGATTTTTCTATCTATAAGCATGAAATGTTTTCTTGCTTGTTGAGTTCTTGTTGTTGAGATCTTTCACCTCCCTAGTTAGCTGTATTCCTAAGAATTTTATTATTTATGTGGCTATTGTGAATAAAATTGTATTTCCGATTTGGGTCTTGGCTTAGATGTTGTTGGTGTATAGGAATGCTACTGATTTTTGTACATTGATTTTGCATCCTGAAACTTTGCTGAAGTTGTTTATCATCTCAAGGTGTTTTGAGGCAGAGGCTATGGAGTTTTCTAGATATAGAATCGTGTTGCCAACAAACATGGATAGTTTGACTTTCTCTTTTCCTGTTTGGATGCCTTTTATTTCTTTCCCTTGCTTCATTACTCTGGCTAGAACTTTCAGTACTACATTGAATAGGAATGGTGAGAGTGGGCATCCTTTTCTGGTTCTTGTTTTCAGGGGGAATGCTTCCAGCTTTTGCCCATTCAGGATGATGTCAGCTGTGGATTTGTCATAGATAGATCTTCTTGTTTTGAAGTATGTTCCTTCATTGCCTAGTTTATTGAGTGTTTTTAACATGAAGGGATGTTGAATTTAATCAAAAGTTATTTCTGCATCTATTGAGATGATTCTGTGGTTTTTGTCTTTAGTTGTGTTTATGTGATGAGTCGCATCTATTGCTTTGTCAATGTTGACTAAACCTTGCATTCCAGGGATAAAGCCTACTTGATCATGGTGGCTTGGCTTTCTCAAGTGCTGCTGGATTCAGGTTGCTAGTATTTTTGTTGAGGTTTTTATGATCTATGTTCATCCAAGATATTGGCCTGAAGCTTTCTCTTTTTTTGTTGTGTCTTTGCCAGGATTTTTTATCAGAATGATGTTGGCATCATAAAATGAGTTAGGAGCAGTCTCTTCTCCTCAGGTTTTTTGTTTGTTTGTTTTGTTTTTGGGATAATTTCAATAAAAATGGTACCAGCTCTTTTTTATCCAACTGGTAGAATTTGGTTGTGCATCCATTCAGTCGTGGGCTTTTTCTGGTTGGTAAGCTTTTTATTACTCATTCAATTTTGGAACTCATTATTCGTCTGTTCAGGGAATCAATTTCTTCCTGGCTCAATGTTGGGAGGTTGTGTTTCCAAGAATTTATGCATTTCTTCTAAGTTTTCTAGTTTGTGTGTACAGAATTGTTCTTAGTAGTCTCTGATCATTTTTTCTGTGTTTCTGTGGGGTCACTGGTAATGACCCTTTGTCATTTCTAATTGTGTTTATTTGGATCTTTTCTCTTTTTGTATTTCTTAGTCTAGCTAGCAGTCTATCAATCTTATTTTTTCTTTCAAAAAACCAATTTCTGGATTCAATGATCTTTTTGTATGCGTTTTTGTGTCTCAATTTCCTTCAGTTCAGCTCTGATTTTGGTTATTTCTTGTCTTCGGCTGACTTTGAGGTTGGTTTGCTCTTATTTTTCTAGTTTCTCTAGGTGTGATGTTAAGCTGTTAAATTGAGATCTTCCTAACTTTTGAATGTGTGTATTTAGCACTATAAAATTCCATGTTAATACTGTTTTAGCTGTGTCCCAGTGATTCTGACCTGTTGTATCTTTGTTCTCATTAGTTTCAAAGAATTTCATGATTTCTGCCTTAATTTCATTGTTTACGCCAAAGTCATTCAGGAGCAGGTTGTTTAATTTCCATATAATTATATGATTTTCAGTGATTTTACTAGTATTGATTTTTATTTTTATTGTGCTGTGGTCCAAGAATGGGGTTGGTATAATTTTGTGTTTTTTTTATTTGCCAAGAATTGTACGACCAATTATATGGTCAATTTTAGAGTATGTGCCATGTGCAGATGAGAAGAATGTATATTCTGTTGTTTTGGGGGTAAATACACTAATGATATTTGTTAGTAGTATAGTCCTTAACTGTGAAATCCCCTTTACAAGATGTTCTGGTTTAAGACTGCATATCATAAACAAACATACAGATTCTAGTAATAATTAAAGCATGGCTCACTGGAGAATATTGCCTAGATTACACAAAAATCTGAGGTATAAAATGAAAGTATTCCATAACCCAAAGACTCACCAATGTGTAAGATGATGTACTGATTTCACTTAGGGACTTCAGCTATCATTCTAGTCCATAAAGTACATTCTCAGTGCAGAAAGGGAGTACCTGGGGAGTCCTGTGGGTTTTCACAGACCTCTTTTTTCTTTCTTTGTGCTTCTTGATTGCTTGTATTCTTGAAAGTATTAATAAAGCTAGATCATGTGAGTTGGTTAGCTCAATGTGTTAGCTCAATTGCCAAGTGGGCTTTATGCCAGATATGCAAGTTCGGTTTACATTAAAAAATCAATCAATGTGATTCATCATATAAATAGGATAAGAGTGACAGGTGTAAACATAATACCATCTCATAACTCTATAATAATTTATTCCATAAATATTTATTGACTGCCTCCCATGTGCCAGGTACTGCTCAGGACTCTGAGTAGAGCAGTGGGACAAACACACACCACCATCACCACCAATAACAACAAAGTCTCTGCTTTCATGGAACTTACATTCTAATCATCTGAATCTGGTGTCTGTGGGAAAAATTCAGATATAGATATTTCTCAGGTATTTCAATGCATGGAATAGGAGATGCAGACATCTTACTACGTAAATGATTAAAACCATGTCAATCTATATCTAGTTTCCTGAGAATTATAAGAACTCTGGTTTATTAAAATTTTCTGTGCAAACAAACTAATCCAGCTAACGAGAGAACTAGAAAGATTCAATGTGCGTGTGCACGTGATAGATTGGTTATTGTGCTCGTCAATTAGATTGCCCTTTAAATATCTTTGGGGTTCTAACAAAGGCATCATCAATTCAATTGAAGTATCTAAGCACCACCCAAGACAATGGACCAAGGCTTTCTGCCTTCTGTGAACTCTAAAATAACTAACTGATGAATAACTATAGTTCAATACATCCTCTTTTAGTGAATTGTAAGTATGTATATTTCATATGCCGTGAAGAAATCTGCCCAGTAAATGATGACAGCCAATTACATGCAGACCTCTTGGGTATTCCTATCAGGCTATGATAGGAGAGTTGCCCTGAAAACTGTGCTTGTGGTTTCTCTATATGGTAAGTCCCCTTCACCTATATGCTGGAAATCAATAATGCTACTTTCTTAGCATTGGGGGAATAAAAACTTTAGTCATAAGTGAAGGAGCCTTATAGATAATCTTACTAAATTCCCATTTTCTGGTGCTTCAAAGAAATCCTGGAAATACAACTTAGTGGATGAGGCAGATGGCATTATTTCATAACCTACCATGTTTACCAGGTCCGCCAAGACTATGAAACAAATATATGTTGTAGGTTTTTTGTTAACACTAAGAATACCAGAGATTTGGTTTCTGCCCTGTTGGACAGCTTATGATATACCACGGAACATTGACTTTGGTATGGTAAACATTATAAAGAAGAGTTGGACTCAGCCTGGTCTGAGGGATGAGAAAGGACTTCTCATGATATTTATGTTGAGATTGAAGATTGAGGTATGAGTTAACCAGTTGAAAAGAGAAGAGAGGAAATTTGACAAACACTATCAGTTGCCTGCCTCTATTATAGAGACTATCGAGGTTAAAAGTTTGATTTCCCACACCATCTTCCAGCAGGGGTAGCCATGTGACACAGTTCTGGCCAATGAGATATAGAGATAAATCCCTGAAAAGAGCAACCATTCTCTAATAAAAACACAAAGCCTTGCAATGAGAGAGCCTTTTGGTCCTTTCATTTTTTGCTGTGTTTTTCTTAAACCTCGTCCTTTTTTCCATCTGTACATTGATTTGATGTCCAAGAATGTTGTAGCCATTTTGCCACAATGAGGTAACCTTTATGAGACAAGAGACTGCAGAGGAGAGTATTTTCTGGTACTACACTGTTGTGTAGTATCTCCAAATCTGGACTTCTGTCAGAGCTGGGTCAAATGTCTTGCTTGTGAAAGAAGTAAACCCTATCTCTAGGCAAAAGCTAATTGAGTTTTCTGTTATTTGCTGCTAAGTGCATTCTTACATGACATAGAAAAGAGGCGATAAGTTCAAAAAGTAGGCCTGGGTTTAATAGTGCCAGGCCTTATAGGCCATTTAAAAAATTCTATCAGTCAGGGTCCAATTAGAGAAGTAGAAGTGTGTGTGTGTGTGTGTGTGTGTACACAAACATACATATGTTTACCACTTACACAATGTGAGGATGGGCTAGCAAGTCTAAAGTCTGTAAGGGAAGCCATCAGGAGGTAAAGATCACAAGAAGGCTAGAATCCCACCGGCATAAGCTGTTTGGTATCTTGAAGCTTGAGAAAGGACTAACCTCTTAAAAGACTCATCTGATTAGGTCAGGCCCACTCAGGATAATCTTTTAATTAATTTAAATTCAATTAGTTAGGATCTTAAATCACATCTGAAAAATTTCTTCACAGTAGCACCTTGATTACATTTGATTGAATAACTGGGGACTGTAGTTTAGCCTAGCCAACTTGAAATATCAAAAGCCAACACATTGACTTTATCGCAAGGTCAATGGGAAGCCTTTGAAATTTTAAGCAGAAAAGGAGAGTGTGGCTAAAGTGTGGAAGCTGACTGGGAAGTGAAATAATTTGGGAGAGTAGGAAAAAATTCATGTAGGAAGCTATTGCAGTAACCTAGAATAGAGAGATTATCAAGATTTAAAGTAATATGATGGGAGTGAGGATGGGAATAAGAGGAGAAATTGGAGGACCATGTAGGACTGGACTCTGGTGAGTGACTGAGTAAGAGGAAGACAGAAGAATCGGTATGACCTTCTGGGCTTCTGGTGTGTAATAGGGGATTGTTTACCACTTATGGAGACCTGTAGACCTAGAAGGAAAGTTGTGCCATTTACTAAGATCACAATTCCAGAGGAAGAGTGCATTTAGAGGGGAAAATTATAAATTCCATTTTAGGGTAAGCCCTATGAAGAGCCAATGGGATATACTCTGTGGATTTATCGAGGAGATTGTTGGATGGTGAGGGGTGCATTGATCTAGAGCTCAAAAGAGCGATCTAGACTAGAGATATAAATGCAGGACTTGTTGACCATGAGTACTTGATGTCATGAAAATGGATTAGTGGGTCTGGAGAGAATACTGGAGTGAGAAGAAGAGGATACATTTCCATGTTTTTCTAATATCTCATAGGTGGAAAAGAATCTGGCAGGAGACAGTAATAAGAAGGATCTTGCTACAGATTTGAGGACTCAACTGTTGTTTTAAAGGCTGAAATGACCTGCATGGTAGGAACATGCTTGCAGGAGTCCCACACTACTGAAAGAAGACTTCTTTGAAGATAAAATGTATCCAGGTACATGGCACTGGAGGAAGAGGTGAGAGGTCAAACACTTATCAAAGACTACGTCTTAGAGTTGGATAGGGTTGGGAACACATCTTCATCACAACCCCAATGCTATAATCTCACAATGTAAATGAGGCTACCTCATAGAAATTGAGGTGAAGAGTAAATCATATATTCCACATGGACATTAAACAACACTCAAAAATAATTTTTAAAGAGACTGGTTCTATAGTACAGTAGTCTCCCCTTTTCCATGGGGGATACATTTCAAGGCCCCACCTGAAACCACAAATAGTACTGCATTATATATACTCTGTTTTGTCCTATACATACATACCTATGAAGAAGTTTATAAATTAGTCACAGAAAGAGATTAACAATAAGTAATAAAGTAGAACAATAACAATACTCAGAACATCATGCAATTTAAAAGTTATAAATTGTTTATTTCTGGAAATTTTCCATTTAATATTTTGAACCACAGGTGAAGGTACATAACTGAAACTGGAAAGCAAAACTGTGGATAAGGGTGACTACTGTAAAGCCAAACATACGTAATAACTAAACTATGTTTTGAACATTTACCATGCACTAGGTACTAGTCAAAATGCCTCGCATGTAGTAACCCATTGAATTCTCACAATAACCCTTCTAAGGAGGTAATACTATTCAATGTTTCAGGATGAAGCACAGAGGTTCGTCCAAGTTCATTTGTTCATTCAACAAACATTCATTAATCATTTACTGTTGCTTTTCAAGATGCTAGACATACATCAGTAACAAAACAGACAAAATTTCTTCTCCAATAGAGTTTACATTCTAGTGGGGAAGACAGTGTTCGAAGGTGATAAGTGATATGAAAGGAACATTAAGAGCAGGAGAAGGGGAATTACTGATGCCAGGGCTAGAGGTTTTGTGTTGCAGTCAGAGGAGGCCTTACTAAGTCTGTATTTGGACAAAAACTTGATAGAACCAAAGAACAGCAAGGAGGTCACTTTGGCCAGTGTGAGATGAGCAAGTGTGAGAAGATGAGCTTAGGAAGTTAGTGGAGAGCCAGGTGGGGCCAAGTCTTGGAGGCCACTGAAGACTTTGGCTTTATGCTGAGTAAAATGGGGGCTGTTGGAGGGTTTCATGGAGGACATCATTCAATTCACCTAATAAAAGGATAACTCTGGTTGCTGGTTTGATGATTAATTTTTGGGGGGTTAGCCAAAAACTAGAAGGTCAGTTGAGAGGCTATTACGAAGATCTAACAAGAGATTGCTTGGTGCTTGAACCAAGGATGTAATGGTGGAAGGGCTGGTAGGAGTTTGGGCATATTTTGAAAATAGAGCTAGTAGAATTCCCTGATTGGATGGAGGACATGAGAAAAAGAGAGGAGTCAAGGATGACTCCAGTGTTCTTGGGCTGGGAAATTAGAAGACAAAAATTGCCACTAATTCTAATGGGAAAGATCACAGGTGGAGCAGATTTTGTGGAGGAGATAAGAAAATCAGTGTTGGGGCCAGGTGTGGTGGCTCACACCTGTAATTCCAGCAATTTGGGAGGCTGAGGTGGGAGGATCATCTGAGATAAGGAGTTCGAGACCAGCCTGGCCAACATGGTGAAACCCTATCTCTACTAAAAATACAAAAATTAGCTGGGTGTAGTGGCGGGTGCCTGTAATCCCAGCTACTCGGAAGGCTGAGGCAGGAGAATTGCTTCAACCTGGGAGGTGGAGGTTGCAGTGAGCCGAGATGGCGCCATTGCACTCCAGCCTGGGCGATGAGAGTGAAACTTCATCTAAAAAAAAAAATCAGTGTTGGATATAAAGAGTCCACCATGTATCATTGCATTACACATTCATATTTTTTCTTCCTGGATTTTTAAAAGAGGCATATCTGGAATACGTACTCATTTAAAAATAATATCTGACAACCAGCTACCTTCTTGGACAGCTTCGTAACTATTTCCACAAGGTAAGTCATACCTATGTTTTTGATAATCTTGGGAAAAAAAGCGTACTTTAATAATAATTTTATTATTTTCTGTAAGCATTTTAAACAAATTTAACATAAAGGATTATGAAGTTCTTTGATGGAAAGTGGTTAGGACAGGTCTCAGTCTGAGCAAAACAGAGATTAGGAATCCCTGTTTAATTTAGCTAGGCTCTTTGGTTATGAGGACTTGAAGTAGAGGGCTTCCAGTGGATGTTTCCAGCACCTTCTCCTGAGTCCCTTTATCTTTCCATCTTCCAAGTCTCACAATCAGGCATCCCTGTCCTCCTTCTCTGCACATTGGCAATGGATAAGGCTCTTCCCTTATGCTACAAAGTGGAGCTCCTCAAGCTTTGCTGGGTGGTGAATGATACTCAGTCCTGACAGGATGTGGAAGAGAGGATGCCTGCCTCTGTCCCCAAATGAGGGGGACAGGAGGCACTTCATTCCTTTTTAGTCTTCCTACTAGGACTAGTTCTCCTAAGAAATAAGCATAAGCTAATCATTTTTTAATCTTTTCTTAAAGAGAGATTATTCCTCCTATCAGGAAGGCTTTCCCCTCCCCCCAATTTGACATAATGCATTCACCATTACTGTTTGTCTCACTCCAGAGCTTGGCTTGCATTACAAAAGTCACCACATTTGCTGAAAATAGCTGCCTCTTAGTTAGTCCTGTGGTGTTTGTGTTTTCATTTAGCTGGGGCTTAATCCTGATAGAAGGAGAGGATTTTCTAGTTAATCCTGCCCCCCATAATTATAAGAATAAAATGGACTGAATGACTACAAAGAACTGAATTAAAACAATTCCAATACATCCATCAAGGCATTTGGATATTAATTAGAGACACTAGCATAAAATAAGCGCTAGAGAATGGCTAGATTAGAAAAAGTAAGCATCCCTTTGATTGTGTATTCTAGGTGTATTTTGAACTGAGACAAATTCTGACCTCAGTGAATAAATTGACAAAGCATGATTTTTCTAAACAACTTTACATTGTGGTTGTGAAAGATGTTCTTGCTTTAGATACTGTTATCACAGCACACCTAAAACTTGTCCTTTCTTCTCTTACATCATCTTTCTTCAGTTGTGCCCTTTCTTACCTCTTTGTGCAATTATTCTTTTCTACTGAAACTTTCCTCTCAGACTGTAAGCATGCTACTACCCTTTCCCTAAATCCAGTGATGTCTTCCAGCCTTCTCCTAGTATCTCCCATTTCCATCACCTGCAGCTTTCCAAAATGATCTGCAGGCATTGCCTCTACTTCCTCAACATCCATCTTGACTCCTCATTGTCCATCCTTCATTTCTACCACTCTGTTGAAACCATTATCATCAAAGAATACTTTATCACATAACTTAGAATCTAATGCATAATCTTCTCAGAAGAGTCTTGGTTATCACTTTTTATTACTGAAATTCCTCCTTCTCTGGCTTCCATGATGTATCGGTTCTTGTCCTGTCTTTTAAAACCTTCTTAGTTCTTTATTCTGTTTTTCTAATCTTAAATGCTGCTGAGTTATCATATCACTTTTTTACACAAAGACCTTTAACAGCTTTTTATGGTTTATTGAATTAAGTTTAAATTCCTCAGCCTGTCATTCAAAGTTCTCCAAAGATTGACCCTGGAGGCTGAAATCCAAATAGATACTGGAGTCTAAGTGGTAGAGTGCACAGAGACTTGCACTTTGGCCATGGTATGTTGCAAATGTAGGAGAAGACCCTGTATTAAAGAGAGAGTATATCACCCTGGCTATGCTGCAATAAGATATGGAGCTCAGGAGGTCAGGCACAAAGAGGTCCAAGCTGGCCCAACCCCATGCTGTCACTTACTTTCCCACACATGTGGGTGACCCCAACATTCCCCAACCAGGAATGTCAGATACAAGTAAAAACTGGTGACAAATGTACCCATAAGACCATGAGCAAATGGAAATTTTGGCAGAAATGAGTGAGCTGCTCGCAACAATACACACTGTGATTGAGTGACAGCTGTACAACTGAATAGGAAACAACAGTGGCCTCACCTGGGGAACCAGCTGCAGTAGATCTATAGGGACATGCAATCAGCAGTACGTAAGAGTAAAACAATATTATGCAGGAAAGAAAGTCCCAACATCAAATAATTTGTCTAGATTTTCATGGCTAACGTTCAGAGAGGACTAGCTAATAAGCAAACTACACCCCACTCATATAGAAATGTTCACTGATTCCTGGACACACCATGGTTTTCTCCTCCTTGTATCACTTCAGATAATTTTGTGTCCTTATTTGCTTAACACATTTTTAACACCACAGTGTGCTAGGAAGAGTTCTAAGCATTTTACTAATACAAACTTTTAAAACACTATGCAGCAAATGCTATTAATACCTCTATTTTATAGGTAAGAAAACCAAGGAACAGGGGAATTAAGCAACTTTCTTGTAATCTCATAGCTAGGAGCGGGAGGGCCAAAATGTGAGCCCAGGTAGCTCTAGGGTCCGTACTCCTAATCACGATTCTACTCAGTTACCCATCCCTCAAGACTCAAGTCAAATGTCCTCTCTTTCATGGAACATCTCAGTGTCATTCAAGATAGAGTTTCATATTCCCTCTTTAGTGATCTGGTAACACTCAGACATACTCTTCCTGTGTCATTCTTCTCATTTTATTTCATCTTTATTTGTGGTCAGCTTCTCAGTGGCAGGGACTATGTTATAAATCTGTGTATCCCCTGCCCTAAGTAGAATGCCTGGCTCATAATGAGCATTTGAGAAATATTTGTTGAATTGAAATAAATTAATTTATCAGAGGTGGTGAGGGCTCCAAAACACTAAAAAATAGTGTTAAAAAGAAACATCAAATTAAAAAATAAATATTACCTTGTAGTCTCCAAAATAATTACCCATTAAACAAACAAACTACTAGATGAAGGAATCATAGGCACTTTCACAAGTCAGGGCCACGTGACTGTGATACACATGAGAAGAGCTTAAGCAGTGGTCCTTGTCTATCCCCCTGAAAGGAACTAGTCCTATGGAGTGGGGCTGAAAAGACCAATATTAAACTAGACATCCTTTTAATCCTATATTAATGTACACCTATGTTTGCTGTCTGTAAGTGCCTTTGTTTTTTCATTTTTGTATTGGAAAGGTGTCTCTGCTGCTCTTACTTTTCCAAAATCTCTATTTACGCTCTCTTAAATAGGAGTACTGGCTCCAATGCATCCTCAACCTTGTCTAAACATGATACTTACAAGTATATCATGTTGGCCATCACTTCTCATTTTTCTTATCCTCATTAACAGACTAGAGTCACTAAGGGTGACATAAAAGGACACCAGTGGAATTTAGGTGGACTCCGCCCATCAAAAGTGAGATACAGAAAACATCAGGCCCCAAGATGAGAGGAGGGTTCCAACTCTTCGTATTTCCAAAACTGACCATTCTTCACTGTCCAAAAATCTCTCCTAATTTATATGCAAGAAGGCTAAAACTAGATCCCAAACTTTATATCCTGCCCTTGCTCAAAAAGTATCCATTTAGAAACAAAATCTAACTTGAAAGCCAGGGAAAAAAGCTGGCTCTGGTACTAAGCATACATTTTGAAGGCTGCATTCCAAGAAACTTAATTTGATTATCCAGTTTAAGAATTTATGGAATATTTATTTTCTTACTTACTTCTGATTCACTTAACTGCAAGCCTACTAAGATGTTTCATAATTCAGCCAAACATTGGGGGCAATGAAGTGTATAACATAGCCCCTGCCATCATGAAGTGCATTCTCTAAAAAAGAAAGCAGGTATTAAGTACTTAGAAATAACTACTCACACAGTTATAAAGTATTGGATACAATTCTAGTAACTAGAAAGGGTGATCTAGTTACTAACAAGAACCATAATTATAATCAGGTGACAAATGCCAGTTGTGTAGAATGTGGGTTTAGTATAACTTTAAAAAAGCAACACAGGAAGTAATGGGTTTCTCTTTTGCACAATTAATTGAGCACTTACTATACGCCAGACACTGTGTTTATCATACATTGTTTATGTCATCTTCATGCTAATCCTATGAACTGGAAACCATTAGTCTTCTCATTTTACAGAGGAGGAAATTATGGCTCAAAAAGTCAAGTACTTGCCCATGATGATGGCTGAACCAGGAATGAAATCCAAGAGGTCTGGATTTCCTCAAGATCTGTGCTCTTTCCCACTATAAATGCTTAATAAATGCTTTAAGAAAAAGATTTAACTAAGTGTAACTCAATAAATTTACAAGAGGTTATAAATCTTTTTCTTTTCTGGGAGAACATCACCCAACCTTTCCAGGCAATGGCTCTTATTATTAGACAACATTATAGTTAAGGAGTGCCTGGATGCTGCATGTAGACAGAGTTGAGTAGGAAGACTTGTCCAGCTTAAACTCTCTGAGCCTGTTTCCTTACTAGAAGAATGGAAATTGTAACACCTTCTTTGCAGGACTGTAGTGAGGAACAACTGTAACATCCACCCATCCATTCGTTTATCACACATTTTTGAGCATATGCTCTGCAACAGATAACATAATAAGATGCTAGAGATACCAAGATGAGTAAGGCAAATTTCCTGTATTTAGGAAGCTTAGTGTGCTAGTGGAGAACTGGCAAGTGACAAACAGCAAAGTGTGTTAAGTGCTGTGTTAGGACACTTAGGGAACATATAATGTGTGCAAATTTCATAACCCATAGTTAGTGGTCAGCAGAGTCCCTTCTGTCACCACTTTACCTTAAAATTCCCTATATATCTGTGATTTTTCATGTCTGGTTTTCCAGGATACTTGGTGGCCCCTATAGCTGCCAGGAGGAGAGTTGGCCTTGTATCATAATCTCAGGGAGAAGGGCAAATGCTCTTCCTTTCCCACAAGCCTCTCCTCCCCTCCACTTGAATTGTGGAATGCCAATCAATGGATGGCATTTCACAGTATGTGCCAAAGCCCCTTCCCAGACTTTCTTTGCCATCTTTAGTTTCTGTCAAGACA
The DNA here is from genome assembly GCF_000001405.40 of Homo sapiens. Taxonomy (NCBI): domain Eukaryota; kingdom Metazoa; phylum Chordata; class Mammalia; order Primates; family Hominidae; genus Homo; species Homo sapiens. The sequence goes on from NC_000001.11 coordinate 217,982,504, forward strand.
AGGCCTCTTGGCAATGAAACCTTAGAAACCTGAGCCCAATTTTTCACTAATTAGACTGGAAAGTCACAAGTCAGAAACATCCAGACTCTTGTTGGATCCTATTCAGCTGCGCTGGGAAAGTTTCACCCCCACCTAGCAAGACAGCCCGACTGCCTCAGCGAGGCTTCCTCGAGCACCTGACCGTCCAGCTGATTTTCCCCATGACCAGGAAACTGCTTTCCTCCTGCTTTACATCTAGTTGGGGGACCACGGGGGGTGGCTAGAGGTGCCCGCCGGTGACACAGAGAAAAGTGGCGGAGGGCATCTCACGCCCAGGAACTTACATGGAGACACTCCCAGCTAAAGAGAAAGTTGCCCGGGCTGAGGGCAGGAGGAAGGAGCTTCCTTTCAGAGCGCTGCTAATGACCTGCCGGGAAACCGCACAGCAGTCATTTCGCAGATCCGATGGCAGGTCACGGCGACAGATGTTCCCAACATATGTGGAGAATTAATTACCCACTAGTAAACAAAATCTGTGATGCGGAGAGTCATTTTGTCCAAATTTCTTACGATTTTGCTGTTATTAGGAGCTTAATTTTTCTTGATCATCTAGATCCTCTTGGATTAAAGCACTCCTTAATGGGCTCCGAGGAACATTCCAAAGAAAAATAAGGGCCTAGTGAGCTGTTGAGGGAGGAGGGAGGAGGGAGGAGGAGGAGGAGGGGAGGGGGAGGAGCAGGAGCACCGGGCTCAGGCAGCCAGGAGGATGGAGTAACAGAGCTGCTGATTGGGAGGCTGCACAACAGCGAGGGATTAGCAAATTATTTGATTAAAACATTGGATGCTAGTCATATTTTTTAAAATATTCTAATGGTTACCTCCTATTTAACAGCGCTTACACTTAATTTAACTGCGTGCTGTGGAACAGCTGGAGTTTCTAAAGGAAATTACAACATTCTGACAGAAATAGGTTTCCAGAAAGGTTTTCTTCCGAGTTGCTTTTAAGATTCTGAACATGTTCCCATCTGAGGCTGTGGAAGCAAATTCTGATATTCATCAGTTAAGAAAATAGATTTTCTTAAAAGGGGGGATTGAAGAGTCTCTTGATTTTTGTAAGGCAGTTATTCCCTTGGCCATTTTCATCAATCACAAAAACTGTCAAAAATGCAATGGTTCACTAAGTAAATAAATCTGAAAGGCTATTAAAAATATGGTTCTTTATCCATTCAAAAGTTTGTAACTTCTCTAAATCTTGAATTCAAGTTTCCCTTAAATATTTTGTATAACAAAGTATAGTAAATTTTTAAAAAATCTATTTGTCCCAGCAAATATTGTTTATAATTTAAAATACACACTTTTTGTTTTTTCTCATTTATTCACTTCTTCATTCATTCAACAAATATCTGTTGAGCTTGGTGCTGGAGGAACAAAGATGAATAATATAACTTCAAAGACTCATGCAGAAAATAAACATGTAAACAGCTCCCTGCTTTCCAACCTCCCAGGACCAGCTCAGGAGTACCTCCAGCTCTGTAACAACCAAAATGCCCCTTACAGCATGGCAGTGCCCCCAGCCCAGTTAAGAACCACAGGTTTCAGTAATATTCAGAGTTAAGATAGAAAGAAGAGACCTGTATTAGTCTGTTCTCATGCTGCTAATAAAGACATACCTGAGACTGGGTAATTTATAAAGGAAAGAGGTTTAATTGACCCACAGTTCCACATGGCTGGGGAGGCCTCACAATCATGGCAGAAAGTGAATGAGGAGCAAGTTACGTCTTACATGGTGGCAGTCAAGAGAGAGCCTGTGCAGGGAAACTCCCATTTATGAAACCATCAAATGTCATGAGTGTTATTCACTGCCATGAGAACAGTACAGGGAAACCATCCCCATGATTCAATTATCTCCACCTGGCCCTGCCCTTGACTTGTGGAGATTATTACAATTCAAGGTGAGATTTCGGTGGGGATACAGCCAACCCATATCAGAACCAGAGGTTCTTCTGGAATTTTCATTAAAAACTTTGGGACTGGAACATTTCTGGAGAACATGGACAAGAAGAAGAAAGTTTATTGCTATAATAATGGAATAGAAAGAAACAAAGTCTATTGATGCAAAGATGAAATGGAAGCAAACAACATGCTTAAGACAAAGCCCACTTTTACTTCATTTCTTACTCTAGGCATTGATTTCCGGTCTTTTCTTTCTGTGAATTTGACCCATCACAGGAAACAAAATTCTTTGTAAAATGGCCTATGATCTATAACATTAGTTTGTATTCGTTTTTGCTGCAAGTCACCAGGATCTGACAGTTGAAATTTATTTGGGTGAAACTGCTGCTCAAAACTAAAAATTACTTATTCCACTTTCTCAGGAATTCCGAATTTCTTCTGGAATTCTCAGAAATTTAAAAGAGACACATCAGAAACTGGTGGGTCTGACATGGAAAGTTCATTACTTAGAAAAATAGGAACCTGGCTTATGACTATTTTGAGGTAAAACTTCAGTTCTGCTATTTAACTTGTTTCATGCTATATGACATTTATGCCTTTACCCTTTATCTTGGTGACTGGCATTAATGGCCACAATAAACACCTAACAACCTACTATGTTAGGCAGAATATGGTAGGGATGGGAGAATGGCCTCTGTCTTACATAGCAGGTATTTCTAAGTATAAAACTCAGAATGTGAAGGGTGAGTGACCAGTGCTTTGTGAACTTGCTACAACTCACTTTGGAACTTTATAAGATCTCTTAGTTTCATCATCTGGGTGCAGTTTTACCCACTCATCAAATAGCCTTTTGGCACTTTGCCACTATTTTGCATTTTATTTTTCTTTCATTAGGTAAAACAATAAAAGCCTGATAAAATTCATATGTTTTCCTGCTTCTAATCTCATAATATTGCTTAATTTTTCATTTCAGAGCTTATTCATAATTCAATCCTATTTGAACATGATAACGTGGCACAGTATGTCTAATATTTAGAAGCAGGCCAAAACAGACCTAGTTCAAGAGGCAGCTGTAGAGTCCTCAGCTGCGGAAATTTATTATTCCTGGCAACAAGTGATTAAACCAATTCTCTGATTAATCAAAACTGTACTTTGGAACTAGCCACATGAGACCAGAATTTTAAATCATGTTATGCAGGCTGTAGCAATACAAAGAACAAGATTGAAAAATTAACTCTATGAGAAATATTTAACAAATAGGCGTTAATCTTCCCTCAGACTTCTTGAAAGAGCAAAGCCACACTCAAGCAAACTTTAAAATATATGCCTTGACAAGCACTAAGGAAAATGTCACATTCTTTTAATAGGTGCACAGTGTTACTGTGAATCATTTCTCCTTGAAGGACTTCAGCACTGTTTATGGCTTTCCCTGATGACACCTCCTCCCTCACCACCTTTTCTAGTTACTGTTCATGCACCCTCCCCAGTGCTAATGGGAAGAGCCTGAATTCTTCTCATTTCCCATTGCTACTTCCACAAGCATAAATTCAGTAGCACTCCCTATTTCAAATTAATGTCATTTAATTAGAGCACATTTTCCCCACCCTCATGTCATCCACTGAACTCTATCTTCATTTCTCTACTTTTTTCGAACTTGAATTATAATTTTATTTTCTGTTCTACCCTTGCTCTCCTTATTTAATGTATTCATTTTATCTTTTAATTTTTTTTTTGAGACAGGGTCTTGCTGTGTTGCCCAGGCTGGTCTCGAACTCTTGGCCTCAAATGATCCTCATGCCTCAGCCTGTCAAGTAGTTGGGATTTCAGGGACTTGTCATCGTTTATTCACTCCTCCATTCACCAAATATTTATCAAACATTCTCCCTAAGTGTCAAAGATTTTGCTAAGTGTGATGAATACAGAGATGAATAAGACATAGATTTTGTCCCTGAGGAGCTCAAAACTGTGGAATAGTTGCAGTGATTTGACTTGGATGGGGTGTAGCTAGTGTGTTGGCGGAGCAGCACTGTGCACACAGCATGATTTCGCCTTCATATTATTGAGGTATATGAGGATAACATATTATCAACATATGATTCTAGTATATGAGAACATCCATATCCCACCATTATCCTGGGATATAGGAAGAAAAACATCCCGACATATTATCCTAGTATACAAGAAGAAAAAAAACTTAGCTGTATAAAACATGGAACATGATAGTGCATGATTCAGTAGCATAAATTGTGAATGCAAGTGTAGTTCTCTTTTTTCTATGGAAGTATACGTTTGTGGCAAAATATAACCTGAAACCAAAACAATCAGTGTCTAAGATGTCTAACACCATCTCACCCACCACCAACCCCTTAAACCAAGGTATTTTCTTCTAATAAAGAAAGGGCACAAATAGTATGTTGTTCATCCCAGCTGTCATATCAACCACCATATGTGAGTTTCCCCCACCTTCAAGATTACAAATTCTGAAATTCACATATTTTACCCAAAACAGGTTGTTTTACCAGGTACCTCATCATTTTTTCCCTGAACACTTGCCGTTTTCCAGTCTTTTAACTTCCCAAGTTCTCAGGTTTATGAGTCCTTCCTGTCTTTATTTTTTTCCCTAGTTTGGCTATTAGACACCATTGCGACACTTCTATCCCTAGTACTTTAGATTACTCTAACTTTATGACTCTAAGGCAAATGTTCCATCCCCAGACATGGATTCAACCAATTCAAAATTATCTTATCTTTTATCAAATATCTTGTTAAACCTCCAAATCACCCCTAAACACCTTGCACCCTCTCTCACCCTTTGCCAATACTTCCAATTGGCTACTATGAGCTTTCTTAACTCTACTGAAACTTCCAAGTGAGAACAACAAGGTCATTTTAGAATTTTCTGTATCTCTTCCTTCCATAACAAATATCACTGTATCTCCTCCCTTATTCTGTTAGGGGATAAAATGCCCTTTTTGTCTGTTAGGTGATAAAATGCCCTTATTCATTGTTTGAGGGAATCCATTTGGCTATGTACTTAATACAATTAAGATTCCTCCCCTCTCCTATGAAACTTTGTTCCAACAATTATTCTATCTTCTTTTCTTCTTGCCCACCTCTCAATATTTATTTTTCCTTTCCTGGAACTGGCCATCCAGGAGATGCCAAAAGGGACCATGAGAAAGTTGTTTTGTAATTTCATGATAACTCATTAGGGAATAGCCATGGCCACCAAAGTTAAGCAGGTTGGCAGATCATTTTGTTTTTTACAACATTATAATATTGTAACTTAAACATGAATCTTTCTTTATTGACACACATTTAATCTGAGGAACTCATTGAAAATACGTGTGTGTTTCTCTAGATAGGTAGATAATGTCCTAGGCTACCTCAAAGGGTTATTTTTATGACCCCAATGTCTTTTAATTTTTATTTGCCACAAATTTTAAATGCTCCTTGTATTGTTTTATACCTCAAAGCACAACAAACTTTGAATAACAAAATAAGCATATTACAGACCTATAATTAGGGCTAATTATAAAGTGGGCAAAAGGAGACTTCTACTGTGATTGGCAATTAAGAGTCCTGGGCATTGAAATTAATTTGGTTTAATTCCCTCATCTGAATATACTGACTTCATAACAAAATTAACATTTAAAACATTAAAAGGCATTTATAAAAATTATGAACAAAACTTGAAGGAAATTAATTTATTGCTAATTACATTAACAATAATCACTTGATGTCCCGAGCACAACTAAATTCATATCCTGTTAATAAAATATTGGCTTCCTCCCCACCCTTTCCTGTTTTAAAGGTGCGATATATGCAGTTAGAATGACCTATATGTTATAAATTATTGTTGTTATTTTCTACTACCAAAAGGTGCCCCATTTGGTAGCCTGTGCTGCCATTTAAATCTCACATCTAGTCACAAAGTTTCCTATGCATTTTTTGATTCTTGTAGCAAATATTTATTGAGCATCTATTATATGCCAGGCACTGTGCTGTGTGCAGAGCACACAGAGGTGAGCAAGACAGACCAGGTCCTTGCCCTTGTATGAAGACATCATTTATGTGCAATACTCCCTTAGACTAAATTGGATCAGCATAAGATAAATTCCTGACAGTCAGACTATAAGGTTTATTTTGATCCATGTATAATAACATTATACTGTTGTCCCAATGGTAAAGAAAATCAAACAAGTTAAAGGTCACTACAATAGGGTCTAGATCACAATCTATGTTAGCAGAGCAGAGAAGAAGCTTCAGGAACACCTGTACTCTCTTACTACTTGATACCTTTCATCATAGCTGTCTACATTTGGTTAACTCTAATTTATTGTGCTTTCTGTCACTGCTTTGCACAGGTTATCTCATTTGATTCCCCCATCATCCTAATAAAGTTCTATCATTTCTTGTTTATAAATCAGAAAACTGATCATCGAGAGAAGGTAAGTAGAATGCCCAAGGTCACATATCTAGTAAGGAGGGGGTTGGTAGTAAATGAAGGTCTGTCTGACTGTAATACTGCCTTCCCATGAAATAATTTTCCATGATGCTAATACATATTGGGAAAATGGTCAGCAAGCACCTAAAATAGATAAAGAAATAAATATAGAGAAGACAAAAGATACGTCTGGTAGCTGTTCTCTTTAGTCCTGAGGTGGTTTATTAGGAAAGGTCATTTTGGGTGGGCAACAGCATAAGAGAGAGTCTGTTTTTCCTTAGGGAGCTGCACTTCCTGTGAGCTTAGACCTATGCTTTGAAGTTACGATGTTTCAAAGAATGCTCAGTCTGTGACTTAAAGCCTCCATTTTCGAGACTTTTACAAGTTGTTAGCTTGCTTGAATGTTTGTTAAAATAAAAAGTTAAGAAAATTTGGCTAATATGTTTTCTATAGTCTTTGAGAAAGAGACAACAAATCTGATCATATTGAAAGAAAGTGACACACAGGGAAAAATAGGGGAATTTCTCTACACTGACTCTTAACTCATTTTGTCTGCAAACCTACTGACTTCATTTGCAGTGATTTTATGGAGTAAGAGGATTACTGTCAATGTGAACAGTTTGTATGTGCAACTTTTGTTCTTATAGCAAAAATGTAGGCTAAGATGCCAGCACCATTAGCTGCCTGTCTTTTACAATCACCCAGGGAGCTCCCACTGAACAGCCACCAAACGAGGACAGTTTAATGTAAATTGAATAGTGCCCCTAATATTACATTGCCATTTAGCACTCAACTTCTAAGTAAGTGTCAGGGTAGCATGAGCCAAGTTCTACTCTGGGGCCTGCACAGTGATTCATGAGTGGCTATTAATGTTACCACCGGTTACAACAAAAACATGTCACTGAACTTGAAGAAACCATTTTACCAGTGCTGCTTTCTTCTTTCCATTGTGGTTTATTTTCAAATTGCTTATTTCTCACCTAATACACCCTGCTGCCCCCATTCATTCTGAAAGAATATTTACATGAGGATAGTTGCAATAAGGGGATGGTGGGTCCCTCAAGCTGAACCCTTCTAGGTTTGATTCCTAGGCCAAGGCAAGGAAGGTATAAGCAACATTAAACCTGTAAGCAAAATAAGCTTGGGCCAGAAATGTAAGTGTCAAATATGAGGAGAAGAGATGGGATTCAAATGCAAAGTGTAATCAAGATCATGATAAAGGTCAGATTGCAAAGTCATCACCAGAGTGAAAAATCTATGATTTCCAGAATCTGGATTGGGCAGAGAAAGCACCCAGGACTACCGCTAAGATTTATGAGGCCCTAAACAATAGTACAAATGGAGGCCCATTTCTCATGTATCTTATGTTCAAATGTTGTAATTCAACCTCTGCCCAAGGCCTGGCTCGTGTTTCTATCCTAGTGCTCCTACCCTCAGGGCCTCAGCCTATTCACCAGGGATGACTTTGTGAAACTACCCTATAGGCTTCTAAGCCTGAGTGGGAACATGATCTGCTGGGGCAAAGCCTACTGCTGGACACCTGGGCAGGGACCAGCCCAAACTCAGAATGGAGAGTGACCATATCAGGCTCCTCAGGGAGCCAAGAGGGACAGGTTCCCCTGCCCCATACTTTTCCCATTCATGATACTGAGGTAGTTCCAAATGCCTCTCAAAAACAAAAGCCCTGAGAACAAAGGAGGGGAGGAACGTAGTGTTTGGGAGATCGGAGCAGCCAAGTTTAAGGAAATCAGCATCTCTTCCTCTGATGAGTCAGGACTATGGCTGGGTCTTCTCTTTCTCCATATGCGCTTGCACACTCCCAGCTCTGCTCTCTGGCCTAAGGCACCTAGTTTTACTTCCTCTAGAAGGTACCCCACCTGTAGTGACACAGTACTCAATTAGTTACAGATCCTTCTAGAAATATTCTTAGGAAAGAATAAAATTGGTCTTGTGTTTCAGTGTTTGTGATCTGCAGGACCCTTTGTTACACAGACCCAGGACCAGGGATCCCTCCTTGCCTGGGTCTAAGGGCAGAACTGAAAGCAGCCTATCGGTCTCTAGAAGTCAATTGCAAACCCAGAGGAGTGTAACTAATTGCCTTAAGTGCCAGGCATCCTCTGATGGTGGCCTGTACTCTACCTGTCCTGGGTATGCCTGACCAACCTGTGTCTTGAGAGTCCTAGTGGGGGCCGGGGGTGGTGGTTCACGCCTGGAATCCCAGCACTTTGGGAGGCCGAGGCGGGTAGATCACTTGAGGTCAGGAGTTTGAAACCAGCTGGACCAAAATGGCAAAACCCTGTCTGTACTAAAAATACAAAAATTAGCCAGGCATAGTGGTGCATGCCTATAATCCCAGCTCCTTGGGAGGCTGAGGCAGGAGAATCACTTGAACTCGGGAGGTGGAGGCTGCAGTGAGCCGAGATCCCACCACTGCACTCCAGCCTGCGCAAAAGAGCAAGACTCCGTCTCAAATAAAATAAAGATGAAAAAAGAAAAGAGTCCTAGTGGGACACTACTTCCCTCTCTAAAGAAAGACTAAAACGATCATGTTTAGAAAGCACTAGAGCATACTTAAAATAATCAAACAGAGTCATCTACAGTGGAAAATCAAACTATGAACAGATGAGTGTGAACGTTTAACTCATTCACACTCAGATGAGTAAATGTTTAACTTTTAAAAAGAGAGTAATTACAATGGAGCATAAGCTTTGGCGTAAACTCTCAGTCCATGAGGCAGCCTTTTAGACAGTAATGGGCATCTGAAATTATGTTTCCAGTCTGGGAAAGATTAGCAGTAATCTAGAATTTGCATTAATCATACCCATATATACAAAACTAGAAAGGACTCACAGAAATGTCACCTTCAAATACCTATTTCATGAATGTCTACAGTTTTGTGCTTTGTTAATTTCACAAGAAGGAACAGGTACTAGGGCAAAGGGATTAGTTAAGGAACCAAAAAAGCCTAAAATGGGTGGAGAGCTAACTACTAAATTAAGGTTTAGTCCAATATCCACTACAATGGTTTGCACATAAGTGAGCCTCAAAAAATGAAAATGATTGAAATTACATCAAATCAAAAATTTTCTCAAGTTAATAAGCATCAAGCTTTTCTGGATGCCGATAATTTTGAGCTATAAGAAGGTACAGTTCGGCCGGATGTGGTGGCTCACACCTGTAATCCCAGCATTTTGGGAGGCCAGGGCAGATGGATCACCTGAGGTCAGGAGTTCAAGACCAGCCTGACTAGCCTGGTGAAACCTCATCTCTGCTAAAAAAATGCAAAAGTTAGCCGGGCGTAGCGGCATACACCTGCAGTCCCAGTTACTCAGGAGGCTGAGGCAGGAAAATTGCCTGAACCCAGAAGGCAGAGGCTGCAGTGAGCCAAGATCGCGCCATTGCACTCCAGCCTGGGCAACAAGAGTGAAACTCCGTCTCAGGAAAAAAATAAGTAAATAAATAAAAGAAGGTACAGCTCTTAGTATTGACCTCATCATTCCCCTCTCTCCGCTCATCCAATGACTATAGTCTACTCAGTGGTTCCACTATGCATACTTGTAAGGTAATGATTTAGATTCAGGATAGAGTCTCTATAGATTCTGTAAAGTCTCTTTGGGTAAATACAAAAAGTGTTTTAAAAAGGTGTCATATAAAATTTCTTAGAATATTTTGAAAAAGCATAAAGGATGTCTCATTATTTTCTTTGCGCTAAGCAACTAGTTTCAATAACAAGTCCTGAATAGCAAATAAAAACTTGAGAGATTCAGAAATCCATGCTGCTGCATACGACAAGGAAACTGAAATTACAGATATTCTCCAATGAGTGCCCAAACAGACTCAATGAGGAATGATTTGTATTGAACTGGGACATAAGACTTTGAGGTTGTTGTGTTGACAAATACCTTGCAGAATGGACAACACAAATATAGACACCGGCACAAAACATGGAGAAGAATTTTAGAATCTTGCTAAATATCTTAATTTAGACTAAAGATAAATCCAAGGTAAATTACTTCTAACTTTGAAAAATAGAAGATCCATCCACAGAAAATCTACTTTAGATGTGGGGGACCACACTAATGTTATCTCTATATCTCATATGGTCAATCTTCTTCTTGACCTTCAGTATAGGACCCACATATAATAAAATGATTTTACCCACTGTTAGGACTTTCTGGGTAATGTTACACTAGATCAGGCCAGGACAGACAAAACTTACCAGTCATTTCAGATTATTGCATAAAAACTCTCACATATCTTCTGTTTTCATGAACAGGAGACAAGCGGCATTTCCGTCTCTATAAACAATCCATCTCCATCTCCATCTCCATATTCTTTACGGAAGCTCACACATGCACGATAACTTAAGCCATTTGCCAGTAAATAAATAGAATAAATAAATAATAAGACAACATAGTGCTTAATTTTCCTTTTCTTTTTCTTTCTTCCTTTTTTTTTTTTTTTTTTTTTTTGGCTTTAGGCAGCAAAATGCTTAAGCACTGAAATGGGCAAAAAGCAGTTTTAAGAATATAGGTCAGGACATTAATATAAATTTGATCACCTCCTTTTTATTCTCTAACATCCCCCACAATAAATCAGCCCACTTTCCTCCACCCTCTCCTCACACACACTTCACACTCCCGTCCTGATTTTGGATCACTGAATGTAAATCTGTGACAAGGGTATCTATATATAATATTAATGGTGCCGAGGAGGGCTGGTGTGAAGTGTGAGAGCTTGCCAAGAAAGGAGTGATCTGAGCCCAGCCGTTCATCCTCTGCAGTGAGCTCTACATCATCTGCAGGACAAATGTAACATCATTAGAAAAAGAAAAAAAAAAAGAGGAGGAGGTGGGGAAGTAGCCATTCTGCAAGGAAATGGCTAAGTTGGAGGTTCCAATCAATCTTACTAAGCCAGGTTCCCTGAGATACCGTCAGCCACTACAGACAAAACAGATTGCTAGAGAGATCACTGAGAGTCGAACAAACAAACAAACAAACAAACAGGAAAATACAACCTGGTTATCAGAGATTTACTCAAGTACCAGTTAGCATTTTAAATGTATTTACCTGTTTGTGCCCAGGAAAGAGAAGGAAGTTTGCTTTATCCTTAAATAAAGGAATTCGAAAAATTGGCATTGTAGGGGGCACTTTATTAAAATAGCCGATAAGCATTTGTTGTAGGTATAAAAAGAAATTATTACAGGGATCTTGGGAGACAAGATTTCAAAAACGCATGAAGCATAGAGAAGTTTGAGTTTCAGTCTTTACTTTGTGCCAATGTTTACCTTCCAGGTTGCTGTGTGTCTGAGTTTCTAAGGTGGGAGGGTGTCAGTTCAGTTACAGGCATAAGGACTGTCCAACTCAATATCTTTAGGAAGTGATTCTACAGCATTTGATGCCTGTTATGGATTGGATGTTTGTGTTCCCTCAAAATTTATATGTTGCAATCCTAAACCCCTAACGTGATGGTGTTAGTAGGTGGGGAGCTTGATAGGCAATTAGGTCATGAGGATGGAGCTTCCATGATGGGATAAGGGCCTCATGAGGGAATGAAGAGCCCAGAGCTCTCATTCCTCTGACATCTAAGGATATAAGATGAAGATGGCCATCAGCAAACCAGGGATAGGGCCTCCACCTGACCATACTGGCATCCTGATCATGGACTTCCAGCCTCCAGACTGTAAGAAATAAATTGTTGCTTAAGCCACCGAGACTGTGGTAGTTTGTTATAGCAGCCCAAGCAGACTAAGATGATCGCCAACTGAGAGAATGAAACTGACACATTTCCCTTAATTATAGGAACGGGTTAAATGAAATCCAAGTTTCATTACCCATATGATTTCACTTAGTCCACTTGTCACTTAATTTGGAGTTTGACTAGTTATTCTGATTTGTCATCTAAATTGCTACCAAATCTATACCACTGAGCCATTTAGTTGAAGTTAGTGGATTTTTCTCTTACAAAGTTTTTTAGCATTCACTTTGGATGATTCCCAAGTCCTTTCACTGAGGGTCAGAATTAGTCTGAACCCAGTCTAGAGTTTTCAGGCCTCATAAATCTTACCCAAAGTCAATATCTTCAGTCAATATTGATAAATCAATTTTATTTCAATTTTAATGAATGCTCAGAATAACCCAGAAATCAATAACTTAATATTTAAAAACAAGCATCCCCCATCTGCATCCAATATCTTTTTGAAGTTTATTCATTCATAGTTTGAAGTTAAAGAAATTAGGTGCTTACCTTTTGCAATAGTCTTGTTTTCAAATTATAATAAGCAAAACTATTGCTCCAACCAGCCATTTAATTTAGTGCCCTGTTTACTGGAGAAGATGACCTGTGGGTAGTTCCATATTTAAGCTAGTGAAAAGAATTGGTACTTAATGTAACCAAACTAAGAAAGTGCAAGATCATGTTTAATTGCATCAAACTCCACTCTTTAAGCTCTTAGAGGATCTCATTATCAGTATCTCACAGAATACTAAACTTGTCAAATAATAATTCTTTTTCCCTCTATGAATGGCCATAGTTTGTACTTAATTTAAACTGAGATGTACTTAGTTTAAAATGATGGTTATGGAAAAAAATCAGAATACTTTGTTTTTTTTTAACAATAATGCACTGGGTGTACACAGTATGCTCAAGTATACAAAGAAGTATAGAAATTCTCTAAGTAGGCAATGCAAACATGGGAAACTGTTTAAATAGAAATTTGATTTTGACGCAGATGGCCACTAATTCTGACTATGGAAAGGAATGGCCCCTAATCATAATTATTACTGCACTAACAACTCACCAATCCATCCTGGAAAAAATAAACAACTGGCTGAACTTAACTATTAAAGAGCCCTGGGCAAATTATTTACATTTCCCGTTATAGCCTCTCTTGCAAAATAAAGAGTAGATGAACTGAAACATGAGATCAGGCATGAATGAGAATTATTTTTTATTATTCTTAAACAGATGATGGGTAAATGTTAGTCACATAAAGATAAGATGTATTTGCTTATTCTGTTTAATTTTGTACCACTTTACTTATGTAACAATGGAGGAATTTGTAAAATTGAAAACAATGTTGCAAATATAATTTGATTCAGATGATCTTGATTGGTGGCTCATTTTTATGGGTCATCTCTTTTAAATTTTAAATTAGTAGGAAATTAATATACTTACTAACATTTAAAAATGTCCTACTGTTGCCTTTCTAAATAGAATTTATCTTCCATCGCATTATGGAAGCTTTAGAAAATATATAGTACAGAATGATTTTCACAATTTTTTTTCAAAGGAGCTGTGATTTATTAATTAAATACATCTGGCTGCGCATGGTGGCTCACGCCTGTAATCCTAGCACTTTGGGAGGCTGAGGCGGGCAGATCATTGAAGCCAGGAGTTTGAGACCAGCCTGGCCAACATGGTGAAACCCCATCTCTACTAAAAATACAGAAGTTATCTGGGCAAGGTAGTGCATCCCTGTAGTCTTAGCTACTCAGGAGGCTGAGGAGGGAGCCTAGGATGTTGAGGCTGCAGTGAGCTGAGATCATGCTATTGCACTTTAGCCTGGGTGACAGAGTGAGACTCTGTCTCATATATATATATATATATATATATGTAGGACATTTTGACTAAATTTTCAGCTCCTTGTTTGATGGAACTATCTGTCATTCACAGTTTTTACCCTGAGCATTCACAGGATTGGGCCCTGACCCAGGAATGGAATGTTGTGACTATGCGAGTAGCCACCTGCCTGCAGGCTTATTATTTCTCTTATTAAATGGAGGATTCGATGAGATAATCAGTGAAACTTCTTTTCAGAGAGAAAGCTATGATTTGATGAATTATGAATTGAGGACGCAGGAGCTGCTCTATTGGGTCTTAATAGTTGTAAGCCTTTGTGGGGAAAAATCATGTAAACAAATAGCAACTAGATAAGAAATTAAAAAAACAATTATTATAGTGGACAAGCTGTAAGGGAAGAGCTGGGAATCTTAAGCTAAGAATGAAACAGGGCTTAAAATGAAGAAATCTTTGAGCTGTGTGTGGAAAGACATGTAACATTCCCAATAGGGAAAGAAGGAACTCATTTCAGGTCACAAGGACAGCCTGAGCAAAGATAAAGTTTGTTTGGTTGATTAGCTCAAGATAGCTGGGGCACACTATAGGTGAACAGGTGTAATAGAAGATAAAAATACTGATCTTAATTACTGGGATTTGAGAGAAAGAAAAGGTTTGGTCTTGATGCACAAGAAAGCTTTAACAGAGAAGATGGGACTTGAGCTGAATCTTGGAAAATGAGTAGGATTCGAAGAGGAGCAGGAGAGGATAAGAGTGAACTTAATATAGAGAAGAATATATTTGATAGATGTATTTAGGGCTGGAAAACAGTTTGATTAGAATAAAGCACTTGTATGAAAATAATCATGACTGTAAAAGAAGATCAGGAAGATTTTGGAGAAGGATAGAACATTCCCAGTAAATAGTTTGTCTAATTCTCATGTATTAGGTTATCTCTGCTATGCGATGTGCAAAGGAATCAAATAATGATAACATTGGGAAGCCAGGAGTGGCAGCAGAATATCAGGTGGCCTAGAAAACAGAAGGACTGAAATAGAGGAACCAGTAGGGAAACTGTTACTCAACCTGATGCATGAGATGATTAATAAAGAAAAAGAACTCCAAGACTTAGTTGACAAAACAAATATGATATACGAAGTAGAGAAAACGTTCAAAGATGGTATGAGAATGTGGCACCTTTAGCACTCACATATAGCATGTACAAAAATATTCATTTTGAAAGATTATATTCTTTTTTTACTTCTATTTTAAGTTCAGGGGTACATGCGCAGGTTTGTTACATAGGTAAACTTGTGTCAAGGGGGTATGTTGAACAGATTATTTCATCACCCAAGTATTAAGCCTATTATCCATTATTTTTCCTGATCCTCTTCCTCCTCCCACCCTCTACCCTATTATAGGCACCTGTGTCTGTTGTTCCCTTCTTTGTGTCTCTGTGTTCTCATTGTTTAGCTACCACTTATAAGTGAGAACGTGAGGTATTTTGTTTTCTGTTCCTGTGTTAGTTTGCTAAGGATAATGACCTCCAGTTCCATTCATATCCCTGCAAAGGGCATTATCTTGTTCTTTTTCATCGCTGTGTAGTATTCCATGGTGTATATGTATCATATTTTCTTTATCCAGTTTATCACTGATGGGCATTTAGGTTGATTCCATGTCTTTGCTATTGTGACTAATGCTGCAATGGATATAGAAGTACATGTATTTTTATAAAAGAATGATTTGTATTCCTTTGGGTATATATCCAGTAGTGGGATTGCTGGGTCAAATGGTATTTCTGTCTTCAGGACTTTGAGGAATCACCACAGTGTCTCCAACAATGTTTGAACTAATTTACACTCCCACCAACAGTGTATAATTGTTCCTTTTTCCCCACAGAAAGGTTGTATTCTTAACATGAGAGGTCATTGCAAAAATGCAGCAGGCAAAACCAGGTCTCACAGAATACAGAGGACTGTTTGGAAAGTAATAAAGTTGGCACTATATATATATGTGTGTGTATATATATATATATGTATATATACACACACATATATATACACACACATATATATATAGAGAAAATATATATATGTTTCAACATATATATATGTTGAAAAAATATTTGGCTGACAATAACACAAATGCTAATTATGGGTTGCAAAAATAAGAATTTATTTCACAAAGCAAGAAGACTATTAGTAAATATTTGCTCTTTAGGTTCAGCTACTTGAGAAACTTTGTCTTTCTACTCCAACTTTCTTAAGGTATAGGTATTCATCTTCAGGTTCGTTACCTGGTCACAACATAGCTGCTACTTCTCCAGACATTACATTTTCATGAAGGGAAGAAAAGGTAAAAATTTATCCCTTTATATTATGAAAGCAAAAGCTTTCCTAGAAATCCCCAGCAGACTTTAATTTACATTTTGTTGGCCAGAGCTGATTGACATGGCCATTTCCATGTCAATCTCAGTAAGGGGGTCTGGGAGTGTTTCCTGGGCACAACTGCATACCAAAGACAGGATTCTGTTAGAAAGACAGAAAGAAAAATGGATATTGTGTATGCAATTAAAAAAGTATGCCAGGGTATATTTCGTCGCATAGTAAATAAAAGTTCTAGAAGGTGATTGCTTTCAAGTGATAAAAAAATTTTTGTCATTAAAATTTGACCTAGTTGGTTGACCCTTCCGAATCTCTCTCAAAATTGTTCCTCTCCCTGTCTTCCCCATTTCCTTGAATGGCACTCATCTGGCTTGGACTATAGCAGTGACCTCAATTGGTCACTTTGTCTCTATCCTCTTGCTCTATTACTATATTCTATACAAGAAGAATAATCTTTTTTACAGGAGGAAGTTACAACTCAGTTTCCAGTTTACCTAAAGGTCAATGCAAATAGGAACACTATAAATTGATATGATCGAGCTATTTACAGAAAATTCCTTAGCCTTAAATACTTTTAGTATTAAACATTAAAAATGAATTAAATAGCACTCATTCATTCACCTGAAAAACCACAATAATGTATACTAAAATTAGGTGGGAAAAGGAATTAATAAAGACAAATGATAAAATAATGATTTAGGAGAAATTAGTGAGATTGATCTATAATAAAAAGAGCTAATATCTTGAAAAGATCAGTAAGTTAAAACTCTAAAAATCTCCTTTGTGGAAAAAAAGAGAATACACATAAGTGTGTATATGTGTATATATAATATATTATGAACAAGAAGAGGGATATAACAAATTCTCAAGTATAATAAATTAAATATGAGAAAGGGGCTATAGCACATTTTTCAAAATATTACTGTAATATGATAAATTGTTCTAGACAGTTTCACATGTATTTAAAATAGAATTTGTGGTGTTCACGGAAATGTGAAATAAGTAATATTAATCTGGAAAATGATAGCCATGAAAGAAAATGAGCCATCCTATAACCATTATAAAAAAGGATAAGGCTAGTTTACAGGTGACTGCTGTCAAATTTTCAACAATATAGTGTTATCATTTCGTTTACCTCATTCCCAAGCATAGAAAAAGACAGACAAATTTCAATTTATCTTTTGTGTCCAACATAATTCTGATACCAAAACCCAACCAAGATTATGTCAAAAATGAAGCCAGTGGTTTAGTCTTAGTCATGACTATACCCTGCTCTCCCACAGTCTATTAAGTTTGTTCCAAACCTTCCTATTTCTCATTTAACCACCTAATCTTCCTCCATCATTCTCAGATGTGATCTTTCCAGAGAGAAATTGATGCCATAGCTTTGCAGGTGGGAACTCTTCCCTCAACTTTAGGCCATCCAAAGTACAAACTGTATCTGCCTGCATCCTGACCCAATTGTTTCCTGTTAAAACAGAGCAGGCATTCCCTCCACGATACTCAATTCCTCAGCATGAGCTTGAATTTTGCCCCCATCCCCTACCACTCTCTCAGCTGTCTCTCACTAGAAATATTCCCCTCTCAACTTCTGTCTTCACCATTGTATCTTGTTAAGGCCTTCTCATCAGCATTTAAACATTCTCAAGTCTTCTTCCATCTAGGGGAACAAACCCACACTTAATCGGTAACATCCCCCATCTGCTTACTCTCCTTCTGCTCTCCAGCCAAATTTCCTCAAGGAAAAGTCCTCAAAGCCTTTTCTTCCAATTCCATATTTCCCACACACTTCACAGCCAACATTAATGTGGCTTTTGTTCACTGTATTCTAAGACATCTCTTGCTGGTAAATATTTTTCATAAGTCCATGACCACCAAAGCGACATTCCATACTGATCCCCACCTCACTTGTACATAGTTCTCTTCTCCACTTTTTATAACACCATATTCTTTTCCTCCTAGCTCTGTAACTGTTTTTTTGGTCTTTTCTAGCTCATCCTCATCTAAATTAAATGTTAGAATGGTCCAATCAAAGTTTGGCATATGTTCTCTTTTATTCTCAGTCTAATTCTCCGTTTAGGCAATCTCACTCCTACCTGAGTTGCAAATGCCCTGCTGACTCTCAAATTTTTATCTCTAGCTCACCCTGCTCTAAGCTCCACATACACATGTCCAGTCATTTATCTGATATCTCCACTTGACTGTCTTATAGTCATCTCATAGATGACATATCCAAAATTAAACTCTTGGTCTTCTCCATAGATCTATTCGTTCTCAATTATTTTTAAATACTGGCCTCCTCAAATACCCAGTTTTACAAATCATATAACCTTGACAACTTCTTCTCCTTCATCCCTATATATATTCAATGATCAAATCCTAACAGTTTTACCTCCTAAATATCTCCTGAGTCTCTCCATTTAACTCCATTTTCACCGACAGAACTCACAATCATGCCATCATCTACTGCATAGATAAATCTATTATTCTCCCAACTAGTCACCATAAAATACTATTTCTTGTCTTCAAATTTTCTTGACTGTACAACTAAAATCATCTATTTAAATTCCTCTGTGGCTGTAAAGACCAAAAGGAAATCCTCAACCTGCCCTGCAAGGGCTCTCTGCAGTTAGCCACAGTCTACCCCATCCTCACCTCAGGCTGCTCTCCAATGTGCTCCTTGCACTCCAGCCACACTGGCCTTCTCTTTTAATTCATCAAATGTAATGCCCTCCTTTCTACTCCAGAGCCTGGTCACTAATTATTTGAAATTTTTGATCTCCTTAATTATACTCCATCACTTCTGCCTAAATAACTCCTAGTTAAATATATTAGGTATTTGACTCAATTATCACTTCCGCTTAAAAGACTTCTCTAGACTACGTTAAGTCCTCTCAATTATATTCTCCTGTAGTACTCTATATCCTACTTCAATTGTAATTAAATAATTGGTTTAAAAATGCATGACTCTCCACCAGACTCTAAACTCTAGGAAGAAGGCAGGCACTGTGAATTCTCATAGCTACCTTCACAGTTCCTAGT
This sequence comes from Homo sapiens, assembly GCF_000001405.40. Lineage (NCBI taxonomy): Eukaryota > Metazoa > Chordata > Mammalia > Primates > Hominidae > Homo > Homo sapiens. The sequence continues at coordinate 218,001,866 of NC_000001.11, forward strand.
GCAATGCCTCATACAAAGCAGACATTGAGTAAATATGTGTTGACTGAAGGAATAAATACATAAATGCAAAAATACCTATTAGCAACAAAATCAATTGAACAAGCAAGTTTATTTCAGGACTGTAAAGATGGGTCAATACCAGGCAACTATTATTTTAATACATAACTCTAATTTATTAAAGGTATAATTACATAATGACATGTCAAGTCATTTGATAATATTCAAATAGAAATAACAAAGTCTTAGTAACTTGAAAATAAAACAGACATAATACAATAGAGAATATATGTCATAGAGAGCATCTTTTGATGTAATAGGAACACACTATGTGTAACAAGTGTGTGAAGAACAAGTAATAACAGCTATGTTGAAGATTGTATTATTACTCTAACTATTGTTTTCACCTCTCTATGGGAAGATTACAGATCCCTACTCCTTCAATGGCAGGCTTAGCTATGTGACTTGCTGTGCCCATTCTTATAGGAGAATTATATATTTCCATTTCACTGATAGTAGCAGTTGCCATCTGACTTGTTTTGGCTTGTTTGGCTAAAAGTAATGGTGACACCCCTAAACAGAAGTTTAAAGAAGCAGCTCGGCCAGGCACGGTTGCTAACGCCTGTAATTCCAACACTTTGGGAGGCCGAGGTGGGTGGATCACCTGAGGTCAAGAGTTCGAGGCTAGCCCGGACAACCTAGTGAAACCCCGTCGCTACTAAAAATACAAAAATTAGCTGGGCGTGATGGTGGACACCTGTAAGCCCAGCTACTCGGGAGGCTGAGGCAGGAGAATCACTTGAACCCAGGAGGTGGAGGTTGCAGTGAGCCCAGATCGTGCCATTGTACTCCAGCCTGGGCGACAGAGTGAGACTCCGTCTCAAAAAAAAAAAAAAAAAAAGAGAGGCAGCTCATGATTCAACCATTTCAACCATGGTTTTCTTCCTCTCTCCCACGAGATTACACTGTCCTAGTTAGAGGCTATAACAGCCTGGGTTTAAAAAAAAAGGCAACATGGAACAGAGCTGTGTCTGACTGATAATGTACATGAACTATAAGTGAGAAATAAGCCTCTACTGTTACAAGCCACAGAAATGTTGGAGTCGTTTGTTACTAACATATAAGTTAGCTTAAATAGACTGATATAGCATATTCTGTCCATTAGTATTGGACATTTTTCTGAAGGTTCTAGCCAAGGTGATAAATGAGACTACAGAAAGATACACAATACACAACGATGGGCAATGAAAATAAGTAATTGTCATTATTCGTTAGTGATATAATGCTATAAGACTTCAAGAGAGTCAGCTGAAAATCTATTAAGAATATTAGAATTGGAATTTAAGAAACACTTATAAAAAACCAAGTCTTTCTTTATATCACAAATAGCCAGTCAAAAAACATTATAAAGTGATTCCACTGTAATATAACAATGAAATAAAACACCACTTTCCTGGAGCATACATTTTTCTTGGGGATGAGAAACAGTAAACAGACAAACTAATATATCATAAGTAAAGTAGGGATAAACGCTGAAGAGAAAATCTAAACAGGATCAGGGAGATAGGAAATATGGGGAGAAGTACGAAATGAGGTGCAATTTTATGTAGGATAGCCAAGAAAAGCCTCACCAAGAAGTTCACATTTGAGTAAAGACCTACCTAAAATAGATGAGGCATGAGCCACGAGACCTACCTGGAAGGTAACAGCTTTTCAGGCAGAGGGAACAACAGCATAGAGACCCTCAAGCTGCATGTGGTATGTTCCTGGACCATCAAGAAGGCTGGTATGGCTGACCTGACATGGGATAATTGAGGGAAAGGGAGTTGGAGATGGGGTCCCAAAGATCTGGAGGTGGGGTGGTGGTGGTGATGGTGGAACACAGCTTATAGAGTCCTCAAAAGTTCTGCTCTGAATGAGATGGAAACCATAAAGTTTTACAGAAGAACATTAAGGAAGACATAATGCATAAATGCAGAGATAAATTCTGCTTCCAGGATGGAAAGATTCAGTATTCTAAAGATGTCAAAGTTCAAAAAGTCCCAATAAATTGTTTTTAGAATATGACAAATTGATTTTTTTGTTTGTCTGAAAAAAAATATACACAGGGGAATATAGACAGTTTTGTACATTAAAAATAATGATGAAAGACTCACCCAACCAGACATCAAAATATATTTTAAGCTATAGTAAATAAGTATATTTGATACTACTAGGGAACAGATTAATTAAACTAGATAGAGCCTCAGAGTGTATATGGGAATTTCCTATATAAGAAATAGGTCATTATAAATCAGTGGGTAGAGGATGAATTACTCAGAAGATCAGTGGTAAAGCATGGATTATTCAAAAGGTAAAATGTGATCAATTTAGTTAAACATTAGGGAACAAAATAAATTTAGTTTCCTATCTCATACCATATTTAAAAGCATATTTTCAATGGATTATAAACATTTAAACCATAGGAATACAAAAAGAAAATACAGGACGTTTTTTCTAATTTGCAATATTTAGTTAGGGAAACCTTTTCTTATCATTATACTACTGAAAGGAACTAAGAAGTAAATAACAGATTGATCATGTGGAAATATGAAACTTCTGTATGGAAAAATAATACCATCAATTCAGCTGGGCATGTGGCTTACACCTGTAATCTCAGCACCTGGGGAGGCTGAGGTGGGAGAATCGCTTGAGCCCAGGAGTTTGAGACCAACCTGGGAAACATGGTGAAACCACATCTCTACAGAAAATAAATAGAATTAGCCAGGTGTGGTGGTGTACACCTGTGGTCCCAGCCCTGGGGTTCTAGGCTGAGGTGGGAGGATTGCTTGAGCTGAGGAAGTCTAGGCTGCAGTGAGCCATGATTGTACTCCAGCCTGGGCAACAGAGCAAGACCCTGTTCTGAGAAAAACAAAAAAAGAATACCATAAATAAAATTAAAATTCCACAATTGGAAAATGTATTTTCAGCATATGTTACAAAGGGATACATCCTTTGATAATTGTATACAGCATTCCTATAAATCAACTAGAAAAATATGACTAATCCAATAGCAAAAGGTGATGATAAATATTTATTCTTTCAATCCACAAACATGTATTAAGAAAATGGTTCCTCCCTACCCTGAACAAGGCAATTATGTTCAAGAGGGAGGAAATGGACAATAAATACATTGGAAAATAAATAAATAAGCAGAGACTCAAATAACAAGAAAGAGCCAGCTACTGAAAAGGTAAAGGAAAAGAGAAGAGAAGAGAAGAGAAGAGAAGAGAAGAGAAGAGAAGAGAAGAGAAGAGAAGAGAAGAGAAAGGCCCCAGGGTGTGAGGGGATTTGAAGTCTTCAAGGTAGAGAAAGAAGGCCAATATGGAGGAGAACATAGAAAGATGAGTCCTGGGAACATCGGGACTTGTTAGGCCATGAGAAGGAGTCTGGATTTTACACTACCTGAAACAGGAAATCAAGGGACAGTTATACATAGGTGAATGACAAGATCTGATATTTATTTTTAAAAGATCAGTCATCTGAAGTGTAGGGAGTAGACTTCAGGGAGTTAAGAGTGAAAGCTGAGAGATAAATTAGGAGGTGTTTTCAGTAGTCAAGTGAAAAAATAGGTTAAGCTGGACTCTATTTCCTTTAGAGAAATGTCTGAATTGACAGCCACGCACATGAAATATTTTGCTAGCTATTGCCAAACTGCCTTCTAAAACAAGCAACAGCTATGTCAGAGTGCTTACTTCCTCTAATTCTTATTAATACTAGATATTCCTTGTGTCATCTTTGGTACTATCATAGACTAACAGTTTATATTATTTCAATTTGCACATATTTGAATAATAGTAAGAACAATTATATGTGTTGTTGACATTTTTAGGTTTTTTTTAATGCACACCAAATTCAATAGTCAGTTATTTCTTCATATTAGTCCATCCCTCCGCAACATTTGACATTTGGACTGCTGTCGTTTTTGTTTTTGTTCTTGTTTTTTTGAAATATTTTCTTCTGAAATCTTCTTGGACGTCAAAATCTCCTGGATTTCCAACTCACACTAAGTTCTCTCTTCCTTGGGCTCATTTTCAGGCTCCACATTGGCCAAATCTCTGAATGTTGGGGCATCCCAAGGATGTTGACCCTATTTTCTACCTATGCTCTCCCCTAGGTGACCTCATCTGATGCCACCCCAAGATTTTCAACACCATCTAGAGATCAGGGATTCCCAAATTACTATCTCCACTCCTACCTTCACCCTTAGCACCTGGTGTGTAGATATTTCCACTTAACTTAGTGCGTATCTCAAACTCAACCTGCCTGAAACATATTGAACTGTGAAGCTTCTCCTCCCTGGTGTTGCCCATCACAGTGAATGGTGCCCCCATTCCCTCAGTCACTCTACTCTTCCTTTCTCACTCCCTTTGCCCACACTTTTAAGAACTGTCTTTTGCAAATAAAGCAAATGGGAGCCAAAAAGGCAGGGGATGGAGGGGTCACAAGAATGTCTACTTGGCATTTGATATAGTTTGACTGTGTTTCCACCCAAATCTCATCTTGAATTGTAATCCCCGTAATCCCCATGTGTCAAGGGAGGGACCCAGTGGAAGGTGATTGGATCATGGGGGCAATTTACCCCGTGCTGTTCTCATGATAGTGAGTAAATTCTCATGAGAACTGATGGTTTTATAAGGGCTTCTTCCCCCTTTGCTTTCTATACATGCTCTCTCTTGCCTGTGGCCGTGTAAGACATGCCTGCTACCCCTTCTATGACTATTGTAAGTTTCCTGAGGCCTCCCCAGCCATGTGGAACTGTGAGTCAATTAAACCTCTTTTTTTAATAAATTACCCAGTCTTAGGCAGTTCTTTACAGCAGTGTGAGAACGAACTAATATAGCATTGTAATAAAAAGACAGAAACAAATGAAATATTCATCATAAGAGATTAAGTAAATCATAATACAGTCATAGAATGAAGACTATGAAGCCTTTACAAATCATGGAATAGGTCTATTATTAGGTGAAAAAGCAAGTTGCAGAGCAGTATAATCTCAGACTGAGATAATACAAATACAACTGCAACATAGAAAGTTTTCTTCGGAGGGTAGGATTACAAAATAAGTGCTTTGAACATGTTTGTTTTGTTCACATTTTTAATGAGAAGCAAGCTATCATTCGTATGTTATACAAACCAAAACTTACAAAAATAGAATTGGCGAAGTGGAGGTAAATGAGGATAAATGTACAGGGTCATAAATGAGGATGTTTTTCATGTAAATTTTCCTAGGAAAGCCACAGATCGAACCTGTAGAAGAAGTGTCATTGGAACCCTAGAAGCATATAGCCATGGACTATGCTTAAACATAGCAGTAGCAGAGAAGCTGATGTAATGTCTTCTCAGCCCTAAAGCTCTACCTAAAGTAGAGATTTGGAGGCATGTTTAACAAAAAAGACCAAATGGAAAAAGATTATAGGTGCACAAATGCAGTGGCTATGGCATATATGCAGCTATTTAAATATTGTAAAAGGAAAAGAAATCTTGGGGCCCCAAAATTCTAAGCCAAAGGGAAGAGTCAAGCAGGGAATTGCTTAGGATAAACCTGACTCCCATTCTATTCAAAGTCATCCCTCTGCTCACTGAGATAAATGTATATCTGATTGCCTACTTTGGAAAGGCCAATCAGAAACTCAAAAGAATGCAACCATTTGTCACTCATCTACCTGTGACCTGGAAGCTCCCTCCCTGTTTTGAGTTGTCCCACCTTTCTGGAAGGAACCAATGTACATCTTACATATATTGATTAATGTCTCATGTCTCCCCAAAATGTATAAAACCAAGCTGTTCTCCAGCCACCTTGGGTATATGTTGTCAGGACCTCCTGAGGCTGTGTCATGGGCATCCATCCTCAACTTTGGCAAAATAAACTTTTTAAATTAACTGAGACCAGTCTCAGCTATTCAGGTTCACATTTTGGTAACCACAAAGGGATTTTGAGTGGAGGTGCTCCTGACCTTTGACAAATCTCCTATCAGTGCTTGGTCCCAGCTTGCACTATGTTTATGGCTCAAAGCAATAGGACAATTTGCCGAGGTCTGGAAGCACACCCTCCAGAGAATCCCTGATATCACAAAACTTGGTCAAGATATAAAGTTTATTTTACTGTACAACTCCTTTTTTTTTTTTTTTTTAAGTTTTACTTGCTTCCAACACAAGGAAGGCAAGTTTTTCCTGCTTCCATGATGATGGAAGGCAGGTAACTCCTTTATGGAGTTTCAGCTCACTTCCAACAGAGAAGATAAATTTGAGTTTTTTCCTTCTTCTAGGATGGTAGGGTAATCTTCAGCCTGAGACCCATCCCTAGGTAAATAACTGAATTGGGCCTTGTTTCGGCTAAAGTTAAGATTAACAACCAGCTGGTCTTAATTTCTCCTTACCATTATGTTGGGGTGATCAGACCCAACACGAGGTCGTGGGGGCAATGAAGTCTGGCAGCGTCAAAGGATTGAGAAAAAGACAGTTTGAGAGAGAAAGCTGGAACCAGGGGGCCATCGTGATTGTGGAGGCTGCGAAGGCCCTGAGCTGTGGGAGCTCACGCTACTTATTGGTAATCCAACAAAGAAACAGGTGGTGAGAATGTGGGGGGTCAAAAGGGTGCATTGCATTAAGCACATGATTTACAGCTGTGATGGTTTAGCATTTGCCCTGCTACTTGAGATAATGGAGAGCAGGTTCTTTTAACTCAAGATACAATGGATCCTGAGAGAGCAAGGAGCAAGGAGCCAGCAAGTCTAGACACATTCCAGAGCCATGAGCCCTGGATTCTGTCCAAGCCATGAGGGATTTTATACCCTGGGCTTAGATTATGGTGCATCAGGGTAGCCTTCCACCCTTTAGCACAGAGCTTGGTGTTCCAAAGGCCACAAGGGGTTTTAGACCCTGGACCCCAGACATGTTCCAAGACTCTTTTACCTTATGTCAGACATGCAAGCCCTGCCTCAGCTTCTCCCAACACTCAGCTTTTCCCAACACCATTAGAGTGCTTAGTAATCATACAAGTGGTGTGATTGCTTATCTTGACTAATTTTTGTTGTTGTTTGTTTCTGTTTCTGTTGTCATTTCATTCTTTTTCCCATTGGGTTTGACCAACTCTATCTGACTTGATCAAATCTGAAGGAAATTTCCAAATTATTGGGAACAAGTTCTCTGAAGTGGCTAAATTCTCATAAAAAAAGAAAAACATGGTAAGGAGGGCAGAGAAAAATGGTCACCAAAAGGAAAAAAGGAAAAAGGAAACATTTTTATTTTGACTTCTTTTTTTTTTTTAATAGAAAACATTCTTTTTTTTTTTTCAGTCATTATTTGTTTGTACAGCTGTGTGAATTTTTTTTTTTTATTATACTCTAAGTTTTAGGGTACATGTGCACATTGTGCAGGTTAGTTACATATGTATACATGTGCCATGCTGGTGCGCTGCACCCACTAATGTGTCATCTAGCATTAGGTATATCTCCCAATGCTATCCCTCCCCCCTCCCCCGACCCCACCACAGTCCCCAGAGTGTGATATTCCCCTTCCTGTGTCCATGTGATCTCATTGTTCAATTCCCACCTATGAGTGAGAATATGCGGTGTTTGGTTTTTTGTTCTTGCGATAGTTTACTGAGAATGATGGTTTCCAATTTCATCCATGTCCCTACAAAGGATATGAACTCATCATTTTTTATGGCTGCATAGTATTCCATGGTGTATATGTGCCACATTTTCTTAATCCAGTCTATCATTGTTGGACATTTGGGTTGGTTCCAAGTCTTTGCTATTGTGAATAGTGCCGCAATAAACATACGTGTGCATGTGTCTTTATAGCAGCATGATTTATAGTCCTTTGGGTATATACCCAGTAATGGGATGGCTGGGTCAAATGGTATTTCTAGTTCTAGATCCCTGAGGAATCGCCACACTGACTTCCACAATGGTTGAACTAGTTTACAGTCCCACCAACAGTGTAAAAGTGTTCCTATTTCTCCACATCCTCTCCAGCACCTGTTGTTTCCTGACTTTTTAATGATTGCCATTCTAACTGGTGTGAGATGATATCTCATAGTGGTTTTGATTTGCATTTCTCTGATGGCCAGTGATGATGAGCATTTCTCCATGTGTTTTTTGGCTGCATAAATGTCTTCTTTTGAGAAGTGTCTGTTCATGTCCTTCGCCCACTTTTTGATGGGGTTGTTTTTTTCTTGTAAATTTGTTTGAGTTCATTGTAGATTCTGGATATTAGCCCTTTGTCAGATGAGTAGGTTGCGAAAATTTTCTCCGATGTTGTAGGTTGCCTGTTCACTCTGATGGTAGTTTCTTTTGCTGTGCAGAAGCTCTTTAGTTTAATTAGATCCCATTTGTCAATTTTGGCTTTTGTTGCCATTGCTTTTGGTGTTTTGGACATGAAGTCCTTGCCCACGCCTATGTCCTGAATGGTAATGCCTAGGTTTTCTTCTAGGGTTTTTATGGTTTTAGGTCTAACGTTTAAATCTTTAATCCATCTTGAATTGATTTTTGTATAAGGTGTAAGGAAGGGATCCAGTTTCAGCTTTCTACATATGGCTAGCCAGTTTTCCCAGCACCATTTATTAAATAGGGAATCCTTTCCCCATTGCTTGTTTTTCTCAGGTTTGTCAAAGATCAGATAGTTGTAGGTATGTGGAGTTATTTCTGAGGGCTCTGTTCTGTTCCATTGATCTATATCTCTGTTTTGGTACCAGTACCATGCTGTTTTGGTTACTGTAGCCTTGTAGTATAGTTTGAAGTCAGGTAGTGTGATGCCTCCAGCTTTGTTCTTTTGGCTTAGGATTGACTTGGCAATGCGGGCTCTTTTTTGGTTCCATATGAACTTTAAAGTAGTTTTTTCCAATTCTGTGAAGAAAGTCATTGGTAGCTTGATGGGGATGGCATTGAATCTGTAAATTACCTTGGGCAGTATGGCCATTTTCACGATATTGATTCTTCCTACCCATGAGCATGGAATGTTCTTCCATTTGTTTGTGTCCTCTTTTATTTCCTTGAGCAGTGGTTTGTAGTTCTCCTTGAAGAGGTCCTTCACATCCCTTGTAAGTTGGATTCCTAGGTATTTTATTCTCTTTCAAGCAATTGTGAATGGGAGTTCACCCATGATTTGGCTCTCTGTTTGTCTGTTGTTGGTGTATAAGAATGCTTGTGATTTTTGTACATTGATTTTGTATCCTTAGACTTTGCTGAAGTTGCTTATCAGCTTAAGGAGATTTTGGGCTGAGACGATGGGGTTTTCTAGATAAACAATCATGTCGTCTGCAAACAGGGACAATTTGACTTCCTCTTTTCCTAATTGAATACCCTTTATTTCCTTCTCCTGCCTGATTGCCCTGGCCAGAACTTCCAACACTATGTTGAATAGGAGCGGTGAGAGAGGGCATCCCTGTCTTGTGCCAGTTTTCAAAGGGAATGCTTCCAGTTTTTGCCCATTCAGTATGATATTGGCTGTGGGTTTGTCATAGATAGCTCTTATTATTTTGAAATACGTCCCATCAATACCTAATTTATTGAGAGTTTTTAGCATGAAGAGTTGTTGAATTTTGTCAAAGGCTTTTTCTGCATCTATTGAGATAATCATGTGGTTTTTGTCTTTGGCTCTGTTTATATGCTGGATTACATTTATTGATTTGCGTATATTGAACCAGCCTTGCATCCCAGGGATGGAGCCCACTTGATCATGGTGGATAAGCTTTTTGATGTGCTGCTGGATTTGGTTTGCCAGTATTTTATTGAGGATTTTTGCATCAATGTTCATCAAGGATATTGGTCTAAAATTCTCTTTTTTGGTTGTGTCTCTGCCCGGCTCTGGTATCAGAATGATGCTGGCCTCATAAAATGAGTTAGGGAGGATTCCCTCTTTTTCTATTGATTGGAATAGTTTCAGAAGGAATGGTACCAGTTCCTCCTTGTACCTCTGGTAGAATTCGGCTGTGAATCCATCTGGTCCTGGACTCTTTTTGGTTGGTAAACTATTGATTATTGCCACAATTTCAGAGCCTGTTATTGGTCTATTCAGAGATTCAACTTCTTCCTGGTTTAGTCTTGGGAGAGTGTATGTGTTGAGGAATGTATCCATTTCTTCTAGATTTTCTAGTTTATTTGCGTAGAGGTGTTTGTAGTATTCTCTGATGGTAGTTTGTATTTCTGTGGGATCGGTGGTGATATCCCCTTTATCATTTTTTATTGTGTCTATTTGATTCTTCTCTCTTTTTTTCTTTATTAGTCTTGCTAGCGGTCTATCAATTTTGTTGATCCTTTCAAAAAACCAGCTCCTGGATTCATTGATTTTTTGAAGGGTTTTTTGTGTCTCTATTTCCTTCAGTTCTGCTCTGATTTTAGTTATTTCTTGCCTTCTGCTAGCTTTTGAATGTGTTTGCTCTTGCTTTACTAGTTCTTTTAATTGTGATGTTAGGGTGTCAATTTTGGATCTTTCCTGCTTTCTCTTGTAGGCATTTAGTGCTATAAATTTCCCTCTACACACTGCTTTGAATGCATCCCAGAGATTCTGGTATGTGGTGTCTTTGTTCTCGTTGGTTTCAAAGAACATCTTTATTTCTGCCTTCATTTCGTTATGTACCCAGTAGTCATTCAGGAGCAGGTTGTTCAGTTTCCATGTAGTTGAGCGGCTTTGAGTGAGATTCTTAATCCTGAGTTCTAGTTTGATTGCAGTGTGGTCTGAGAGATAGTTTGTTATAATTTCTGTTCTTTTACATTTGCTGAGGAGAGCTTTACTTCCAACTATGTGGTCAATTTTGGAATAGGTGTGGTGTGGTGCTGAAAAAAATGTATATTCTGTTGATTTGGGGTGGAGAGTTCTGCAGATGTCTATTAGGTCTGCTTGGTGCAGAGCTGAGTTCAATTCCTGGGTATCCTTGTTGACTTTCTGTCTCGTTGATCTGTCTAATGTTGACAGTGGGGTGTTAAAGTCTCCCATTATTAAGGTGTGGGAGTCTAAGTCTCTTTGTAGGTCACTGAGGACTTGCTTTATGAATCTGGGTGCTCCTGTATTGGGTGCATAAATATTTAGGATAGTTAGCTCCTCTTGTTGAATTGATCCCTTTACCATTATGTAATGGCCTTCTTTGTCTCTTTTGATCTTTGTTGGTTTAAAGTCTGTTTTATCAGAGACTAGGATTGCAACCCCTGCCTTTTTTTGTTTTCCATTGGCTTGGTAGATCTTCCTCCATCCTTTTATTTTGAGCCTATGTGTGTCTCTGCACGTGAGATGGGTTTCCTGAATACAGCACACTGATGGGTCTTGACTCTTTATCCAACTTGCCAGTCTGTGTCTTTTAATTGCAGAATTTAGTCCATTTATATTTAAAGTTAATATTGTTATGTGTGAATTTGATCCTGTCATTATGATGTTAGCTGGTGATTTTGCTCATTAGTTGATGCAGTTTCTTCCTAGTCTCGATGGTCTTTACATTTTGGCATGATTTTGCAGCGGCTGGTACCAGTTGTTCCTTTCCATGTTTAGCGCTTCCTTCAGGAGCTCTTTTAGGGCAGGCCTGGTGGTGACAAAATCTCTCAGCATTTGCTTGTCTATAAAGTATTTTATTTCTCCTGCACTTATGAAGCTTAGTTTGGCTGGATATGAAATTCTGGGTTGAAAATTCTTTTCTTTAAGAATGTTGAATATTGGCCCCCACTCTCTTCTGGCTTGTAGGGTTTCTGCCGAGAGATCCGCTGTTAGTCTGATGGGCTTTCCTTTGAGGGTAACCCGACCTTTCTCTCTGGCTGCCCTTAACATTTTTTCCTTCATTTCAACTTTGGTGAATCTGATAATTATGTGTCTTGGAGTTGCTCTTCTCGAGGAGTATCTTTGTGGCGTTCTCTGTATTTCCTGAATCTGAACGTTGGCCTGCCTTGCTAGATTGGGGAAGTTCTCCTGGATAATATCCTGCAGAGTGTTTTCCAACTTGGTTCCATTCTCCACATCACTTTCAGGTACACCAATCAGACGTAGATTTGGTCTTTTCACATAGTCCCATATTTCTTGGAGGCTTTGCTCATTTCTTTTTATTCTTTTTTCTCTAAACTTCCCTTCTCGCTTCATTTCATTCATTTCATCTTCCATTGCTGATACCCTTTCTTCCAGTTGATCGCATCGGCTCCTGAGGCTTCTGCATTCTTCACGTAGTTCTCGAGCCTTGGTTTTCAGCTCCATCAGCTCCTTTAAGCACTTCTCTGTATTGGTTATTCTAGTTATACATTCTTCTAAATTTTTTTCAAAGTTTTCAACTTCTTTGCCTTTGGTTTGAATGTCCTCCCGTAGCTCAGAGTAATTTGATCGTCTGAAGCCTTCTTCTCTCAGCTCGTCAAAATCATTCTCCATCCAGCTTTGTTCTGTTGCTGGTGAGGAACTGCGTTCCTTTGGAGGAGGAGAGGCGCTCTGCGTTTTAGAGTTTCCAGTTTTTCTGTTCTGTTTTTTCCCCATCTTTGTGGTTTTATCTACTTTTGGTCTTTGATGATGGTGATGTACAGATGGGTTTTCGGTGTAGATGTCCTTTCTGTTTGTTAGTTTTCCTTCTAACAGACAGGACCCTCAGCTGCAGGTCTGTTGGAATACCCTGCCGTGTGAGGTGTCAGTGTGCCCCTGCTGGGGGGTGCCTCCCAGTTAGGCTGCTCAGGGGTCAGGGGTCAGGGACCCACTTGAGGAGGCAGTCTGCCCGTTCTCAGATCTCCAGCTGCGTGCTGGGAGAACCACTGCTCTCTTCAAAGCTGTCAGACAGGGACACTTAAGTCTGCAGAGGTTACTGCTGTCTTTTTGTTTGTCTGTGCCCTGCCCCCAGAGGTGGAGCCTACAGAGGCAGGCAGGCCTCCTTGAGCTGTGGTGGGCTCCACCCAGTTCGAGCTTCCCGGCTGCTTTGTTTACCTAAGCAAGCCTGGGCAATGGCGGGCGCCCCTCCCCCAGCCTCGTTGCCGCCTTGCAGTTTGATCTCAGACTGCTGTGCTAGCAATCAGCGAGATTCCGTGGGCGTAGGACCCCCTGAGCCAGGTGTGGGATATAGTCTCGTGGTGCGCCGTTTCTTAAGCCGGTCTGAAAAGCGCAATATTCGGGTGGGAGTGACCCGATTTTCCAGGTGCGTCCGTCACCCCTTTCTTTGACTCGGAAAGGGAACTCCCTGACCCCTTGCGCTTCCCAGGCGAGGCAATGCCTCGCCCTGCTTCGGCTCGCGCACAGTGCGCACACACACTGGCCTGCGCCCACTGTCTGGCACTTCCTAGTGAGATGAACCCGGCACCTCAGATGGAAATGCAGAAATCACCCGTCTTCTGCGTCGCTCACGCTGGGAGCTGTAGACCGGAGCTGTTCCTATTCGGCCATCTTGGCTCCTCCCTATTTTGACTTCTTAAGGGGATTTATTTACATAACAAGTCCACCTTTTTGCTAGCCAGGCCAAACTGAAAGAGCAATGACTGTTACCCCATGCTGCAGTTCCATGGCTAAGGTTCTGCCTTCTTTTCTTTTCACATGACAGCCAGGGTATGGTTTCTAAATCAAGACCTTTCTGGTTTGATATTTGGTACTTTTGAAATGGCAGTAATTTGTCCTAGCTGAAATATGGTAATAAGCTTCAAAAAGATTTTCTTTAACGAGCTCAATGGTTAAAACTCAGCTTAATTAAAAGCTAACGTCCAAGTTCTGTGTGTGTATGTGTGCATGTATGTTTGTGTTTAAAAGGCCTTCATGCTTTTGTTTTTTTTCTCTCCTAAGACTTTGTATTTTTTGATCAAAAGTTTTTTTTCTTCTCAGTTGACCAAATTCTGTTTTCTTCATTTACTTCTGCTGTCTCTCCTTTCTCTTGCACCCTCTGCAGCATGGGGGACCTAAAGTAGTTTATAATAGCCTGGAATTTCTTAAAGAAAATGGAGAAGGCATCAGACTCCCTTTTGGGGAGAAGCCTGTTTTTCCTTATAGAACCCCAAGAGTGCAAACAGGCAAGTTTGTCTCAGCTCTGAAACTGTTTGCTTTTGTATTTTGTTACCTGATGTTCTGACTAAAATAGAGTCTCTTGGGTTTGTAAGGAAGACTGTAGTTTAGACACTTTAAAATGTCTCTGTTTAAAAAAATTTTTTTACTTGCACTGTAAAAGTATCACATGGTCTAGCCTTATAATAATTCTCCGTTTCTGGAGACCCAGTATTCAGTGCGGGCTCTGCCCAGAGCTCACACATACAGTTAAAAGATAGGTAGCCCTATCTATAAAATTGGTTTCCTTTTAAAATCCTATGATAGATTTCTATAATTTTATGATTGATTTGCCATCCATCTTTAATTTCCCTCTAGTACCACTGGAATTTTTCTCTCTGTACCTTGCACCTCTAGCACCACCAGATTTTTTCTGTTTGTACCTTGAGATTCACCTAAGAGTTGTTTCTTTTAATATGCAGATTAAGGAGTATTTAGCTGACAACTGTCAGGGTATTGAAACAGGTTATCAAGAGTTGGCAAGTCTAAGATGGGGGGAAAAAGGAGGCCTCATGAATCTACAAGATGTACTTCTAACAGTATGCCTAATATGTCTATGTATTTATGTGTTGTGTACACAATGTTTCACTACTGAAAATATATAAAAGAGCCCTAATTAATTAACTTAAAGAAAACTAAAAGCACTTAAATCAAATACTTTATCAGAAAAAAGGAAAGACTAGTCAAATGCTTTTTCGAGTTTACATGACTTAAGTAAAATCTTTAATAAATGAGCTAGCTTTAAAATTATTGCTAAAGTAATATTATAAATGTCTTAAGAATTGCCAGCATACATTTTTGTTTGCATTTATTGATTAAGCAATTTTATATTTATCCCTGACAAATACTATAAGGTGTCAAAATTTGGCATAGGGGTCAACTGTAAACCCGGCCAAAAACAGAATGATCTTTGCTTGTCTAATAAATAAGACATCGATATTGGTTTAATGAAAATAGCTACATCTTGAATTATTTACTAAAATTACCATGACTTCTAATCTTGTGACTTTAGGCAGTCTAGTGCACTTGTACGAAGGATGTTTGTTTAGGGAAAGGACTGTTATTGTCTTTGTTTCAAAGCTAAACTATAAACTAAGTTCCTCCCTAAGTTATTAGATTGGTGCAAAAGTAATTGTGCCTACTGCATTGTTGAAGTTTACTGTCTGATATTGGAATAGCTTCTGAAATAAATGTGGTTATGTTATACATCATTTTAATGTGCATTTCTCTATATATATTTATTTGCTAATGACTTGTTACTTGCTGTTTATTTTATGTTTATTTTAGACTATGGAAATGAAGCTAGAGAAAAAGCAATCTGAGCAATTTTCTTATTCAAGTTCAAAATGGGTCATAAACCGATGGAGATAATTCACAACATCAACAATGCATTTGGCCCAGGAGCTGCTAACAAACGTACAGTGCAGTGGTGGTTTCAGAAGTTTTGCAGAGAAGACGAGAGCCTTGAAGACAAGGAGCATAATGGCCAGCCATTGGAAGTTGACAACAACCAATTGAGAGCAATCGTCAAAGCTGATCCTCTTACAACTAAACAAGAAATTGCCAAAGAACTCAACATCAACCATTCTATGATCATTCAGCATTTGAAGCAAATTGGAAAGGTGATAAAGCTTGATAAGTGGGTGCCTCATGAGCTGGGTAAAAATTTAAAAAATCATCGTTTTGAAGTGTTGTCATCTCTTATTCTATGAAACAACAACAAACCATTTTTCAATTGGATTGTGACGTGTGATGAAAAGTGAATTTTATACAACAAAAGGCAACAACCAGCTCAGTGATTGGATGGAGAAGAAGCTCCAAAGCACTTTCCAAAGACAAACTTGCACTAAAAAAGGTCATGGTCACTGTTTGGTGGTCTGCTGCTGGTCTGATCCACTACAGCTTTCCAAATCCTGGCAAAACCATTAAATCTGAGAAGTATACTCAGCAAATCGATAAAATGCACTCACTGAAAACTGTAATGCCTGAAACCAGCAATGGTCAACCGAAAGGACCCAATTCTTCTCCATGACAGTGCCTGACTGCATGTTGCACATCAAAATTGAATGAATTGGGCTATGAAGTTTTGCCTCATCTGCCATATTCATCTGACCTCTCGCCAACTGACTACCACTTCTTCAAGCATCTCAACAACTTTTTTCAGGGAAAAACGTTTCCACAACGAGCATGATGCAGGAAGTGCTTTCCAAGAGTTTGTTGAATCCCAAAGTATAGATTTTTATGCTAGAGGAATAAACAAACTTATTTTTCATTGGCAAAAATCTGTTGATTATAATGGTTCCTATTTTGATTAATAAAGATGTGTTTGAGCCTAGTTATAATGATTTAAAATTCATGGTCCGGAATCGCAATTATGTTTGAACCAACCTAGCATAGTTTGGCCTATGCCCAGGAATGAATAAGGACAGCTTGGAGGTTAGAAGCAAGATGGACTCAGTTAGGTTGGATCTTTTTCACTTTCTCAGTTATAATTTTGCAATGGCTATCATAGTTTTCAAAGATAATTTAGGTAAATGATTAAAATAAAACAATTAGGTAAATGTAATAAGGTAAATACTTGTAGATAAACTTGTCATAATTTAGAATCTTAAGTTATATTAAATTAAATAATAAATATTTTATTATTTGGGTATTTTCCAATAAAAATATATTGTAGGAAAACATTCTTTCTAAAAAGAAAAGTGTCCTTTTAAAAAAGTAAATAACTTTTGTCTAATTTAAAACTTAAAGCTTATTCAAAGATTATGTTTAAAACAAGGTAAAAGGAATCAGGAAATAAGAGAGATGTAAAGAAAGTTATAGAAATAAATAGTTTTTTTTGGTAAGAAAGCTTAAAGAGAAACAATTTTATATAAGAAAGAATCTTGTATGGTAAATTTAGTCCTAGAATAAAATGGTTGTTTCAGAAAGAAGGGTGTTCAGGACAAACCAGAAAGTCCAAGTATGTTATGAATGGTATGTGTCAGTCATACTAAGAAGCTTCATAAAAAGAAAACAAAAACAAAAACTTTTATATGATCAAGTTGTCTGTAATTAAAGAGAAATTATAATAGTCTTTCTAGAGATTGGGTTTGATGTAAAAAAAACACTTATACACTGAAGAATTGGTTAGAACAATACAATTTTCTTAAAGGGTTGATTTACTCTTAATAAATTAGAAGAAATTTTAATTTTTTTATCCCAAAGATCAACGTTTATTGCATCTCACCATTTTCAGTTTTTCTCCCCTTTTACAGGGCATGAATTAGTAACAGTCTTCTTCAACTCATTTTCAGTTCATATAAGATTTTTTCCTTGGATTCTGTTTGTTGTTGCCTGATGCTAACAATAGTTTTTTAAAGGTCTAAAGGAAAGATTTTCTTCCACATAATATTCTGTGCCCTGCAGAAGGTCTTTTATTTTGCCTTTTGATAACTGGCTTAACAGATTTTTTGTTTTATCAAAATAATTCCTGTGCCATTATTATTAAGTTTTGGTTGGCTTAGAAAAAAGATTTAAAAAATTTCTTTTTAAATTAAGGTTATTGCATCCATGTGTCTTTTTGTATGTGCTTTTGAAGTCCTTGTGACATTGAGTTATAGGGCTTTGACTCCTGGGTCTAAAAAGGAAACCATGTCTTGCTAAATCTTAAATGCTGACAGCAATTAAAGCCTCATCTTCAGGCCTGGCAGAAAATGCCAATCAAATAAAGAGCATACCTGAGACATAGGGCCAGAAATTAAAGCTATTCAACTCCCCAAGGCCCAGAGACTGTAGCAAAAGAGGTGGGAGCATGAGACTTTGTAAGGGCCAATTTTGAGAGATAAGTTTAGTTTCTCTATACATTAACCATTAATATCAAAGGCACACAGATGCAAAACCAGCATCTGGGCCTGTATGTCAGATTAACAAGGTTTTCTTGAAGCATTAACTGGCTCCTTAATAAAGATTATAAAGGTAATAAAAGGCTTGTGGAAGTTATATCTTATGGTCAATTTAAAATTTAATAGATAGTTTATAAAATTTTCAAAAACAAATTTAATTGGCTTCACACTGTTTTTATTAGGGCTTATTGTTTGGAAAATTAAGTCTTCTCTCTCAAAGAATGAAGGTTTTCATCTTTTTTTTGAAATCCTTGAGTTATCGCTTTGGTTAAATAAATGACTTATTTGACAATGACTTGTGATCCTATTTTGTGATATTGATAGTGACAGGGGGCAGAGAAATTCTAGGCAGAAAAGGGCAGGTTCCCAACAAACTCCACCCTCAAGCAGAAAATCCTGCAGCCAGTGGGCCAATGTGAGAACTTCTATCCCTGTTTTCCCCTCAAATGTTGTCTTTTTCTAAACCATCCATGGCCCACTCCACCCCATCTTGCACCTATAAAGAGCTCAGACTCAGCCAGCAGAGAGAAGAAGCAGCTGGACTTCAGGGTCTACAGCTGAATTTTGGAGAGAAGCAGCTTGACTTCAGAGGGACAGCTTGATAGCATAACTTTGGAGAGGAACCTGGCCATAGATGGCCAGACTTTAGGGGAAGATTACCTACCTGCCCCATCCCCTTTTCAGCTCCCCTTCCTGCTGAGAGCCACTTTCACTGGCAATAAAATCCCCTGCTTTTACCATCCTTCAATTCATTTATGCAACCTCATTTTTCCTGGACACTGGACAAGCGTTCAGGAGCCATGAGTGTGGATACAAAAGGCTGTCACACTGGCCCTTTGCCTTCACTGGCAGAGGGGAGCCACCTCATGCAAAAAGGCAGAGGGCCCACTGAGCTGTTAACACTTAAGCCATCCACTGACAGCAGAGCTAAAAGGACACTGTAACACACCCCATGTGGCAGCCATGCTGCCTGGACACTGCCTCAGAGCCTGCACAGAATTCACTCCTGCCAGCACCCAAAAGTCCTTGCCCCAGCTCCTACACCCACTCACCTCTGTGCTCCCTCCCACCAAGGGTGGAATGCAACAGGTCCAAGTGAGTAGGGTTTGATCCTGCCAGCACCGAAGCAGCTGGCTGGTTCCAGCACTCATGCACTGTAGTTCCCACTTTGTTTGCTTGCATGCTCCCTCCTGTGAGGAGCTGAGAGCAGCAGGATGAGTAAATGAGGCACCCCTGGTATGAATCCCGCAAAGGGGTCAGGGTAATATCCTGCTTCAATATCAAGTGTTTTAAAGCTTTGATATTTGACAAACTTTCCAAAATCAAATTATAAATTATGTCTTTTTTCTGATACAGTTAATCCTTTAAGATGTTAGTTTCCCTGCAATCCAAAAATGATGTATTTGTCTTATTCGGTATAAAAATTATACCAGGAAGCATTGTCAAATATGAAATGCTGTTTGACTTTCTTTGGGTTGTATTTGTACAAACATGTTATTGGTATGTGTTCCAAAATTATGGGAAACTCCTATAATTCTGATATGATTTAGTGTATGTTATCAGTAATAATTATAATTGTTATATTAAATTTTTGTGTGTCACAGAGGTAACAAAATTCCTTGTCAACTGTGTCTTTGACTATAGCTGCCCTGAAACTCTGTCATACACAGACAATTGTTTTGTTTTGGTCTTCTTTAGAAAGTGGTTTTATAATCAGATATATAACTCTAAGAGGTATTCTTGAATGCAGATTTCTGATAACTTTGGAGATTGTGACATCAGAATAGAGGAAAAACTTTCAGAATTCATGGATAGCTGAAATGTTCATGAATATCAAGCAGAATAGGAATTAACTGCATGGACTGAACTAATAGAAGACTGAAATAATCTTGACTTTTTGCTTAAAACGTTGCTGTTTTGTTTTTCATAGTCAAGGAAACGGTTCTTTTGAGCTATTGACAGCTTTTAACAGAAACTTGGAGCATATTTGTTTCTCTCTACCTGTTTTCTCCAGAATTTGGAAATTATTTGTGAGTATTCTTAACTTCTGGCACTATAGTTATTTGCATAAGTGCAATAAGAGTCTGTTTTCATTTGTAACAGGAAACAATTGGAGACACTGGTTATTTTCCCAGGCTTTGACTGGAATGGTGTGCTTTCCTTTAAGGAATCAAACTTGACTTATGGAACCAATAAAAGCCCCTTGGGAAAACTGGCCTCATACCTTGTCTACACAGTCCCTGCACAGGGTTCCTGACCTGTGGTAAGTAAAGAATGCCACTTTCTGACAGGCCCAGGAGCCCCAAGTTATCTTGGAACCTCAAGAGGAGAGGAATTCACCCAACTTGTAGTATTTGATGGTACAATTCCATAGCTGGACTCAGCTTTAAAAAAAGTCTTATCTGGGCTGGGCACAGTAGTTCACGCCTGTAATCCCAGCACTTTGGGAGGCCGAGGCAGGCAGATCATGAAGTCAGGAGATTGAGACTATCCTGGCTAACATGGTGAAACCCCGTCTCTACTAAAAATACAAAAAATTAGCTGGGCATGGTAGCACCTGTAGTCCCAGCTACTTGGGAGGCTGAGGCAGGAGAATGGTGTGAACCCAGGAGGAGGAACTTGCAGTGAGCCGAGATCGTGCCACTGCACTCCAGCCTGAGCAACAGAGTGAGACTCCGTCTCAAAAAAAAAAAAAAAAAAAGTCTTATTTGAGATTCCTTCTATGGAACAAAGTTTCATCAAAGCCAATTTAAAAAGCTTATGTGAAAAATAATTATTCTTGTTGCACTTTAAACAAATTATCTGGCCAAGTATAATAAAGCAAACCACTCCTACCATGATTTGTCTTTAGTGAAAATGGGAAACTGGATAGAGAGACATTATGTTTCTAAAACTATAGTACATGGGTTGTCAGATTCTAGTCTTGCCCAATGTTTTTCAATTTTTATTATTTTCTAGAGTTTGTGCTGAATTCCAATTTTTCCTGGCTATAAATCTCCCAATTAATGTTTTCAATTTTTTCTTCTTTTTTTTCTTTTTGTCCCCCATTTGTTCTAATTTGAAATCACTGAAAACTAAACTGTGCTTTCTTAAAGCCCTACAAACTGAAGCTAGACAGCTTAAATTTCAGAAAAAAATAACAGCAACCTATTTACATACCTAAGCCTCTTTCATACCTACCTACTGATGTATGGACTTCAGAATAATGTGGCCTATATCAATATTCCAGGATTGTTCTTTTGGTTGTAGTTTTTCTCCCCTCCTTCCTCATTTTCTCTTCATAGGACATGAGACATCATAACCTGCTAAAAGTGAGTTTCCCTAATAACTTAGGACCTACCTGTCTAAGAATAAACTGTCTTATCCATGAGAGATCAGACAAAAGCTGAGGCCAGAGACTCATTTTCTTCTAAAATGCTTTCTCTGAAGGTTTTTAAAAGTAAAGAGGGGAAATGTGAAAAAAATAAAAATAAATATTGGGGCCCCCAAATCACTAATCTAAAGGGAAAAGTCAAGCTGGGAACTGCTTAGGGCAAACCTGCCTCTCATTCTATTCAAAGTCATCCCTCTGCTCACTGAGATAAATGCATAGGATTGCCTCCTTTGGAAAGGCTTATCAGAAACTCAAAAGAGTGTAGAACTGTTTGTCTCTCATCTCCCTGTGACCTGGAAGCCCCCTCCCTATTTGAGTTGTCCCACCTTTCTGGATAGAACCAATGTACATCTTACATATATTGATTGATGTCTCATGTCTCCCTAAAATATATAAAACCAAGCTGTTCCCCGACCACCTTGGGCATATGTTGTCAGGACCTCCTGAGGCTATGTCACAGGCAAGCATCCTCAAGCTTGACAAACAAACTTTCTAAATTAATGGAGACCTGTCTCAGATATTCAGGGTTCACAATATTTTTATTTTAAGAACTAATTACTAAACTTATCTTGCGGTCTTAACAAAAAAGGGTAGGTGGCATAGTCTAGTGAAAGGAACACTGGGCTGGGAGCTGAAAAAAATAGGTCATTTGTTCTTGGATATGCCACCTGCTGGATGATGATCTTGGGTGGTCCAAGCCTCAGTTTTCAAATTTGTAAGATGGAGTTATTGCTATCTGCCTTTCCATTCTATGGGGTTAATTGCTGGGATCAAATAAACTAATGAATGCAGCACTACACAGATATAAGGCTAGTCAATACTTTGGAGAATCTTGAACAATTCTGTCTGAACATCAGTTATAATGATTTCTTCCCAAACCATCATGTCACTATTATAAGCCTCTTTGCCCTGTAGTGAAAATAATTCCCAAAGGGACATACTTGCAATTTGTTTTACAATATTTCAAAAATTAGGGTGGATTGATGGATAAATAGTAGAATGGGTAGATATCCGACAAAGCAAGTATAGTAAATATAAATGACAATATCAAGGTGGTGGGTCTATAGGTGGTGGCTGTAAAATTTATTTAATTTACTATATGTTTGTTTGAAATTTTTCACAATAAACTGTAGGGATGTATGCTCATAGAAAGAAGAATAAACTCTTGTTTCCTTTAGTCATGTAAAAGCAAAGGGCTTAGTTAGACTTATTCACACAGGGAGAAACCTGTATTGATAGAGGAACACCAGTCATATTATGCTAATTTAAATTCCAGCAGTTTTGTGTCAATTAATTATGTCATTAACACCAGTTAACAAAGCACAGCCAAGCCTAAGCACAGACCTCCTCCCAGCCACCTAACAACAACTGTTCTTCCACAGCAGTTTGAACACAAAGCCAGGAGACAGCGGCTTACAGTAACACCCTCAGCTTTGCATCTGTATTGCTGTGCGACCTTGAGAAAAGTATTTAATCTCTCCCTTCTTCAATTGTCCCATTGGAAAACAGTGACTACTATTAAAGATCACAGGACCACTGAGGATATTACTGAATGATTTCTAAAGCACTCAGAAATGCCTTATACACATTAAATGATTCTCTCTCTCGTTCCTATTCATTTCACTTTTGAGTATTTTCTGAGATATTTCTAAGAATAAAGATGCAGTTCAAAATTCACTCCCCTTCCCATCCTCCAGGACCTAGCATAGTGCCTTATACATAGTAATAACTCAATAAATATGTATTGATTTGATCTGATAACCTAACAGTGTTAGAATGCATTTATTCAGAAAACATATTAGTCATTTGATCATTACAATTGCCTCGACCTAAAGCATACATTGCAAACCCTGAGACCTGTCTGATGCAGCAGAAACTAAGTTTGGATACTAATCCTAGGAGACCTTGAAGCGAAGGCAACATTATGTCTAGGGTTTTTTTCCCCCCGCCCCCCACAGTGATACATACCTCAGAGTCAAGAGAAGAGATAATAAATCTAATTGATCGCCTTGCACGTTATCTTAACACAGAGTCAGGCACAAACTCTACTGCAATATTTAAATGAAAACCACACAGAGTCAACATGATGCCAGGGAAAAGAATAGACTGATATTCTTAATTCTGAAAAACCGTATTGGTAATCAATTGGAATGCGAGAACAATTGAAAAGCTGTCCAATTTTCAGTTGCAGTATAAGTTGGGAAACAATTTGAAAATAATAGCTCATACAAAGAGTTTTCGAAGCAGTCAATATGGACTTCATGTGAAGGACAAATAGGAATTTGGCAACATATGCTACATTCAGCTACATGCATCAGACAGTATCTGTAGCACCCGCTGAAGGGTCCCTCTCATGGCAGAGTACGAAATCTTCCAGAATGTGGCTCTATTGAGACTCTGTTAAATGGCATCATCATGGAGGAAGCATTTCCAATGAATGAACAGGACTGTGGACATTCCTATTAATCTATACACATCACAAATGTATGTACATATGTGGTTTACTGAACTGATTCACTTTAGAGATGTTTATCTTTTGTGGCATAGCTATGCTATGAAACTGCTCATAAAATTGAAGATATTTCCTACCATTAACCTCAGACTCTGATCCATTGCTAGAATTCCTTTTTCCTTACACAAAAGCCTATATGGCTTGAGAAAACAAGACAGAACAAAAATCTGCAGGTTGTTATTTATTTATTTACATGAAGAAAACAAAGTTTTTTTTTATCATAAACTATGAAAACACAAAAAGTTGATAAAACTCAATTATACATTTTGAGTTTCAGAGGATGGTATCTGTTTTTGAAAACTGGTAAGATCTGAGTGACCTAGGGTCAGAGGCGTTCGAACCAGAGTGACTCCATCTTGAGTGAGGGCTAGGAAAAATGAGGCTGGGGCTTGCAGGGCTGCATTCCCAGGAAGTTAGGTATTCCTAGCCTCTAGATGTTTACGGTTAAGGGAACATATTGATAACTTTTACTAAACAGACCCAGACTTAGAAGTGTCCTGATATCCCGATATCTTTGGAACAGAAGCATTCCTAATTTTGCTTTAAAGATAATAATATCAATTCTTGCAAAATACAGTAATTAAAAAAATGAATCCTTTATCACAAACCCCTGTAGCAGAAGCACATCTCTCCGTGATCTTTTTTCATCCTATATATAAATAAGTATCGTACCTAGGGTGGATGCGTTCCTCCTCTTACTTTCGGGAATGCCCTACTCTGTCTATGGAGTAGCTGTTCTTTCACCATTTTACTTTCTTAATAAACTTGCTTTTGCTTTGCCCTGTGGACTCGCCCTGAATTGTTTCTTGCATGAGATCCAAGAACCATCTCTTGGGGTCTGGCTTGGGACCTCTTTCCAGTAAGACTAGTACAAATTACATAGAGGACCCACCTCGCCTACTGCCCCCACCCTGCTTACTCTTCCCCTATTGGGATTCCTATTTGGTATTATAGTCCACGAGATATATAGTACAAATACTTATTACCATTAAAAGCAAAAACAACTAATTGACTTGATATGTCATTTTACTGCAAAAGTTTTAAATCCCATTTTTACAGCAAATAGTATTTCAGAATGGAATAATTGTGTTATACCTCCTATCAAACTAATTTTTTTTTTTTTTTTTTTTTTTGAGGCTGAGTTTCACTCTTGTTGCCCAGACTGGAGTGCAGTGGCACGATCTCGGCTCACTGCAACCTCCGCCTCCCAGGCTCAAGCGATTCTCCTGCCTCAGCCTCCCGAGTAGCTGGGATTACAGGCACCCACCACCATGCCTAGCTAATTTTTTGTTATTTTTAGTAGAGATGGGGTTTCACCATGTTGACCAGGCTGGTCTTGAACTCCTGACCTCGGGTGATCTGCCCACCTCGGCCTCCCAAAGTGCTGGGATTACAGGCGTGAGCCACCTTGCCTGACCAAAAAAATTTTTAAATATACCATATACTTTTTTTTGTTTGTTTCTTCTGTGTGTATTATTCCTTCCTAACTCTCTTTAGAGGCATATTCTTACAATGATCTTAACAAGCAGACCAATATCCCTTTGGGATGATTTAAATGTAGTGTGCCTGAAGATGTCCCGGATGGCTTCTGAAACTCCCTTCCAATCCTAGGTTTGCCATATTTGATAGAGACACATTTTCTGCGGGCCTCATTTACCTACCCACACAAACGAAGAGCAGACAGCTGTTTGCCCCCACTGACTGCACTTGTACCCGCACAGACATGCAAATTAGGTGATGCATACTTACTGCAGTTGTGTGTTTATTAAATTTACTCACTTCCTAATAGGCCTGCTTGACAGGGGCTGAAAGAAGACCTTTTAAATGTTGATCTAGAATGTAGGCAATAAATAAGGTGCTGTTTTGAAAAAGACACCTTGAAAAATCATTAATTCGGTGATTCCAGAGGCTGATTTTCTTAATCTTTAATTTTAGTGGCTAAATAAATTTTCCCCAAATGGTTAAAATGGGTTGAAGTTAAACAACTGTGAAATTTGTCACTGTAAATAGCATATTACTTTCCTCTATGCGCCAAGTCATCTCCAATCACTGTTGAGTCACTTATTTCAAATTTGAGTTCCCCCTAAAAACAGATTTTCTTCTCCATTGATGATAATGTTGCATGCTAAGAAGGAAAATGCCAAAAAGAATGAGTGTCACTTTCTTTAGAAAAGAGGTTCCTAACCCAAGGGCAAGGGGTCCTTGAGGACCCCTGAAGAGTTTCTGTCAGTCCATGTGCACCAGGCATTGCCTATAGACTGAAGACAAAAACACCTGTTTTCCATGTGTATGTAAAGATAGTGACTAATAACGCTTTCTAAAAATTCACTTAAAAGTACACATATTGTCCATGTGGAATCATACATTGTTTTCTATGTACTTCTCAAAGAGGCACTAAAATATAATTGCTGCCTTATACAGGTTATATAACTTTGAACACTTTTTATTTAAAGATTCCCAGCCTCCAATTGGATATGGTTATGAACTACTACTTTACATATGCTTTGCTTCGCTCTTGTTACCAAAAAAGAATAAATACAAGAACAAAAATCTATAATGCCTTAAAAGTCCCAAAACTCATCCTAAAATAGGAATAATTACATTACTTTCATGTCTTAGAATTCCTATTTCCTTCTAAACAGCAAACCTCAAGATCCCCATGAAGATAAAAACCCACCTAAGTAAGGCACCCCAATCACAGATCCAATAAGTACATGAAGGTCTGCATATGGCGCTTGTGAATATGTTGACTTCTTTAATTTTGTTTGGGGGGAGGGGATGGGCAGGGGAAGGCCTTGGAGGCAAATTTACCATAGAGTGTGCAACTTAGAAAAGTTAAACCTAACCCACTTTTTTAGCAACAGAAATCAAATTGTTTTTTCCTGTTGGCATTATTTTACTGGAAGAATGTAGGCTGACTTCATAATAATCTTGTTTTCAAAGCCAGGATATGACATTTTTAGTCACCTCTTCTTTTGACTCTACACAGGATGGCATTAAAATCATTCTGGACCAAAATATATCATCTCTCTTCTATTTTCAAAGATCTCCAGGGAAAACAGTTTCAGACTTTTTCAAGTTATAAATTTCAGTATAATCTTCCCTGTCCAGGCCATCTTCAGAATTTCTAACCTCAATCCCCTTCATGCATTTTAAACTTGCCCACTCGTTTTCCTCTCTTGGTGGTGGAAATTAGAAATATATGATCACATTTTTAATCTCTTATAACTTCTTATATCCCAGCATATTAATCACAAATCACTTCACCAAGCTGGGAAACTCAGACTTCTTAAATTTTGCCTTATGCCTAATTTTAACACCTTTTAAGTGTCTGTGACCCTCCTAAGAATTACTTATCGTTTTAGTGTATCCATAGGTAAAGGCCTTGACACTAAGTTTTGATCATTGTCAATATAATGAGAGGTTTACTGAATTATTTCTTTGGTTTCTTGTCCTATTTGTGTTTTCAAGATCATGGTCTTGTAAAAGATACCGCAGAGCTGAATTAGATTCAACTTGTGAAACACTGTGAAAATTGCATCCTTTTCTGCAGTATTCCTGCATATCTACTCATTTCTCAAGCTAAGATTTTATTTTCCCAGAATCATCCATTATGAAATTAACAACCCTTTGGATGAAGGTGTTTTCTGTCACACTAGATGGAAATGCAGCCTGTCTTACTAAAAATAAATGCATTATGTACATTCCAAACAATTTTTTTTTCTCTTCGTCATTATTTTCAATGAAGATCTCATTAATATTCTTAGCAGTTTGGTGCTTTTTAGGGGCTCACCTTAAAAATTTTTTCTACTCATATCAATATAATTAAAGAAATTTATGAGAATAGTAAGTAGTGCCCCATAACAAGTATTAATAGTTGGAGGTACAGGAGATATACTTTCAGTCCCTAGGATCTTAGTGGTCATGGTACCTAAAACTTTAATTTTGATTCTAATCCTAACTTATCAGGATTTCAAGTTTCACATTTTTATTATCAGAGCAAAGTATTGGACTGGTCAGCATTCCAAGAGATTATTCTCTCGTTTGCTGATAACCAAGAACCTGAAAGCTCTTCTTGGCTTTGCAACTCTGAGGAACAACCTAAGAAACTCAAGAAGCAGCCATGAGCAAATTTTCCTATTTTTTGAATTCCTGTTGCATTTTATTATTCATGGTATAAGGTATATCACTTAATTGTGTATTGTAACATTTTATCCAGTTTCTTCTTGTGTGTTAGTTTTCCCTCCCCAGTAGGATTTTAAA
The DNA here is from genome assembly GCF_000001405.40 of Homo sapiens. NCBI lineage: Eukaryota > Metazoa > Chordata > Mammalia > Primates > Hominidae > Homo > Homo sapiens. Next base: position 218,029,917 of record NC_000001.11, read on the forward strand.
ATATATTCATCATTAAATGATTATTTTATTAAATAGATGATGAATACCATTAAACCCTTAATAGATGAAGGGAAAGATGGGTACTAACATAAATCATTTGTTCTTAGTAAATGTTTTTTCCATGCAGGCTTTTTATTGTTATATCACTTGGCTAGGTCTCTCTACCTCCAAGCGGCCATGTACTAAAAAATTGAGAACTAATTTTAAAGTTTGCCTACATAAAAAGGGGAACTAGTCTTTTTTTTCTTTTTTCTTTTCTTTTTTTTTTTTTTTGAGATGGAGTCTCACTCTGCTGCCCAGGCTAGAGTGCAGTGGTGCAGTCTTGGCTCACTGCAACCTCTGCCTCCCGGGTTCAAGTGATTCTCCTGTCTTAGCCTCCCAGGTAGCTGGAATTACAGGTGCGCACCACCACACCTGGCTAATTTTTGTATTTTTAGTAGAGACAGGGTTTCTCCATGTTGGCCAGGCTGGTCTCGAACTCCTGAACTCAGGTGATCCTCCTGCTTCAGCCTCCCAAAGTGCTGGGATTACAAGCGTGAGCCACTGTGCCTGGCCCTGGGAACTAGTCTTTACTGAGGGCCAACACCATGCCAGGCTCTCTGTTAGGCACCTAATTTCACCTACTCTTAGAAACATATCCAGACAACTCCACACTTCTATCACAAATTCACCTTTCTACTATCAGTGATTTCTGGGTATTCCCTTAGTTTGCATGTCTGTGCTAAACCTCATCTCCATTAAAACACATCATTGACAATTTGCTGTATTTTTCCTCCATACCGAGTCTTTACCTGAGGTAATTGTTCAAAGAGATTAAGCCATAAAAGACCTTTTGGAGGAAGATGACTTGTTGGTTTTCATTTTTAAAATCGACATAATAGTTTTACCAAATAGTTGTGCATCTTCCCATTTCCTCTTCGTGATGAACCAGGGGCTTCATGGAGCTGCAGGGTGTTCCCCCATGCAGCTGCTTAAGAAATAACCAGCAATCAACATCCCCACAGCATCAAGGAAATAGCAGTGTTGAAATGGAATGTAGAGTTAAATAAAACTCTTGCTCCAGATTTCTTTAATGAAAGAACCTATTTTTTCCTTGGAGTAGCTCTGAAACAAGGTTCATTCTCCAGGCAAGAATGGCTGTGCTTTGTTAGTTGATTGCTTGTGACATAATTAGCTGACAATCTGGCACCAGAATATTATGTGAGAATAGGACAACAATGCAGGGGAGTGTGGTAAGGTTAAATAATTTGGAAGCCTTTCAACATTGAAGAAAACCCTGAAAAAATAGATCATACCCTGGTGTTGATCTTTTAAGCTAGAATCAATTTGAGTCATATGATAGCTATAGAAGAAACGAACAGTGCCAATTTGCTATAGGTTTGGAAATATTTACCATAGGAAATGCAAAAGCTCCAATTTAATATTCCTGTGCCTTCATTTGTAGCGCAGAGAAGTGTCTGAACAAGTGGTTAAGTTCAGTGATTACAAGATTAGGGACCTGGTGTTTAAAACTCAAAACACTGATAACCACAGCATGTCTGTAAACTTAATGCTACTCCCTGAAAAAGTTTAGGTTATTTTTCTCTCCATGACTTTATCTTTGCATGTCTTTTGTGGGGGATAGATTACTAAAACTCTAAAATCTATGATGCAAACATAAAAACTGAAGAGGGATATGAAAAAACAAGAGTGTTGAACCTATAACCCTGATTATCACTACTAGGTAGAAGCAGAAAAAAATATCTTTTTAGGAGGAAAAAAAAAAAAACTTAGCTGCATGTCTTTAGTCAGTTTGTTATGGCATTAAAAGTGAAGTCTGAATTTCTCTTTGAAAGGCAATATACTGTTCAATTGCTGCCATCTTATGTCTCAATCAATAGCTGATCTTTTCATTCTTTTCTCTCCTTTTCTTTTCCAGGGTGGAGTTTGGTTCGCGGCTGTTTTGCCACCTTTTTCTCCTTCTGGGCTGTCAGATTTCTAAAAAGACCTGGAGGGAGAAAGCCTGAAGAACTTGTTAGTCCACAGCTGCCTCTCTGTCGAGGACGGTGGGTTTGATTAAAGGGGAGCACCCCCCTGGCTTTCACAGATCGCATCAATCACGTTGATCAGCCCCCGAAAGGCAACATATTGTCTGGGACTCGGCCAAGGAGGGATATCAATTTCACAATTGCACTTATGTCTTTCAGCCAAGAACCAGTTTATTTTTGGCTACTGAAGTCTGAGATTCACTTTGGAAGCAGCATTTATATTTTCACGCTTTATGCCAGCCTCTCAGCGATAACTTTCCCTTTAGTCAAATAGAAGCATCTTTACATAGCAAATTTGCTCTGTCTCACTAGAGCTTGGAGTTACACATTTCTCCTTTAAGAATCATGTTTTATATTTTGCCAGAGTTTTGAAGGTTTTTTTTTCTTTTCTATTATTAATTCATACTTCTATAAAGAGAGAGTTCTTGATAGAAGGGGTCCCCTTGCAAACAAAGCCCTCAGAAAACAGAACTGTCAGAACCAGCAATATTTTTTAAGAAAAGTTAAAGGAAAACAAGTGCAATGCTTAAACCTTCAGTTTCTGATGTGTGCTCATAGTAATAATAATGACACTTATCAGTAACACTGTAAGAAAGTCAAGTCCAATAGTTACATCCATTTTAAGTGGTTTTTAGTATTATATTTTGCAAATTGTGGAGAAACTTTTATATACTATGGCTTAGAACTCCATCAAAATTTGTTGTAGTTTGCACACATAAAATTCTGACCCATGATTACTCTGTATTATTTCTTCACCTTTAAAATATGTACTGTTTTAAAACCACCTATCATGGTTGCTTTTCTATTTCCCAATTTCTCATTCTGGACCTTACTGTTCCTGTCTGAAATTCTGGCTTATTTAAGGAATAAGATGCTTAACAGGAAATATATTACAATGAAAATTAGATTAATCATTAAAACAAATATTCGCTGAGAAAAGACATTTAAAACATATCTTTTAGAGTTCATCAATAAAAAATACATCTTCCAACTACTGTAAATATCTTGCAAAACATTTTAGTTAATGAATTAGAGCTGATAATGAAAGTATATTATCTGGCTATTTTTCTTTTGTAAGTTATGAAATGAATTACAGAATTAAATTCACTGACTTTTTAAAATAAGTCCCCAGTTGGTTTTAATTATTCCAAAATTTTAAAAACAATGTAAAAATTGAAAAGCCAAATAGTGTTAAACCCTCTTTTAGAAACAGCATCACTGTAGGCTTAATGGTTGGTAACTATAGCCTCTGTAAACTTCCTTAATAATAAATGATTAAATACCTATTTATTACGTTTATTATTTCTGAGTTACATTTATTCAAATTAATGTAAACCTACTAGAAGATACTTTTCTTTTAATTCTAAATCTTAACAGGTAGATTTTAACATCAGTTTCAAACACTAAATTTAATACGTCATTTGAAGATTTTTTCTCAAATATAACAGGTCTCAACTAGAACTGTTTAGGAAATACTGTTTGATCATGTTATTTTCCTCTGAATCATCAGTAGTAGGAGAAACTTTTTTAAAAATTATTTTCTCAGACAGCAAACCATAAAAAGCCATCGTCACAATGTGTCCCTGAAAATTAACTCGAGATCTCAGCTTTAGTGTGATTATATTACAGGCATTTGGAACTGTAATGAATGCTGAAACCTTATTGTGTTTAAATGAGGTAAGATATGTTAACTAACATCAGCAATAACTATCTTTGAAATGTTCTGCTAGATTCTTTAATTACATTTAAATGCCTTCCTTAAATTATTTTAAAATAATTCCTTTTTGGGTTCTGGAAATATAAATGGCTCTTTCGCAACCTGTGTTTACAATTTAACCTTTACATCTATAAATGATCTTGTTTAATTTTTTTGGCATAAGAACTATTTGATCTGCTATTTCTTTTCTGTTGATAGAAAGTACCTGTACTGCAAAATCGAATTTTAATTTTAATATTTGTTATTTCTCCACAGTAGAGTCCTGTGTAGTAAAGTTCATCTTGGAGGGCAAAAATGCTAATTAACACTTTCCTATTAACCAGTACTCTCATAAAAATTTTTATTTTTTAACCCCATGCCTTAAATCTATTTAAAAAAATGACAGTGATATCTTTCACCCAATTACGTATAGAAGAAAGACAAACAATTAATGTCTGTCTGGTGGCATTATTTGTCATAGTGAGATGTGCTTGAAGTAACACAATGTGTCACATTTCTCTGAAATTTGGATTTTCATAAAGTAACTCTTTTAATGTAGTTTTGATGAATTGCATTCTTAACATTCTTATTCTTAATTTAAAAGTGTTTGTTTCTTTCTAAATCATGTATTAAATCTCAGAATAGGAAGTAACATTAAAAAATGGAGGAAAGCTATTATTTGCCTAAATGAATCTCATAACCTGTGATAATTTATCATTAATTTAACTGAGTTCCTTGACTTTCTTCATCTTGATTTTGCTGTTAGATATCTACTACTTCAATACATAGCCAATATTATCATGCACTGAACTAAGTCAGCAGTTTTGACATCTTCATTTCAATGTCCTTTTCTGTACCTTCAGCAATGTTAATGTTACAAATTATAGGAGGGCATATTAATAGCCATACCCAAGAAGCAGAAAGAAAAGTGCATTTTTTTAAACTAAGTACTAACTTGGGATTTCCCGGGCCCATTGTCAAGTCAGCCGAACCCACAGCTCCTCCATTGTGATGATAATGGATTCCGTGTTGTTGGCGCAAAGGTCGCGAGGTCACCGTAAGCTCCTTAATGGACTGTGAAATAACTTTAACTGCATTAACCTCTCTGGATCACATGGGTGGCACCAACAGCCACTCCTGAAATTCTCATTCTCTTATAGAGACAATACCATTAGATTATTATATTTTCCATTTGGAATGGCAATAGGCTCAAAGCAATTATGCAGCTAAGCATTTCCATTAAGTGAATAGGACCTTAAAAAAGATTAACTAGAACATCTCTTTCATACAATATGTGGGCGTGGGGTCGGATACTCTAAAAATTTCACCAGATTTTCAAATGCCTTAAATTCAGTGTCTACTACACTAGGTTTTAAGCTGTCATTGGGTGAAAGGAAAACACCTTGTACATATCACTCTTTTCAAGCTAGGCAGTACATTTAGAGGATAAAAGTCTTTCCCATCTATTGGTTTTCTAAATGAAATCAGCTATGAAACCAAGAGAGCTGTGAGAACCAAGAACTTAGGGCAGAGAAAAGTACATTGGAAGCCACATCTATCTTTCCCTGACTTGTAAGGACCCCCTCCCTATTGCAGAGATACTATTTTCCACAGGAATTTAAATGCTCTTGTTCTCATTTCTGCCTGCTGGTTATTGTGTTTAAAAGACCAAAATTATTTCCTTTGAAACTGCACAAAGCTGGGAAGCCCTTATTATCTGAAGGACAAGAATAATTGCAATTGGTTTACATAGATATAATCAGACATCTATTTACCCACAAGTTAAGCCCTGTTGGATAAGTATCCAAGTGAGATTTAAAGAGTACTATGGTCATCAGTATTATCATTAAAGTACCTCATTGTCATCCTGATATGACATAACAGAAAAAACACACCACATTAAACACATGTTTAAAATGCTATTTGATTTTTAGTGGGATATCATGAGCTGAAAAGTGCAAACAGATAGACTCTATTTCTTTGCTTCTAGAATGCATATTTTAATGTTTTGAAAATTAGGATCCAATTTGCAATCAATTTTTATATTTAGCATAATACTTTTATGAATTCTAGAAAATATAATTGTAGGTGCCTTAGAAATGTAGTGCACTAATGAAAGACAGAAACATCCTTTCTTTATTCCTGATCTCTGTGTGTGCTTTAACCTTGGAAAAACTGTTTTTTGAGGATTTGTTGGGAGTTGATTATTGCTGTTTTCTAGAAATGAGAAGAAGCATGTGAGTTTGGCAGCTTGGCCCTTGGAGTATAAAACAGCATCATCTATGTTGTTCAAGACTTCCGATCGAATTACACTTCTGCTAAAGCCAAATACATCAAAATCTACTATTTGATTACAGTAGCTATTGTTATTTTAAAATATTTTTTAAAACATGTAGCCTCTTTCCCTGAGAGTTGCTTTGCTTTATTTGGCCAAAGCTATTATGATCACCATTGTCACCCACCAAATGGATCGGTCAGCTTACTATCTACTCATTCAAAAAGCAATTATTGCACACTTTCTGTATGCCAAGCACTTTCAATATGCAGACATTCCGGTAATGGGGACTGGCAAGTAAATCAGCAAGTATTATGACTGAGGCCTGCGCAGGGCATGTGGGAACTCAGAGAAAGGCATCCATCATGTTATTTTCTAGCAGATAAAGTAAAATCATGTTTCATGTTTCTATATCCCACTTCTTGCTTCAGCTCGCAATAAAACCACTACTCAGGAGGCTTGGAGCCATGTTTCCTGAACATGACATGCCTACTTTGCTCCCCTTCTAAGTTCCTGAGATGGCTCTCCCAACCTGCCACTTGATGGTAGTCTGATGCTCTTCTGTATGGACAGCCTACAAATGTGCCCAAGATACCAGACATGACATGTGAGTTGCCTGCATGTCTCAGGACCCATTGTCTAATCAATTAATTAGTCTACAAATATATACAGAGCACCTAGTATGTAACAGCAAGGAGCTGGTTGGGCTTTTTCACTCAAATGTATGTTTGGAGTTTGGACTGATGAGGATGTAGTAAACTATCATATGATGAGTGAGTAAAGGAAGCCAAGTATTTTCAATATTGGTCAGCAGTCAGCCAACAAATAGTACTAACGCACTGTGATAAATATGAAATGCCGAACCCTCAGTGTGATGCCTGCATTTCTGTTGCACTCCTTATGCTGTCAAGAATACAAACACACTCTATAGAGTGGATGAAACTCATTGAAAATTCCACAGTATATCCAAAACATATAAAAAGAAATATGTTCCATGACCAAGTGGAATGTTTCCCAAGGATAAAAGGTTAATTTAATATTAAATTCTGAAATCAATTAATGTAAAACATTGTATCAATAGGCTAAAATCCTGAGGTCAATTAATGTAAAACGTTATATAGTTTAGTATTCTGAAATCAATTAATGTAAAACATGATATCAATAGAATGAAAAACAAAAGCCATAAGATCATCTCAACAGATGCAGAAAAAGCATTTAACAAAATCCAACATTCTTTTGTAATAAAAACTTTCAACAAACTAGGAACATCTACAAGAAAACCCCATAGCTAACATTATACTTAATGGTAAAAGACTGGATAGTTTCTCCCTTTTGATCAGAAATAAGACAAGAATATTTGATCTTGCCACTTCTATTCAATATTTATACTAAAGATTTAAGCTAGGGTAATTAGGCAAGAAAAAGAAAAAGAAATAAAGGGAATACAGATTGGAATGGAAGAAGTAAAACTATCTCTATCCACAGATTACATGACCTTGTACTTAGAAAATCCTAAGTAATCCACTAAAAAAACTAGTAGAATCAATACGTTAGTTCAGCAAGGTTGGTTGTAGGACACAAGATCAATAACAAAAGCCAATTCTACTTCCATACACTCGTAATGAACAATCTGAAAAAGAAATTAAGAAAACAATTCCACTCACAATAGCTTTATAAAGAATAAAATACTTACAAAGAAATGGGATAAAAGAAGTACAAAACTTATACTCTGAACCCTACAAACATTGTTGAACGTAAAGGAAACCAAATAATGGAAAAGCTTTTAGGTTCATAGATCAGAAGACAACAGTTCAGATGGTAATATTCCACAAACTGATACCTAGGTTTAACAAAAACTTTACCATTTACCGGTATCTCAGCTGATTTCTTTTCTTTTTCTTTCTTTCTTTTTTTTTTTTTGAGACAGAGTCTTCTCTGTTGCCCAGGCTGGAGTGCAATGGCATGATCTCGGCTGACTGCAACCTCTGCCTCCCAGGTTCAAGCGATTCACCTGCCTCAGCTTCCTGAGTAGCTGGGATTACAGGCATCTGCCACCATGCTCAGCTAATTTTGTATTTTTAGTAGAGATGGGGTTTCACCATCTTGGCCAGGCTGGTCTTGAACTCCTGACCTTGTGATCCACCTGCCTTGGCATCCCAAAGTGCTGGGATTACAAGTGTGAGCTACAGTGCCCCGCCCCCAGCTGATTTCTTTGTAGATATTAACAATTTAATACTAAAATTCACATGTAATTGCAAGGGGACAAAAATAGCAAAAACAATCCTGAAGAAAATAAGGTTGGAGAATTCAGATTTCAAAACTTACTACAAAGTGACAGTACTCAAAACAGTGTGGCACTGGCACAGGAATGAACATATAGATCCATGGAATGGAACTGAGACTCCAGAAATAAACTGATACATCTATGATCAATTGATTTTCAATAAGGGTGCTAACACCATTCAATAGGAAAAGAATAGTTTTGTGGGTTTTTTTTTTAACAAATGGAACAGATATAACAATAGTCACATGTAAAAAGATAAAGTTGGATCCCTACTTCATGTAGTGTATAGAAATTAACTCAAAATGGTTCAAAGACCTAGATGAAAGAATTAAAACTTTACAGTTTTTAGAAAAAAATATAGGTCTAAATCTTCATAATCTTGGATTTGGCAAATTGTTCTCAGAGATGGAAGAAAAAGCATGAGCAAAAAAGGAAAAAAAGAAAAAAATAGATGAATTGAATGTCATTGATATTAAAAATTGTTGTTCTTCAAAGAACACCATCAAGAAGTAGAAAAGACAACCAACAGAACGGGAGAATATATTTGCAAATTATGTGCCCAAAAGTGGCCTGGTATATAGAATATATAGCTTTTATAACTCAATCATGTAAAACAACTCAATTTTTAAAATGGACAAAAGATCTGAATAGACATTTCTCCAGACAATAGGGTACAAATGGTCAATGAACCCATGAAAAGATGGTCAACATCCTTAGTTATAAAAAAATGTAAACCAAAATCACAATGATATATCATTTCACACCCACTAGGCTGACTAGAATTAAAAAGTCAGAAAGTAACAAGTGTTGAAGAGGATAAGGATAAAGCATAACACTCATACACTACTGATGGGAATGTAAAATGGTACATGTACTTTAAAAACAATCTGGCCGTTTCTCAAATGATTAAACATAGAGTTACTATATGACCTAGCAATTCTACTTCTAGGTATATATCCAAGAGAAATGAAAATATATGTCCACAAAAAAGCTTGTTCATGAACGTTCATATCAGCATTATTCATAATAGTCAAAAGGTGGAAAGAACCCAAATGACTATCAAGAGACAAATGGATTTTAAAATATGGTATGCCCATACAATGGAATATTATTCCATCTAAAAAAGAATTAAGGTATTGATAGATGCTGCAACACAGACAAACCTTGAAAACTTTATGTGAAGGAAAACAAGTCAGTCACATAACATCAACACATCATATTATTCCAGTCCTATGAAGGTCCAGAATAGGGAAATCTGAGACAGAAAGTAAATTATTGGTTGCTTAGGACTGAGGGATCAGATGGAGGTTGGTGGGTAGGGGATGATAGCTAAAGGTACAAGGTTTTATTTTGAGGCAAAGAAAATGTTTTAGACTTGACTGTGGGGATGGTTTTACATGTCTGTAAACATACTAAAATCTATTGAATTGTACGCTTTCAAATGGGTGAATTTTATGGTAGGTGAATTATAATAAAGCTGTTTTTAAACAGAAGATAACTCAATATTGTGTATTTTAAGACATGTACTCTGGAATTACCTAATTGCCCTTCAGAAATGTGAAATTATTTTCTAGCAACAAATGTGCAAGATAAAGAATTTGTTGGTCTCAGAATTATACCTTAGGAATCAGATTGAGGTGGGAGTTAAAATATTTGGCAGCAGGTCTTTGAGGTGCTAAGCAACTTGAGGTTTTATGTGCAAAAAGTTTAGGTCAGATTAACTTCTGCTCTTATATCTAGGTTTGCTCATGCAAGACTAGGAACCTGAGATATTCAATCCTAAAAATTAAACATATTTCAGTGCCATTCTCCTGAATATCATTGTTTGAGAGCAGCTGTTGCCTCAGTTTTGCTCTTTTTCTCTTGTAAGTTGGACATTAGCATAATTCTTGTTCCCATATGGTATTTTGCAGTTCCCAAGGTTTGTACATGCTTCTCTTTTCTCTGGAGTTTTTAAATAACAGCTGATTTTCTCTATATTGGATGCAAGTGACATATCACTTCGAAAGCCAGAAATAATATTAGTTTTAATATTCTAAAATGGAGCAATATTTAACAAGTAAGTGAATAATCACTTCAGGATAAATACAGCCATCATGCTCAAAAAGAGACCCTGAGATCCATTTCTTGTCCTTGCAGAGAAGAGAGATAATGGGTGAATGTGTCTTTATGTAAGTGTCCTCACTGAAGTTTATTTGCTTCAGGTCTTAAGGTGGCAAAGCATTTTGCAATGAAGGCACTTGCAGCTTTACATTGTTCTGTCTGAGGAGCTTTACCTTTACAGGTCTTGCTCCCATTAGTACCCATTGAATGATGGATTTTTTATCCGCATAGGCATTTTTCATATATCAGAAGACAATTTTAAAAAGCTGGAAGATACCTATATTAATTTCACACTCTTCAAGGACATTTGAAAACTCCCTAGAGGGCTGTTTCCTTTTCTGACCTCAATGTACATGGTCTAAGAAAATATTGAGCACTTACAGAGTGCTTGCCCCTTCATCTTTAGAAAGGAATGATTCTGAAAATCCTGTGGAATGTTTCACTGAAATTGGCCTGGTGATGAATGTTTTAAGAGAAGCACAACATCAAGACTCAGTTATATGGCCAAGTGGCTCAGTCACGCAACCATTTCTGCATCAGATGCCTACCACATGCAGGGCACTGAGCTAACTATAGTGAGAGAGCTACAGGAATATACAAGAGTGAGGGAGATGACAGGCATACATAGCCATAATATTGGGCTATATGGAATGAAAGTCTTGAAAATGTACAAAATAAGAGCAGTAGAAACAAATTCCTGTGGGAATTCAGAGTGAGAAGAAATCATGAGATCAAGAAATCAATTATCTCCAGGGAGGTGGTAGTATTCAAGATGGAGCTTGAAGATGGATTGTATTTCAACAAGGTAAAGGGGTGGTGGGCACATTAAAGAAAAAAGTAAATGATGAACAAAGAGACACAAAGTTTGGGATGTTTTAAGGAAAGATGAATAATTATGTTTGGCTGTGCCATAGAAAATTAATAAGATAGAAGTCTGGAAAGTAAGTTGAAGATAGATCATGAATAAGATAATGCCAATGAAAGGAAATTGGATTTTACAAAGACTATGTCAATTAACAGACTATTGCAATTAGTCCAGACAAGTGTTAGTGAGAGTTTTCTAGATATAAACTGACATTTTAGCAGCAGAATACATAGGAGTTGGAGATTGACTGGATATAGAGTAAGAAAAAGCAAGGAAAGAGTCAAAGATCACACCTAAGTAGCAAGGTTAGGATGTGTAATAGAAATAGAACACATTAACCAAAAAAAAAAAAAAAAAAAAAAAAAAGCCAAGTTTGAGGAGAAGAAAGACTATGGGTTAGGTTTGCGAAAATGAGATTGAAGATTTCAGCCTCTCCAAAAGGACATCTCAAGTGGAAGTGTGAAATCAGAGTTTGAAGAGAGGATGGGACTACAGATTATAGATTTAGTGTTTACATACATATCAATGACGGTTTACAGTTTCTAGTACTGATAAATTACATGTAAAATGAATGAATTACATGTAAAATGAAATAATTTAAGAAATGGTGCTAGGAAATAAAAGGGATCACTAAAGAAAAAAATATAGGTGAAAAAAAAAAAAAAACAGAGACAAGCCGTGGATATGATTAAGAACATCCAAATTTCTAAGTCAGGGAAGAAGAGGAGTCAGAGATCCAGACAAAGTGGCATTGAAGAGGTAAGATGGAAAGTGGAAGAGAATTTCAAAGAAGAGAAGTTAAATAGGAGACATGGAGGAGCAATGATGATGGATGCATAGCTAGTGATTTGATGGTGAGGAAGCTGCTTGGAGCAAAATCAGCAAATAACAAATTGAATGTATAATAATACTGCTATAATCTCAATGTTTGTTTCCCCCCAAAATTCATATGTTGAACTCCTAACCCCAAAGTGAGGACATTAGGAGATAGAGCCTAAGTCCTTTCTGCCCTCGTGAATGGGATTAGTGCCCTTATAAAGGAGAGACCCCAGAGAGACCCCTCCCTGCTTCCACTATGCAGTCATAGCAAAAAGATGGTAGTCTAGGAGCATGATCCTCACTAGGCACCAAATCTGCTGGTTCCTTGATCTTTAAACTTCCTAGCCTCCAGAACTGTGAGAGATAAATTTCTGTTGTTTATAAACCACCCAGTTTATGATATTTTGTTAATGTCTAGTAATGTAGGAAATTTCACTACTAAAGTTAGTTTTCAAACAAAATTTCTAACTTAAATACCAGTTGCAGAAAGCCAAGTATGAAACCAATAGAAAATAAGCAATAGATTAGCGAATAGGCTAATTATCATTTAGAGTGTAATTAATGCACCTTATAATTAATAAATAGAGACTAATCTCAATAAGACCCTGAAATTCCTACATCATTTGTAGGTGGATCAATTTTATATAACCATCTTTATTAAAAAAGAAAAATGACCAAAGTTTTGAATTTAAAAAAGGAAAATGTAAAGATCAGCTTTAATCTTTATAACTATAATAAAACAGAGACTACTTTTTACTAAATTCAAAGGTTAAATAAAGGAATCAAGAAAGAGAAAAGGTAGATACAAGGTAATCGTTTTTAAAATTCAGAAGATTAAACATACCCAAGAGATAGAATATAAAACTCTATGCAAACCCTCTCCTTTCACCAATAACAAATTTACCTTTTACTTAATTCTTTTTCTTATTTCTAAATATACATCATGTGAAAAATCTTTCCTTGCAAGTATTTTAACTCAAAGTTCTAGGAAGGAAAAGCTGCAAATTTAGCAAATTGCTTCCTTTTTTATTTTTTAAGTAAGCGAGTATCTCAAATATAAAGGCCATTTCATTTGGCTCATGGGGAAGCCCTTCTGTTTGTTAAGGTACCTATATTTAGTTAGGAGAAGATAATTCTATAACTGCTTTGAAGGGTAACCTTGATTGTTCTGATGCGATATTCAGTTACACAATCTTAAGCATCGTTACTGTACTAAAAATGCACACAAGTGTTGGAGGAATGTGACTGAGGAAACTCTTCCCCAGATTCATGGACATTTCATGTGTCTGTTTACATTTTCCATTTAAACATAAGATTTCTTTTCCTTGAATATACACAAACCTTCTTTTAACGTTAAATTTCATATTTCTTACAGTTTGAGGACTTTTCACAGCACTTATTTCACTTGATTCTTTTAAAAAATCCTGTGTGGCAAGCAAAACAAAGATAATGATTGCCACGTCACAGATGAAGAAAATGACGCTTAGAAGGTGAATTGGCTGAACAGAGGGTCGGCTGCAGGTGGGCAGCAGGGCCCTTCCTTTCCCCACAGGCAGGGAACACTTGTGTTTCCTTTGTTTACTTCTTTAGCTTATGTCTTCCGCGATGAAACGGTAACTTCCTGAACGCTCTGCAGTTCATCGCTACACTCTTCCTCCATATCTAGAACGTGGCCTGGCACATATTAGATGCTCAATCATCATTTTAAAATAAACGAGTAGTGATCCATTCAAGTAACGTGGATAAACATCAACAACAACAGCTGCTTTCAGGAAAAAAGGGCAGACTCTGAATTATGAAGAATGTGAGAAACTTAGATCAGTATCATGAAGATTGTGTACTTTTACTTTTTAGGGCAGCTTTATTGAGGGACAAATCACCCATTTTATTTTTTAGTTTTACTGAGGTATGATTGATATAAAAAATGGCACACATTTAAGGTATACATCATCATGAGTTAAGACATATGCATGCGCCCATGATGCCATCGCCATAACCAAAGGTTAAATATATCCATTAAATATATCCATATCTCCAGAAATTGCCTTGTGCTATTTTGTAAATCATCCATTTAAAATTTATAATTCAGGCTGGGTGCAGTGGCTTACACCTGTAATCTCTCCACTGAGTTCGAGGCAGGAGGGTCACTTGAGCCCAGGAGTTTGAGACCAGCTTGCACAACATGATAAGACTGTCTCTACAAAAAATTTAAAAATTAGCCAGGCATGGTGGCGCACACCTGCAGTCTCAGCTATTCAGGAAGCTGAGGTGGGAGGATAGCTTGAGCCAGGGAGGTCAAGGCTGCAGTGAGCCCTGATCATAACACTGCTGTCCAGCCTGGGTGATAGAGGGAAACCCCCATCTCAAAAAAAAAAAAAGTGCTAATTTCTACTAGACTTCTCGTTAGTTACTGTATCAGAAGACATGTAAAAATTATAGGGCAGATCATGAGTGTTGAAACTTTGAATAATTGTATTTCCCCAAGTGTTTATTTTTGCAATCTCTTGTTATAATTTGCACCACTTCCTTCCCCCAGATTATGTTTGTGCTTGTTTGTACTGGAGAGCATGGAAGAGCTCACAGGAGAAATTGTGCCTCCTTCGCCATCCAGGGTGAGTTGGGGGTGGGGAAAGGGGTGTAGGAGTGGAGCTATGTAGCGGTGGCAGCTAGCATAAGGAGAAGGAAGTTCTGGCTGAGGTTCTGTGACTTGGTGCAAGAAAGAAAGCGAATATGGAAGATCTGTCTGACTCTGAGAAGTGGCACCTGGACCCAGCAGATGGAAAGCTCCTGGGAAGTTCTCCAGTACTAAGGGACAAATCTTGGCAATTCCATTAGCTATCTTTGTGACCTTGAAAGTGTAACTTAAGCCTCTTTGTGCCTCAGCTTCTGTAAAATAGGTATAATAATAGAGATGTGAAAATAAAATAAGTCAGTATATGTGAGGCATAAGTAAGCATTACATAAATGTTATATATTATGATTCTGTATCTATCTATCTACATGTAACTTGCAATGTCTGGGAGACATAACAGAAATATGGCTAGAGGATAGTTGGAAATATATTCGAGAAAGCATTCAAGTCTAGATATATAAATCTGGGAGAAAATCACAAATATAATACCTGCATTTGATAGGTAGGAAGTAAAGAAAAAACAAAGCCAGTAAAGAGGATTTGAGTGTGTAATTGGTTAAAAGTGCAAAAAACAGGGTAACATACATTAGAAACCAAGAAAAAAATAAGTTTTAAGAAGGATAAGGTGCTCAACATTTAGTTCCACCCTAAGTCTTGATATTCCTTAGACAATTTCTGTTTCACCTACAGTCCCAGCATAAAAATATCTAATTTTGATGTTAAATTATGTAGTTACACTATCAAAATTATACAAGGTGGCCAAGAGTTCTGAGAATATGGGAAGTGAGACAAGGTCATGGACTATTTTGAGAAAATAGGGTTAACAAGAGTCCTATTACAGAGAGAATGGTGGTCAGAAAGTAAATATATTGACTTTGAGAAGTTTCAAGACAAGGGGAAAGAGATAAGGCTATCAAATTTAGCAAAGAAAAATACAGGATACTGGTTAAATATGCAATACTTGGGACATGCTTATACTAAAAAGTTATTTGTTTATAAGAAAGTCAAATTTAACTAGGTATCATATATGTGTGTGTGTGTGTTTGTGTGTGTGTATATATATATATATTTTCTTTCCCCCCACTTTTTTTTTTAGATGGAGTCTCGCTCTGTCGCCCAGGCTGGAGTGCAGTGGTGCGATCTCGGCTCACTGCAACCTCCACCTCCCAGGTTCAAGCAGTTCTCATGCCACAGCCTACTGAGTAGCTGGGATTACAGGAGCACGCCACCACGACCGGCTCACTTTTTTATTTTTAGTAGAGATGGGGTTTCACCATGTTGGCCGGACCTCAAGTGATCCACCTGCCTCAGCTTCCCAAATTGCTGGGATCATAGGTGTGAGCCACCACACCCAGCCTGGTATCTTCTATTTTATCTGGCAACCTTAGAAGGATAAAGAAACCATGGTAACTCTAAAAACTGCACGTATTAAGGGAAGATGTATAAAGATTTAAACTATGAAAATGTTATTATGTCTGAAAAATCCCAAAGATGAATTTTTTCTTTTGTTGATAAGGGATGTTGTATAGGAATCAAGAGCTTGGTAGACAGAAGTCTTAGAGGCGGAGCTGCCTAGATTCAAATTCTGACTCTACCACTTCCTAGCTGTGGCAAGTGACTAAACCTCCTACCTAAGGCAAGTGGCTAAACCTCCGTGTCTTAGTTTTATAGTTTTACAATAACTAATGATTTTTAACACACTTAGAACAATGTAAGTATATAGAACTTGAATTTGTAACATGGCAAGTGATAAGTATATGTTAAGTAAATAAAAATTTTAAATTGTTACTGGTAAAAAAAAATGTTGCTTTTTTTCTGAAACACTAATACTGCTTTTGAAAGCCTAAAATAATAAACCTTCAAGCAAAATGTCTTTGAAAACAGAAATTGAGAAGCAGGGAATATTCCTTTCTACTTTCTACCTTTCTAATGGTTGAATATGTTTACCGAGAGAATGTATAATGTTTTGTAAAGACAAAAAAAGCACAAATATTTCTATGTTCTGCAAACTATAATAGCAGGGTGTGTTCACGATCAAAAGTTTCTCTAGAAAACACTGTAGCAGAAAGCTAAAGAATAGTCAATAATTCATACAGCTGCATTAAGGGGTCAACTGTAAATTACTAAAGTGGTCTCATAGCAATGAAGACAAATGAGAATAATAGCAAGTGGCTAAGAACAATCTATGTCATTTTAATAATTTAAATCATACAAATAATATAAAAAACATTTAATGCCAAAAATGTTAATTCCTGACCCTTGTCTAATGGAATTTGATAATGTAATTAGAAAAAAGCTAATACAGTTGATGTGAAGTTAGACATACCTGGCTTCTGTTGAGTCCTCCCAACTTGTATTATCACTGCATAGCTCAAGTGCCAGGAAAGCAGCTAGAGACAGGAGTCATTCTACCTGTCTTTGATAGCGGCACTTTTGCCAATCTACAAAATGCTAAATAATAAAGACAAAACAAGAGAAGTGATTAAGAGTAAGAAGCAGAAAGGAATAGAAAGTCTTGAAAGGTTTTTGAAATAACTCTGATCCTCAGAACATACATCCATCATATTTTCAAGTTTTTTGACTGTATCTTTAAAAACCTCCCAGAGGAAAGGATGCTTTCCTGAATGATCTTATATACTTCATTAGACCAATAAGAAGTATAGATTTCCCTTTTTTGCCTTGGCTTCTAGGAGGCTTAAAACTGAATTTAGTGACCAATTGCTGTATGGTCCTCAAAGTTTTGAATGATATTCATACTTTAAAATATCTAAATCAAATGATTATTTTATCTCTGCTTTTTATTTTTAATACAAAGGCACCTCATTAAAAAAGTCAGGGTACAATTTTTTTTAAAAAAAGAAAGATTTCTAAGGTGCTAGATTCCAAATCTCTCTAGACCTCTCACCAGACATACAAACCTCTCCGTCCTCACACAAACTTATTACCACCACTGCCCCCCGACCAAAATCTTGAGTTACCTTGTGTTTTTCAGTCAACTAGAGGGACTCTTATCTAGAAATAGGATTTTTTAATGTTCTATGAATTAGTAAGATTTTTTTTTGCTTCTTTTTTAAGACAGTAAAGTGCTAATGGAGAGTAAAAAGAAATAGCTGAAAGACAGCATCAGTATATAAAAATCTATAATATGGATTATAAAATCAATTTTTCAATACGACTTGAGAAAACTCTTCTTAAGGGAGGTTAAGAACTGTTGTGATAAACACAAATCATTGTTTTTTCTCTTTTCACTTGCAAAGTATATTTCATTCTTTGGGTAGCATTTCATTTAAAATATGAATATGGCATAATAATAAAGACTGAGCCCAGCCCCTATGGGAACTGGTCAGTTGGTATGGTTTTATTACAGTAAATTATTCTTAAAACCCAGAGAAACTTGGGATTATAAATATAATAAATATTATATATAATATAAATATAATTAATATGCAATTAAAAACAGAATCAAAGTGACATTGTAGAATCATAATAAGATAATATTCTAAACTTTCGCTAAGAATCAGAAATACATATACCTGGAACTTACCTTGGAGATGCTGATTCATTAAGCCTCAGATGGTGTGATTCTGGCATGCAGCTAGGCTCAGAACTTGAAAGCAGACCACAACAATTCTGGAGAGCCTGAGGAAATGATCAGACATGAAGAAAACAAGTGTGCATAAAAGATGTTCATCATTGCATTGTTTAAAATAGAAAATTCATGTACTGCTAAGTAAACCATTTCATATATAAATGGACTAGCATCTGGCTATTCAGAATTAGGAACACAGAGAATTTAAGAACATAGGAACTTACCATCATTATAGCAGTCAACTGGAATGTAGCTCCATAGAGGCAGGGACTTTTGTCTCTTTGGTTCACTGCTCTATCCTCAGATACCTAAATAATGTGTGACATACAATATGTGGTTATTTAAATACTTGTTGGATAAAAGAATGAATAAATAACTTTAAAAATAAGATAAAACATCACACATCACTAAAAGGTTAACTAAAGACAAAAATCATTACAAAGTTGAAGAAAATATGTTTTTCATTCTGAAAAAAATAAATAAAAGTCAAGTAAAAAAATTTCAAGTGTGAATCCATGCTCAAGGCATCTGTTAAGCTACTATGTGGTAAAGCACATAATTTAAGTTTTGATTACGGAAATTGCGGACTGATGAAAACATTTACTCACCTATTCTTCTAGATCAAAAGCCTTAGAGTAGAGTCAGTCAGGCAAGGGTAGAAAGGTTGGATTTTAGCAGGAAAATGCCAGAGATGAGATCCAAAGAAACTCACAGAGAGACTGGACATGTCTCTGAAAAGCCTGCGATTACAACCTGCTTGTCTCCTCCCCATAAATGCTTCCTAAGATGTAACCTGAGCCTTGACACTTAGCTGTGCTTCTGGTGAATGTGGAGGGCACTCTGGCTCTCAGTGCTTCTTCCACAGCAAAGGAGGCCTATTGGGCACATAAGGTGTGCATAAATGCTTGATGATTGACTGGTTGATTGGAAAGAGGAAGATATGAGTCTGGAGGACAGACTGTCAGTTCCAGATGGTCCCCTGAGGATGAGCAGGAAGCAATCCAGAAATCTCTGCCCCATAAAAATCACAGGCTGTCAATTGCATGCATCAAGCAGTGTTAAGAAGAGGCAAAGTGGAAGCAAAAAAGAACTAAGAAGTGATTCTTCTTGAATGTGTGGCTTAGCAGTATCTCCATTCCCCTTTTCCAATTTGCAGGGCATTCCCAAGCACTTTAGTCCATGTGCAGCCCCTTGAGTGTCTACACAGCTCTTCATGTTTTAGATGTGCTTGAAGTGAAAACAAATCGGTTTCATGATCCTATTTCTGTTTTTCCCCCAAGCACTGTCCTTTCAATAATTTTTCCTCTTTTTTTTAAAAAAAAAAAAAAGTTTATTTGCTGCCAAAGAGAAAGTGTGGGTCTTTGTTATTAATGTTGTAGAAATACAAATATGTCCACCTCAGAAAGGAGTCTTCATTAACTCCCACAGCCCAGAAAATTAAGGCACGCCTCATCAGGATCCAAGCTTGCTGTCGACAAAATTGCAAGGGACTAGTTGAGTTGCTGGGGTTCATAATGCTGATAGAGCGGTTTCCACGTGAATGAAGGATAAACAGCGATTAATTTCAGCCAATAAATAATGGTTTGAGGCCCACATTGAAAGAGGAACAATTACTTTTCCATTTTTCCTGCCAAATGAGCTGATAAGAGAAAACAGGGGAGTTGGCCACGTAAATCAGTCTTAATTTTATCTTCCCCATTAAAAAGCAGCCATTAAGACCATCTTCGGCTCATTTCATCCTCCTCTTGTTTCACTTTTTCAATTTGCACAAAACGGGGGAGTTTGCTCGTCATAAAATTTCACTTTGGCCAACCTATCATTTGCATCTGGGCCAATAAATAGCAATTAGCATAAACATTTAAATCAGGAACTGGAACAAATTCTTGTTCCCCCAGCAAGCTGTTAAATTACAGTATTTTACTATATATAAGAAGCCCTAAACAAAAGATCTGTTGGGCATTGTTATCCTCTTCCAAATAGGACATGGTTGAAAGAGAAATAATAACTCCAAACCCACAAACTTCTCACTCAGATCAAGAATATCTGTCTTACGTGGTCTTGGCCTGGAGAATCAATGTTTCTTGCCCACTGCTTAAGTTTTCATCCAAACAGATAAGTTTTAGCTCAGTTTTGTGAAGTATGAAAACTGCAGTAAAGACTTCCTTGCCTGAATAAATGTTTCGCACTATAATTAAAAGGTGTCTCAACAGGAACTGTTCTAAGCTCAAATCAAAGTCCATGCATGAGGTACAATGAAATACATATAATGGGGAGATGAGAACTGGCATCTGGAGGTCAGAGGAAAAAAGATGATTCTGTGATCGAAATCCCAGTGCCAAATGATCCAGACCCATAGCTCATTCTTCCCAGTGCTTGTTTCCCACAGTGGCCTCTAGGGATGGTTTGTTATAAAAGATTGGTTGTCTCATATAACATTGTTCTCAAAGGCGAAATGCAACCCCAAACTTCTCTTTATCTAAACATAGTTATGTTTTTGGCCCGTGTTCTCTTTTGACATGTCAGAGGGCGATGATGAAGCTTTACAGAGAGATATTAAGAGAAAATAAAAAAAAACTACAGAGACACACTGTAGGTGGCTGTCCCCAAACCAAGTATTAAACCTTCTTTTCCCTTTAAGCAAAGCCCTTTTACTGTCAACTGAAACTTAGTTCATTATTTATCTATGGCTCATTGAAAGTCAAGGTGAGTGCTTCTCTTGATGAGACCCTAATTAATTTTGGCTGGGAACCCAAAGTGGAACAGAGTGGTTTTGATGTTTTCTATGAAACCTTACATTGGGAATGTTTAGGTTTACCAGTGAAATTCTATTAATGGCTTCCAGTCTGCATATATGTGAAATATATATTTGCAATTACTCAGAAAGGAGACATTGAAAATTTGAATATATTGTTCTCTCTCTTTCTTTTTTTTTTTTTTTTTTGAGACAGAGTCACGCGGGCTGGAGTACAGTGTCATGATCACAGCTCACTGCAGCCTCAACCTCCCAGGCTCAAGCAATCTTCCCACCTCAGCCTCTCAAGTAGCTGGGACCACAGGTGTGCACCACCATACCTAGCTAATTTTTTAATAATATTTTTTAGAGACAGGGTCCCACTATGTTACCCAGGCTGGTCTTGAACTCCCAGGCTCAAGGGATCCTCCCACCTCCACCCCACAAAGTGCTGGGATTATAGGCATGAGCCACTGCGCCCAGCCAATAAATTGTTCTTTATTGCTGTTTTTTCATGAATTGTTCTCTTATTTCTACAAGACATTAAAAATAAAGAGAAAAACGGCCTGACTTCTAAGGAATTAGAACATTGTCAATCTGGTGTCAACTAAAAACAGAAGAGCAATGCTTTCACCATCTCAGATACTGGCAAAATGTGAAATTGACATTGTTCCTACTTCCTATAATACCTAAAAAATAGCTCAACTCTCAGCTTTGAGTCTATAATTTATGAATTTAGTTATGTGAATGTGTAGGTGCCCTCTTTATTCTTTCCTCCAAACCCCTCTGCCTGCCCTTGCTAAGCTATTTACTGCCCCTTATCCCATCATACCTACATTTGGGCTTGGAGAAAAAAAAAATAAAGGAGAGAGAAAGGAGGGAAGAGACACAAAGTAGATACATTTAAACTTACATTCTGCCCCAGTGGTCAAGAGAATGAACGGCACAGAAGACACCAGGAATCCAAAAGCTTCTTTCTTTCTGCCTCAACTACCACCTTCCCAAAGTAGATGACAAAGTGGATTTATATAATCCACTAATGTTTATTGAGTTCCTGCTGCATAGGAGGTCTGTGCACTGAATAGGAGGCCTGTGGCCTTCTCACCTCAAATGTTGGGTTAGGAAATTTAACATAATCAGTTAGAAATATTTGCCAATAAGTCCCAAAGTGCCAATAATTACATAGGTTTGCAAAAGCAAATATATATATATATATATATATATATATATAATATAAACATTTTGTTTTCACTTTACATGTTGTCTAATGTATTAGAGTATGAAATCAAGATAGCTGGATTATTGTTCATAATCACAGCAAATATTTGAGCTACCCTGTCCTATAACACTAGTGACAAAAAGCATTTTGACATGCATTCAATATTTTGTTAGGCTGAAAGAAAGAAAATGTGGAGACAGCATCACAAGAAGCTGACAAAGTCAGGCATCACGTAGGACACGCAGCAAAACTACATTTCCCAGATTGCCATGCAGTTAAGTTGCTGTGGGCTAAATTGTAGCTAATGAAGTGTGGACAGATATTACATAAGTCACTTCCAGGTCTGGCCCTAAAAACATTTTGTTGAGTCTCAGCTCTCTCTTTCCTTTCCTCAGTAACCTTGGGGCCACAAGCATCAGATTGTGTAGCTAAGAAATGAGGAAGGGCCGGGCGCGTGCCTCACACCTGTAACCCCAGCACTTTGGGAGGCCGACGTGGGCGGATCACGAGGTCAAGAGTTTGAGACTATCCTGGCCAACATGGTGAAACCCCGTCTCTACTAAAAATACAAAAATTTGCTGGGGGTGGTGGCATGAGCCTGTAGTCCCAGCTACTTGGGAGGCTGAGGCAGGAGAATCGCTTGCACCCGGAAGGCAGAGTTTGCAGTCAGCCAAGATTACACCACTGCACTCCAGCCTGGCGACAGAGCGAGACCCCATCTCAAAAAAAAAAAAAGAAAAGAAAAAGAAATGAGGAAGTGCAGTATGAGACTGTAACATACAACTTTTAGTATGTTCAGCCACCAAGATGTCAGTTTGTCTGTTGTGGCTGCTGGTTAAATTACCCTTCATAATGCAGAAGAGGAGACACAAGCAGGAGTGATTCAAAAATATATAAATCCCTCATTGGTACAGCCAGACATTAGTTCTACAGAATTCTCATAACTACAGAGCTGCTTTTTCTCCTGCTGCTCAGAGAATAACAAAAATTAAAGCTGAGCAAATTAAATAGTGAATTAGGACAGAATGAGACAGAAGATGCACCCATTAGGATCAATGAGAAGCAGACAGTAACTTTTCTAAGGAAAATACATTAAATGAGCAGCTGAGGAGTTCAATACTAAGACACTTAGTTCCACAGACTAGCTGCCTGGGAAGTGGGGAAAGTTGGGGGATGACTTTCAGACATAATTACAAAGGCAAATGCCAAGAAAAGCTGAAATGCTGAAAGTAGGGGGAGCTGAGGCAGGAGGATTGCTTAAGCCCAGGAGGTCGAGTCCACCCTGGGCAACACAGCAATAAAAACAAAAACAAAACAAAAAAACAAGTTAAGGTACGGCCAGGAGCGTGGTTCACACCTGTAATCCCAGAAATTTAGGAGGCCAAGGAGGGTAGATCACTTGAGGCCAGGAGTTTGAGACCAGCCTGAGCAATATGGTGAAACCCTGTCTCTACTAAAAATACAAAAATTAGCTGGAAGTGGTGGCAGGTGCCTGTAATCCCAGCTACCTGGGAGACTGAGGCAGGAGAATCACTTGAACCTGGGAGGTGAAGGTTGCAGTGAGCCAAGATCACGCCACTGCATTCCAGCCTGCGCAACAGAGTAAGGCTCCATCTCCAAAAAAAAAAAAAAAAAAAAAACAAGAAGTTAAGGTACATTTGGAAATTATAATGACTAATGATATTATAGATAAAATAATAATTATTATAATACCCCTTATTTAAATTAATGGATATATCACATTGCAAACACCATGTCTATTAACATAGTTATGTATTTGGCTTCTTTTTCTTTTCTTTTTTCTTTTTTTAGCTGGGGCCTCACTGTGCTGCCCAGCCTAGTCTCAAGCTTCTGGGCTCAAAGGATCAAGATATCCTCTCACTGTATCCTCCTAAGTAGCTGGGCTGATAACCACCAGCCATCACACCCAGCTCATATTTGGAGTCTTATTTCTTTTATTTATATATTTACACATTTTTATTTGTACTCACACATACATATTAGAATTAGTATCACACACCCAAGGCTATTCTGTTTCATTAATCTGTCAGTATTTAGTGCCAAGACAGCTTTTGTTTTTAAAACCCTTATTGGGTTTTATTTTGGAAACTATGAAAAATGTGTACTATTTTGGGGATTATTAAAAAACTCTTTGTAGACTATTTGGAAAATAAGGAAAAGTATTTTAAAAAATCTCTCCTACCACCTAGATAATATATTAACATTCCTGTGAATGTGTGTATGCCAATTATGTAAATTATAGCCAAATTGAAAGCATACTTTTTATTCAGATTTGTTTTGTGATTTTTTTCTCCTACCATTTACTTGTTATTAAAAACTCCATTGGTTTTCCAACTCGGTGAGAGCTAAATCTAAATCTATGTACAATGGGTACGCTGGCTACAGGTGTGCCCGGATGTTGACTCCCTCAGCTAACAGAGCTACTCAGTGGGGCCTGCGGCTGCTGGCAGGCTCATCCATTTATGCCAGTGTGTTGTAGAAACAGAATTTTCTCTGCCATAACATGAAAAACCTTCAGAAACATTCTAGTCTAGTATCATCTCTCTCAGTAAACATTTCTGGATATTTGCATTAAATTTGTTAACGATACTTATAATTACTGGGGTTTTTTTGTTTTGTTTTCATTTTTTTGTTTTTAAAAAGAGTCTTGCTCTGTCGCCCAGGCTGGAGTGCAGTGATGTCACCATAGCTCACTGCAGACTAAACCTCCTAGGCTCAAGCACTCCTTCCACCTCAGCCTCCCAAGTAGCTGGGACTACAGAAGTGTGCCACTGCACCCTGGAGATTTTGAAATTTTTTTTTTGTAGAGACAGGATCTCACTATGCTGTCCAGGCTGGTCTCGAACTCCTGGGCTCAAGTGATCCTCCCATGACCTGCACCAGGCCTCTACTTATTGTTTATTGTAATAATGCATTAGCTCTGTTTAATCACCATTCATTTATGTTATACCATTCTGATGCTTTAATTCATTTTTCATTTTGCTTGAGTTTATCTTTATGGTATTTCTTCTTAGACAAGGTATAAAAGTGGCATATTTTTGAGCCCTTCTTAAGCTGAGAGCCTTTTTGGCTTAGCACATGAGTGATAAGTTGGCTTGCTATTTAATTCGTAAGTGGCAATCTGTTTCCCTATCATCTTTTGTCATTGAATGTGGTAGAAGAGAAGTCTGAAGCCAGTTTCTTTATGGAAACCTAGCTTTTCTATTTGGATGCTTACAGTTATTATTGCAATTATTCTTAAAATTCAAAATTTTTCCTAGTATATGGGTATACTAGGAAATATGATAGTTTGATTAAAAGAAATCAAAATTACCTAGATTTTAAACATCCCTTACAATTTTAGATTGGTATTTATTGAGCTTGGAATTGTTTTCTATTATAACTGTGATTAGTTCTATCTTTCTGATCTATCCCTCTGGAATATAATTAGTTAATTTGTTAATTATACAATTGTTTGTTGAGTACCTATTATGTATCATCATACCCTGTGTTAGGGCAGGGTGGACATAGTGGTGGACAAGAAAGAGTTGTTGCTTCCTTCATTGATTTCAGAAGCTTAATAAGCAAAGTTATTCCTAACAATTGAGGCACAGTATAGGATCCTAACTCCTAGGAAGATGCATATTTATAATACTTGGTAGGAGTATTCATTCTTCATTCTCTGTGTCTGCCCTCTTATTTTGTTTTATATCTATGTCATTATGCTTTGCATTTTACACTACTCTTTCAGGCTTTTCTCCCTCATCTTTATTTGTTTATTTATTTATTTATTTCCTGAGACAGGGTGTCACTCTGTTGCCCAGTCTGAAATGCAGTGGTGCCATCTCAGCTTATTGCAGCCTTCACCTCCCAGGCTCCAGTGATCCTCCCACCTTAGCTTCTCAAATAGCTGGGACCAGGCGCCACCACGCCTGGCTAATTTTTGTATTTTTTTGTTTTGTGAAGATAGGGTTTTGCATGTTGCCTAGGATGTTCTCAAACTTCTGGCTGAAGCAATCCACCCACCTCAGCCTCCCAAAGTTCTGGGATTACAGGCGTTAGCCACTGCACCCAGCCTCTCAACACTCTTTAAAGTTTCTGAAGTTTCATTTCTACTCTTAAGTAGTTTTTAGTATACTTTAGGGTTGCACAACCATCACCACAATTTATCTAATCTTGGATACTTGGAACCCTTTTATCACCCCCCAAAAGAAACCCCGTACCTATTAGCAGCCGCTCCCCACCCTCAAACCACCCCCAGCCTTTGGAAAGCACTCATCCACTTTCTGTCTCTATTGATCTGCCAATTATGGACATTTTATATAAATGAAATCATACAGTAAGTGGCCTTTTGAACCTAGTTTCTTTCACTTAGTACATGTTCAAGATTCGTCCATATTATAACACAAATCAGTATTTTACTTACTTTTATGGGCAAATAACATTTCATTATAAGGATATACCACAATTTGCTTCTCCATTCATCAGCTGAGGAACATTTGGGTTGTTTCCACTTCGTAGCCATCTTGAATAATGCCGTTATCAACAATTTGTGTACAACTTTTTTCATAAACATATGTTTTCACTTTTCTTGGATATTTGCCTAGGAGTGAAATTACTGGGTCATATGAGAAGCCTATGTTTAAGTTTTTAAGAAACTACCAGACTGTTTTTCATGGCATCTTCACTATTTTACATTCCCACTAGCAATGTATGTGGTTTCCAATTTTTTCACATCCTCACTAACACTTCTTATTTTCCTTTTTTTAAAAAAAGATTTTAGCCATCCTTGTGGGTATGAAGTGGTATCTCATTGTGACATTAATATACATTTCCCTAATGACTAACAATGTTAAGCACCTTTTCATGTGCTTGTTGGCCATTTGTGTATCTTCTTTGGAGAAATATCTGTTTAAATCTGTTGTCCATTTTTCAGTTGCCTGTTTGTCTTTTTGTTGTTGAGTTGTAAGAAATCTTTATATATTCTGAATACCAGAACTTTATTAGGTATATGATTTACACATATTTTTTCCCATTCTGTGGGTTGTTGTTTCACTTTCTTGGTATTGTCTTTTGATGCATAATCATTTTCAATTTTGAGGAAGTCCAATATATATACTTTTTCTTTGGTTGCTTGTGCTTTTGGTGTCATATCTAAGAAACCATTGTCTATTCCAAGGTCATGAAGATTTATACTCATGTTTTCTTCGGAGTTTTATACCTTTAGCTTACATTTAAGTTTTTGATGCATTTAGAGTTAATTTTTACACATGATAGAAAGTAGGGATTCAAGTTTATTCTTTTGCAAATGAATATCCAGTTGTCCCAGCATCATTTGGTGAAGACTATGCTTTCACCATTGAGTGATCGTGGCATCCTTGTTGAAAACCAGATAACCATAGATCTATGGGTTAATTTCTGGACTTTTGCTTTTATTCCATTGATCTACGTGTCTATTCTTTTGCAAATATCACGCTGTCTTTATCACTGTAGCTTTACATAAGTTTAAAATCAGGAAGTGAGAATCCTCCAACTTTGTTCTTCCATTTCAAGATCATTTTGGCTACTCTGGGACTCCTGCAAATTTTAAAATTTTGACAGGTATTGCATTGAATCTGTAAATCAATTTGGGGAGTATTGTTTGCAATAGTAACAATTTTAAGTCTTTCAATCAGAAACATAGAATATTAGTCCACTTATTCGGATCTTTAATTTCTTTCAACAATGTCTTATAGTTTTCAGTTTACTACTCTTACATTTCTTTGTTAAGTTTATAATTTATTTCTAATTACTCTATTGTGTTTGATTCTATTGTATATAGTCCCCAACTTTTTTTTTTTTTTTTTTTTTTGAGACAGAGTCTTGCTCTGTCACCTGACTGGAGTACAATGGCCTGATCTCGGCTCACTGCAACTTCTGCCTCCCAGGTTCAAGTGATTCTCCTTCCTCAGCCTCCCAAGTAGCTGGACTTACAGGCACATACCACCACGCCCAGCTAATTTTTGTATTTTTAGTAAAGACAGGGTTTCATCATGTTGGCCAGGACGGTCTCGATCTCTTTACCTTGTGATCCGCCTGCCTCGTCTTCCCAAAGTGCTGGGATTACAAGCATGAGCCACCACAGCGGCCCTCCAACCTTTAATTTTGGAACATTAGAAAGTTACAGAATAGTTAAAGGAATAAACAGTACAGTGGAGCTGCATATACCTTACCTTTTACCTAGATTCACCAAGGCTAACATTTTCACAAATTTATTTTCTCTTTTACTCAGTTTCCCTTTCCAACTCTTTTCTCTTTCCTTGAAAAAATATTTCTACATTTCAAGAACCTAACTTATACATGAACATTCTGAACAATGCCCTTTATATTATTTAAGGACTGCTAATTTTAAAAAAGAATAACATTAAAGTAATACTACTCAACGTTTCTTTGATGATACAGGGGATAACTCCCTTACTTGAATATTGCCATTTTGAATTCTGATTGTAGTTGTTTGGGTACAAAAGACAAGGATGGGTACTAATACCTCCTACTGCCAAAATGAAGATAAATTGGTTTCTATTGACATATATTCCAGTTCTGTGCATTCTGTGGCAAGACAACAAATAGATGGGATGATTTCTGTGGAAGTCTACAGGTGACATTTAATCATGGCTACAGTATTTCATGTGAGCACAAAGAACAAGCCAAGACTCATTTGGGGAAAAAATTAATCATTCATCTAATAAATGTCTTTTGAATGCCTGTCATAACCAGGAACAGAGCCAGGTACGTGATGAACAAATAGGCTGGTCCCTGCCCTGATGAAAGTTATAGGCTAGTGTGGTCACAGACTATGAACGAATAAACAAATACATATAGACAAGTCATCATCCCTCATCAATTATTTTGATATCACAAAGACTCTGAAAAGTATTTTTTTAACCCCTTTAGCAGTAAAACCTAATTTGTATTAAAATAAAGCATTATTTATTTGTCTATCCATCCCATTTGGTGGGAATATTTGTATGTTTTACTATACAGAAATATTAATGTGCTTGATTACAAGGTACTGTGCCAGGCTCTTTAAAATAATGATGTACCATGTCATATTGTACATGTGGTTATGTCATTCATATTTTTAGAATTTAGATTTTTGTTGTTTTAAATGAATACATTTAAAAATGTAAATATTAATGTAAATTAAATCTAAATATATATATATATTTAAATACCTTTTATTTTTAAAAATACTAATCTAGCAGTGAGCTGAGATTGCACCACTGCACTCTAGCCTGGGTGACAGAGCGAGACTCCGTCTCAAAAAAAAAAAATACTAATCTAAATTCTGAAATATACCAGACATTAGTGGTTTCAGGTAAAGGGAATAGAATGGAACACCTGGAAGAGAAGATATTTAAGTGGCAAATATAACAAAAGAAATTATCAGGATGTAGTAGCAGCAATTGTGAGGGGGTAGTTGGTTGAAGAGAGACTGCATCTATCTGGGAGCAATGGCCTATCCACTGGAGTGTAAGCTAAGACCTAAATAATGAGAAGAAACCAGCCATAGAAGTTAAGGATAGAAGACGGTGCAGGGAGAGTGTTACAAGCAAACAGAAAGCAAGTAAGTGTAAATTCTCTGATGAGGAGAAAAGGGGCTGGAATGTAGTAACTCTTGCTACTTTGGAAAAGCAGGGAAGGATTTCTTAATTCATCCATAAGTATAGGTCTATCTGCCCTCCTTCCCTCTGCCCCCAGCTCTTTAAATGACTGTATTCCCTTCCTCACCATTAGATGCGAACATGCAGACTGAAGTTTCAAACATTTCCCCTTCTCACAGTAGGTGTGGTCTGGAATCAGACTGCCATGACTGATTGGGAAAATCTTAGTAAACATCACACTGTGCTTGGATCTCCTGTCAGACAGAGAATTGTTTCTCTGTTCGTACAGTTATAATTCCCATCAAAGATGAGCTTTACAAAAATGACTTGGTCAACAGCTGAATATTCTATTAGACCAAATTTTGCCATCATATATAGAGAACTTCTTTCACAGACTCAATCTCATCCTCCCTCTATAAATGGTTATTTTGTTGAAATCAAACATAAAAATTATGTATGTGTATTGTATTGAATTCAGACAAATTGATCTGAATCCATAATGAAATAAACAAGACGAGTAATCTAAAATGTAACCACCCTTGTTTTAGAGAGAGGGGCTGAACACCACCTCATTACCTAATTAAAGCATCTCCCGGCCAGGCACAGTCTTTACCCTCTTGAGTGAGGCCAACGTGTAGCTGGCTGTTCCTGTCTCGAGAGGGTGGGAGTTCAGTGACAAATACTTTCTGAATGTACTAATTTGAATGAAATCTTGGAACTCTGATGGCCAAGACACAGGAAATTGGCAAGTCTTACCAATTTAAAGTGTGAAGGATGGCCATAATTCTGCCCAGATGACTAAACAAGTTAGGCAATGTGATTTTGATTGGTAGAATTGCATGCAAATCATATCCTCTTATGTAAAGACTCTGTTTCATGAACAGAAATTTCTTCATAATTGTTAGAGGTTCATTAAAAAAATGTTTTCAGAACACGGGAAAAACTTTTACTGCCTACCACATTTGAACTCTCTCAGAAAATTAAAAAATAAAAATTAAAAAACACTGTTAGGCTGTTAACATTTCTGTGTGTCTGTAGAAAAGAAAACAAATATATTATCCCACAGAATCCATTGAGCCTAAAGCAGCATTTATATGATGACAAGTACTGGATTCTGGAGAAAATTCTGTTATCTGAATGTTTGCTCACATAACATCTACATCAACATAATGGAAAATAGCTAATAATTGGCCAGATGTTTGGCTTTTCATTTGATTGGTTGCTTTCAAATTATTTTCTACCCCAACCCACCTGAGGGTTACAACACCCACCCCCCCCCCCCCCATCAGTTAGAATAATTCTCAAGGGGAGAGGGGCCTGTTCAGCTCTAGGTAAAGGGAGGAGGTTGGAAAAAGTTCCTCAGGTGACTCTGATATGTCCCTCTAGGGCACTATCCCGTGGCAAAGACTAAGTAGAAATGAGGCGTTTTATGAGTGAGCTGTTTCAGTGGCATCACATTGAAAATGACATCATCAATTATGGTATTTAAGTCCTCCATTTTCAAATATGGAAAGTCTAGACTGATTTTAAGGGTAGGTTCACACAGGCAGACTGAGATAGAAACAAGATAGGACAGACTGAGGAGAATTGATCAACTTTGATGATTGTGTGAGAATATTGACATAAAACAGCTACCTTCACTATATTTCTATGTAATCAATTTGAGGGTAGGTGGGGAAGTGTTTCTTGAAGCAAAAAATCATTTCAGTCTTTTTTTTTAACTTCTCAGTTAATTCATTCAACATGCATTTTTGGGGCAGCTGTTTTCTATAGAGTATGGTACCTGCTTCTGCAACTTTATATTGTATAGCCCTGAGAGTTGCTAGTTTCTTAGGAATTAAAGAATCTGAATTACTTTTAAAGAGTAGTCCAATAAATTCATTTTAGCCTTAGGAATATGAAACTAAAGCTGGGTTTACATTTGAGAAGTAAATTTCCTTTATAATGCTTTTTAAAAAAGCCATGCCATAAGTACCTGTGTCTAGATGCTCATGGTATGCAGACACACACAGTTTAATTACACTAAACCAAAGGTTAATGTCCAGAATTTGGTGACTAATATACCACATGAGCTTGATCATTTAATTAATATCAAATGTTCAAATATAAAATAAAATACAAGAACTCTTACCCTCACTTAAATATATAATTTACCTAGACAATTAAGGAAGATGGAGTCACAGAAGTATAATATGCTTATAACTCTGTTCCCTTTACCTTGATTAATTGTTTTGTTCCTGACCATGCCTAGATGAATTCCCAGTTTCCGAGGTCCCACTACATATACATCCAAATAAGAAGGTCTTCCTTGTTTCCTGTGACTCAGAAAAAAAAAGGGGAAGAGCTATATCTATGAGGCTCAAAAGGACTGTCAGTTAGCTCCAGAAGCGACCTTGATAACTTCCGATTGCAAAATACATGGGCAAGTTCTTGTGATGGGCACAGTTCTGTCATATGCCCAATTACAAGGCAAGAGATGTTCCAAAAATTATTCCTCAGAAAACAGTGGTTCACCTTATATTTGAGGCCCTAGGAACTTTCTTATATCCAAGGGGTTTACTCTCAATTACTTCATTTTCAAAAGTAACATATCATTTGGGGAAAAAAACTGAACAGCCCTAAATCACCAGTTAATATTGTTGCTAGAACTGGCTTAAGAAAAAACAAATATTAAGAAATATAACACAGGTTAGTAGTTATTCTGAGAGTACAGTTACAAGTATTGGCTGCCATTGTAATCAAGTCTTTTAGAGATCACTTTAAAACAACACCATGAACAGTCATGCTGTGAAAAACACAAATGTGCATTTGTGATGAACAGAAAACCAAAATCTATCCAAATATAATATGAATAGGCATCATGGCTTGGGATAATATTTTTAGTGCCACTACCATATATAAATGTAAAGGTGTTATATCTCAAACAGCTAAGAAGAAAGTGCAAGGGAAGCCACTGTAAAATTGTGATGACAAATGAGGCTCAGTGGTGATAAAGACACTGATGTCAAAGATGTGAGGAAGAGTTTGAATAAGACTGGCATGAAGTGTGAGAGTGGACAAAGTATTTTCAAATATCTATTATACAATTTACTTTAGAGATTCATATGTATAATACATAATATATAATATATAAAATATGATTTTATATATCATATATAATATGATTTTATATATCATATTATATATAATATATAATTCATATATATGAATATTTAAAGTAACATATAATGGTATTATACAATTTACTTTAATATATAATTTACATTAATCTCTAAATTATATAATAGATATTTGACTTTCAAATGTATCTCAAAATTATTTATTCAAATTCAATAATTATTTTTAAAATCTTAGCAATCAAACCAGTCTTAATGTTTTAAGTCACTGCAATCAGAAGATAATGTGTTGGTCATTTGAAATTTTGATGTTTATAATATGAAATGTCCCTGGAGTAAGGTAGCCAGATTTAGCACATAAAATACAGATTGCCTGGTTACATTTGAATTTTGGATAGACAATGAATATTTTTTAGTACAAGGATGTCTCATGCAATATATGGGACATACTTATACTAAAAACAAAATCAGCTATTTACTTAAATTTAACAGAACGTTTTGTATTTTATGTGGCAATGCTTTCCTGGGATGAATTAAAATTTTACTCTTTTATGTTGAAAAGGAACGAGTGGGGGAAACTGTTAATAGGGTTTTCAGTATGCTGGTTTTCGAGATAGATTTATATTCTTGATTCCCAGACATTGAAAAATGGGAGCAATCCCAACCCATCTTGTTGACTCAGTACTTACTAAATCCTGTCCAAAATAACCCCTTTCTCTGTTTTCATGTTGTCTTTCTCTCCCACAGCTGATAGATCTATTTTTTACTTTCACTCTATAGAGCTATTTCAGACAGAAATTGCATGAAGGATGCCATATCAAACAGAGCAGCGTTGTGCAGGATGCTGGAAAGAACTGTTTGGGGGGCTGCACATTATTCTAATGATGGGAAATACTCGGTTCATCAGGGAAACATTCCTCTAAGGTGTATTCCAGAGACATATTAAAAAATCATAAAATTGGAAATTCTTCTTATCATCTTACCAGCCTTCAAAAAAAGGTTTTTTAAAAAGGGTAACATGTAGGACCCGGTGTTATTTCTGCATGACATTAGCGCCCATTACTGTTCTGCATACATTATAAACATTACACAAGGGTCATCATGAACCCTGCAGTGCAAATTTTCATAAGGCGATTTATTCCTACCTGGTGGGCGCTTAAACCTCCTTTGTCTATAGGAGCAAAGTGTGTTCCAGCAATAAATAGCAGAGAAAGCACTACTGTGTCTCTCTTTTTCCCCAACCAGAGCAGACCTTGGTGGATAGACTAATTCTTCTCCTCTTTTTAACCATCGACCACATGCTCTGGCACTATTACAAAAGTCACACTCCTATAGATAGTCTGTTATTGGTTAACTAGACAAAGCCCAACAGTTCGGGTGACCTATTTTTGCTTTTTGACAGTGCAAGTCAAAGTACTTAACTTCAATCACGATCTCATTTACAAACCCCCCAAAATAAAAAGCATGACAGTGAACACTAATATGATGGTAATTTCATATTGTTTCTGCTTATGAATTTGTCTTTCCCTTATTAATCATCCAATAAAGTACTGACGCTGCAGAATCCTGACGTGGCTCAACAAACCATGTACTAAGGACAGTAGCACCCTAAAGGAAGAGGCTACAGCCAAACTGGAGAAGCGCAAAGCTTTTATTAACACCAGAGGCCCATTAGAGTGCTCTCTGTTCACCTTCAGTGGAGCAATAAATGAAGAGAGCTCCACCGGAGAGGACTCCTACTGTCTTTGTGCTGGTAATGCACAGCCAAGCTGTAGTCATGTTGTAACGCTTGTAAGAAACAGATGTTCCTTCCTTGACAAATCTCCTTTCTTGATTTATTATTCATTTGCTCAAATCACAATGGAAAGTCTTTGGCCCATTAATTAAATTCCAAGCAAAATAAAATTTGCAGCAGAACTCATTACTGGTAAATGACTTTGACACTTCATCAGATTTGAAGGTAAAATAGGCGACTTTAGGAAGTTAAAGGTGGAGGGAGCCTAGGCCTTTTCTGCAACCACTGCAAGATGATAAAGATTGTGATGAAATTTTTATGTTAAGTACTGATCTTGGAAAGTTCAATTATCTGCCCCCACCCCATCTCTATCCCCACCGTGATCTACTTTCTGCTTTCCTTTAAAGGAAGGCCTGAAGTAGACACTTAGATTTCAAATATGTTTGTGTATGTATGTATTATATCTTGTTCCAAACACCAAAGCATACATTTGTTTTCAGTATGCAAAGAAGCTTGGCACATTGTGTATCTGATGTATTACCTTTTGAATAAAGGTCCAAGGGAAACCTAATAAGCATGAACTGCAGCATGATAAAGGAATTAAAGCTAGAACTTGGAGAATGGAATAAAGGGAATTTTGACATCCTGATCCAAACATCCAGAAATATTATCTAAAGTGAAGCAAAAATGTTAGATTTTCAAGCTATGCAAGACTTAACCAAATCACGAGCAACCCAAATGGGGAGAAGATAAATGCTTTCAGTGGAAAGGCAGAACCCACGGTTTTCTTCAGAAATAGAACACGTCAGAATTTTGAAAATGTGAGACACACAACCAGCTTATACGACAAAGTTTGCTGGCATGGAAAGTGGAATTGTATTTCTGTTTATGTAATGCCAGTTTTGACTCTGAGTCTTATTAATGAAATCTATCTTATCCCAATGATTCAAATACGCTTTCCCCATGCAATTGTGTGTTGTGATACTTCTCTCCTGCAGTTATTTATATACTAAAGGAGTCAAATTAAGGGTTTTTTCTCCATTTTTTAGAGGATGTTGCACCTTGAATCTAGGCAAGTTGTTGAAGAAATACTTAGCAAATACCATATCAAAAATGCCTCTGCCATCCACTTAAAGCAAACTTCTTATTATGAGGCATATGAGAAAATACAAAAAGATGAATGAGAAATAGTGGCAAACTTGAAACAAAATATCAAGATATTTTTGTCATTTCAAGGATCCGGTTACAATACCCAGGTGTTTAAAATGAAGATGAAATGAGGTTGATACCAGACACAGTAAGTTTTTCAATGAACATCAAAGTCATGGATTAACAGTATTTAGTAAGTACGCCTCAGTAACATCCTCAAAATATAGGCACCTTTAATTAAAGATTTGTGATAATTCAGCAAGAGTCACTGCTGAATTCTTCTGTGCCATGTCAAACTGTGTTTGTCACACAAATGAGGTGGCACCAAGGGAGAAATGTAATGTTAACATATTTAGGAAAATCATGTATTTTATCTAAAAAGATTGGTAAGATGTTTATAATTTATAATTTTATAAATGTATAATTTATTTTTATCAGAAATTTAAGCAGATTGACAGACTTCCATTTGCAAAGAAAAAACAAGTATGTTTTTCATGTATGCTTAAAAAGAGCAGTTTCATTTGTAGTGAAACATTTTTCTCATTAATACAAACTGCCCTGTCCCAGCTGTCTCAATTAAGCTGTCTGTCTTCAGTTTCAATCCTTTCTACTTGTTTAGAAAAATAAAAATACAAGAAGCAAAGAAACCCATGTGGGAAAACAACACAATGAAAGATGATAGAAAAGAGACTCCTGCAACCACACAGCCAAAGAAAGCCAAGATCACGTGTTATGAAGTTGAAAGAAGGGTGGAGTCTAGTTCTTGGTCCTGCTGAGACCGTTGCCTCTCTCCTAGCCAAATGAAGGATCCTTTTGACCTAATGCTACATAATACCAGACTTTACAAAGATGAAGGAAGTTTTAGAAATTGTGAGTCTAAGTCGTATTTTTAATTTAACAAACATACCAGAGCCTTTCTATCAAATAGGTAACCGCCTTCAAAATAGTCACCTTAGTTGACTACCCACTTACTCTAATGACACTGTCATTGATAAAAAAAATTACTATAACTCTATATGGAATGTCCTGAGAATCAGTGCCATTTATTTAGAGTCAAATATCTTTTTAGACCATTGATGATATTATACCACTAATGATCAAATTACCCATCCAATTTTACTCCTACATGACATTTGGCTAGTTCCAAAAAACAAGCCCATCCTCAAAAAAGTATATCAATTTGCCACTAATTAGGACATTCTCAGATTCTCAAGGTTATTTCAAAAAGGGAGTTATAAAATGTTGTTTGAACAAGGCTGCATTAATGGAATTTATGTGTATTTTCCCAAGGTGACAACTTTGAAGGGGGCACCACTCATTTGAATGAATTAGTTCTAGCTTATTAGCTAAAATGTCATATTATGGTCATACAGATGCCCTAGAGAGTAAAGAGAGTGGTATATAGATGTCTATGCTCCCTTATTATTTTTTTATCATACTAAGGGTACTGAAAGTGGAGGCGTGAATGTAATAATGTCCCAGACACCTACAACATCTGTTCTTTACCTTAAAATAAAAATAACAGTTTTTAAAGCTTTAAAGATGCATATCTATTCTTCTATTCTTTAAAGACCACGAATAAAAGTATTCAGAGGATATACTCTATTCATTCTGCTTAAATGAAACAGTAGGTATTTAGTACCTAAATTATATATGAAAAAAAGATTAGTCTTGGAGCAACTTACAAGAAAAGATATAAATACAAAGATGACTATACAAAATGGAATAAAAATTGCAGGCTATCAGGAACTAAAGGTTAGTAAAAGAAATAACAAGACCTTTCAAGGGTAATTAATTGAACAAAAATGTGCTTTAAAAAAAGAAGGCTGGGTGCAGTGGCTCACATGTGTAATCCCAGCCCATTGGGAGGCCAAGGTAGAAGGATCACTTGAGGCCAGGAGTTGGAGATCGGTTTGGGCAATATAGTGAAACCCCTGTCTCTTCAAAAATAAAAATTAAAAAATTAGCCAGATTTAGTGGCATGCACCTCTAGTCCCAACTGGTTGAGAGGCTGAGGTGGGAGGGTTGCATGAGTCCAGGAGTCTGAGGCTGCAGTGAGCTATGATCATGCCACTGCACTCCAGCCTGGGCAACAGAGTGAGACGCCATCTCTTAAAAAATAAAAATAAAAAAGTTTAAAAAAAAATGAAAAGAAGGAGGAGGAAGAGGCAGTGGCAGTGGATTTTTTCTTCAGTGGTTGGTAAAGGAGGAGGGGGTCACAGGTGTCAGATATAAGAAAAAGGAGAGAAAAACTACACCTGTTGTTTCACCCAGTAGATGAATAATTGAAAAACTCAGTGTTGGGTACTATCCTCAGTGCTTAGGTAATGGAATCATTTATACCCCAAACTTCAGCATCATGCAATATACCCAAGTAACAAACCTACACATGTTCCCCCGCAAAATGAAACAAAAATTGAGAAAAAAATAGAAAAACAATATAAAGATTTGGTGGCCTGATCATATTTCAGTGGTACCTTAGTAGACTTTTTGGCTGGATGAATTAGATGCTTAAAACAGTGGGCTTCAGGCTGCCATTCAAAGTCCTATTTTCTCATTTCCTCCCATGATTTTAGACTCTACCTTTAACTTCACAGACCCTCGTTGGAAACAAACATTCTTTTAGAAGGAAGTTGTATGAGTCAGGTATATGGATCATTACAAATCCATGCAATTTACAGTAAAAAGTAATTTCAAAGGGTAATTCAAAGGATTCTATATCCATTGGGGGATAGTTAACAAGTTTTTAAGAACAGCAGATTAATCTATGCCTGTATGATAATAAAAATATTTGTATAAATAGCATACTAACATACTGTGAGAGTTCAAGTCCTTGTTTGTGGAAAAAAACCCAAAAGACTAATAAAGTCTATGTATTGTATGCTCCCTTATCATGCAAAATAAAATATTAAAATTAGGAAACTGTAAATATTATCCAAGTGGAATTCTTGTTAAGTTATTGAAAGAAAAAAATAAAGACCTATGCAAATTCTTACAGAATACTAGTATAACTGCTCGATCCCAACATCTGCAATAAAATAGAATTTGAAATCTGTGCATTTTCATTCAATATTCCAAAGCCACACATCATAGTGGCCTACATTCTAGACTCATTGCTATATGTCCTGTCAACAGTATATCCTCACAGTCAAATGGTCAGTTCTCTCTGTAAGTGCAGCCTGGACCTCAATGAGTATCAGCTCACTGTAAATAATTTCACGCTGAGATGTCAAGTGAGAGAGTTCCACTGTGACACTGATGAGTGGCAAGGTAGCAGAAAGCATCCAAGAAAACCCTAGCAAGCTCAGCACTGCAGGAGTAAAGAAGAAAAGAAGTGCAGACACAGCTGTGTTGCCACTGAAATCCTCTTTATGGTGTCTCTGTCTCAAAAGGCCTTCAGTTCAAAATATAGAGGAAGAATATATTTGGATGTTTACTCTCTGGCCAAGAAGCACTTCTTTGTTTTCGTCTCCTTCGTGTATTTTCACTCTCATTGTTACATATCTTTGGTTAGATCAACACACATCATAACCAACATGAGCAGTAAGAGAAGAGAGCACTGGCCCCTGGAATGTAATGGATGGAAGCCAGGGTCACAGACTGACCAGACTTCTCAGTAACTGGCCCTGCACATAGAGTTGGCTGTCACTGAGAATTTTAAAAATGGCTATTAGAAAATGAACACTGCACTTGGAATCAGAAGACCAAGACTTGAGTCCCAAGACTGGTTCTGATTAGCTTTGAAACCTCAGGCAAGTAAGTCACTGATCTCTCTGAGACCTAGTCTCTTCATCTAGAAAGTATCAAGTTTATTATCCTGAATCTTTTCCCGATCTAACATTCTAGGATGTTGCACATTATTTGAATTCAGTTCTTATTTCAGACTCAGAGCTATACACTTAGGAATGAGAAATTTCACAGCATTATAATTACAGCTACTCATTGAGTATTATGTATGAGCTCTGGGAAAAAAGGTTTTCTGTATGTATTTGTTACTCTTTCCAACAATCCTTAATCTTCCTTTGAAGATGAGAAAACTGATATTCAAAGATATTAAAGAGCTTCTCCAAAGTCACATAACTGTTAAGAGGC
This sequence comes from Homo sapiens, assembly GCF_000001405.40. Lineage (NCBI taxonomy): Eukaryota > Metazoa > Chordata > Mammalia > Primates > Hominidae > Homo > Homo sapiens. The sequence continues at coordinate 218,069,892 of NC_000001.11, forward strand.
TGAGCTGAGATTGAAACCCAACACTTAAACACTTTTTCCATAATACTACACTGCCTTCTCCAGGATCTCAAATAAGGCATCTCTTAGAAACCCACAGGGGCATTTTTGCAAGGATAAAAAAAGTTGAAGATGAAAACATATTCTGAGCAATAAAGGTGAAAATTTAGCACTAGTAATTACACAAACACACACCCCTTGCACAAATAACTGTGGAAGCTCTTTTAAGTTAGAACATCAAGAGATAAGATTTCCTCCCCAACATTGAAATATGCCCCAAGGGAGGATTTAAATATAGCTCAAATCAGTACCTAATACTGATTGTTCATTTATTTGGTTAAACAAAGACTTAATCAAATGTTTGTCTTAAGCAACATAAGGCCACATCCTGACACTTGGATGATGTCTTAAGCATCTCCCAAGTGTCAAGTTTGGTGAGCAGCCCTGGGGATACACAGCCTGTACTCTTGGAGCGGTCTTAACCATAGCAAGCAAACCCTGGACCATGGCTGATATGGTTTGGCTCTGTGTCCCCACCCAAATCTCACCTTGAATTATAATAATCCCCACATGTCATGGAAGGGACCCCGTGGGAGGTAATTGAACTATAGGGGCATGTTTTTCCCATGCTCTTCTCATGATAGTGAATAAGTCTCATGAGATCTGATAGTTTTATTAAGGGAAGTTCCCCTACACAGGCCCTCTTGCCTGCATGTAAGACATGCCTTTGCTCTTCCTCTGTCTTCTGCCATGATTGTGAGGCCTCCCCAGCCATGTAGAACTGTGAGCCCACTAAACCTTTTTCCTTTATAAATTACTCAGTCTCAGGTATGTCTTTATTAGCAGTGTGAGAACAGAGTAATAAAATGGCACACGGTGGGGGGTACAGAGAAGTACGAAGGAAGATTTCCAAACCAGCCTGGATATTAGGAAAGACTGAAGATAGCATGCTGCAAAAACTGAATCTTAAAGACTCAGTACATGTTATCCAGAGGACATGCCATGGGGTGGTGGAGGAGAAGAGAAGGATGAGAAAAGGTTTGTTTCTCAGGCAGAGGAAACCATATGTTCAAGGTGGCAGGAAGGCCTATGGAAGGGACTCTGCCTGGATCATAAGTTGCATATATATAGAAGCATGGTTGGTGATGAGGCTAGAGAGGAGGGAATGGACCAAATCAGGAAAGTCTGTAGCATCTTAGTTAAAAGATTTGACTCTGTCTTTAAGGCAATGGGAACTCTGAAAGAATTTTCAGACAAAAAGTAGTGTAATGAGATTTTTGTATAGAAAGCTTACCATGGCAGAGGTATGAAGAACCTGCTAGAATAAGACAAGGCACAAGATCAAACTAAAACAGGGATCAAGAAGGCATGATTGAAACCCTTGAAAATGATGTTCAGAGTTGAACCATACAGAACACAAACCCTTTTAATGTTCTATAAGAAAGTTGTTGACAAAATGCTGTAGGAGTTCAACCTGTGAAGCCATGCAAGGGTCTTAGGCTCATAAGAGCCCTGAGCTTGGTGTCTGCTCTTCTGTTGGCATTGCGTGTTTTGTAGGTGAAGTCTGATGGGACAATGAAGCATAAGCCTAAGCAGAGGAGATACACACAATATGTGTGTCTGCTGTTACTTGACATCCATTTACATATAGTGTTTGCAGTGCCCCGAGCACAGAATTACAGTGGACTCATGATGTAGAAGTGCAAAGCAAATACGAGATCAGTGTGTTACATCTATGATTGAGTAAGCAAGAGTGCTGACAGCCATGAGAGGTTTCCATCTGGTTTCCATCTGAACCAGAAACGCTTCAAACACAGAAAGAAGGCAATGACATTCTAAGAAACATGAATGGGCCGGATGCAGTGGCTCACTCCTGTAATCCCAGAACTTTGGGAGGCCGAGGTGGGCGGATCATCTGAGGTCAGGAGTTTGAGAACAGCCTGACCAACATTGACAAACCCCGTCTGTACTAAAAATACAAAAAAAGTAGCCGGGCATGGTGGCAGGTGCCTGTAATCCCAGCTACTCTGGAGGCTGAGGCAGGAGAATTGCTTGAACCCAGCTACTCTGGAAGCTGAGGCAGGAGAATTGCTTGAACCCAGTGAGCCGAGATCATACCATTGCACTCCAGCCTGGGCAAGAAGAGGGAAACTGTCTCAAAAAAAAAAAAAAAGAAAGAAAGAAAGAAAGAAAAGAAAAAAAACATGAATGACTAGGGAACTCTATCATATCCTTACCTGAGTTACTTCTTTGCACTCTACTTAAGGTCAAAACAATGATATAGAGGAAAGAGGAACAACAAGGCAATCCATAATTCCTTTTTTTAGTTTAGTGCTTCTTTTCCTATCACCACTAAGCCAAAGATAGGATAGAAAATGATAATAGAACATATTTGTATAAAAAAAGAACAAACAACCCCATCAAAAAGTGGGCGAAGGACATGAACAGACACTTCTCAAAAGAAGACATTTATGCAGCCAAAAAGACATGAAGAAATGCTCATCATCACTGGCCATCAGAGAAATGCAAATCAAAACCACTATGAGATATCATCTCACACCAGTTAGAATGGCAATCATTAAAAAGTCAGGAAACAACAGGTGCTGGAGAGGATGCGGAGAAATAGGAACACTTTTACACTGTTGGTGGGACTGTAAACTAGTTCAACCATTGTGGAAGTCAGTGTGGCGATTCCTCAGGGATCTAGAACTAGAAATACCATTTGACCCAGCCATCCCATTACTGGGTATATACCCAAATGAGTATAAATCATGCTGCTATAAAGACACATGCACACGTATGTTTATTGCGGCACTATTCACAATAGCAAAGACTTGGAACCAACCCAAATGTCCAACAATGATAGACTGGATTAAGAAAATGTGGCACATATACACCATGGAATACTATGCAGCCATAAAAAATGATGAGTTCATATCCTTTGTAGGGACATGGATGAAATTGGAAACCATCATTCTCAGTAAACTATCGCAAGAACAAAAAACCAAACACCGCATATTCTCACTCATAGGTGGGAATTGAACAATGAGATCACATGGACACAGGAAGGGGAATATCACACTCTGGGGACTGTGGTGGGGTCGGGGGAGGGGGGAGGGATAGCATTGGGAGATATACCTAATGCTAGATGACACATTAGTGGGTGCAGCGCACCAGCATGGCACATGTATACATATGTAACTAACCTGCACAATGTGCACATGTACCCTAAAACTTAGAGTATAATAAAAAAAAAAAAAAAAAAAGAAATAAAAACATTTGAGTTTGTTTTGACAGTTTCCACTGTTCCAGTAAGAAGAAAAGACATGAATGTTTGAGCTGTGAAATATAAAATATGTAATTTTGATGAGTCTGCATATAATTAAATGCTTTTGTATTCAAATTTAAAGTTGGTATTGCACAACATAAGGATGAATGGTTACATTGATGCTGATAATTAAAAATTTTCATTTTTCTTTACTTAGAATGACATTTAATAGCAAATAAATAGCATCACAACAAGTCAAGAGAGAGACCATGGAAGACAAGAAGAAGTTTGATGTTTTAGTGCCTTCAACATCACTGTTTTCTCTGCTTTGTGAAAAGGGAGCCCTGCATTTTTATTTTGCACTGAGCCCTGCAAATTGTATAACTAACCCTGGTTCTAGGTGTGCAGAGAGAGTCACAGAGATGGTGTAAAACGTGAACATTTCCAAGTGGGGGAAGAATGACTGTGAGTATTCACAGTGAGGTCTATGAACTGAAGCTGATCTCTGAAGTGTTTCATGATGAGATGTTAAGATACAGCAATTCAGAGCATTTGGAAAGATTATAGCAATTTGACAGAATAATTTTATGTCTGTTGAATCTAGTCTGTTTTAAATTTTTATTGAAAAATAAAAACATTTGGGCTTGTGTTTTGTAGGTATTTGGGATGTCTAATTCATTTTCTAGCAATTCACTTTTTATTCTATCTTACAAAAACATCAGATCATAACAGGTGGGAAACTAAAACAAACCAACCAACAAAAACCTGCTCTTTCCTTACAGATCATTTGAGAAGCCTTCATCTCTACCTGCATTGTAGATTGTACGTGCTTTGTCCACAAGCTGTTTTTGCTTATAGACATATTATTCTGTTTTTGCAGGGATCTGATCTTTTTTGGGACAGATGTTTATTTCTTTCTAGAAACAGTGACAAGGGGTTTCTATTATAGTACAGCTACTTCTGGAAGAAACTGGCCTATAATAATCAAGAATGTCCCTAGTTAACCACAACTTCCTCTAATGCTTTCTTTTGCTCCACAGTTCATCTGCTCCCAAATCTGGGTCTATAGAGCCTCCATCCTTTCCTGTCCTCCAATGCTACCCATTCAGCTTTGCCTGTCCTCATAGTGTGAAGGAAACACCTACAAGAACCTTTGATCGTCTCCCTCTTTCATCCTCCATCTGGATTTGCCAAGTCTGGTGGGTTTTCAAACCTGGTTATCTGTTACAATCACCTGGGGAGCTTTTTTAAAAAAATTCCTAAACTTCACCTTCAGCTTTTTACTATTATTGCTCTGGGATAGGTCCCAGGGCACAGCGTTTTATAAAAGCTCCTTTGGAGATTCTAATGGACACGCTCACTGAGGCCCTTGGAAAACTCACTGTTCATTTCCTCTGCAGCTACATTTCTGCTGTAGTTACATTGTCAGCTACATAATTTGCAGGGTTCAGTGCAAAATATGAATAAAAATGCAGAGCGTTAAAGGTGACATTAAATGTACTGAAGTATAAACCCTGTTGATTCCTTCCGTGGGCTCTCTCTTGACTTGTTTTTGATGTTATTTGTTACTTAATGTCATTCTGAGTAAATAAAAATTAAAAATTTTCATTATTGGTCTTTGGGCTGCAGAACATGATAAACATTTCCACAGTGGACCAATTCCTTCTAATCCTAATGAGGTAATATGGTTCACCTGTATCATCGGGGTTGCTGGCCATTGCCTGTGCTTATACCCAATGGACCACTATCAGGAAAGACTGCATGTCTCAGAGAAACCTGTTCCAACAGGATTGCCTCGGGGATGGTGACTCTGCTGCTTCCTAGCTGTGTGACCTTGGACAGGTTTCTTAGCCTCCATGTACATCAGCTTCCCCATCTGTAAAATGGAGGTAATAATAATACTTGGGATTGTTTAAAATATTTAATAAGCAAATACAGTCATATGCTGCATAACGATGTTTCAGTTAATGCCAGAGCACATATACAATGGTGGTCCTAGGTGTGTAGTAGGCTATACCATCTAGCTTTGTGTAAGCAGAGTCTATGACCTTCACAAAACAATGAAATCATCATTTCTCAAAACCTATCCCCACCATTAAGTGATTCATGACTGTTTAAGTAAACTACTTTTATAACAGTGCTTGGTACATAGTAAGCAATATGTAAATGCTTGTTAAAATAATAATAAATCAGATTTTCTTTTTGTTTTCTTTTTTTTTTTTTGAGACGGAGTCTTGCTCTGTCACCCAGGCTGGAGTGCAGTGGCTCGATCTCAGTTCACTGCAAGCTCCGCCTCCTGGGTTCACGCCATTCTCCTGCCTCAGCCTCCCGAGTAGCTGGGACTACAGGCGCCCGCCACCACACCTAGCTAATTTTTTGTGTTTTTTTAGTAGAGACGGGGTTTCACCATGTTAGCCAGGATGGTCTCGATCTCCTGACCTTGTGATCCGCCCGCCTCGGCCTCCCAAAGTGCTAGGATTACAGGCGTGAGCCACCGCCCCCAGCCACAAATCAGATTTTCTACAGTACCTACTCAAGTGTACTTTAGGATACCTATCCTCTGTTCTCTTTCTCTCTTTATGTGACTTAGTCCCATGTTGTATTGATAACCTTTGACATGAACTGCCTTTTTTTTTTCTCTCTTTCAGTTAAACATTTCTTTTTCATTTCACCCATTCTTCTCTTTCTTGCCCATCCCTGAGATAAATGTATCCTTGGTAGCTTTCACAGGTAACCACCCTCACCCATGCATTTTTTCCCATCCCCTGTTCCAAGGCCTTGCTCCAAACATTGTCCTCCCTCTCTCTTCTCTGCAGTTAGATCATTAGTCACATTATAAAAACATACTCAGGTCTTCTCACTCAAATAAAACCGTTCTTTCATTCTGTCTGCTGTTCAAATTCTCATTTCCCTTTCCTTTTGTGACCAAGCTGCTTTTGGTACTCTTACTGAAAGTTTCTTTGTGAACAACTTTCCTAAACTTGTTAAACCTCTAAAGATCAGACTTGTTTTTATAAGTCTAATACTTCTGCTCAAGAAGTCACTCAAGGCCAGGCTGCGGTGGCTCACGCCTGTAATCCCAGCATTTTGGGAGGTCGCGGTGGGTGGATCAGCTGAGGTCAGGAGTTCGAGATCAGCCTGGCCAAAATGGTGAAACCCCTGTCTCTACTAAAAATACAAAAATTGGCCAGGGGTGGTAGTGCATGCCTGTAATCCCAGCTACTTGGGAGGCTGAGGCAGAATTGCTTGAACCCGGGAGGCGGAGGTTGCAGTGAGCCAAAATCGTGCCATTGCACTCCAGCCTGGGCAACAAAAGTGAAACTCCCTCTCAAAACAAAAAAAGTTTCTCCTTCCTTGACTCTCATGATGTTCCATACTCCATTTCTTACTTACTTCTCTCTTCCTTTGCTGTCTGTATTTTCCTTGGCGAACACTCTAATGTAGTGTTTCCTAAAGATCTGAGTTGGACTCTGATATTTTATCTTTATTCTCTCTCCCTTGATAGCCACATTCAATGTCTTGGTTTCTTTATACAGATGAAATGGAATTCTCTCCCCATTTCAGCCTGTATTTTCAACAACCAACTGGACATCACTACCTTACTCTCAGAAAGACATCTCAGGCTGTTTATAGATGAGACCAAATAATCACTTTTCTAAGCCTTTTCTAAGCCTCCTGTGTTTCCTAATTTTATGAAATGCATCACCTTCCTGGTGGTAAAACAAATTTGAAACATCAGTGTTAGACAGTAGGACATCACTTTCCTCAGTTTTCTCTCCCTGCACCCCAGAATAAAGTCTACCAATTCTATCTCTACAATGTCTTTGACAATCACCTTCTTATATCTGTTCTCACTGCCAAAAGCAGATTTCAGGACTTCGTTACCTTTTGGCAGAGTTTCTGAAATGGCTTTGACTTTGCCTCTGGTCTCCCCATGTCTAATTTATATTGGACAGTATTTGCTACCATAGAGCTCTGATCATGTCACATTCCAAAAGCTTCAAAGCCTCCCTATTACCTAAAAAGTAAAGAATTAATTTCTTAACCCAGTAGTTGAGGTCTTCCACAATCTAGTCACAACTTACTTTCCAGTGCCCCAAGCTAGAGCCAAACCCAACTACTCAGTATTTCCCATCCATGCACTGAAGTATCTTACTTCTGTGTTTTCTTGCCTCAGCATCCTTTACCAAACTCCATTTACCTGACTATGCTCAAATTCTACTTGTTTTTTTGTTTTGTTTTGTTTTTTAGCATGGGTGGCTTGTGTGTCATTTAGAAACAAGGCCAGGGACTTATCCCCCAAGATCAGGGCTGTTTGGCAACTATAGATGGAAAGGTAGACCTATTTACCTTAGGTCTCCATGATGACAAGAGCACAGTGTCTAGAGGGCCACTCAACCTGGATGAGTGATTCATATGATGCTCTAAAGAAGGTCAAAAAGTTGCCAGGGTGAATAATGACTAGATGCTGAGAATTCATCTGCAACAGAAATCAGCGTAAAGTAACAATAACAGTATGTGGATTGTTAAAAAGTTTATACACACACCTACACACAATACTTACTATCGCTAATGCTGTGATTTAACCATTTAAAATAACATAAAAGGCATAGAAGAGTATTTAGGACTTCATGTCCAATAGATGGTATTGTATTATGTAAAATGATAGCAGTAGAATACCTGAGCTGTATCTTATTCCAGCTTTGTCCCTTCTTTCCAGAACTCCCTGACACATCATGTCTTCTTTCTGAGCCTCATTTTTCTCACTCAGGGTTAGCCACACAGCTCAAGAGGAAGCTCTACCCCAAAATATAGCTCTCCCTACCTCTTCTCCTCTGCACCCTTAGCCTTTGCCACAAGCCACCCCCATGGAAATTTTATTACCAACAACTTGACTCCTTTGGGGGAATAAATATATACTCTGATTATACAATGTCTGTATTTTTCAGTTGATAACTGAGCTTTTCAAAGAGTTCAGTTTTACTTTAATAAGAACTTTTAAACTTTGCCAACTGAATGCCATCTAAATATTCCAGATGTCAACTATATGGAGCAATAGGACCAGAAATGGAAAAGGAAAAAAATTAAGATAAAATACAAAGGGAAAAGAGAGAAAGCACGGAGGGAATTGTGAAAATTAGAACTTAAGCCATGTGTTAAGTTAATATTTTGGAGAAAAAGACTATAAATTGAGGTTACTTTTGTATTGGTCTCCAGTGCACAGCCCAGCTAGGCCCTTCTTTCTGCACTACTTATGCTCAGATATTGTAAGGCAACAAAACATGTTCTCTTAAGTAGAGAATGGATATTTAAAGTCTCTTTGCTATAGGTCAATTTTATCTCTTTCAAAATACCAAATTACATCTAGTCGTTAGAACCATAAACCCTTGGGTTAAATTGCTTCTTATAAATGGTTCATGATATAAGAATGTGACTTACACTAAAGCAAGAAAAGAAGAGGCAGAAATGCAGGGATAATTTGAAAATCCCAAAGCTGACTTCAGGTGTGACCGTGGAAAAGTCATGAAGCCTCTGGGCTCAAGTTTTTACACCATGGAATGATAATTTGGATTGTTATGAAAACACTTTGAGCTGCTCTCACAGCCAGCATCTGACAAGATATTTTCCCAGCAGCCAAAACATTCTCTATAACTAATGATGGCTTGTTTTTTTCATGCACAGAAAGATAGACACAAATATTAGAGATCAGTCAATGATTAAATAAAGTGTTCTCCTGCACAAAATAATGATTTAAGTCTTCAGGACACACAGAAACTAAGTGCAATAATTCTACTAAGGTTTAAATACTCAGAGACTACCAAGGCAAAGCAATTTGAGCAGCATCAGAAACACATACACACCATGGGCAGCAAACAGCCATTTTACATTTAATTAGGCAAAGAAACTCCAGCTGAATGGGTTAAAAATTGCCACTATTTCACAGTAAGTGATTTTCTTAACCCCCAAGGGTTCAAATTACTTTGGCAGGAAAAGCAATTATGCAATTAATAGGGGAAAAATCTCAAGAGCTCTGTAATTTTCGAAGAGGTAAAGGTTCTGCGCTGGCCTGCAGGGGACAGCTGAGCTCTGAAGCTTTTTTCTTTTTCTTTCTTTCTTCCTTCTTTTTTTTTTTCATTTTGACCACACCCGAAATAAAAACCAAGGATATTTTGAGGAGTAGGAAAGCACAACAGCTCAGATAATGTCCCCGCCAGTATATTCATGACAGGCTCATCAGAGTGGATGCCTGCAATCTGAAGATTAAATACCCATTCAGCAGCATCAGAGGAGAGTTTGGTTTTATAATGTATTGTCCTCTATTCCCCAGGAGGCTTCTTTGTTTGATAAAATGCTGAGTGTGGTGTAAAAATATCCCTCTCTCTGTAATTTGCACTCCTCTCCATTTAAAGCTATTCTTGCTGCAAACGAGAATTGAAAGCTGCTAAAATTAAGTGGTGTCAGTTCTCAATGACACTTTAATGATAGAGCGCTCAGCAAATGAGATGAGAATGAATTCCAGCATCTCTGCTGAAGATAGTAACCAGCCCCAAACACTATAACGTTCCAACTGGGCCACACTTCACCTGCTTCATTCATATTTAGTAGAACTGAAATAGAGAAACTATAATTTAAGTGGTCAGAAAAAGAAAGGTGAAAATACCTGATGGCCATTGGTTCAAAGTAATTGAAGTTTGGGGTTGTAAGTCTAAGGTATTCTCTCTGGCTTCTTTACCAAAATATTCTCACAGATAAAGGACATTGCATTTCAAGAGAGTAAATATCCTGTTGACCGAGAAAGTCTTCTCTGATTATATGACTAAGAGGACATGAGGCACTGATTTATTTTATTGAATGAGTAAATACTCATTCGGATTGCTGGCTTGACATTGTATTGGTGTGCTCTGACGGACTCAAGCGTCTGAATCACTTTTGTACTCTCGTGGTATCAATGAGGGAGAAAGATGATTCTCTTTTTACTATGATGGAGAAAAGAAGTTCTGGGGCAATAGCAGCAGGTTTCTGAGTCTCCTCCTGCATTAGCCAACACCACACAAGAAGGGTCCTGAATAAAATTAGAGTCTAATTGAATCACACTCCTATTCAGGGGCAAATCCACTAAAATTTTCGCTCACAGGCATACAACTCAATTCAATAATCAATTTCAGTATCTAAGGCTACAAAGGCCACCCTAGGAAATTAAACATATGTATTAATTAATTAAAAAACTAGACAACTGTTTATTTCAAATCAATACATAAACATGTCTATACCAAAAAGGCACAGACTAGATGGATAAACATGGGAAGGAAAGAACACTTTGTAACTGGTGAGGCCTTTGGTTAAGCATGGCTTCCTGGAGGAGGTGAACTAGGGGTGGTCCTGGAGGAAGTTAAAAACCTGAGTAGATAAAGAAGAATAAGAAAGGTGTCTGGCAAGGAAAGAAAGGTGGAGCACAGGAATGGGAGGACTGCCCTAACAAACACAGCATGAGCAGGAATAATGAAGGACAGGTTGACTGTCTAAGGTGCATATTGCCTGAATCCCTTAATTTTCATCTAAGGAATTTGAATGTGATCTGATTAGCAACAAGAAGTCACCATAGATCCCTGAGCACCTCATGAGTGCATTGTAAAAACTGAATGAGATAACATATGCGAAAGCGACCAGCGCTGTGGTGCCCAGTAGGTAATGCACAATAAATGTTAGTCTGTTACAGAGTTATTTCTGAATAGGGCTGAGATATAATGAACACGATGTTTCAGGAACAGTGATCTGTGCAAGTGAACCAGAGGCGGGGAGAATGGTGGCTGTTGCAGCAAGCTGGCCACAGGGTGACAAGCATGCCTCACCACTGTGCATGCAGACCATATGTCACTAGGTTTCCGAAAAGCTGCCATCTGCCAAGGTAGCAGTCTGATGGACCTCTGCCGCCTAGATGATGCTAGCCAGGGACCTTTTGGACAATGTATCCTACTGTAAAACGTAGTTCACACATGTTTCTTGAAATTACAGCATAGTTATAGAAACAGGCAGATGTGGCAGACAGGAAACTGAAGAAAATAGGCCCATTGATTGCTCTTCTATGCTAGGGCTTCATTAACAATCTAGAGAACCCTGGAATTCCTTATGGCAAGTGTTTGTAAGTGTTTGTAAAAAAATGCTTTAATGTTTTAAAATGAATGCCCACTTTGTAACTGTATTATAATGGAAAATATCAAAATAATTTTGTTTCTACAGCTCTTGAGAGCTTTAGTGGTCTGGCAACACAGCAAGGTGAACTGAAATCATGCTAGCCTCCTCTGAGCTTTCATCATCTTGGACATCCATCTATATGAGCTTGGCAACACTCAAAGAAGGATTACAATGCATTATGATTTTATGGTTGCTAAAGGTACTAGCAATATGCTTGACACCTGTCTCTGTGTCTATAATGTTTTACTTTAAACAATATAGGTAAACAAAGTGGTTACAAGTTCTTTCCTTAACTTCAGGAAGTGAAGGACATCCAAGTGAATTGCTTCATTCTGTTGAATTGTCTGTAGTTTGGGTTTATTTTATTTTATTTATTTTTTGAGATGGAGTCTCACTCTGTTGCCTAGGCTGGAGTGCAGTGGCTGATCTCGGCTCACTGCAACCTCCGCCTGCTGGGTTCCAGCGCTTCTTCTGCCTTAGCCTCCCGAGCAGCTGGGATTACAGGAGTGCACCGCCATGCCTCTCTAATTTTTGTATTTTTAGTAGAGATGGGGTTTCACCATGCTGATCAGGCTGGTCTTGAACTCCTGACCTCAGGTGATCTCCCCACCTCTTCCTCCCGAAGTGCTAGGATTACAGGCGTGAGCCACTGCACCCGGTCTGTTTGGGTTTATTTTGAACTCATGGTAAATTTTTTTTTTGAGACGGAGTCTCTCTCCGTCGCCCAGGCTGGAATGCAGTGGAGCGATCTCGGTTCACAGCAAACTCCGCCTCCTGGGTTCACGCCATTCTCCTGCCTCAGCCTCCGGAGTAGCTGGGACTACAGGCGCCCGCCACCACGCCTGGCTAATTTTTTTTGTATTTTTAGTAGAGACGGGGTTTCACCGTGTTAGTCAGGATGGTCTCTATCTCCTGATCTCTTGATCCGCCCACCTCGGCCTCCCAAAGTGCTGGGATTACAGGCGTGAGCCAACGCGCCCGGCCACTCATGGCAATTTTTTAGCAGCTTCATGAAGGTATAATGTATGTGCTATAAACTGTATTTTTAATTTACATTAAGTGTGCAATTAAATGAGCTTTGACATTTGTATTTACCCCTGAAACCAACACCACAATCAAGAAAATGAATATTTCCTTCACCCCCAAAAGATTCCCTGTGCTCTCTCAAAGTCCATCCTTTCTTCCACAGCCTCGGGCAATCACGAGTCAATTTTCTGTCACTATATATTAGTTTGCAATTTTCAGGAATGTTATATACATGGAGTCATACAGCATATACACATTTGTGTCTTGCGCCTTTCATTCAGCATAGTGACTTTGAAATTCATCCGTGGTGCTTCATGGGTCTGTGGATCATTCGTCTCTATTGTTCATTATATAGATCTACCACGTTTTGTGTTTTATTCACCTCGTAGCGAATTTTCATAATTTTATGTTGCCTCAGCATCTGTTTTGAATATATTTTGGACTTTCTCACACCCGAAGCAAGATTTAGTCACCCTTGACACAGTTTCCAGTTCTCCCCCGTCTTCCTGGTTCCTCAATGTGGCGGATCCAGATGCCTGCATTATACAACTGCTTCCTAGTGACCACCTCCCTATAAGGCTGCTAGATCTACTCCTACTCGATTTGCCCCACTGACTCCCACCAGCCCCATGGACTGCACCTCTCAGTCACAGCAGGATTCTGCAGAGCTCATACCTTCCTGCTGTAAACCCACCGTTGAAACTCCCCAAGGGAAAGCTGCCTGGGTAATGCCCTAAACCCTACAGATGCCTGACTCTGTTTCTTGTTCCCCCTCCACTGATTGAGCGACAGCTCATGTCCCAGACAGCCCCCATTCCCCACTGGGCCTGTGAGGCATGCTGTCCTCTCCTCTCTGGATCTGTAGGTAATAAAAACTGCTTCTGTTATTTCATGTGTTTTGTTGTGCCACCTCCTTTGTGTCTCATTCGACTGACATAGCTGAACCTAACCCTCTTCCTGGGCAGGGCTTTCCTAGACAGTGGCTGTTTGGGTAGGAATAAACTGGACACAGATCAGAGAGGACCCATAAGGGCATCTTCCAGCATAAACAAGTTTCCTGTGAGAGGAGGACCTGGTTGCAGGTTGGATGCTTAGGCATTAGGCCATCTACCAGGATAAAGTAGTGTCCTGGAGCTGGGCACAGTGGCTCATGCCTGTAATACCAGCAGTTTGGGAGGCCAAGGTGGGAGGATTGCTTGAGGCCAGGAGTTCAAGAGCAGCCTGGGCAACATAGTGAGACTCCATCTCTATAATAATAATTTTTTTTAAATAAAGGAAAGCCTTGAGAGCTGTAATACAGGAAAAAATAAATGAAAAAAAAGTGTCCTAGGAAAGGTACACTGTAAACATCAACAACCAAATTCCCGGTGCCTATCAGGGCTGGGCTTGAGTTTACAATCACTCTTAAGAGGGAGACCTCAAGACCAAATGGAGGAAACTAAAAAAACACCTGTTGGCAGGTGTGTCAGTTTCCTAGAGCTGCCTTAATAAATTGCCATTTAGCCTGAGTGACTTTTTAAAACAAAACAGAAATTTATTTTCTCATAGTTCTAGAACTTGGAAATGGCCACACTCCCTCTGAAAGCTCTGGGTAGAATCATTCCACGGCTCTCTCCTGGTTGCTGGTGGTTGCCGGCAGTCCTCTGCATTACAGACTCATAACTCCAGTTTCTGCCTCCATCTTCACATGATGTCTTCTTCCCTGTGTATGATTATGTCTCTGTGTCTGAAATTCCCTCTTTTTATAAGGAGACTAGTTTTACTGGATTTAGGTCCCACTCTAATCCAGTATGACCTCATGTTAACTTGATTTCATCTGAAAAACCATATTTCCAAAAGGGGTCACATTCACAGGCACGGGGTGGACATAAATTTGGTGGGAGTGGGGGACATTATTTAACTTAGTACAGTGGGCATTTGATGTTTGTAATTTGTGCTATTATGAATAAAGCTGATATATGCATTGGTGTATAAGTCTTTGCGTGAATGTATGCTTTCTTTTGTCTTTGGTAAATATTAGTCGTGGAATGTGGTTTGAGTGGTAGAAGTGTATTTAATTCATTAAGGAACTGCTAACAGTTTTCTAAAGTAGTTGTGCCATTTTACTTTTCCAGGAGTAATAGTTGTTCCTCGCCTTTGTCAACACTTCATATGATCAGGTTTATTTTTTATAGAGTTCTTTTCTAGGTTGATATAAATCCTTCATCAGAAACTCGTATTGTGGATATTTTCTTCTAGTCTGTGGCTTCTCTTTTGTTGTTTAGATGGTATTTTCCTACGAGCAAAAGTTTATAATATTGGTAAAGCCAAATTTATCTATTTTTTATGGTTTGGCTTTTTACAGCCTAAAAAATGTGCCTATTATAAAGTTGCAAAGATTGTCTCCTTTGCCTTCTTCCAGAAGTTTTATAGATTTAACTTTGATATTTAGGCTGACATAACTTTTGAATTCCTGACATTTTATTTTTGTTTTACTTGTTTATTTACAGACAGAGTCTTATTATGTTGTCCAGGCTGGACTGGCTATTCACAGGTGCAATCACAGTGCTCTACAGCCTCCAACTCCTGAGCTCAAGCAATCCTCCTGCCACAGCCTCCCAAGTTGCTGGGACTACAGGCATGCACCACCATGCCTAGTGCATTTTATTTTTTAATAAAAGTTTCATAGGTTATATTAGTCTGTTTTGTGCTGCTACAACAAAATACCTGAGACTGGGTAATTTATAACGAACAGAAATGTATTGGCTCATAATTCTGGAAGTTGGGAAGCCCAATATAAGATGCTGGTGTCTGATAAGAGCCTTCTTGCTGCATCATAACATGGTAGAGGGCATCACATGGTAGAAAGGCAAACAGAGGGCAACAGAGAAAGCCAGAGAGGGCAAACCCACTCCCTTGATAGCACACCTTCTCTTGCAACAATGCATTTTGTCCATTCATGGAGGTGGAGCCCTCATGACTTAAACACCTCTTAAAGGTCCCACCTCTTAATACTGGTACAATGCCAGTTGAGTTTCAGCATGAGTTTTGGAGGGGACAATCATTCAAACCACATTTAAAAACCTTCAATAATTTATTTTTATGTTATTGCCTTTTGGATGATAGAAACAACACATGGTCACTGTAAACAATTTTGAAACTACTACAATAGTATAAGGGAAAAGAACATTAAAATACCTATAATTTCACTGCATTTCAGATGACAGTTTCAACTGAGTCTAGGCTTTCCAGCTACCCTCACCAAGCGGTCAGATATGTGAGCACATCATTTTGGACCTTAAAAAGCAGTCCAGCTACCCAATGAATACTATTAAATGGCATCAGTCAATGACACTTGGAGTCAAAGAATTGCCCAGCTGAGCTCTGTTTAAATTTCTGACCCACAAAATAATGAGAGATAGTACAATAGGTAAGTTAAGCCACAAAGTTTTGGGAGCAATGTGTTAATTATTAGCAATAGGTAACTAGGACAATATCTTTAATTAAGCCACTGAGTTTAGCAAGTACATTTAATGTTACCTGTAAACCTGAGTTCTGGTGATTAAAACCCATTTTATAAAATTTTAAAATATATTTTAAAATAAATAGCAGTTTTCTAGTCCAGCAAACCTAATGTAAGGGAATCTATCAGGCTGGTCCAAACTTTTGCACCAGCCTGATAGATTCCCTTAAGTTTGCTGAATGAAAATAACTTCTAGACTGAAAGAAAATATTTCTTGAACTAAGTGAAGCTTGTTAAGGAATTGAGTCTAGATGAGCACCAGACTTGGAATCAGGTTTCCATATCCAGCCTTCCCACTTGCAACCTGTATAGCCTGAGAAATGCATTTAACCTTCTGCTGATTCTTGCAATGTGTATGAAAACTATTAGGTTTAGTTTTTTGATCTATTGACATTTCTAATTAGTTCTAATAGTTTTGCAGTTTATTCTCTTGAATTTTTTTAGTGCTTACATTTACTGTAGTCATCTCCAATTAATTTGTCTCTGCAGTCAGTGATCTCTTTAAAAAGCAAATCTGATCATACCAATCCCCTTCTTGAACCTTTTGAATAGCTTCTTATTGCCCTGGGATAATATCTCACCCATGGCCTCAAAGGTTTTGTGTGGTCTGACCCGTGGTCTTTCTACCTGTACTACAGTCAGACTAGGCTTTTTTTTTTTCCAGATGTGCTGTATCCCACCTTGCTTTAGCCCACCTGGGAGCCTTTTGCATACACTCTTTCCTCTATCTGGAATTCTGCTTCCTCCACTCTTGACTCAGTTAATTGATACTCATCCTGAAGTTCTCAAACTTCACTTTATTTCCCTGTGGGGCGCCTTTCCCAATGCTCCAACCCAAGGGTTCAGGTAACCTGAAATTTTCCTTTCAGGAACCCGTCTAACATCCTTCCCCACAGTCCACCACCAGCCCAAGGTTAGCTGCAGAGAGTAGGTACTGTGTCCAGCCTAAGAGAGGGCCTAGGGTGCTGCAGCACTCATTTAATACTCAAGGACAGAATTAGATGAATGGAAGGAAGACAGCACAGCATTTTGTGGACTATAAAATGCTAAATGTATTTCAAAAACCATAGTGCCAGAAATAATAGTGTCCTGCTCTATGCAACAGTTTATTCCTTAAAGAAAGACCTTATATAACATAACTGTCTAATCTATTTTCTCCAGCACCAATAAAATATGAAAGCTGGTAATTAATTTTTCTAATATCCCAACTAAAAGAGAAATCTGATATTATTAATTCTGCACTATTGATTTGACCCTTAATCAAATATTGTCTTTACACAGCTTCAATGTTACTACCCTATTGCATTATTAAAATTTTGTTACATAAGTTTCATACATGCCTCCTAAATGTGAGCATGTAAATGGAATTTACATTCTCCAGGTGAGGAGAGACTTGCTTTTTATTCCCTGTAACACTGGCCCCAACACTCCAGCAGAGCAATGGCATCTGTTGTCAAGTGTTTCATTACTCAACAATTAAATAAGAAAAAGATAAATTTATTCAATTTTTCTGAGATTGTGCTCTCTTAAATTAATTCAGTTAAACTCTCCTTTCTTTTTGAAATTAAGCTTACGTAGATGGGAAGGGAAAGTTATGCCCTTAACCAGAAAAAACAAAAGTAGACAAATCTATGTCAGTCCCATTTTAAATTTTATTTTATACATTTTCGTGAAATAACAAAACCTAGGAACTGCTGCCTTATTACACACACACACACACACACACACACACAGCCTTCAAAAATATTTCTTAATTGATGAATAAGTGAGGGAATTATGCCTGTCAATTTTTTAATTCACAAATTACTTCCTGTGGGAACTGAAGCAGTTACATTCTTCCAACAGGCATCAGGTGGCTGCTGTGTGCATTTGATGGTCCTGTATGGGCATATGTGGGTCAGTTACTACAAGGCAAGTTTGGGATTGCCTGTGAATTACTAAATTGTGACTTTTTGAGATCAAAAGTACAGTAGAGATTATCTGTATCAACCACCCTTCCACTCGCCAGTTTTGAAGAAGAGGAGGCTGGAACTTGGAGACATCATAGGGGCTACAGAAAGCAGAGACAGGTTAGAAACAAGGACTCCTCCTGTCCCTGGTAAGTTCTAACTTGTTTAATCAAAAGAACAGCTGGGGCCTGTCATGGTGGCTCATGCCTGTAATCTCGACACTTACAGAGGCCAAGGCAGAAGGATCGCTTCAACCCAGGAGTTTGAGACCAGCCTGGGTAGCATAGCAAGGCCTCGTCTCCACGCACAAAAAAAACAATTAGCCTGGGAGGTCAAGGCTACAGTGAGCTGTGTGGGCTGTGATCATGCCACTGCATTCCAGCCTAGGTGACAAAGTGAGATACAATCTCCAAAAAAAAAAAAAGATCATCTGGACTCATGCGTGCCTGTGCAGGTGTGTTGTATGAATTTCACAGGACAGACAGAGAATAGACCTGCTAAGAGAGACTGCAAGAAAATGACCCCTGATATTTTTTAAAGCTGAGAAGTAAGTGCTGAAGGCAAGCCCCAACACCCGCTACAGCATAATCAGTATTGATGACAATAGAGTCCTGGGAAAAACATTAAACCAGGGGAATTTGGCTTTGTCACCTCCAATCTCTATTAATTTTTTTTTCCTTTCTTCTATATCATGACTCCTGACATTTCCTCCTAGCTGGATGATGCCCCTTTCTCCAGAATGTTCATCAGGCAGCCATTGGAGAGTACACCATTCTCCAATACTTCCTCCCTAAATCTGAACCAGAAATGGGCTATTTTAGCATGGATTAAGAAAAAATAAACACGGTTAAAGAAACTCATATATAATGGGAATGAAGTGAAAAACTCACCCTAAGGATATCTGATTTTTAAAAAAAGAAACTTGGCCAGGTGCTGTAGCTCATGCTAGTAATCCCAGGACTTTGGAGGACAGGAGCAGGAGGATCACTTGAGCCCATGAGTTCAAGACCAGGCGTGGGCAACATAGGGAGACCCCCTTCTCTACAAAACACAATGAATTATAAAATGAATTAGCTAGGCATGGTAGTGCATGCCTGTGGTCTCAGCTCCTCAGGAGGCTGAAGTGGGAAGATCTCTTGATCCTGGGAAATTGAGGCTGCAGTGAGCTGTAATTGCACCACTGCACTCCAGCCTGGGTGACAGAGCAAGACCTCATCTCAAACAACAAAAACAACAAAAACAACCCATTGGGGACAAAAGGTAATGCCTTATACATTGTCGGTGGGATTGTAAATTAGTTCAGCCCCTGTGAAAAGCAGCTTGGAGATTTCTCAAAGAACTAAATGTAGAATTACCCTTTGACTCAGCAATCCCATTACTGAGTATATAGCCAAAGGAAAATACATTGTTCTACCAAAGACACCTGCACTCCTATGTTTGTCACAGCACTATTCACAATTGCAAAGACATGGAATCAGCCTAGGTGCCCTTCAACTGAGGATTGGATGAAGGAAATGCGAAAGAAAACTTACACACCATGGAATACTACACGGCCATAAAAAACAATGAAATCATGTCGTTTGCAGCAACATGGATGCAGCTGGAGGTCATTATCCTAACTGAATTAATGCAGAAACACAAAAGCAAATAATACATGTTCTCACTTATAAGAGAGCTAAACATTGAGCATACATGGACATAAAACAAGGGAACAATAGATAATGAGGAATACTAGAGAGGGGAGGGAGCAGGCAAGGGTTGAAAACCTACTTATTGTGTTCTATGCTTAGTATTTTGGTGATGGATTCAGTTGAAGCCCAAACCTCAGCATTATGCAATATACCTATGTAACAAAACTGCACATGTACCCCTGACTCTAAAATTGAAAAATGTTTAAAGAAACTTATTAACTTATGTTACTCTTTAAATAGGTTTTAGGAGAAAGAAATTGTCCTCCTTATTCCCTCCTCTCTCCACTCCACCATGTCTACAAGTCAGATGCAGACCAGAAACACGGAAGTAAGCCAACATACAATTTCTGAACACTTGTTTTTGTTTTTATTTAGTTTTGTTTGTGTTTGTTTGTGCCAAATGGAAAGAGAACATACAATCACTGGAGCCAACATAAAAGTTGTGATGTACTGACACACAATGATTTTTTTGATAATAAAACTTGGCAATTCATAAATAAGCAGAATTGGAATTGTTTACACCAGTTTATGTGCAGTTTAATAGATAAGGAACAAATTATTTAATGCACTTTTCCTCCTAGGAATTGCATAAATTACATCAAGCATGATGCTAACCAAACATAGATGGGATCCCAACTTTTCAATTTACTATCTGTTGGACTAAGGGAATGTTACTTGAATTCATGATGCACCAGGCTATTCCTCATACATTCAACAATAAATGTATTGATTTCCACCAATTTTCTGGGCACTGTTTTAGGCCCTTGGATATATCAGTAAATGAAGCCAAGGTCCCTGTCCTTGTGGAGCTTACATTCTCATGGGGGGAGACAATAAGCAATAAATGTAATGGATTTGCAACTTTATAGGATGTCAGATAGTGGAAAGAAACAGAGTCTCATTGAGAATAGGGAATTTGAGAAAATAAGTGAAGGACATGAGGGATTTGGCCATGCAGATATCTGGGAGATGGGTAGATCAGGAAGAGGAAGCAGTCAGCACAAATGTCCTGAGGTGAGATAGTACTGGAGTGGAGTAGGAGATGTAGTCAGAGGAGAGAAAGGGCTGGATCAGGCAGGACCTTGTAAACCATTCTATAGACTGTAGTTTTTACTCTGAGTTGAAATAGGGAAGTGTAGAAGGGTTTTGAGCACAAGTGTCACATCATCTGATGTACATTTTTAGCAGAACCATTCTAGTTTCTTTTTTGAGAATCCACTGAAGGAGGTCAAAGGTAAAGGAGGCAGGGAGACCAGCTATGAAACACTGCAGGCATCCTGGCAGGAAACAATGGTGGTTCAGACAATGGTGGTACGATGCAAGTGGCAAGAAGGGGTGAGATTCTCTACATATTTACAAGCCAAGCCAAGGAATTTCATAGTGAAAAAAACACATTTATATATGTGTGAGAAATAGTGAAGCCAAGGATGACTACAGGATATTTGACCCGAGAAACTAGAAAGATGGAATTGTTATCAACAGAGATGGCATAATTACAAAACGCAGGATACACCAGATGGCCAATTTTGGATATGTTGAGCTGAGGCTATCAGTTAGATATCCACTTGGAAATATCAAGTAATTAGTTAAGTTTAGAGGTTGGGAGAAAGGTGTGGCTGGAGACATAAATTTGGGAGTTGTTGGTATAAAAATGTATTTAAAGTCATGAGACTAGATGAGATCAATGAGGAAATTACTATAGATTAAGAAGAAAATAGGCCGGGCTCGGTGGCTCAGGCCTGTAATCCCAGAACTTTGGGAGGCTGAGGAGGGCAGATCATGAGGTCAGGAGATCGAGACCACCCTGGCTAACACAGTGAAACCCCATCTCTACTAAAAATACAAAAAATTAGCTGAGCATGTTGGCACACGCCTGTAGTCCCAGCTACTCAGGAGGCCGAGGCAGGAGAATCGTTTGAACTCAGGAGGTGGAGCTTGCAGAGAGCCGAGATTGCTCCACTGTACTCCTCCAGCCTGGGCAACAGAGCGAGACTCCGTCTCAAAAAAAAAGAGGAAGAAGAAAATAAGCCCAGGGACTGAGCTGGGACCACTTTAACAATAATGGAACTGGGAGAAGAGAAGAAACTAGCAAAGAAGAATGAGAAGGAGTGACCAATGAGGTGGGAGAAAAGCTAGAAGAGTGTGGTGTCCTGAAAGCTAAGTCAAGAAAATTTGTCAAAGAGGAAATGATCAATTGTCAAATGCCGATAGGCCAAGTAAAATGAAGACAAAACATCAACCACAAGCTTTCTAATGGTGTTTATTAGTGACCAAGACGTAAGCACTTTAGACACAGGGAATAGAAGTGGATTAAAGTAGGTATAACAGAGAATGGAGGACGTTAATTGGAGACAGTGAATATATACAATTCATTCCAAGAGTTTTGCTGCAAAGTAATAGTTCAGTAGCTGGTGGAGAAAATGGAATGGAGAGATTTATAAATCCAAGTTCCCTTGAAAGACTCTTTTAGTAGCTGTACACATTGATTAGAATGAATGTACATTAGATCTAAGTTGTGCAGATTACAGTACTTACTACAGAGACAGAGAATTAAACACATTTGATTGGTTGGAAGTAAATATGGCTGGCTGGAGGTCACATTGGTTAGGACTGCTTTGATTGCAAATAACAGAACCTTTCTGAAACCAACTTAAGCAAAAATGGAATTGATTACAAGAATGAGTGTTTTGCAGAACCTGAGGGCACAGATGTAGCTGGCTTTTGGAACAGGTGGGACCTAGGTACTGGATACCTTTAGTAATCATTCTTCATCTGTATCACTTCTCCTCTCTGCAAATCTGCTTTATCCCTTTTCTTTTGTTACGCAGGCCAGTTTCCTCTACATCTCCTGGTGAAGTCCTGAAGCACATCTCCCTCAGAAACCTCCCCAGTTTACCTATCCTTTGCCCACTCCGAAAACCAATTTTCCTCATTGACCAAACCTATGTCAAGTGCCCATCTCTGACCCAAGCAATTGAAGTAATGGGGGTTGTCTTATATTGTAAAACCATGGCTGAAAGAAATAACTTCTATGGGTAGAATGAGCAACTTCCAGACTATGTGGGAGCTGAGCCAAGGGTAGAAAACATAAACTGTAAACACTACACAGGTGAGAAATCTTCTGAATACAATAAAAGTGGGGATAATGATTATGAATATCGGCCAAAACAACAAATAATTTATACATGTATACATAATTGACAAAATATGCATGTATATATGTGCATATATATATACATGTACATAAACATGCACATATATTTGGCTTGAGATTGTATTATATAACTTTACTGGAATATTTACCTTCTTAATTGTGATTTACTAGGATTATAATAAAATGTATTTATATTCAATTAACAGTGAATTTAGACAGGATAGAAATGGATGGATAAAGGAAGTCCCAGTAGTTACCTACACATGCATCCAATTGCATTTTTCTCACGAAGGTATTGAGCTACCAATGATAGTGACAGGAGACAGACAAGTTCCTAGGCAGACAAGGATGAGTCCCCAGTGAAACTCGACCCTCAAGTCAAGGACAGTCTGAAGCCTGAAAACTGAGCTGCCAGTTCTGGATAGAGTCCAAGACGGGAGTGAGAAGTTCCATCCCTGTCTTACCCACTCTCTCTCAATTGGTTCCTTCTGAATGATCCCTTTTAACAAATTGAATGGTGCCTTTTCCAAGTGCATCCATGGACCAATCAGCACACATTCCCCCACTCTAAGCTCATCAAAACCCTGGATTCAGCCTCACAGATGGAAACCCGTTTTCGGGTCCCCTCTCGCTGATGAAAGCTTTCCTTCTGTCGCTCAATAAAATTCTACTCTGCCTTACTCACTCTGCGGTTTCCACGTATCTTATTCCTCTTGATTGTAGGACAAGAACAAGGAACTTGTCAAACTGCAGGAGTGAAAGAGCTGTAATGCTCCCATTCACCAAGCTGTGGGAGGTGGAAGCAAAAAAACTGCTGGGCACCACTTCCTTCCACTCACTGAACTATGGGAGAGAAAAAGCTGTAACACTGAGAACTAAAGTGACATGCTTAAGACATTTCAGCTGGCTCACAGAAAACCAGAACTTTTTTCACCTACTTTAATCCTACCAGTTGGGTAAATACTGCCTAATTCTAAACTTCGAGAGAAAACACATAAGATTACACAGGTAACTAAGATATGTTTATAAGAAGCTATCTTCATCTTTCAAGATGAACTGATAAAGGTCATAATGTTGTAAAGATTGAAGTTAAAATTATATATGTATAAATTATATGTATATATATGCACCTTATATATATGCAGAGACCCATATGTATATATGCACCTTACAGTTTACTATGCTTAGAAAACAACTGTCTGCCTAATTTGTAGCTGTAGCAGCATTTTATAAATGTGAGAAAACCAACCTTGAATTAAATGCGCATTATAAGAGGGGACAGCTGGGACTGCCCCTGTGGCAGCCTGGAGCCCTCTGGGAGCTGGGAGATGGCAAGCCCACAAGAGAAGAAGAGGCAGCACATCACTTGCACCAAGTTCCCTTCAGCTCCAGCATGTCCTCCAAGTGGCAGCTGACCCCCTTCAGACACTGTTAAGAGAAAGAGCAAGAATGTCCTCTTGTTGAGCCAGTCACAGAAAACATCTTAACAGCCTAGTTAGCAGAGAGTCATCTTTTCCTAGATCTTGTGTCACATCTTATTAGATTTAGGATACTATTATCCTACTTAGGAAATTTGAAGTGTCCTTTTGATGGCTAATGCCACAAGTAAAATGTTAAACTATAGACATTTTAGAATAAAGAATCAGACTTCTCTCCCTAAAATTATACTGGAAAGCTCTCAGGATTTCTTTCAAGTTTGTCCTGGGTTCCAAGTTGGCCTTATCAGCTCTTCATAATTAACAACAGTACTTACTCTTTCCGAACCTCTCTTCAAAACAAAGAAGGTAACAATAGCTACTTGATTGAGTTGACTTCAAAATTAAGTTAGGTAATTTATCTAATGTGCCTAGCTTCTAACTTCTGCTAAAACAGAACACAACAACAACAAAAATACTTTTTCCCTTGTTTCCAAGCTGCTATGGTCTGAAAGTTTGTTTTCCTCCAAAATTCATATGTAGAAACCTAATCACCAATGTGATGGTATTAGATGGAGCAGCCTTTGGGAAGTGATTTGGTCGTGAGGGTTGAGCCTTCATGAATGGGTCAGTGGCCTTATAAAAGAGACCCTAGAGAACTGCCTTGCCCCTTCTACCATGTGAGGACACAACAAGAAGGTGGCATCAATGAACAAGAAAACTGCTCCTCACCAGATACGGAATCTGCTGGCACCTTGATCTTGGACTTCCCAAGCTTCAGAATTGTTTATAAGCCACTCAGTCTATGGTATTTTGTTATAGCAGCAATAATGGACAAAGATAGCACCCTTCATCCTTACCGTATCCTTTCCCTCCTCTACTCCTGCCCCAACCTCTTCTAGTTTATGGTAGAAAGAGTGAGCATTACAGAAGTTGCTCAGAATCTCACTTACACCTAAATATGTTATTTAGTGCACAAATCCTGTCGCATTTTACTTCCTATTTAACAGAGAACTTTCATTATAAATGTATGATTCTAAAAAAAAGGTAAAGAATCCATATTAAATTAAGCCCAGTGATGCCCAATTTAGTCATTGCTTTTTTGACTATCAAAAACCAATCATTTGTATTTTAAGTCGTTCAGCTAAGAAGAAATTTGAATGGGACCGTAATATTGTGAAATATATACTTGGTCTTTGTCCCTGTTTCCCTGATAAATAACTCCTACAATCCTTGAAATCTCCAGAGTGATAAATGTCTTCTGTATGTTGATGAGATAATTAGTGGCTGGGGACCCCTAAATAGCTTCAGGATGGGGGCTGGTTGCCAAGGGAACCAACCAAGTGATTTAGTCCCACCCACCAACCTCTGTGGAAGGAAGAGGGACTGAAGGTTGGGTTGACAAACCAATGGCCAGTGACTTAATCAATCATGCCCAGGTGATGAAGCTTCCCTAAAAACCCGAAAGGATTGAGTTCTGGTGTCTTCCAGATAGCTGAGCACAGGGAAGTTCCTGGAGGGTGGAGTACCTGGGACAGGACATGGAAGCTCCATGCCTCTTCCCATACCTGGCTCTCTGCATCTCTTTCATCTAGCTGTTCATCTGTATCCTTTGTCATATCCTTTCTAATAAATGAGTAAATGTAAGTAAGTGTCACCCTGAGTTCTGTAAGCCGCTTTAGCAAATTAATCAAAACCAAAGAGGGGGTTGTGGGAACGATTTACAGGCAGCGAGTCAGAAGCAGGGACCACAATCTGAAACTTACAACTGGTATCTGAAGTGGAGAACAGTTTTGTGGGTTTGAGCCTTCTACCTGTGAGGTCTGGTGCTATCTCCGGGTAGACAGCATCAGCACTGAATTAAGTTAGAGGACACTTAGCAGGTGTCTACTGAAAAATCAGCTGCAGAATTGCTTGGTGTGTGGAGGGAAAAAAACTCCACTCATCTGAGTCAAAGAAGCATTCTGTGTTGTGAGAGCACAATAGGAAAAACTGACTTTGTTTATTCTTATATCCTTACAGAGGCAATCATATCAGAAACCACAGCAGAGGTCCTCACATAGCTGCCAATCTTATTTTAGTTATAAGAGAGTCTTGGATGCTTTATGGGCAGTTCACACTTAAAATATTGAGTCTGTGTTTTCCTCAACATTCAATCAGCAAATTTTACTTGATACTCTGTTACATGCTCCTGCTAGTTAATAAGGGATACATCACACATACACACATGCATGTAAGTATATACATATGCATATACTTATGTATGTGACTATATGCCTATTTTTTTTTAATTCAAGTGACTTATAATCTAGCTGGGATATTCTTTATTTTTTAATCTAAAAACCTAAGATTCTCCATAGCTGGGATATTCCAACAGTAAAGACTGACAAGCAAGTCTTGTGATATAAAGTGTATTACAATTAAAATATCAGTAACAAATTTTTATGCTATGGTTGACTGCATTTTTAGCAATATTTTAAGGAAAATAAAGGTAAGAATTAGAAGAAGATGATCTGCATGGTCTCATGAAGTGTATACTTTCTTGTAATGCAATATAATATAATTTGTAATACAACATCAATGTGGTAAATATGGCATTTTAGTCAGTTTCATATATCTATCTATATATACATATATAGATAGATAGATATGAAGAGAGTGAGAGGCAGAGTCTCACTCTGTAACCAAGCAAATAAACTATATGTGTTGTAACTAGGCCAGATGTATTCTTCAGGAGTTGGAGCCTTTGAAAATGGGCCATTCCCATTTTTTTAGGAAAGCATAAAAATATTTCATCAAATAAAATTATTCCAATGAGCTTTGGCTGTTTTGATTTCTGGATTCAGAAATTATATTGCATATTTTCTGACTTAAATCCATAGATACCGAGGGAATGAAAAACAAAACAGGATATTATATGGCTGTTTCCAATACATAAACAGTTAATTGATGTTTTGTATTTTCATTGTATAGTGTAACTTTGCATAGACATAGCCAAGGAGCTTTATCATCACACATAAGCTGTTTATGTAGTGTTTACTAAATTTTCTCAATTGAATCCAATTTTTGTTTGTTTTATCCTTATAGTGCAGAAATTATATTAATTACCTGTAAATATATTTCCAAAGAGTCCAGGGATCCACTGTAGGAATTCTTTCATTTAGCAAGTATTTATTCTATGCTTGCATTCACCAAGCACTGGGATATAATAGTGAGCAATAACAAGTAAGATCTCTTCCCTAATAGAGCTCATATCCTAGTGGGTAAGAGAGCCATCAGTCAAATAATTATAGAAATCCATGTAAAATTGCAGCAATGATAAGTACTATTCAAGTTTGTGGTGCTAGAGAAGCTTATCTTAGTAGAATCCGACTTTGTCAAGGACGTCGGAAGAGTTTTCTAGAAAGTGATCCTTGAATTAAGCTCTGAAGGAATCCATTAAGATACCATCTCACACCAGTTAGAATGACAATCATTAAAAAGTCAGGAAACAACAGGTGCTGGAGAGGATGTGGAGAAATAGGAACACTTTTACACTGTTGATGGGACTGTAAACTAGTTCAACCATTGTGGAAGTCAGTGTGGTGATTCCTCAGGGATCTAGAACTAGAAATACCCTTTGACCCAGCCATCCCATTACTGGGTATATACCCAAAGGACTATAAATCATGCTGCTATAAAGACACATGCACACATGTGTTTATTGCGGCACTATTCACAATAGCAAAGACTTGGAACCAACCCAAATGTCCAACAATGATAGACTGGATTAAGAAAATGTGGCACATACACACCATGGAATACTATGCAGCCATAAAAAATGATGAGTTCATGTCCTTTGTAGGGACATGGATGAAATTGGAAATCATGATTCTCAGTAAACTATCGCAAGAACAAAAAACCAAACACCGCATATTCTCACTCATAGGTGGGAGTTGAACAATGAGAACACATGGACACAGGAAGGGGAACATCACACTCTGGGGACTGTTGTGGGGTGGGGGGAGGGGGGAGGGATAGCTTTAGGAGATATACCTAATGCTAAATGACGAGTTAATGGGTGCAGCACACCAGCATGGCACATGAATACATATGTAACTAACCTGCACATTGTGCACATGTACCCTAAAACTTAAAGTATAATAATAGTAAAATAAAATAAAATAAAAAAGAAAATAGAGTTCCAGGGAGAAGGACTAGAATGTGCAAAAGCCCTGGATATGCAAATCTGATAAGGCTAAGGCAGAGAGAGATCAACGGTGGTCTTTGTTTAAGAGCATGCAGAAGAGGTGCATTCAAACACGACCATGCAGATCATTTGATAAATTTTACTTTTAGCCTAAAAGAACTGTGACACATCTAAGAATTTTAAGCAATGAGGTGGCATAATCAGACTCATATATGATAAATAACCCTCCGACTTCTGCTTACCGTGAGACATATAGTGTATAGGAAACAGGGTAAACACTGGTAGACCAATTACTAGGATATACAATCAAAATGAAAAATAATGGCAGCTTGGAGATACAGAAAAGTGGTTATATTTTAAAAAATAGTTAAGAGGTTCCGTTTTTGGCCATGGTAGTATAACTGTTCTCAGACTTGTCTTTCTGCAGTAGGCAAGTATAAAACTGGGCAAAATATACAATGCATTGTTTGCATGTATTAAATAACAGAGAGACTTGACAGAAGAAAAACTCATGAAGTGAGCTTCATAAATGACACAGTCCTCTGAATGGGGGCACTTTCCCTACTGCTAGCACAGGAGGAAGAGCTCAAACTGCAGCAGGCACAGTGAGCTGAAGGAGAGAGTTGCGTATTAAGGCAGCTGAAGTGGCTGGGATTTGCAGGACAAGGTACCTGAGAAAAGGGAGTTGTGCAAGGGTTGGGGGAAGGTCACCATGAGTCTGTATTAGTAGTTCACCATGAGCCCTTACTTCAAGGTTAAGCTGTACATGAACAGGGAAAACTATGCAAGACCTAGCAGAGAGTGATAGCTATGGGATGGAATGTCAAATGATGGTATCGAGTCATACAGTATTGGGAGACATTTGAGGCCCAGCTCAGCCAGAGAAGAAAGAATTCAAAAGCCCTTCGTGCATTTAGCTGAAACTCCCCAAAAGACACAATTTTTGAGTAAGGATAATGCCACACTCAATGGCTAAAGTCAAAATCCAAAGAGATTCGCCCTAATAAAAAATACAACCATGCTTGACATGTTCAAAAGGAGCTGCCAGTAATGTATTGTCTTCCAGAACAAAACTAATTAACCAATTAACAGATGCTAACATAACCCAGAATCTCTACAACATACCACCCCAAGTGTTTAACATAGAATTTTGGAAAATCCAGACTTGTAGGTAAATATGACCCACAATCAAGAATAAAAGCAATGAACAGAAACAGAATATGAAATGTTTCGGGTCCTGGAATTGGCAGACAAAGACTTTAAAAGAGTTATTGTAAATATATTTCAAGGCTTAAAAGAAAAAATGGTTGAAGTGAGTGAAGAGATAGAGTTTCTCAATACAAACATGAAAATGATAAGAGAATCACATGAAAAATCTTGATCTGAGAGTATAATACCTGAAATTTAAAATCAAAACAAAACATCAAAAGGTCCCAATGGCAATATGAAGACAACAAAAGATCCAGTGTATATGAGGAGAGATCAGTAGATAGTATTAGATCTAAAGGGAAGAAAGGAGACTAAAACAATCCTCAACAAAACAAAGCACAGAAGAACAAAGCCTCAGTTACATGTGGGATAATATGTTGAAGTCTAATGTTCATGCATTTAAATGTTCCAGAGGGAGAAGAGAGATGGAACCAAAAAAAAGCCTAAATAAAAATAGCTAAAAATTTTCAAATTTTGTAGAATTATAGTACAAAAAGAATCACTTAGGTATGTCATACTCCAACTGCTGAAAACCACAGATATAAAGAAAATTGTATACGCTTACACCTCAAGAAGCTAAAAAAAGAAGAGTAGTGAACTCAAAATATATAGGCACAAAAAATAAAGATAATAGCAGATGTCAATGAAATAAGAAAAAAGAGAAAGTTAACCAAGAAGTTGATTGTTTATAAAGTGTAATAAATTGGCAAGTATTAACATTACCAATATCAGGAATGAAGAATATATACACTGAAGACATTTGAAAAGTAACAAAAAAAAACTGTGAATAACCAATAATTAACAAAAGTAGATAAAGTGGACAAATTGTCTAAAAAACACAACTAACCAAAATTGACACATGAAGAAATAGAAAACTTAAATTACCCTATATCTGTTAAAACTATTGAATTCATCCTCAAAAGCCTTCCCACCAAAACACCCTCAAAATCCAGATGGCTTTGTTAGTAATTTCCATTCAATATTTTAGAAGAAATTAATGCCAATTCTACAAAAATTATTTTTTAAGAGAAAAAAAGAGTGAACACTTCCCAATTCATTGTATGAGGGCAGCATAACCCTAATACCAAAAACTTGACAAAGACGTTACAATAAGGTAAAATTACAGACCAATATCCCTCATGAACATATATGTAAAAAAGAATAAAAAAAGAATAAACTGCTGACATAAAAAACCATGAGGCTCAAAAACATCATGTAGAATGAAAGAGGCCAGATCAAAAAATATATATTTTATAATTCCTTTTGATAAAAGTTTAAGAAAAGGAAAAAAAAAGCTGAAGTCAGAAAAATGAGATGTGTAATTTCTTGAGGTGTGGGAAGGAGGTGGAAATTGGCCAGCAGGGAACATGAAAGAACAATCTGGGATGCTGGGTATGTTCTATATCTTGATTGAGGTGATGATTAAATAGCTATATAGGTATAGATATAGATGGACAGAAGATAGCTAGCTAGATGTTAATAAATAGAATAAAAACTAATCAAATAATACACTTAAGATCTGTGCATGCCCCTTTACATGTATTTGACCTCAATTTTTAAAAAAGATGACTAGAAGGAAAATCATTGTAATCTGGTGGCCAATTACAAATAGTGTGTGTAGAGAGAAATGCAGTTATTGAGTAGAGATACTCAGGAAGCAAAGTGAAGTTTGATAAAACATTTTTCCTGCCTTAAAACTGCTTAAATTTCTCTACCTGGTGTATGCAGGTGATGGAAGGGATAGAGAACCAAATAAGAAATACCTTAAAGGAATTCAAAACCAGCAAAGGAGTGAGAAACATATGTAGTTCTGACGTAGTCAACTGTAACTCATTCATTCCATAATTGAAATAACAACATCCAACAGGAAATGAAATAGGTTGTTGATAGCCTGCGCAGCCAAGTTTATTATTCAAGAAGTTTGCTGAAGTTTATCCACAAAAGATTATCCTGGCTTTTAAACTGCAAATCCTAGAAGTTTTTTTTTGGCAAATAGAATGTGTACACAGAAAAATGATTACTGCCAAAGAAGGGGACAGTAAAAGAACAAAGGGAAGAAAATAGCATGGGAAAGCATTGCTTTGTAATTCTACTACACGTTGATTGATAGAACTGGCATCTTTCAAGCTCTGTCACAGCTGCATTATAAAGCCGTCACTGCACAGGATATTGATGGATACTTAAAACATGCAAATAGCAGGAGAGATCATTTTTCACAAAGTTTTGGTTAATCAGGATGGCTTGAGTCCCCAGGGGAAGGAAAAGGAGAAAGGTCAACCTTGGCATTCATTCAGAGCAAAGCCATGCCACCCCACTGTGCTTTGGAAGTTATGATGAGTTACAGGAGCTCTCTGCCAGCATCCCCCTTAGAGTGGGTTGGGAATCTGCAGATCTCACCTCCTGCTAACTGGAGAACACAGACTCTAGTCTAAAGAAAATTAAATTTTTATTTCATAAACATATATTGGTGAATTCACTTACACACATTTGCAGGCATGATAGCTTGTAGTTTTTTTCTAAGAAAAAAGCACAAAGCACATAGTTCAGAGATATCATATCTAGTATCCCATCAAAAATCAGCAGAGGTATGAAAGGATAGTATCAATGATTAGCCATTGTTGTGTATTTAAAAGTAAGGTCAAATCTAATATTAATTTTTAAGAATGTAAATTAAGTCAAAAGACTTATCTTGATGTTTCACCCCCCTAATCTTTCTTGTAAGTTGAAATTGTTTTAGAATAATAAGCCCATAGATAGGAATTAAGATAAATATATGTGTATATATTTGTATACATGGATATATGTACATATAGAAATACATATATGTAATTCTCTATTATTATAAATAATGCTCTTTAAACATGCCTCTCTATCTCTTCAAATTTTCATTGAGTTCATTTAGAATTTTGGATGTGATTTTAAATAATTAATTTTATAAGCTATGTATCTTTCAGAAATTATTTTAACATTTGCATTGTTTCATAACTGTGCTGAAACTAATGTGAATGGAACCCCATGGAGATACACACTGGGTTGATTAAGCATTTTATGGCCCTATTGCTCAGCACTTTTTTTTAAAACTAAGTCTCTCTCTTTCTTTCCTTTTTTTTTTTTCAAGATGGGGTCTCACTCTATCACCTAGGCTGGAGTCAGTGGCATAATCATGGCTTACTGCAGCCTTGACCTCCCAGGCTCAAGCAATCCTCCCACTTCAGCCTCCAGATAACTGGGACTGCAGGCACATGCCACCATGCCTGGCTAATTGTTTTTATTTTTTGTAGGAAGAGGGTCTCTCACTATGTTGCCCAGGCTTCTCTCCCTTTCTTAAGTTCCTTATTGTGACTCATTTCTCAGTCTTCTGCAGATTTCTTTTCAAAGATCATCTTTTCCAAAAACGTTAGAGAATGATGTATTTTTATTTAGTCCTTTCATGTCAGAGAAACTTTATGTGCCTGTTTTTGTTTTTTCTTTTGTTTGTTTATTTGTTTGAGTCAGAGTCTCACTCTGTTGCCCTGGCTGGAATGCACTGGCACGATCTCAGCTCACTGCAACCTCTGCCTCCCAGGTTCAAGCAATTCTCTTGCCTCAGCCTCCCAAGTAGCTGGGATTACAGGCATGTGCCACCATGCCGGGCTAATTTTTTGTACTTTTAGTAGAGACGGGATTTCACCATGTTGGCCAGGCTGGTCTCAAACTCCTGACCTCAAGTGATCTACCCGCCTGGGCCTCCCAAGTGCTGGGATTACAGGGGTGAGCCACTGTGCCCAGCCTTATGTGCTTTTACATATACATAAAAAATGGGCAATAGAATTTCTGGGTGATGGGTCTTCCCATCAAAATTTTGGGAAATGTATTTCAAAGGTTTCTGTTAATTTAGTCCAAGGAGAAATCTGATACTAAAAGGAAATATTTTTGTTTTACGGATACTATGTTTTAATTATTTTTCTTTTCTGAATATGTATAAATACGTTTTTCTTATATTTTCAATTCAAACATCTCACCAGCAAACGTAAATGTAGATCTGTAATCTACAATTACAGATTGTAATGTAGATTACTGTAAATGTAGTGCCTGTAATCCCAGCACTTTGGGAGGCCGAGGCGGGCGGATCACGAGGTCAGAAGATAGAGACCATCCCGGCTAACACGGTGAAACCCCCGTCTCTACTAAAAATACAAAAAATTAGCCGGGCTTGGTGGCGGGCGCCTGTAGTCCCAGCTACTCAGGAGGCGGAGGCAGGATAATGGCGTGAACCTGGGAGGCAGAGCTTGCAGTGAGCCAAGATCGCACCACTGCACTCCAGCCTGGGTGACAGAGGGAGACTCCGTCTCAAAAAAAAAAAAAAAAAAGAAAAGAAAAGAAAAAAATATATATATATATCGATAGATAGATAGATAGATCTTATTCATTGATTTTTCTCTAATCCTCAGTGAGCCCTTTCTATAGAATTTATTTAACAAATATTTATTAACTACCTTTTTTGTGCTAGTCACTGTTCTAAACTCTAAGAACACAAATATGAACAGAAAAGACAAACATCTTTGCCTTCATGAAACTTACACTCTAGTTGGAAAGAAATAAAACTAAATAAGCAATAGATTATGCTAAATGAAACTGCTGTTTTTGTAGGTCAAAATGGTTTACTTTCAGCTATTTCATATGGCTCAACATATTAAATTTATAGTGGGTTAGATGGTGGTAAGTGCTAGGGAGAAAAACTACAGCCCGATTAGGGGAAAAGAGAGTACCTGGGAGAAAAGGTGGTTGTAGTCTTCCATGTTCAAAATTGTTAGTGGTTGTCTGTACTCTTATGATGCATATCAGACCCATAACAGGCCCTGTAAGGCTTTACCTGCCCTAACCCTACATACCTTTTCAGCCTCGTCTCAAATCATTCTCCACTTCTGCTCCTATCGCACCATCTGTCAATCTGTCATACCCTCTATTGAACATACCCATTCTTCCTCTTCTAGTCAGATGTCTCTTTTACTAAGTTCAGTCTTTCACTTGAGTTTCAAACCCTGCTCTGATCATGTGACCCAGTTCTACCTGCTCAGTCTCATACCCTTCCCTTCAGCCTGAGCTGGACTCAAAATCAGTTGGGAACCTCAGCTCCTCCAGTTCAGGGAACTGTTATTGCTGGTTTTTGCCCCTCTAGTAGTTAACATTACACCCTAATTGTTTTCAGTCTTGATGGCAGATTTTATTCATTTGGAAGCTTTTTAAAAATATTAATTTCAGGTCCATCCTAGATTTGTTAAATCAGAAAATCTAGAAGTAAATCCCAGTATAGATGTATTAGTTTGTTCTCATGCTGCTAATAAAGACATACGCAAGACTGGGTGATTTATAAAGGAAAGAGATTTAATTGACTCACAGTTCCACATGGCTGAGTGGAAGGCAAATGAGGAGCAAAGTCACATTTTACACGGTGGCAGGTAAGAGAGCTTGTGCAGGGGGGCTCCCCTTTATAACCATCGATCTTGCGAGAGTTATTCACTAGTATGAGAAGAGCATGGGAAAGACCTACCCCCATGATTTAAGTACCCCCCACTGGGTCCGTCCTAAGACATGTGGGAATTATGGGAGCTACAATTCAAGATGAGATTTGGGTGGGGACACAGAAAAACCATATCAATAGATATTGCTTAAAAATTGCCCCAGGTGATGCTAGTTTGCATATAATTTTGAGGAACTTTATAAAATCCTGACACCTGAATTCTACACCCCCCCCACCTTGAGACTCTGATTTTATTGGTTTAGGGGTGCAGACTGGGCATTGAGATGCTTTAAAGTTCCTTAAGTGATTCTACCGTGTAGCTCGGTTAAGAACAACTGGTTTGGGTGCTGGATCGTTGTGACCTATAACGGGACCAGGAAGAACCTACAGAGAAAGAAGTTACTGATTTTGCAGGGGATGGGTGGGGAGTGTAGGAGAGAAAACAAACATTTTCCTCTACCTTCTTAGATCTGCAGCTAGCCTATAAATTAAACTGACAAAAGGCAGATTAATAGGAGAAAAGGCATAAAATTTTTATATGATGTTAACATTTTAATTTCTATGTTCATCGAGGCCTATGTAGGAAAGAAGTGAAGACTCAAAGAAATGGTTAAAAGGCAGATAGCTTTTTCTGTGTTTGTTTTTACTCGGTTGCCTTCAGCTCAAAATAATTTTTATGCCAAAATCAGGTATTCTGGGGATTGCATATTCTAATTCCTTTCAGGGGAAGAATGTTAAATATAGATGCAGAAAGTAATTATAATGTCAATAACTAAGTATGTGGCACATAGTAGGTATCAGACAATTTTCTAAGTACTTTGTATATATTTACTCATTTATTCCCCACAAAAATGTGATTCTATTCCTCAATTTACAGACAAGGAGACTAAGAAAAAATACATGTAGTTTCTTGTCCAAGATCTACATCTAGTAAGGAGTCAGGATTCAAACCAACTGGTGCCAGAATCTACTTTCTCAATCACTGGCTAGACTACCTTGCCTCTAAGTGGTCTAGAATAGCTCCAGGACTTATTTATTTATTTATTTATTTACTTTTGAGACAGGATCTCACTCTATCACCTAGGTTGGGAAACAGTGGAGCGATCTCAGCTTACTGCAGCCTCAGCTGCCTAGGCTAAAGCAATCCTCCAACCTCAGCCTCCCAAGTAGCTGAGACTTCCAGGCCCCTGCCACCAGGCCTGGCTAATTTTTATATTTTTTGTAGAGACAGGGTCTCACTATATTACCCAGGCTGGTCTCAAGCTCCTGGGCCCAAGTGATGCTCATGCCTTGGCCTCCCAAAGTGTTGAGATTACAGGCCTGAGCCACTGCCCCTGGCTTCAGAGACTATTTTTATATAATACTAAAACCAGTTTTTATTGAAATTAACCCATGTTACATTAAAATGGGAACAAAAATGCATTTATAATTACCTTTCTGCATATGGTTTGTACCCAAGTTAATCCCAAAACACATCTGAACTCCATATTCTAACTTGAAGAGGGTTCCAAGCATGTAATAAAATCCATAAGTGACCTTTATGACAATCCAAGGCTATATTTTCCAGTTTCCTTTCAAGATAGTAAGAAGAGTCGTCCATGAGATATTTTCAGTATTTTGAAAGCACCAGTGGAAATTTTATATGTACCTAGCCCAATTTGGGCCAGCACAGGCCAACTAAGACATCAAAGTTGTTTCTGGCTGAAATTATATCAAATCAGAAGAGAAAAACTGGTATCCCAGCTAATCCAAAATTCTGGTGGTAGCAAAAAGCTCCAAGACTGCATTCAGTTTGTGTTTAGTACATACATACTGCTAGCGAAGAAAAGAGTACCTTTTTCTTGCATACGCTAGCAAATGATTTAGGAGAGCTTGCACAGGACAGGCCTGGGTCATAAACTCCCTCTGAGAGCCTAGGATCAGAGTCAGCCCCACCTGATTCCAGGAGAGGCTTTTTCCCAAGAAGGCGCTGCGCTGACCAAAAGGGATACATCTACTAGAGAAAGAAACTGTAGCTTAACCAGATGATCTTAAACAGATGTAAATATCAAAGTTATTCTAACTCTATTTGACATTACATTCTGTGAAAGTTTTTCTGTTGACCAAAATCATGTGGAAACTCAAGTAGAAGGAAATTACATAGTTAAACCATAAAGTTTTATATTTCTTAAGACATACTAACTCAGTTAATTCCAATAATATTTTTTCAGGCCTTTAATTATATGAGATATATTACATTAAAAAAATTTTAAAGTTTAACATACTGCTTTCACATTTCATATGATGATCTTGGCCTTTATTCTTCTTTGCAAAATAAAGAATAAACTTTGAGATTCAAATTGGACCTGGACTGAATTGCTCTAAACGCATTATCATAGGGAGATCCAAACTTTCCTGCTTAGAGCCCAGGATATTCAGACACCATTTTTATCCCTTTCAGACATTCAAAATGAGTTGAATCTCACTTAATGTCAGAGTAAGCTTTTAAAAGCAAAGAGCAGGAACTGTGCCATATTTTGCATTTCGGTAAGCCAAATGGAAAAATAGAGACTAAAACCCAAAAATGAGAATTTGTCATGCTTCTGCTTTTCTTGAAAATGAGCCTCCCCTGTTTGCTGGATGCCTTTAACCTTCAAACTGTCCTTTCCCCAACAGCCCCACTCCTTTAGAAGATACATGTTTACTTAGAGAAATCTAATTTGTGTTTTGTTAATGTGTGCTGTCTTTACTTGCTATATTACATTAAACAAGAAATAGAGTTACCAAAAAATCATCTTACTTGAAATCATTCATAAGCTATCAACAAGGGAATCCATATACCAATTTCCTCTTTGCTTTATAACTATCCACAGCACTAACTTGACCTTTACCTAAACAGGACTATAATTGCAGTTAAGATTATATAATTTACAATAACAACAAAAAAATTACTTTGGAGGAACTGCTACTGGGCACAAATGTCTCACAACCGTTAAGTGTATCATTCATCTTGAGAAGAAAATTATTCTTATCCACATCGACATTTTTAACATAAACTGTAGTACTCTCTGTTGGCACCATTTTACGTACCCATTAATCTCAATAGTAAAGTCTCAGTCTCACCTACCTACTCTCCGAAGTTTGGATGTCACTACTGTGTACAATAAAAATTGTATATTCATGAACTCCATTTGTTTTATGTCCTTCTCTCTGTCAAAGCCTCCCAAGCAGCATATGCTTTGCTCTGTGGAGAATAAAATCAAATTTGTCTGTCTTGTCATATTGTCATCAAAGTGATAGTATCACAATTAGATTAACATTTTGTGAAGGAGCTGAAGGGAGGGAAATGAAATAGGAGCACATTATAATAAAATCCACTTAACCCTTTCAGTCACAAATCCCTTTTTCTCTTGCACCCGGAGGCAAAGAAGGCAATCAGACTCTAAAATAAGTGACACTGTCAAATTATTATGATCTATGTTGGAATCAAATAGGTCAGTTACTAGGCCTGCGAGGTACATTTTCATTTGAAGGGACCATTAAGATTTTGTGACAACAACAATCTTAAGAAGTAGGACGCTTTCTGGGCTTCTTTAAACTAATCAGTTTGGTATTAAGTTAGCAAGAATTGGTCAGAGTGGTTGGTGGCACTATTTGACCCTTAATATATTACTACTTATTGAAGTCTTAGGCTCCAAACTCAAGGAAAATTTCATGTTCTAAAATGGCTAGGTTGTTGGAAATTTCTTACATTAAACTTTCTGTGTACAGCATAGAAATGTTATTTTCATTTTTAAAAAGTACTATGAGGCTCAAACAGAAAATTTTGTGAGACAGAAGTGAGGCCTGAACTAAGAATGGACTACAATTGAATAGCAATTCTAGCATCAGTTATTCTGACAAGTTTTTCCTTTTTCCCATTGTGTGGAGAACAAAAGAACTCACACATGCAAAGAAAGGCACCAGTTAAAATGGAACTTATATCCACTGTCTGCTCTTGCATAGAAAGGAGAGAACTATCTTCCTCCAGCCTGCCTCCACTAAGGAACCTCAGGAAGGACAGTAGGAGTCACTGCCCCACTCACTGCCCACGAGGGTGTTGGATGAGAGGCACCCCAGTCCCTGAGGCTGCCATGGGACTGATGTTGGGAGCAAGGTGATCTCCTCATTACCCTTTTCCCAGAAAGGATGCAACATTTAGAGGATTAAGACTCACAAGACTTGGAGTATGTCATATCTCAGTCAGCCTCTGTTGTCCGTAGAATTACACAACCTTTCCCCATCCCAGAGCCATCCCCTGCCTTCAACTCTTTTAACATCACAGTACTGAACAAGCAATTTAGCACTAAGTCATGTACCACACAGTGCTGTTCTCTAATTAATTTATACTAATCAGTCTTACCTACATCTCCAGCATCATTGCCTATCAATTCCCTACAACTCTATAGGTCACATTATTTTCCTTGTCTCAACAGTTGCCTCTCACACACATGTCCACCCCTTCACACATGCTCTTACTTCTTAGAATGCTCTACCTGTTCCCTTCACCAGGGTTCACTTGTCTTCAGACTTGGCTCAAGAGTCACGTCTTTAAAGAAACCCCTCCTTTGGGCCTTCATGGCACCCTGCCATAATTTCCCCATAAAATTGTAATGACTTCCTGTGTTTCCTTAGACTATCAGACATCCAGGCAGTAGCTATTCTTTATCTCTAATGTAGAGACTATTACCTAGAACATGGAAAGTACTCATCAACTCAAAATAAGGAATAAATGTGAGAAGAATCTCTAAACATTTACGAAAGACAATGATGATCTCTAGAATGCCAGAGATTTACAGAGGAAATATCTGTAAATATAATACAGATAATTGGTATTGTCTGTACATAACAAAAATTTGTTTCATATTTGGATTGGGTTATTTACCTATATCAGAAAAATACATGGTACTTCTTGATTGGAGCAACCCATGTGACAAAAATTCTCATTTTATTTTTGTGAGAAGGAGAAGCATGAACTGAGTGCTGGTCCAACTAATAGGATATATCACTCGATAAACAAACAAACAAACAAAAACCCTCAAATCATTTTGGTTATTTGACCACCATTTTTTGGAAGAGATTTGTAGTAGTATGAGTAGTGACATATGGGATTTGGTCTTGCCTTTGAATTCTTTATTATTTTAAATCAGTTTTTTAAATAGTAATAACAGTAATAATATTTAAAATACTAAAGTTACTACAAACTTTGTATACATTAACTCATTTAATACTTGCTAGAACCCTTTGGGTTAGGCATTACTATTACTCTCACTTTATAGATGAGGAAACTAGGGCACAGTGTATCTGATAATATGTTGATCATATCTTGAGATGACATAAAGCTGAAATAAGGAGTTATCTATTGGATCATAAAAGCAGGTTTCAACAGAGCTCAGTAGACTGGAATAATGGATGAAAAATTTAATTACTATAGTATGGAGTCTGGCAGAAGTTTGTAAAAAAATGAAATTTTATTAAAGGCTTGCAAAAGATCTGAAATAAT
Source organism: Homo sapiens (assembly GCF_000001405.40). Taxonomy (NCBI): domain Eukaryota; kingdom Metazoa; phylum Chordata; class Mammalia; order Primates; family Hominidae; genus Homo; species Homo sapiens. The sequence continues at coordinate 218,110,506 of NC_000001.11, forward strand.
AACGCTTTTCAACTATTGAAAAATTTCGTTAATTTATTTACTGACTCTTATTAAATCCCCACTACTGCCAATACAAGCCAAGGAGATTTTTAATAGCACGACTTCTTGGAGATGAAACTCAATAATTTGACACCAGATGCATCAGAAATTTCTGGACATGGAATTACTGAAGCCGATCCAAGTGCTATTACAACATTCCATTACCATACTCCAGGATAACCTGCCAAATTCACCTCTTGTCCTTCAACTTTGTCATTCATCATCCTTAATGATGCAGTTTCCTAGCCTCAGAACGAGCAGCTGTTAGGTGCCTACAGGATACCCTCCTCGGTTATTTCCTCTCAGGTGATGTCTTCTCACTCAAAGCATAGGAGGGAACTGAGGCAATTTACCTACATTCAATACTACTTTAACTATCAACATTTAGATCATTTAGACAGGAGTATTTTGAACTTTTAGGGCACACTTTACATGGAAATTTGTAGCAACTCTCTACTTGATTTTTTATGAATGATCTACAAAACAAGCAATTTAGAATAAACTGTGTATGTGTTATCAGACTTGTTTAGAATATGATCCTTTTCACATTATACTCTTCACTCCATCATTTCTAGTGAGGCTTCCAGAAACTTTGTAACAACAAAGAAGAAAACTTATATCCCACAACTAATTGTATAGATTAGACAGGTCAGAAAGTGGTGGTTACAAGGAACTCTCAAGAGTAGCAGTGAAACCACAACAATATGAAGCAGCTTTTTTAGAACTACTCTTCAAACTCATTTGAAGAAATAGATAAAATGACAAATTGTTTCTTTGATTTTCAAATGATTTCATATTTATGTCTATGGTTTCCTTTTAATGCAATTTGTTGTTATATTTCTAAGCCAAAAGTGTAGCCAAGTCTTTAAATAATTTTAGAAATTATACTCTTTATTTTTCAAATATTTCCAACTGGGTAGTGTATAGCAAAATTATTCCACTAAGAACTAAATGAGCCATTAAACTAAATTAATGCTACCATTTCTTTCCACCCATCCTCCCCAATAGGAATTCTAATATCTATTGTAGGGTGTAGCATCTTATATCAATTACAATATCAAAAGAAAATAGATACAGCCTTGTAAAAACCATTTCTTGTCATTGGTAAGTTGTAGTTTTCAAGGAATTTATTCATTTAATTCAAGTTGATTAATATATTGGCATTTAGTTATTTTTATTACTCCAATACTGAATTTTCACATCTGTAGAGGCAGCACTTCTGTAATGATTTTTTAAGGAGCTTGGCCAACCCTTTTCCCACTTTAGCAACCATTTAACTGATAAAAATTATAAAAAGAAAAAAAATTAAAGTGTCTAGAAATCGACCATGAAAATATAGCAAATAGAGAAACATTAATTGAAGAAAATCTGTTATCTCAGTAGGAATAACAAGACTCTAGTCCCCATCATCCTCCCTTCAGCCAGCAACATTTTATGAAAGCTTATCTCAGCTCTAAGGGGCTATGGTTTTACCCTGAAAGGGGCAGGCCATCATTATTTTTCACCCCAGCTCAGTGTTGTAGAAGTTCTGTTTTAAGTGGTCATGACCCAAAACATTGGACTCCCTTTCCCCATTCAGCTCTTAGTTTCAAATTTTTATGTTAATTTCAACAGGCAATCAGTTACTGGGGCTTAATGTCAACACTTCCCCCTCTGCCATATTCCATACCCCTGTCCCAGCTAACTTGTAGAGCAGAGGTTCAATGTTGGGAAGGGCAAATCTAGAAGACCAGGAGTTACCATTTCCTCTGTGTCTGCAGAGGTGTCATTCTGGAAAAGTGGGCCACTGTCCACACCCCAACTAAAGTGCAATAACTCTCAGGTTATGCATAGGGGAGGAAAGGCAGACTGTGAAGAGCTCCAGAACTCGGCCTAAGGGGACTGATTTTATTTGGAACAGAATGTAGAGAACTCCTTGCCTAACATCCTTGTCAAAAACAGTGAAAATCTTGGTGGGCAGAAAGTAAGAGGAGGCTGTTAGCTGCATGAAATAAGCAATATCTCAGTGTAGTTAGACATTTAGAAGATAAATCCAGGGAAAGGAATAGCCAAGAAGAGCTTTGCTGGGATCACAGTCAACTCTGCAATCTACAAGGCTGAATGCATGCACTAGGATGCACCCACACCATTGGCCAATCAGAGAAGGACATGGGGCAGATTTGAAAGTATTCCCCAAACCACCCACAGATCTATTAGCAAATGACAGCAGACTTACTGGTTCAAGGAGCTTCAGCAAAACCTTTGACCAACCACTGACTAAACAATAAGCTACTCTGGCCCAGAGGTGGCTCCAGGAAATTTAGAATTAAAAATAACCCACACTAATTCCTGACAGTCTAGAAGACTATTGCATACCCAAGATTGCATTCTCTCAAGAGTAGCCAGTGAGAGCACTTTTGAGCTACTAGTTCCTGGCTAAATGCAAGGCCAGAAATGTAAAGCAGTCTCCAAGATACACCCACATCTAATATCAAAGGGTGAAAATTGAACTGGCTAAGGGGGTTTACACACGAACCTTGACCAATAAGTGACTTATAATCACCAAAGGTGACTCATAGGAAGCTAAGAGATAAAACAAGGAGAAAAACCTGAGCAGGGATATCACAGACTGAAAAATGCAGGAAAAAAAAAAAACAAAAAAACTTCACTGAGTAGTTCAAACAAGGCAGCAAAAAAATAAATGAACAGTTGAGCAAACAACAACCAGCCCCACAGGTATGGAATCAGTATCCAGAGTTGCTTCAATAAATTATATATAATGTTCAGGTTTTAACAAAAAGACATGCAAAGAAACAGGAAAGTGTGACCCATATCGACATTAGTTTCTTAATTGTAACAAATGTACCTTACTAATGTTAGATGTTAATAATAGAGGAAACAGCTTGGGAACTCACTGTGATATCTTTGCAATGTTTCTATACATTCTAAACTGTTCTACAATACAAAGTTTCCTAAGAAAAAAGAAAACCAAATGGAATTACAGAGTTGAAAATTACAATAACCTAAATGAGAAATTTACTAGTAGAAAGATGAAAAGAAACATAAAATTATTTGAAAAAATAATGGTTAAAAACTTCCCAAACTTCAGGAAAAACACTAATCTACACATTTAAGAGGGTCGACAAGCACATCCTCCAAGTAGAATAAACTCAAGGAAATTCATACCTAGACACTTTATGGTCAAATTGTCTAAAGACAGAGACAAATAAAAATCTTAAAAACAGCCAGAGAAAAATGATTCATAATGTGCAAGGAAATTGCTGACTTCTCATGAGAAATAATGGCAGCCAGAAGTCAGTGAGACAACATATTTAAAGGACTAAATGAAAACTCTGTCAACCAACTATTCAGCAAAACTATCTTCCTAAAGGTGAAATAAAGACATTCCCAGATAAGCAAAATCTGTGATAATTTATTTCTAGCAGAACTGCCTTAACAGGAACATTAAAGGAGTTCTTAAGGCTAAAAGTAGCACCAGAGAGTAATTTGAATTCACACACACACAAGCCCCATGTCCACCCCAACACACAAGCACTCTGATAAAGGTAATTATGTAGGTAATAAGGAAAGACAGCATAATTGCATATTTATTTCTCTTTCTTCACTTATGACACATGTATTTGTGATCTTCTGTCTTTTCCTAGCATATTTAGAAGATAGAAAATTATATAATGCAATAATTACAACAATGTATTATTGGGTTTATAATATATATGCATACAATATGTGTAACAATAATATATCAAAAAAGGAGAAAAAATAGGGAGACATATGAGGTAATTTTTCTATATCTTACTGAAATTAAGTTGGTATAAATCTGAAGTAGATTTTGATGCAATAAGATATGTACTGTAAGCCCTAGAGAAACCACTAAGAAAATAACAAACAAACAAACAAACAAAATGTAATGTCTGTAGGATCTGTAGTGATATCTCCTCTTTCATTCCCGATAGTGATAAAAGATGTTTTCTCTCTTTTCTTTTTCCTTGATCAGTCTGGCTAGAGGTTTGTTAATTGTATTAATCTTTTTAAAGAACCAATTTCTACTTTGATGATTTTTTCTTTGACTTGTATTTCATTGTTTTTCATTCTTATCTTCATTATTTCCTTTACTGTAGTTACTTTGGGCTTAATTAGCATTTTTTTCTAGCTTCTTTATGGTAGTAGCTTAGATAATTGATTTTAGAACTTTTATCTTATCCAATATAGGCATTTTAAAGCAATGAATTTCCTCTAAGCACTTCTCAGGGTGTTCCCTCAAATTTTGATATGTTGTGTTTATATTATCATTCATACATTCATCAATATCATTCACACATTCCTGTTCCTTTTTATTTCTCTTCACTTTCTGGTCCTCTTATTATATGTATATTGGTTTACTTAACGGTGTCCCACAATTCTCTGAAGCTTCTTAATTTCTCTTTATTCTTTTTTTTTTGTGTGCTCTTCAGATTACATAATCTCTATTTATCTATAAGCTCTGATTCTTCTGCCAATTAAAGTCTACTGTTGAGCTTCTCTAGTAAATTTTTCATTTAGGTTATTGTAATTTTTCAACTCTATCATTCCATTTTGCTCTGTTTTTTTCTTAGCAAACTTTTTTTTTTTTTTTGAGACGGAGTCTCGCTCTGTCACCCACGCTGGAGTGCAGTGGCATGATCTTGACTCACTGCAAGCTCTGCCTCCCAGGTTCACACCATTCTCCTGCCTCAGCCTCCCCAGTAGCTGGGACCACAGGCACCCGCCACCATGCCCAGCTAATTGTTTTGTATTTTCAGTAGAGATGAGATTTCACCGGGTTAGCCAGGATGGTCTCGATCTCCTGACCTCGTGATCCACCCGCCTCGGCCTCCCAAAGTGCTGGGATTACAGGTGTTAGCAAACTTTTTATCGCAGAACAGTTTAAAACATACAGAAAAATTGTAAAGACAGCCCAGTGAGTTCCCATTCCCAGATTTCCCTATTATTGTCTAGAAAGATGTTATAATCTTCAACTATGATTTGGTTTCTTCCTTTAGTTTTCTCAGTTTTGCTTGTCCGTAAGTAAAAAATGTTATGATATTAGATTCAAACACATTTAAGAGTTATGCCTTCTTTGCGAATTGACTATTTTATCATTATAAAATGACCCTTTTTCTCTTTTAATAGTCCTCTTGAAATATACTTTTATAATAGTATGAGCTCAACATTCTTGTGTTTAGTTTTGGTTCGTGTAGCTTTTTCTGTCCTTCGGCTTTCAATTTGTTTGTGTCTTAATATTTTAAGTACATATCTTGTAGGTAGTAAAAAGTTGTCTTATTTTTATTATCTGATAATATTTGTCTTTGAACTGAAGTGCTTATTCCATTCATATTTAATGCATTATTGTTAAGATTTGGTTAAATTTGCCATCTTTCTATCTGCTTTATATTCATCCACTCTGTTCTTTCTTCTTTCATTATCCCTTTTGGAAATATTTCAGATTAAACAAATACTTTAGTATCCCATTCTATCTACTCCATTGGCTTTTACTCATATCTCTTTGTATTTTTTAGTGGTTTCTCTAGAGATTCCAATTTGTGTTTTTAACTGATCATAGTCTACCTGGAATTAGCATTACCCACTTCACACATAATGTAAGAATCTTATAACACTATATTTTCATTCAGACTTCTTCCCATCCATTGAGCAATGTTATTATGTATTTTACCTACACAAGTCCTGGACCTTACACTACAATTTTGTTATTTTGTTTTAACAAGTCTACTCAATTTTTTAAAATTTGAGATAAGGAAGAAAATACTATTTTATAGTTACCATTTTCATTGCTCTTCTCGTCCCAGATCCAAATTTTTCTTTCAACTTGAAGAACTACCAGCAGTACAGTTTAGCCGATGACAATCTCTTAGCTTTGATACATGGAAATATCTGTAATTTACCTTCATGTATGAAAGATATATTTATTCAACATACAATTTTAGATTGACAATTTCTTTAATACTCTAAGAATGTACTTTATTTTCTTCTGACCTCCATTGTTTCTGATGAGAAATCATCTATCATTCTTATTGCTGTTCTCCTGTACGTAATGTGCAGTGGTGAGCTGGTAGATGTTTAACAATTGGCTCTCTGTGGGGGGAAACAGCCTGATTTGCAGTGTTTGCTGATTTCCATGGTGTAAATGCCCTGACTATGGCCAATTTCAAGGTACCAACATCACATCATAGAGCACAGAGTTTAGATTGTGAGCACAGATTGTGGCATACACAATCAGCTCTCATGAGTCAGTACAAACCAGCTGCAGCATACTACGGATAATGCATCTTTTTTTTTTGACTTATTTTAGAATTTTTATTTTATCCTTGGTTTTCTGCAATTTGACTATAATGTGTTATTCTCTTAGTATTTATTCTGCTTGGGGTTTATTCAGTTTCTGGATCTGTAGATTGCTGTTTTCGAATACACTAGGAAATTTTTAGCCAATTTTTTTTATATCTTTATGTCCCATTCTCTTTCTCTTTCCTTTCTGGAATTCTTTGATATGTTTTAGTCCACTTGATACTCTCCTACAGGTCACTGGGGGGCTCTGTTCATTTTTTAAAACTTAAAAAAATTTCCAATTTGGATAATTTCTACTGGGCCATTTCTTCTGCTATGTCTAATCATTGGTTAGTTGCATTAAACCAGTTTTTAATATCAAATATTATAATTTTTAGTCCCAAGATTTTCAGTTTATTCTGATTTTACAGTGTTCATATCTCATTTAGGATTTCCCACTCTTTTATCCATTAAATTCATCTTTTTTGTAGATTCTTTAAAATATTTACTATAGCTTTTTGTTGTAGTTTTGCAAAATGGGGATAATACTCATCTGACAAAAGCATAAGAATTAAAAAAAATTAATGCATGTGAATCAGCTATTACAGTATTTGGTACAAGATAAATATTAGTGTCCTTCCCAACCATAAAATAATGCAAAATGTAACAAAAGATTGTTCTTATAGGGAAAAAAAAGTGTTCAAAAGGCTTTTCATATAATTTAATTTTTAAAGACTATAAAATGTTAAAGTCAATGTTAGAAGCCATCTATTTCAACTCCTTCATTTTACTGGTGAGAAAACAGATACACAGAATCACCACCCCCTATACTTTTAATAGATTTTAAACTTTAGGATAAAAACTGTTCCTGAGTTTCCAAGGCCAAGTACAGTGGATCATAGTAGGTGCTGGATAAACATTTATTAAATACCAGAATGAATAAATGTGATTATGAATTGCCAAACATAATATTTACTATGTTTTAATGAATAAAATGCCATGCATTGTGCCATTATTTTATGCACCATTAATAAAGAAAAAACACTGTCAGTTAAATTATGGTATGTCATTGATCATAACCGTTCTGATTTCAGGGATATTAAAAAATAACCAAATATCTTATTCAGCCCAGATTGCTATAGCAAAGTACCATAGACTGAGTGGCTTACAAACAATAGAAATTTATGTTTTACAGTTCTAGAGGCTGGAAGTTAGAGATCAGGGTGCCAGCGTGGTTGAGTTCTACTGAGGACCCTGCCCTTACCTTACCTTACCTTTCTTCTCTTTTCTTTTCTTTTTTTTGAGACAGAGTTTTGCTCTTGTTGCCCAGGGTAGAGTGCAATGGCGCAATCTTGGCTCACTGCAATCTCCGCCTCCCAGGTTCAAGCGATTCTCCTGCCTTAGCCTCCTGACTAGCTGGGATTACAGGCATGTGCCACCATGCCTGGCTAATTGTGTGTGTGTGTGTGTGTGTATATATATATATATATATATATATATATATATATATATATATATATATTTTTTTTTTTTTTTAGTAGAGACGGTGTTTCTCCATGTCGGTCAGGCTGGTCTCAAACTCCCGACCTCAGGTGATCCACTCACCTCAGCCTCCCAAAGTGCTGAGATTATAGCCGTGAGCCACCGCGCCTGGCCCGGGGCCATTTTCTAAGTAGACGATGGCCAACTTCTCACTATGTCCTCATATGGCAGGAAATGAACTAGATAGCTCTTAGATAGCTCTCTGGCCTCTTTTTTTTTTCTTTTTTTTTTTTTTGAGACGGAATCTCACTCTGTCACCCAAGCTGGAGTGCAGTGGTGCGATCTCAGCTCACTGCAACCTCTGCCTCCTGGGTTCAAATGATTCTCCTGCCTCAGCTTCCTGAGTAGCTGGGACTACAGGCGCGTTTCCACCATGCCCAGCTAATTTTTTGTATTTTTAGTAGAGACAGGGTTTCACCTCGTTAGCCAGGATGGTCTCAATCTCCTGACCTCATGATCCACCCGCCTCAGCCTCCCAAAGTGCTGGAATTCAGGTGTGAGCCACAGCACCTCACCTGTGGCCTTTTCTTATAAGGGCACCAATTCCATTTATGAGGACTCCACCCTTGTGATCTAATTACCTCCCAAAGACCTCAACTCCATACACCATCACTTTTGGATTAGGGTTTCAACATATTAATTTGGGAGGGGTGAGGGCACAAACTTTCAGTTCATTTGCATCAAACATATGTCTTAGAATCTATGATATAAAGGCTAAATTAGTGATGGATAGAGCTCTATCTCTTCATTCCTAGTTCTAAGCTCTCTTTATAATATCACATCTTAACCATTCAATACACTTTTTATTCTCAAAGATAACTTCATATTAAAAAATTGTTCTTTTAAGATTTTTCTATTGAAATGAAAATGCTCATTAACTTCAAATCCTGATGAGTTTATATCTAAAGATTTGTTTTTTCTTCAAATGATTTCTGGACAAAAAACGATTTTGAATATGAAACACGATAGGCACTTAGTTACAAAAATGCCATGAAAGGTGTATTGAATCTGCAGGGCAGGTGGTAAGAAACAGGGAAATGGTAATTGGGAAACTGCAAGGAAAATAGTCTGCCAACTTAATTTTTGACCCAGTTGCTCTTGGTTACTCTAACTTGTTTACTGTAGGTCCTGGAGGTGGGGAGAAAATTTTCTTACTAAAAATTATTCGATCGCCTAGAGAAAGTAAGTGGTCCTGACATCAGACTCCGTTCTTTTCTAGTCATTATTATGTGCCAGCTATTTTCTTAACTACAGTCCAAAAAATGTATCTACAACTTTATGGATGCACAAAGAAGCATGTACAGCTGCAATAATTATAGTAGATCACAGACGACACAAAAATGTTGTTGAAAATATAACTAGAAAAACCAAAGGAATGTAACAATTATTTGAGAGGAAAGAATTCTGTGTATATACCAAAATCAAATTGTAATTATTGACTCTAAAATCTACTTTTATGAAAAATCTAAAAGTGTCAGGCATAGCACTAGACACTAGAAAATATAATCAAATGTGAGTAAGGCACAGTCATTGCCTGAGAAGCTCACTTTATTTAGTAGGAAGGCAGACATGTGGACAAAGCCAGAAGGTAACACGCAATTGCAAGAATAGACATTGCTTAAAAGTGCCTTTAGGACGGGAGAGGGAGCAAATAATTCTACATGCCTAGGGACTGGGGCGGAAATTCATAAATTTGAGGAAGACTACAGTCAGGAGGCTACAATCCAGATGAATCTTGGGTGTCTAAGCATTGGTCAAATGGGCAAGATAGAACGTGCCAGTCTGATTTTGAGTTTAAGGCTTGCAAATGAAAATGTGGAAAAGGCACAGCATCTGTCTTGTGATGCATACTGGACAATGTTTCTGCAGTTTATACTCTCACTATTTGTGGTACACCTTCCTCCTCCCAGAAAATATTAACATGCTTTGGAAAAACTCTCTGCAATATATTTACTAAGTGTCCATAGGATAAATATTTTTCTGTATTTCATCTGGAGTCATTGGACATCTTGTAACACAAGACTACGAGGACTTTCAAATATCTACTGCTATCACATGGCTCCACTTGCTTGGCGTCTTAGTTTCTTAGTTTCTGATATAAACCACTAACTCTATCTGCACCTGAAATGGTCAAGGACACACTGTTGACACAATGGTGTCTAGAAGCCAAATAGACAGCTTCAGGCCAGAGAGCTGCTGTGGAAAACTGTCTACATTCACCTAAATTAGAACTGACAACTCAGCCCCAGATTTATAAGGCAAAATTCTTCAGCATGGAACACTGGAACCTAGCTAGAGAAGGAAACAGAGCAAACTGAGTTTTTCTGTTTGTTTTGCTTTGGGGCACCTCCTTTGTTGTCCTTTGTATAAATGTCTCTTTATTTTAAAGGAAAATATTTCTGATGTTAAATGATTAATCAAAAGTAGTTACTCCATTTTAATGTCCAAAGGGACTTGACTGTAGCACATGGTTAGTGTATGTGCCACAGAAATAGGACGGCACAAAGACTTCTGAAGTATGTTACCCTCTCACTGACTTGGTGTACAGCTTTTACTACATAGAATTTGTGTTGTGGAAAAAGTTGAGTATTATCAATATGTAGGATGCATTAATAAATTCTTATCTCTTAGTTTATGCTAATATTTGGCTATTTTACCAATGGTACTATGACTTTTGACAGATCTGGAACCAGTTCCCCCAAAGCAGGGTGCCTGCATCCACAGGATTTGTGGGAATCCTTTAACTCAAGCTTGTCGAACCCATGGCCTGCAGGCTGCGTGCAGCCCAGGACGGCTTTGAATGCAACCCAACACAAATTCGCAAACTTCCTTAAAACATTATGAGATATTTTTACCATTTTTATTTTTTTAGCTCATCAGCTATCGTTAGTGTTAGTGTAGTTGATGTGTGGCCCAAGACAATTCTCCTTCTTCCAATGTGGCCCAGAGAAACCAAAAATTGGACACCCCTGCCTTAGCTACAGATAATAAAATAATCATAACAATACAACTTTTATTTTTATTCATTTTATGTATAAATTGTGAGGGGAAAAAGCCAGGTGTGGTAGCCTGCCTGTAGTCCCAGTTATTTGTGATGCTGAAGTGGGAGGATCACTACTTGAGCCTAGGATTTCAAGAACTGCCTGGACAACATAGAGAGACCCTATCTCCAAAAAAAAAAAAAAAAAAAAATTAAGCTTTGTTGACCTTTAATATAGGGATGGATACCACTTGCCCTTTTGGTTCCTACGTGACATGTAGAATCTGCCACATCCTGAGGGAAGAGGTGAAGAGTTCTACGATGCGACTGTAGACAGCACATTTCTCAGGCCTTCATTTGTCAGCTGCAATATATTTCAGTTTACATGCTACGGGATGTTATCAATGTGATTAATTTTATAAAAACAAATATTTTTAGTAACCTAACATTTTTTTTTAAAGATGATACCTTCATAGTGTATAAAATCCAAACCACTTCAGAGCATAAAGTATGAAGTCATCCTCCCATTCTGGTTGCCCATCTCAATCCACCTCCTGGAGATGATCAGCAGTACTAGTTTCTTATGGTTCTTCTAGAGATACACTATGCGTACACTACAAGCTGGCATTTCTCCATATTTGCCTTCCAACCCACTCTCTTTTTATTTTATTTTATTTTATTTTATTTGGAGGCGGGGTCTCACTCTGTCATCCAGGCTGGAGTGCAGTGCGCAATTATAACTCACTGCCACCTTAAACTCCTGGGCTTAAGCAATCCTCCTACTTCAGCCTCCCAAGTAGCTGGGACTAAAAGCATGCACAACCACACCTGGCTAATTTCTTTCTTTTTTTTTTTTTTTTTGTAAGATGGGGTCTCACTGTGTTGCCCAGGCTGGTCTTGAACTCCTGGGCTCTAGTAATCTGCCTACCTTGGCCTCCCAAAATGCTAAGATTACAGGTATAAGCCACCTTGCCCGGCCTACCCTTCTCTTTTATAATAAAAATAGTTGCATCCCAAAACATTTTACATCTTAATTTTTTTATTTGCTATGTTATGGAGTTAGTTCCATATCAATTTGTAAAGACTTTTTGTGCTCTTCTTAATGGCTGTATAATATTTTTATTGTAAACTAACAACTTATAATTATGTAAATTTATGGTAGTACAAAGTAATGTTATGACTTATGAACATTATATGAAATAATTAAATCAAGCTAGTTAAAATATCCATCACCTCAAATACTTAACAATGTTTTTGGCTAGAATATTTGAAATTTACTCTTAGTAATTTTGACATGTACAATACTCTATTATTAACTATATTCACCATGCTGTGTAATAACAAGTGACGATGAGCATTTGGAGAAAAGGGAATGTTTGTGCACTGTTGGCAGAAATGTAAATTTGTACAGCCATTACGGAAAACTGTATGGAGGTTCCTTAGAAAACTAAAAATAGAATTACCATATGATCCAGCAATCCCACTTCTGGGTATTTACCCAAAAGATTTGAAATATTCCTTTTTATAGATATGCCATGATTGATTTAGCAGTCCCCAAGTAATACATATTTATGTTGTTTCCAGTCTTTTGCTAGCGCACATAGCATTGCATTGGATAGCCATGTTTTATGTGCCGTTTACACACATGCTTGTATGGCTGTTGGATACATTCTTAAGAGGTCGAATATCTGGATCAAAAAGTGTGTGCATTTATAATTTTGAAAGATACTGCCAAATTATCTTCATAAATGTTGTACCAATTTACACTCCCACCAGCAATGTATGAGAGTGTCTTTTTCCCCACAGCCTTGCCAACAATAAATACCTTTGCATAATTGGAGCTTGGGATTGAAAAATGAGCATCATAATTTAGTAAGATGAGCCAAGAATGAACTTCTTCCATTTGGATCTATGTTTCTTTGTGAGGTGCCTCTTTCCCAGCAGTGACATCCCCTTAAAACTCTGCTAAAATAAAGGCTTAAAAACCAGATCTTCAAATCATTATGTTACAGAGAATTAACAAAATTTCTTTCAAAACTAATGAAGCATATTTAACCACAGTTCCTATTATATTTTTATAGCATCAGTAAATAAAATAAAACTATTTTAATATTGTTGATCTTATCTCTTATCCCTTTTAAATTTCTATTTTATGTAGGTTTTATATGTCCATACTATATATATATATATATACACACACATACATATGTGTATGTTTTATAGTAAACATACTCTTAGTATATTAGAGTATTATACAAATTTCAGGTAAAAACTTTTATGTAACTTTTATGTAGTTTATATGTTTTATAGTAAACATACTCTTAGTATATTAGAGTATTATATAAATTTCAGGCAAAAACTTTTATGTAAGGGGGTTGTCCAATACTTTTTTGCTGATGAGGTCTGGGACAAAAACTTTTTTGGTATGTATATATAATTCATATAATCTAAATGACTTATAAAATAAAGAATGTTTAAAATTAACAAGTATTTAAAACGTGTAACTCTTTCCTCCAACTCTCTTTTCCGGGCGATATGATTCTGGCTGGAAACTGAGAAAAAAGCTCAGTTATTATTATTCATGATCAGTAAGGACCAACCCAGATTGGGCATCACATATCAACAGAGTTCCAAAAGAAAAATATTTTTTTCCTCTCCTCAGGGAGGATTATAATGAAAAGTCTACAGTCTTTACTTTTCCCTAAGCGGGCAAGTTGAGCAAGAGAATGACTGGCCCTTTACATTTGAATGATGCCACTGGCGGAGGCAGATGGGGCGGTTGGTGGCCTTCCTGCATAAAGACCACGCATTGCTCCCAAGGCATTTCTCTGTGAAGTCTCCTGACAGCTGCTCCTGGAAGCTGCTACTCTGGCCAGGGCATCCTTCCCCAGCAGCCATGAATGCTTCCCCTCTTGGCAGCAGCTCCTGACCACACCTCCTAAGGCAACCAGTCTTTCTTCTAGTTTATGGATTCCTCAGTCCCTGGACCATTCAGTGCAACCTCTGAGGAGCATCTTAGCTGCACACTAAACACAGCTCTTTAAGATCAAAGTAATTTAAAAACATTTTTCCTGATTTTTAAACTTGGAAAACATAGAAAATGATAAAGAAAAAATTAAAATTAGCCATAAGAAAAAAATAATCATGTTATAATTCAGAGATAATTGCTATTAATATTTTACCATGATTCCTTTCAGTCTTTTCTCAGTATACAATATAATATTTTGCATAATGGGATTACATAGTATATACAGTTTTGCATTTTAATTTTTGCTTTCAGTGGAATGCCATGAATATCCCCCATGTCATTGAAAGCACTCCCCAAATACCTTTTTGATGACTATTTAATAGATCACTGTATGGCTGAATCTCGTTTAACTAAATCACCACTGTTGAATGCTTGGCTTATTTCTAATGTTCTATTCTAATTTTAATTAACACCTTGATACAATGAATTTTTGCCCAAATTTCAGGTTAATCCCTTAATTCCTGAATGTCGCGGTACTGTATTGACAGTTCTTAATCCCTGGTCATGCAACATTGCAGCCAGGGGCTCTGTCTTAGCAACGCATGCTTAGTTGCTCTTTTTCACTGCTGATTTAAGAGAAAAAATGGTAACTTGATACTGATATAATTTGTATTCATTAATCACTATATTGAATAATTTTTCTATATTTTTCTTCAATAATTTTTGTATGATAAAAGTAGTTTAAGGTCATCAGGAAAATGTCAAAATAGAAGTGTATAAATAAAAATCATTTGTAATTGCATAACTGAGAGATGTCTTACTCATTAATAATATTTTACTTTTTATGGTTTAAATCTTATTCCAATGAGAATTTATATGTATTTTACATAAGTGAATCATACAGTATATATAATTTAGAAGTCTGCTTTTTATTTAAAGCATTATTCTTATTCTTAAAAAATTGAAAATATAACTTTCCAATACAACTATTTGAAAATAGTTACATTATTTCCTATGCATTGAATGTACAATAATTTATTTATATCTCACCATCTTATTAAACAACTAGTTATAATTTTTGTTATCATAAATATCATATTGTATTGTTTTTTAATTAGCAGTTATTTTATTACAAATAAACTTGAATTTCAAAATGCTTCCACTGTACTTTTGCACTATAGATTACCAGTTTATATCCTATCTCTCATTTTCTAACTGAAATTAATGTTTCTTATTTATAACAGCTTTTTTAGATTTTAAAGATATTAATCCCTTATCAGTCATATTTATTACATATACTTTTCACATTTGAGTTGTTTGACTTTAATTTTCATTTATTCTACATCCAAAACTTTTAAAGTTTTATTTGGTCACATTTATCCATGCTATCCTTTGAAACTCTGTTTATTGTCTGTATGCATTTTTAAAAAGTGTTTTGTTTTCTAATCCAGTTAAATATTCAACTATGTGTTCTTCTATTTTTTGTTTCATTTTGTTTTTTAGTGCTTTTATGTCTACATTGAACTATTTAATTTAGGCAGAAATTGTTTTAGCGCACGGTGTAGGAAGATGGGCTAACTTTTTTCCAAATAACCTACTTCCCAGGTTTCCCTTTTAAATTTGAGACTGTTTCTTTCATACAGAGAAGTCATTATATGTGATGAAACTAATACGTGGTGAAAATCCCATATATACGGGATTTTCCAGGGTAATTTTAACTATACACGGCTTTCACCATATATAGTGAAAAAAAACTCTTATATAGCACCCTGAATATGCAATATATAGTCTCTCTATAAATTCAACACAGCCATCATCTTCTCCAGTGTTGGAACAATGGATATTTTTTAACGTACAGCACGATGTGAACAAGTTAGCATGGGTTAGTGTTTTTTGTTTTTGTTTTTGTTTTCTGTTTGTTTGTTTCATTTTTTGATTTTTGTTTTTTGTTTTTTTGAAATGATGTCTAGCTCTGTCGCCCAGGCTGGAGTGCAGTGGCCCGATCTCAGCTCACTGCAAGCTCCGCCTCCCGGGTTCATGCCATTCTCCTGCCTCAGCCTCTTGAGTAGCTGGGACCACAGGCGCCCGCCACCACTCCTGGCTAATTTTTTGTATTTTTAGTAGAGACGGGGGTTTCACCGTGTTAGCCAGGATGGTCTCGATCTCCTGACCTCGTGATCCGCCCACCTCGGCCTCCGGAAGTACTGGGATTACAGGCATGAGCCACCGGGCCCTACCGGGTTAGTGTTTTTTGAGCTCTAGAATAATATCTAACATAAAAGAGTTCCACACTATGGGAAGCTCAAGGGAGCTGATATTGAAGAAACATGAGGTTTCTATGTCTCTTTCACAGTTGTTCACTCTGGGGCATGTGGTCAAAGAATGCAATGGAGGACACTGCAGATTCACCAGTTCTGCTTAGGTCCTATGTGCTCTCCAGCTCAGTCTAAGTGTTTCTCTGTTTCTCTTGTTCCTTTAACATAAGTTGAAGATGTGTATGATGTGACACTACTGTATCTTCTCAGAAACCTGTTGAGACCCTCTAGCTGTGAGGCGAGCTGACACTTCACAGTATCACACTTCCCTGCGTTCTTGTGCTGTTCCTGAGCTGGATCGCAGGCTCTCAGGCCTCAAAAGTAAGTCCTGGTGGTCTCTAAAAGTATTCTCCAAGCCATGGAGTTCCATCCTAAAATGCGTCACTTCCCTGAGTGTCATATTAAATATCTACAGAAGCACTGTTCAACGGAAATAGGATTCAAGCCACATATTAATTTTGAATTTTCTAGTACCTGCATTTAAAAAAGTACAAAGAAACTGGTAAAATTAATTTTAATAATAGATCTTATTCAATCCAATAGCTCAATCATTTCAAAATGTAATCAATGTAAACATTATTAATGAGATATTTTACATCCTTTTAAAAATACTAAGCCTTAAATCTGGTGTTTATTTGACTCTTGCAGCACATCTCAATTTGAACTAGGGATATTGTAAGTGCTCAGTAGCTACACGCAGTTAGTGGCTACTATATTGAACAGTGCAGATCTAGAGGACTTACTAGCAATCATAAATTCATCATTAAATTCAAAAGTGTCTGTGTGTTTTATGTAAGTGTTCTGGATTTCCTATATTTTCCAACTCAGGTTAGAGAACTGACTCCTCAATGATCCCATGCTACACCATTTAAAAAGTAAGTCATAGTTAAGAATGGGACGCTTCTTATTTCTTTTACTTCTCTCCTGTGTCATTTCTTTTCTCTACAACCATATCCTTCAAATTCTGTTTTGCAGAGAGCCTATCACTCTGTGTTGGGCACAGGCAACCCTAGATCAGGGAAAATGGATGAGATGCTGAGATCCCAGGTAGAAAGCTCTCAATAAAAAACAAGAGTCAGAAACATTAAAACATTTTTCCTTTCCTTGATGGCTTCAAATCTATTCCCACCCCACCCCAGTATGTCTCCCTTTCCCCAGTTCCAATAGGATAAAAGATTTAATTTTATTTTTAACCAATATATATGTGAAAAAAAATCTCCATTTTCTGATTGCTACTTATTTTAGGGTTGTAAGCATTAGTAAATAATATATAATTGTTTAAATATTGTAAACAATTGTTTAAATATTAGTAAATAATACATAATTATTTAAATAAAACAATATATAAGTTTTTTAAATATATGGCCTGGTTTTTTAAAAGAAGCAAGCAAATATGGCTTTTGCTGGCATTGTTTAAAAATGAATAGAATGTTCTCAGTAAACTTTTACATTACTCCGCAACATGTTTTGTTAGAAAAGCCTGTCGTAGTATCTAAAATTGTGTAAATCATCAGTTTTTAATCTGGCAGGAAGTAGATAGTGGCCCATTAAACTTTCGTAATTAAATTTTCCCTGTACTCCCCCATAGAACCATTATCTGAGTTTTCTAATTAACACAAGAGGAGGGAGTCAATTCAGGTTGATGGGATCTAGAGCCATCCCCTTTCATTTTAATGACCTTTAATAAACTTTTATTACTATTGATATTGATAATTATAATACACCCTTTAATTCTGCAATGTGATTCTAAGGACCTTTTCAAAAATTGCAAAATTCACCTTTAAAGCTAGAGTAGGCAGAATTATTATATTCCTAGAGGCTGTGCATTTAACAGAGTGACTTTAAGTTAGCCGAAGGGTGGATAGGCATTGAGTCAATGGCCTTTCCTTTCCTTGAGCCTAGTGCTCAAGTGCTGGACCTCTGTCTTTACACAGCCTCCATATTTCACAGCACAGTTCTCGCGAGCATGGCAGTTGGGCTGAATTGGGAGGTGGTTTTTGAGAAATAATAGGTGGAGCTTACTAAATTTGTTTTGTTTACAATTGGAAAGGCATTGAGACCAGGAGGCCAGATGCCCAAGAGGATAAGTCATTAGGCAAGCAGGCTGGTTTCCCAGACTGTTTTCAGGAGATCTTGCCAGAGTTTTACATAATTCTACATCCTCTCAGAGCTTCCGTTCCTATCACTGGAATTGATCTTTCCAGGTGAGAAAATAAATTTCCCAACCTGAGCACATAAGCACTGGGAAGAACATTTCTATTTTTACTTTTAATTTGCTTCAGAAATTGGGGTACTAAGAGGATAAGTTACCAAGGTCATGTATATAGTAAACGATGGAGCTAGAATTTAGCTTATGCTATTACTCATCAAGTTATGCTGTCTGCAAAATGACAATGGGTAGGCTATGTTGGATTTCTTGTGCCTTGGTTAATGAAATAATAAGTTGGAAAACTATGAGCTCTACCAAACTCAGAGTGTTTAGGAGAGAATTAATGGAATGGTTTCATAATCCCTTTATCAATATAGTGGGAAATAAAATACTTTATTTCATAGAAATGTTGTGAGGATTAAATGAGATAAGATATAAAACATGTTTAGCGTACTGTCTAGTTCCATAAGTGTTACATTTCATTTTATTATAAATATTGTTTCCATAGTATCTCACCTATTCTTTTCAAAGTTCAGATGTTTGGTTCTTTGACATCTCAACATATGAACAAAAAAGTACATATTAAAAATAAAAGTCTATATGCTCTTAATTATAGAGCTGCTTAAAGAAGACAAAAATAAAAGTCTAGGGGCTGGGCACAGGGGCTCACACCTGTAATCCCAGCACTTTAGGAGGTTGAGGCGGGAGGATCTCTAGAGCCCAGGAGTTCAAGACCAGCCTGGGCCACATACTGAGACCTCATCTCTACTAAAAAAGTTTAAAAATTAGCCAGATATGGTAGCACACACCTGTAGTCCCAGCTAATCGGGCGGCTGAGTTGGGAAGATCGCTTGAGCACAGGATGTCAAGGCTGCAGTGAGCTATGATCATGCCACTACACTCCAGTCTGGGTGACAGAGCAAGACCCTTTCTCTAAAAAATAAAAATAAATAAATAACATAAATAAATAAATAAATAACAAAAATAAATAAAAATCTAATACTTACCTGTCAGGGAACAAACCACGATTCCAAAGGTGGTTTTTCCAAGGCTAAGCTCATCCACTGCACTCCAGGTATGCTGACCCTTGCAATTTCCCCAAATGCTGGAAACTTGACTGCATGATTTGTAGTAGTACAGCCCGTGTTCATGTTGTCCCCTGAAAAAAAAATTAATTTAAAGTTTAAAAATATTTTAATAAAATAAAATAAGTCCAGACTTACCTGAGAAGACATAGCAAGGACCTGTTCAAGATAACAAATATAGTATATGATCACTGAATTCAAATATGTGTATAATCTAGCTGTTACAGTAATCTAAGGATGAGGCTTGTACAACTTGCTTTTATATAATAGCAGGAAAAACACAGAAGAAAGGAAAAATCAGACAGACTTTTTCTTTTTGTTGAGACAGAATTTCTCTCTTGTCACCCAGGCTGGAGTGCAGTGGCATGATCTCAGCTCACCACAACCTCCGCCTCCCGGGTTCAAGTGATTCTCCTGCCTCAGCCTCCTGAGTAGCTGGGATTACAGGCTTGTGCCACCACACCTGGCTAATTTTGTATTTTTTTAGTAGAGACAGGGTTTTTCCCTGTTGGTCAGGCTGGTCTCGAAATCCGGACCTCAAGTGATCTGCCCACCTCAGCCTCCCATAGTGTTGGGATTTCAGGCGTGAGCCACCGCACCTGGCCTGGACAGGCTTTTAAACAACAATAATCACCATTTATAGTTCTTTCTGAATTTAATTTTCCAAAAAGAAGAGAAATGTTTTAAAGCACTTGTTGGGGAGAAGTTCCATTTCATGACATTGGAGTACCTAAAATCAAACATACCCTCCTAATGAAATAACTAAGAAATGGGGAGGCAGAATATATGAGGCAGTGGTTTTTGGATAGCACAGAACTAGGATCCATTATAGAAGGGAAGTAAATGAAGTGAGCCATGTAACTGCCATATCTTTCTGTCTGGGAGCGCTTTCCAGATTGCAGTGCAGTGAGGAGAACCCCCAAAATGCATGGCACTCTCACTGAGTTGAGTAGACACAGATCAGAGTTTGGGAAGATTGAGGTGGCTAGAGAGAAGACAGTTGTGTAGGGAAAGGGTTCCAAAAATATTGACGCAGATCCCGTGACTCTATTGTTGAGTATTAAACTATATATGAATAAGGTAAAAGTCCATGGGGTCAGGAAAACAACTCAAGACTTGAGGGGCTGAAAGATACCTTCACTGAAGGCCCCAAGTAGTTACACTTTCATAGTGATGCTAAGCTGGCCTTAGAATAAAGGAAGCTCTGGATCAGTGATCAGCAAAGCATGGTGCGTGGGCCAAATCCGGTTGATGACCTGTTTTTGTTTGACCCACCAGATAAGAACGGTCTTCACACTTTTACAAGGTTGTATTAAAAAAAAAAAAAAAGGAGGAGGAGGAAGTTACACAATAAAGATTGGGTGTTATCTAGAAAGCTTAACTTAACATTTACTACCTGGCTCTTTATAGAAAAAGTTTACTGACATGCCTTAAAAAGTCTAAAAATAATTCTTGAAATAATCAAACTGATTCTCAGTTCATTTGACTTCCTGCCCAAAGTCTAATACTTTAAATAAATAAAAAAAAATCTGGCACTTAACAGTGTACAATTCAAAATCCCTAGCACCCAATAAAAATTATTAGACATACAAATAAGCAGGAAAATGTTATTCATAATCAGAAAAAAATAACTCAATAGAAAACTCAGAAATGACAGGTGATGGAATGTACAGACAAGGACTTTAAACAGAGATTGTAAATATGCTCAAGGATTTAAAAGAGAACATAAAAATAATAAAGAGAGAAATAAAGGATATATAAATGAAACAAACTGAGCTTTTAGAGATTAAAAAACACAATCTCCCAAATGAGAAATTTACTATATGGGACTTAATTCTGCAGAAGAAGGCCAGGCACAGTGGCTCACACTTATAATCCCAGCACTTTGGGAGGCCAAGGCAGGTGGGTCACTTGAGGTCAGGAGTTTGAGACCAGCCTGGTCAACATAGTGAAACCCCGTCTTTACTAAAGATACAAAAATTGACTGGGTATGCTGGCACTCGCCTGTGGTCCCAGCTACTTGGGAGACTGAGGTGGCAGAATTGCTTGAGCCTGGGAGGTGGAGGAGGTTGCAGTGAGCTGAGATTGCACCACTGCACTCCAGCCTGGGCAACAGAGAAAGATTCTGTCTCAAAAAGAAAAAAAAAATCTGCAGAAGATCGTTAACTTGTAGTTATATCAATAGACATATTTATTGAAACTAAAGCAAAGAAGAAGAGAAAAGTTATGAAAAAATGAACAGAGTTTCAGTGACTATAGGATAAGATGAATTAACTTCTGAGTAATTAGACTACCAAAAAAGAAGGATGGAGAGGAAAAAAATTGGAAAAGAAATAATGGTCAAAACATTCCAAGTTTGATGAAAACTACAAAGCCCTAATCCAGAAAGCTCAATAAGCCCCAAGCAGGATAAACACAAAGAAACCACACCAAGATAAATCATAAGCAAAAATCTGCGGTAAAGAAAAAATATTGACATAGAAAAGTAGCCCATTGGCCAGGCGCAGTGGCCCATGCCTGTAATCCCATCACTTTGGGAGGCCGAGGTGGGTAGGTCACGAGGTCAGGAGTTCAAGAACAGCCTGGCCAGGATGGTGAAACCCCGTGTCTACTAAAAATACGAAAATTAGCCGGGCGTGGTGGCAGGTGCCTGTAATCCCAGCTACTTGGGAGGCTGAGGCGGGGAGTTGCTTGAACCCAGGAGGCGGAGGTTGCAGTGAGCCAAGATGGTGCCACTGCACTCTAGCCTGGCGACAGAGTGAGACTCCATCTCAAAAAAAAAAAAAAGAAAGAAAAGAAAAGAAGCCCATTACACAAACAACTAAAATAAGAATGAAAGTGAGCCTCTTGTCTCAAACTATGCTGCCATATTTTGAAAGAAAAAATGTCAACCTAGAATTTTATATATATATATATATATAAAACATCTATCAAAAATGAAGATCTATGCCAGTAATTAACATTTGGAATTTGAAATCTGTTAACAATATCACTTATAATAGTACCAAAAATTAAATATCTAGATATATATATCTAACAAAATATGTACAAAATATGTACAAAATCTATAAGCTGAAAACAACAAACTTTGATTAAAGAGCTCAAAGAAGATCCAAATAAGTAAGGAGACAATTCTGTGATTCATAGATTGGTAGACTCAATATTTTTAAGATATCAACCCTGCCCAAATTGACCTGTAGGTCCAATGCAATACCAATCAAAATCCCAGTGAGATATTTTTTAGATATCAATAAAATTATTGTAACATCTATAAGAAAAGGCACAAGATGTAAAATAGCCCGAGAAAAAAGAATAAAGTTGAAGGACTTACACTACCTGATTTCAAAACTTACTATAAAGCTATGAAGTTATAAAAAGACACACATGAATCATAAATGCACATTTCTTAGTTAAAGAAGCTAATCTCAAAAGGCTAAAAACTGTATGACATTCTAAAAAAGATAAAGCTACAGAGATGATTAAAAGATCAGTGCTTCCAGCCTGAGCAACATGGCAAAACCCCATCTCTCCAAAAATAAAAATTTAAAAAAAGTTAACCTGCATGGTGGTACATGCCAAGGGTCCCAGCTACTCCAGAGGCTGAGGTAGGAGGATCACTTAAACCTGGGAGGTGGAGGTTGTAATGAGCTGAGATGCTGCCACTGCACTCTAGCCTGGGCAACAGAGCAAGACTCTGAATAAAAACAAAAACAAAACAAAACAAAACAAACAAACAAACAAAAAATCAGTGCTTGCTAGAGGTTTAGCAGTAGAGGAGCAGAAGTCAAATAGATGAAGCTGGGGATATTTTTAGAGTACTGAAACTATTCTGTATGATGCTGTAATTGTGGAAACATGATATCATGCATTTGTCAAAACTTATTGAATTTTACAGCCCAAAGAGTGAATGTTAGTATAACACACACAAATTTGGAGAGAAAAGGTCATTTAGGAGGTTTAGAAGGTTGGGAGAATATCAGGATAGAATCCTAAATATGACAAAATAATCTGGCTGTATTATAAATGTATTAAAAAAAATCTCACTGAAGGGGCTAGAAGAAAAGATGCTGACCTAAGTAACTTTAGAAATGGATTTTTGTTTGTTTGTTTTTAATATGGCCTTACTAAATCAATGAGCAGAGTTTTTAAAGCAAAAAAGAAACAACTGTACATAAGCACTGTACTCTAGCTGATAAAGTTGTACCTGACAGAAATATGAATTAATAATTCTGACACTTCTGGATAATGGAATTAAACACTAGTAAATGGATGGCGAATGGTAGAATTTGAATTTCTCACTCTTGGAGTGGGAGTTTACAAAAAAGGAGTTAGTATACACATGCATGTTTCCCTTCTGTCAGCTAAGAGGGCCTAGAAGCAGTGACACTCTAGTAGCAACAAGCACACTTAGTACCCAGAACTTCGTTTCTAATATCACTCTCCAGTGAAAAGAACCAGGGCTCTTTGGAGAAATGGATGATTCTAGGACTGGAGCAAGAAATATACAAGTGAGCCTGGAGCCTCTTGTCGTGCCAGAAAGTAAAGAGGTATTCAAAACAAATAAACAAACCAAGCCCCTCAGTGATGGAAGTATGTCAAAGGGACAGAGAAGAACAATATGAGCAACAAGATAAACTAGTGTTGTACTAAATCAATCAATAAACTATTCAAAAAATAAAAAGAGACTCCTTCTAAATTATTTTGTAAGATAGTTTTAGTCTAATACCGAAACCAAACCACAAAAAAAGAGCTACAGGTCAAATCCCTCATAAATACAGATGCAAAAATTCTTAACAAAATAGTATTGGCTGGGTGCAGTGGCTCATGCCTGTAATCTCAGCACTTTGTGAAGCCAACGTGGGCAGATCGCTTGAGCTCAGTAGTTCAAGACCAGTCTGGGCAACATGGTGAAACCCCGTGTCTACTAAAAATACAAAAATTAGCCAGGTGTGGTGGCACGTGCCTATAGTCCCAGCTACTCGGGAGGCTGAGGCAGGAGTATCGCTTGCACCTGGGGGGTCAAGGCTGTAGTGAACTGTGATCATGCCACTGCACTCCAGCCTGGGTGACAGAATGAGATCCTGTCTCAAAAAAACAGAAAAAGGATTCAAATTAAACAATATGTAAAAAGGATAATTATGGTTGATTTGTATTGCATGAACTTAGCTAAGCTGAAACTGCATTTTCCAGAATTCTTATCCATCCATATTTTATTTTTCTTTTATTTATTTATTTATTTGTTTATTTGAGACTGAGTCTCACTCTGTCGCCCAGGCTGGAATGCAGTGGCGCCATCTCGGCTCACTGCAAGCTCCATCTCCCGGGTTCACAGCGTTCTCCTGTCTCAGCCTCCCGAGTAGCTGGGACTACAGGCGTGAGCCACTGAGCCTGGCCTCCATCCATAATTTTAAGTTAGCATGGGCATGAAGACACATTTTGCTTAAGATATGAAAGGTGGAAGTGAAGCTACCACCATATTACTTTCATGCATGGAAGGTTGATGTGAGCAGCTGGTGCCGTTACAGTGTACACACATTGTTGCTGATCTGCTGGTTTACGTTGTTGGCACTGCACAGTAGCTGGGCTTTCAGTTGCTTTACTCCCACTGGATCACCTCCTTCAGCTTTTCTGAATCCAGTGCCAGAGTGTACAGCTCCGGAAGCAGCAGCTGAGCTTGCAGCTTCTCCAGCTCCCGCCAGATCTCTTCCTTCAGGTTCTTTGAATCGTTGGCCAGCATGTGCAACTCCTGGGGCAGCGGCCAAGCCCACAACTCTTCCAGCTCCTGGAGGAATCTCTTCTGCCAGGTTCTCTAACACTTGGGCCAGTCCCAGCACCAAAGATAGAAGTGATAGTAGTACATAAAATGTTTTGCTAGCTCCCACAATTACATAAAGTCAAATCCTTGTAATATACAAACTCTGTAGTCTATATTGAGTATAGTGGTTCTTTTCTTCTAATCAAAACCTATTTGATACAATAATACATCATGACTATGTGAAATTTATTCTAGGAATGTAAGATTTGTTTAACATTTAAAAATATATCAATGTAATTCACTATATTAATAGACGAATGTGCAAACTCTGTGATTATCTCAACAGGTACAGAAAAGATGTGTGAAAAAATTTAAACTGCAACAGCCATGTGTGACATAAACATCAGCACACTAGTTATAAAAAGAAACTTCTTCAACCTGATAAAAGGTTGTCTATAAAACCCATAGCTAATAACATAATGGTGAAAGATTCAATGCTTTCCTCCTATCAGGAAGGAATAAAGGATGTCCAGTTCCATGACTTTTATTTACCATTATACTGGAGGTCCTGGCCAGTGTAATAAAGCAAGAGAAAGATTTTTAAAATCATGTAAATTGGAAAGGGAAGAAGTAAAAGAGTTTTGATTCATAGATGACATGATCATGTGAATCAATATCATATGAAATCTGCAAAACAGATCCTAGAACTAATAAGTAGATGTGGCAAGTTTGCAGAATGTAAGATCACTAAGCAAAAATCAATTGCAGAGTAGCTTCAAAACATAAAATATATAGGGATAAATTTAATAAGTTGTGTGTAAGATTTATATACTGAAAATTCTCTCAAACTTTGTGGAGATAAGCCAAAGATAATCTAAGAAAGTGGAAAGACTTCCTAGGTTCAAGAATTAGAAGACTCAATAATGTGAAGCCATTAATTCTCCCTCAATTGATCTATAGAGATCTCAATCATTCAAAATCTAAGTTGGATGTAGTAAAAATCAACAAGCTGGTTCAAAAATTTATGATGAAAATGCACAGGACCTAAAATAGTCATGGTAATTTTGAAACAAAATAGTTGGAGGACTTATATACTACTCTGATTTCAAAACAAAATATAAAGCTGCAGTAATCAAGGCAGTGGGTATTCATGTAAGAATCAATGGGATAGAAAAAGATCCACACATATATGGGTGATTGGTATATGACAGGAGTACCAAGGTACTTCAATGAGAAAGGGATAGTCTTTTCAACAAATGGCGCTGTCTATCGATATGAAAAAAATTGACATCCATCTTTACTTCACACCATAGACTGAGGTCACATACCTAAACATAGAAGTCAAAATGATAAAACATCCAGAAGAAAACATAAGAGAAAACACTTTTTAGCCTTGTAGTAGTCGTCCAGATTTTTAGGATACAAAAAAGCAAAAGCCATAAAAGAAAAAGATAATATATGTACTTCATCAAAATGTAAAACTTATGCTTTTCAAATACACCATTACAAAAAAACAACGAAAAATGGCAAGGCATGGTGATTCATATTTACAATCCCAGCACTTTAGCAGGCTGAGGCAGGAGGGTTGCTTGTGCATAATAGTTTGAGACCAATTTGGGTGATATCTCATCTCTACCAAAAATTAAAATGTTTTAAAAATTGGCCGGGCGTGGTGGTGCATGCCTGTAGTCCCAACTACTTTTAGAAGCTAAGGTGGGAGGATTGCTTGAGCCCAGGAGGTCAAGGTCGATCATGTCACTGCACTTCAGCCTGAGCAGCGGAGGGAGACCCTGTCTCAAACAAACAAAGAAAAGAAAAAAAGAAAAACCTCTAACTGGAAGAAAACATTCTGACAGAAGATTTGAATCCATATTTTATATTGAACCTACAGCTGAGAAATTACTAATATCCAGAATTTGTAAAGAACTCTTACAACCAATAATAAGAAGATAAAATCTAGTTTTTAAAAATGAACACAAAGCTTCAACAGATTCTTCACAAAAGATTATATGCGAATTGCCAACTATCAAATAAAAAGATTCTCAATATTATTAGTCTTCATTAGTCATTAAAAATGTTCAAGCAGTTTAATTTATACTAGCTAAAAACTGAAAATAACCCAAATACCTACCAACACATAAATGTAGAAACAGATTACAGATGCTCCTTAACTTACGATGGGATTATGTACCAATAAACCCATTGTAAATGGAAAATATTGTAAGTCTAAAATTCATTTAATACACCTAATCTACTGAACATCACACCTTACCTTAAATGTGCTCAGAACACTTTCATTATACTTTAATTGGGCAAAATCATCCGGCAACACGGTACGCTGTAGAGTATTGGTTGTTTACCTTCATGGTCACATGGCTAACTGGGAGCTGTGGCTCACAGCATCATGAGACAGTATCATACTTCATATCACCAGCCCAGGAAAAGATTAAAATTAAAAACTCGAAGTACAGTTTTTACTGAATGCATATCACTTTCACACCATCGTAAAGATGAAAACTCATAAGTCAAACTGATGCAAGGCAGGTGACCCCCAAAGTGGGGCTTAGCCCACAAGGGTTCTTTTGCTTCATCCAGGAAAGAATTCAAGGGCTGGATGGTGGAGGGTGGCAGACAACAGCTTTATTGAAGAGGCAGCGTTACAGCTCCTGCAGTGTTACAGCTCCGTGACTGCTCCTGCAGAGCAGGACTACCCTATAGGCAGAGAGTAGCAGCTTAGGGTGGTTTTGCAGTCATATTTCTACCTACTTTAATTACATGTAGATCAAGGGGTGGTTTATTGCTAGGGAAATTGCTGGGGAAAGGGGGGGTAACTTTTGGGTCATCGGGTTATTGCCGTGGAAAGGAACAGTAAGTCCTGGGTGCTGCCATGGCAATGGTAAACTGACATGGCACACTGGTGGGCGTGTCCTATGGAAAAAGCTGCTTCTGCCCCATCCCTGTTTTAGCTAGCCGTGAATTTGGTCCAGTGTCCAAGCCCCATCTCTGGAGTCAAGTCCCACCTCCTACCTCAAAATGATCGTAAGTCAGGGACAGTCTGTAAAGAATATCCATGCAATAAAATATTACTCAGTAATAACATATATGAATTATTGACACACAAAAGAGTACAAATAAAGAGTATATACATGAAGAGTATCTAGCTTGAACACAAGAGTATATACTGTGTAATTTTATTTATGTAAAGTTGTAGAAAAGGAAAATTACTGTGTAATGGCAGAAAGCAGATTAGTGGTTGCCTGGGATCAGGGCTGGATGGGAGACTAACTGCACACAGATGCAAGCCTGATCCGGGGGCAGTGATTACACGATGTCTACTTTTGTCAAAACTACTCAAACGACTCACTTAAAACTAGTACACTTTACTAAATGAAAATTATTCCTTAATAAAGTTAATTTTTTAAAATTATTATTTTGTACCTTAGAAATAAGGAATTGAGTGCTTGCTTGACTGCTATTCCTTTTGCCACCACACTACTACAGACCTCCATCACTTCAAAAATATCACAATTTCTCACGGTTTAACACTTCTCATAAGGAATGATGCATTCTCCAATCTTTATACGACTATAAGCACATCTTAAAATCTAAACCAATAAAATGTTATTACCACTGAAGATTGAACTGAGTGCCACAACCTCCCAAACTGGGAAACGGATGGCACTGAATGAGTATGGCATATATTGTGGGGGCATTAATTTTACTCAAACGTAAGTAATTTAAGGCTGAGCACAGTGGCTCACACCTGTAATCCCAGCACTTTGGGAGGCCGAGGTAGGTGGATCACTTGAGCCCAGGAGTTTGAGACCAGCCAAGGCAACATGGTGAAACCTCATCTCTACAAAAAATACAAAAAAAAAAAACTAGCCAGGCATGTGTTTGTATAGCATAGTGATCAGTAAATATTTAATCAGAGGTTGTGTTCAAGTACATCTCTCCAGAAAGGCTTCCTCTTTGACTGACTGCTTTGTGTAGGGGCTGGGGAACATAGTCAAGGTTCAAGAAGCTTTCAAGTCTTCCCCAGCCGTAACTTTCTGCCAGGCCCTTTTGGGTCTGCCGTGCATGCGTACATAGGCTCCCAGTCAGCCAGATAAATGTGGAGTGATTATGCCTTCTCAGGTTTTCCCTATGATGGTGTACAGCCTTTTATTCAGCCGGGGGTGTGTGGAGAGCATATAGAGCCTCTCTATGGCTCTCTTCACTTCAAGGCTTTTCCTGTCAAACTTATGGACGGTCCACCAGTGTTTTGCTCACCCCAATGGGATGGTAACTTTAGCCTAGCAAAGCTGCAGTCCTTTGTTTCTCATTGAATTCAGTGTTTTTATTGGCAGCGCTACTGTGTGAGCTCTTCTTCCTCTGCTTCAAAGAATTACCCACCTCAGTCAGCAAAGCTGCTGGTTTTCACAGCCAGCCCTGCCCTGGTAGCATTATTGTACTAACTGACCCGGGGAGCAGCCTCTGGCAAGAATTCCCCCATACTCTCACTGTTCCTACCTAAAGTTTGGCATTTTTCATAAATAATGCTTCTAAATTTGTTGTTTGCTTTTGGTCAATTTCCAGATCCCTGAAGTGGTAGGGTTTTATTTTTTGCAACTTTGTCCAGTTTTATAATTGTTTTTTGGGGAAGAGAATTTATCAATTGCTTCAGTTCGCCATCACCAGAATGACTTCCTCATTGAAGAAAATTTCAGTTAAACTCAGTTTTTTTCCAAGATAAATATTGTAAAAGTTCTCAATTTTTATTTGAGGATTGTGGGTTGAATTGTGCTTCTTCCCCAGAACATAAGATATATTGAAGTTCTAAACTCTGGTACCTGTAAATATGACCTTATTTGAATATGGTCTTTGCAGTTGTAATCATGTAAAGATGAGGTCATATTGAATTAAAGTGGGCCCTATGCCAGTAACTGGTGTCTTTATAAGAAAGCAGGGAAGGATTTGGGCTGGGTGCGGTGGCTCACGACTACAATCCCAGCACTTTGGGAGGCCGAGGCAGGCAGATCACTTGAGGTCAGGAATTTGAGACCAGCCTGGCCAACATGGTGAAACCCCCATCTCTAGTAAAAATACAAAAATTAGCCAGGTGTGGTGGTGTGCGCCTGTAGTCCCAGCTACTCAGGAGGTGGAGAAAGGAGAATCGCTTGAACCCAGGAGGCGGAGGTTGCAGTGAGCTGAGATTGCGCCACTGCAATCCAGCCTGAGTGACAGAGTGAGACTCTGTCACAAAAAAAAGAAAAAAGAAAAAAGGAAAAAGGAAAAGAAAAAGAAGAAGATTTGGACACACAGACACAGACACTGACACTCCCAGAAGGAAGATGGCCCTGTGAATATGGAGGCAGAAATAGGAGTGATGCAGCCAGCTACAAGCCAAAAAATGCCAATAATTGACAGCAGCCACCAGATGCTAGAAAACAGCAGAAAGGATTTTTTTCTTGGAGCCTTTAGAGAGGCATGGTCTTGCTGACACCTTGATTTGGGACTTGTAGGTTCTACAACTATGAGATAATTAATACATTTCTGTTGTTTGAAGCCACTCAGTTTGTCATACTTTGTTATGGTAAACCTGGAAACTAATATACATGGCAAATAAACAAAAGCAATAGGAATGATATTGACTATTTGAGTAACACAACTAACAGGAACTATTTAGTACATTTAGAAAGTGCATTAATCTAGTAGAGAATACATTCTGTGACATACATGTCACATTTGTAAAAATTAACCATACCTATACCATGAGTCAAGTCCCAATGCAATTTCAAAGAACTCGTATCATACAAACAAAAAATTCAACTGGACATTTACTTTATGGTTGAAGAAATACAAACAGTAAATAAATATCTGATAAATTGTTCAAATTCCTAGTTACCAGATAAATGCAAACTGGAAGGGATTGGGGTACTATCTTTAGCCTCCTTAAAAGAAAACAGTTATCAGCCAAGAATTTTGTATCCAGCAAAACAAAGCTTCATAAATGAAGGGAAGATACAGTCTTTTTCAGACAAACAAATGCTGAGAGAATTCGCTACTACCAAGCCAGCACTATAAGAACTGCTAAAAGGAGCTCTAATCTTAAAACAAATCCTTGAACTATACCAAATAAAACCTCCTTAAAGCATAAATTTCACAGGACCTATACAATAGCACAAGGAAAAAAAACAACAAGTTATTCAGGTAACATGGTGAATAGAATAGTACTCACTTCTGAATACAAATGTTGAATGTAAATGGCCTAAATATTCCAATTAAAAGATACAGAATGGCAGAATGGAAAAGAATTCACCAACCAAGTATCTGCTCTCTTCTCACCTAACACACAAGTACTCACATAAACTTCAGGTAAATGGTGGAAAAAGACATTTCATGCAAATGGACACCCAAAGTGAGCAGAAGTTATTCTTATATCAGACAAAACAGACTTTAAAGCAACAACAGTTAAAAAAAGACAAAAAGGGACATTATATAATGATAAAAGGACTAATCCAATAGAAAAATATGACAATCCTAAATATATATGCACCTAATACTAGAGGTCCCAAATTTATAAAGCAATTACTACTAGACCTAAGAAATGAGAGAGATGGCAACACAATAATACTGGGGAACTTCAATACTCCACTGACAACACTAGACAGGTAATCAAAAGAGAAAATCAGCCAAGAAACAATGGACTTAAACTATACACTTCAACAAATGGACCCAAGAGATATTTACAGAACATTCTATCCAGCAACTGCAGAATATACATTCTATTCATTCATACATGGAACAGTCTCCAAGATAGACCATATGATAGGCTACAAAACAAGTCTCGATAAATTTAAGAAAATTGAAATTATATCAAGTACTCTCTCAGACCACAGTGGAAAGAACTGGAAATCAACTCCAAAAGGAACCCTCAAAACAATGCAAATACATTAAGTAACCTAGTCCTGAATGATCGCTGGGTCAACAATAAAATCAAGATGGAAATTAAAAAATTCTCTAAACTGAGCAATAATAGTGACAAAACCTATCAAAACCTCTGGGATACAGCAAAAGCAGTGGTGAAAGGAAAGTTCATAGCACTGAATGTCTACATCAAAAAGTCTGAAAGACCACAAGTAGACAATCTAAGGTCACGCCTCAAGGAACTAAAGAAACAAAAACAAACTCAAACCCAACAGAAGAAAAGAAATAAAGATCATAGCAGAACTAAATGAAATTGAAACAAAAAATTACAAAAGGTAAATGAAACAAAAAGCTGGTTCTTTGAAAAATAAACAAAATTGATAGATCATTAGTGAGATTAACCAAGAAAAGAGGAAAGAAGATCCAAATAAGCTCAAATAGAAACAAAACGGAGATATTACAACCAATAGATATACAGAAATATAAAAGATCATTCGAGGCTAATATGAACACCTTTATGTGGACAAACTAGAAAATCTAGTGGAGATGGATAAATTCCTGAAAATATACAACCCTCCTAGATTAAACCAGGAAGAAATAAAAAATCTGAACTGACCAATAACGGGCAATGAGATTGGAATGATAATTTTTTTAAAATGCCAACAAAAAATAGTCCAGGACAAGATGGATTCACAGCTGAATTGTATCAGGCATTCAAAGAAGAATTGGTACCAATCCTATTGACACTATTCCAAAAGATAGAGAAAAAAGGAATCCTCCCTAAATCATTCTATGAAGCCAGTATCATCTAATACCAAAACCAGGAAAGGACTTAACAAAAAAAGAAAACTACAGACCAATATCCCTGATGAACATAGATGCAAAAATCCTCAAAAAAATACTAGCTAACTGAATCCAACACTGTATCAAACAGATAATCCACTATGATCAGTTGGGTTTTATACCAGGAATACAGGGATGAAATACACTCAAGCCAATAAATGTGATATACCACATAAACAGAGTTAAAAACAAAAATCACATCATCATCTCAACAGATGCCATAAAAAGCATTTGACAATATCGACCATTCATTTATGATTAAAACCCTCAGCAAAATTGCCATACAAGGGACATACCTTAAGGTAATAAAAGCCATCTATGACAAACCCACAGCCAACATTATACTGAATGGGGAAAAGCTTAAAGCATTCCCTCTGACAACCAGAACAAGACAAGGATGCCCACTTTCACCACTTTTATTCAACATAGTACTAGAAGTCCTGGCCAGAGCAACCAAACAAGAGAGAAATAAAGGGCATCCAAATCAGTAAAGAGGAAGTCAAACTGTTGCTGTTCACCAAAGATATGACTGTATAACTAGAAAACCCTAAAGACTCATCCAGAAAGCTCCAAAACTGATAAATAAATTCAGTCAAGTTTCAGGATACAAAATTAATGTACACAAATCAGTAGCACTGCTAGACACCAACAGCAACCAAGCTGAGAATCAAATTAAGACTCAACCCCTTTTAAAATAGCTGCAAAAAATTAAATAAATAAAATAATTAGGAAAATACCTAATCAAAGGGGTAAAAGACCTCTGCAAGGAAAACTACAAAACACTACTGAAAGAAAGTATGGATGACACGAACAAATGGAAACACATCCCATGCTCATGGATGGGTAGAATCAACATTGTGAAAATGACCATACTGCCAAAAGCAATCAACAAATTCCATGCAACTCCCATCAAAATACTACTATTATTCTTCACAGAATTAGAAAAAAAACAATCCTAAAATACATATGGGACAAAAAAAGAGGCCATACAGTCAAAGCAAGACTAAGCAAAAAACAAATCTGGAGGCATCACATTACCCGACTTCAAACTATAAGGCTATAGTCACCAAAACAGCATGGTACTGGTATAAAAAGAGGCACATAGATCAGTGAAACAGAATTGAGAACCCAGAAATAAAGTCAAATACTTACAGCTAACTGATCTTCAACAAAGCAAACAAAAACATAAAGTGAAGAAAGGATATCTTATTCAACAAATGGTGCTGGGATAATTGGCAAGCCACATGTAGAAGAATGAAACTGGATCCTCATCTCTCATCTTATTCACAGATCAACTCAAGATGGATCAAAGACTTAAACCTAAGACCTGAAATCACAAAAATTCTGGAAGGTAACATTGGAAAAACCATTCTAGACATTTGCCTAGGCAAAGACTTCATGACCAAGAACCCGAAAACAAGTAGATGGGACTTAATTAAACTAAAAAGCTTCTGCACAGCAAAGGAAATAATCAGCAGAGTAAACAGAAACCCATAGAGTGGGAGAAAATCTCCGTAAACTATGCATCCAACAAAAGACCAACATCCAGAATCCACAAGGAACTCAGATCAACAAGAAAAAAACAAACAATTCCATCAAAAAGTGGGCTAAGGACATGAATAGACAATTCTCAAAAGAAGATACACAAATGGCCAATAAACATATGAAAAATGCTCAACATTACTAATGATCAGAGAAATGCAAATCAAAACCACAATGTGATACCATGTCACTCCTGCAAGAATGGCCATAATTTAAAAATCAAAAAATAATAGATGTTGCTGTGGATGTGGTGAAAAGGGAACATTTTTACATTGCTGGTGAGAATGTAAACTAGTATAACCACTGTGGGAAACAGTGTGGAGATTCCTTAAACAAGTAAAAGTAGATCTACTATTTGATCCAGCAATCTCAGTACTGGGTATCTGCCCAGAAGAAAAGAAGTCATTATATGAAAAAGACACTTGCACATGCATGTTTACAGCAGCACAATTTGCAATTGCAAAAATATGGAACCATCCCAAATGCCCATCAATTAATGAGTGAATAAAGAAAATGTGGTGTATATATATATATATATATATATATATATATATACACACACACACACACACACACACATATATATAAACACATATATACATATACACACAAACACATATATATATATACACACACATATACACAGCCACACACACACACACAAACACACCATGGAATACTATTCAGCCATAAAAAGGAGCAAAATAATGGCCTTTGCAACAACCTGTATGGAATTGGAGACCATTATTCTAAGTAAAGTAACTCAAGAATAGAAAACCAAACATCATATATTCTCACTTCTAAGTGGAAGCTAAGCTATGAGGACTGAATAAGAATGATACAATGGACTTTGGGGACTTGGGGGAAGGGTAGGAGGGGGTGAGGGATAAAAGACTACACATTGATACAGTTGTACACTGCTTGGGTAATGGGTGCACCAAAATCTGAGAAATCACCACTAAAGAACTTACCCATGAAACCAAATACCACCTGTTTCCCAAAAACCTATTGAAATAAAAAGTAAAAATTAAAAAAATACATGTAATGGAAGTCTAATAAATAGTGGAGAGAAAGAGAGAGAGAGAGAGAGAGGAACAAAAAACAAAAAAAGAAACAAAGGCTAAAATCTTTCCACATTTGACAAAAAAAAAAAAAAAAATACACTAAGCTATAGACCCAAGAAAGTCAATGTAACATCACATATGATCAAAACAAAAAAATCCACACTTACACATATCATAGTCAAAATGTTAAAAAATGAACACAAAACAGAAGGAAAACAGACTCATCTTGTAAGGGGGAATAATAATATTATTAACAGCTGACTTCTCTTCATAAACATCAGGGCCCAAATGGAAGTGGAATGCCACAAAGTACTGTGACAAAAATAACTGTCAATCAAGAATTCCATATGCAGCAAAACTATCATTCTAAAGGTAAGGAAAAGAAGAGACATTTCTAGATAAAGAGACTGAGAAAATTTATTGCTAGCGCATCTGACTTAAAAGGAAGTCCTTCATGCTGATAGGAAATGACACCATATGGTAAATTGAATTTATAGAAAAATAGGCCAGGTGCAGTAGCTCATGCCTGTAATCCCAGCACTTTGGGAGGCCGAGGTGGGTAGATCACCTGAAAGTCAGGAGTTCAAGACCAGCCTGGTCAACATGGTGAAACCCCACCTGTAATGAAAATACAAAAAATTAGCTGGGCGTGGTGACGGACGCCTGTAATCCCAGCTACTCAGGAGGCTGAGGCAGGAGAATCACTTGAATCTGGGAGGTGGAGGTTGTAGTGAGCCAAGATTGTGCCACTGCACTACAGCCTGGGCGACAAAAGCAAAACTCCATCTCAAAAAGAAAAGAAAAGAAAAAGAAAGAGCATAAAGAGCAGTGGAAATGGTAAATATGTGGGTCAATACCATAGACTTTGTACTTTTTTGTTTTCTTCTCTTATGTTCTTTAAAAGACATACAAAATTTTATAAAATAATAATTACTCTGCATTGTTGAATTTATCACATAACATGAAATATATGACTGTAATAGTACAAAGTAAGAATGTAGAAAAATGTTGCTCTATTAGAACATATGAAAAGAGGAAAAGAACCGTTGCTCTATTGGAGCAAAGTTGCCATATTTAACTGCAAATAAATCAGCATTAACCAGAAGTACATCGTAATAAAGTACCGATTATAATCCCTACAGCAACCACTAAGAATCTAAGAGCAACAAAATATTCTAAGCATGGTACATGTGGGAGAATTTTCTCAGAATATGGTTCTCCCCATCTTCTCTACCCAGCCAACTTTGCTTTATTTAATAAAGGTGCTAGAGAAAAGTTGGCCAAAACTTGCAGTAATAGTAAAAATTTAGCTCCTTGGGTTTTTTGTTGTTGTTGTTGTTGTTATTTAATTTGCTTTTTATTCACAGAAATAATGGAAATTATCCCCCCAGAATGTAAGGAAATTGCATTGGTATGTTCCAGTAATGCATACTGACACATTTTTAAGAGCAAAATTGACAAATGTCAGTTAAAATTAATTAAAAGTCCATATTGATTAAAATAAGTAAATCCTGTAGAAGAAACTAGATTTTTAAATACATGATTTTATTTAAACCATACAATAAACCTAAGAATAAGATAAAATAAACAATCTGAGCTTACCGTCACTTATCAAAGTCATCTAAGTAAATTGTGAGACCCAGGTTTCAATCAGGGCCATCTGACTCCAAAGAGGGTGCTTTCCCCTAGGGAAGGCTGCCTCTCTAATTCTAATTTAATTTTGCACTTGTAAGCACTGTGAATATGTCTGTTTTAGTCCACTTAGTGTTGCTATAACAAAATACCTGAGGCTGGATAATTTATAAAGAGAAGAGGTTTATTTAGCTCATGATTCTGCAGGCTGGGTAATTCAAGGGCATGACCCTGGCTTTTGGTGAGGGTTTTCATGCTGCATCATAACATGACAGAGAAGATCAAAGGGGAAGAAGGCCTGTGCAAAGAGAGGACCAAACAGAAGAAAACTGAATCTGTAACAACTCACTCTGTGGGAACTGATCCATTCCCAAGAGAACTAACCAGTCTCATAAGAGCAAGAACTCACTCAATACCACTGGAATGGCACCAAACCATTCATGAGGGATCTGCCCCCATGACCCAAACACCTCCCAGTAGGCTGTACCCTTCAATATTGGACTAGGGATCAATTTTCAACATGAGACCATGAGTTTTGGTGGAGACAAACTTAAATCATAACAATATCTTAGTATTTCATAAATAAGCATTAACCTATTTTGGCTTGTTTTTTATAATGTCAACAATTTGAAACTTTCAGTAGTAAAAATGGAATGTAATATTTGTCCAAGTCTTGCATTGTCAATTTGAAGCCCTTTGGTTTCAACCCTTCGGATTATATATAAAATAACCTTTTAAATTATATTTTTTAAAAAGATAATAAATTATCACAAAGTTGTATTTATTTCAGAATTATAAAATTGTTTAAAATTTGAAAATCAAAGTAATTAGCCACTTTAACATAACAGAGAAAAAACATGACTTACAAAAAGCATTTAATAAAACTTAACACTGATTAATGATTAAAAAAACACATGCACACATAGGCCAGGCACAGTGGCTCATGCCTATAATTCCAGCATTTTGGGAGGCTGAGGCAGAAGGTTCACTTGTGTCCAGGAGTCTGAGACCAGTCTGGGCAACGTGCTAGATCCCTGTCTCTACATAAAATTTATAAATTAGCTGGGCATGGTGGCATGCACCTGTCATCCTAGCTTGAGCCCAGGAATTCAAGACTGCAGTGAGCTATGACAATGCCATTGCAC
The DNA here is from genome assembly GCF_000001405.40 of Homo sapiens. Taxonomy (NCBI): domain Eukaryota; kingdom Metazoa; phylum Chordata; class Mammalia; order Primates; family Hominidae; genus Homo; species Homo sapiens. The sequence continues at coordinate 218,148,771 of NC_000001.11, forward strand.
TCCAGCCTGGGTGACAGAGTGGGACCCTGTCTCTAAAATAAAAAAACAAATAAAATAAAAAATAAAAAGATAGACAAATAGTAGAAAACAAAACTTAATCTGGTGTAGAATATCTACAAAAAAATTACAATGAATGTCATACATATTAAATGTAAAATATTGAAAGCTTTCATTTCCCTTTTAAAGTAGAAAAAAATGACAAGAATTCCTGCCACAATCAACATTAAATTGGAGGTTATTGAGAGGGCAATAAGTCAAGAAAAAAATAAATGGTAAAAAGTTGAAAAAATTAACATATTTTGTAGATGATTTGACTGTATACAGAGAAAATCTTAAAAAGAAATTAACACATACATTATCAGACTTATTAAACGAATTTAGCAAGGTTATTAGATAAAATATCAGTAAATTAAAATCAATGTATTCTATGTTCTAGCAACAAATAATTAGAAAAATAAAATTTGAAAAACACATTTATAATAATATCATAAAATTAAATACCTAGAAACAAGCTTAATGAACATGTGCAATATCTTACAGAAAAACTACAAAACATTACTGAAATTAAATAAAATCATATAAATGATAGGATGTATCATGCTTATTGCTTAAAAGAGTAATATTGTAAAGATGTAAATTCTCCTTTCAAATACTTCATAGAAAAATCTAACTCCAGTGAAAAACCATATTTTGTGGAAATGAAAGAAATTTAATTAACAAGAAAACACAAAGGATCAATATCAGCCATGACAACTTTGAAGAAGAACAAGATTAGAGAACTAAAACCACCAGACTTACAAATCTACAGTAATTAAGACAGTGTGCTATCAGTGCCAGAACAGATGAACTGAGCAATGGAACAGAATAGAGTCTTCATTAGTCTGTTTTCACACTGCTATAAAGAAATACTTGAGACTGGGTAATTTATTTTATTTTTTTTAAAAAAGAGCTTTAATTGACTCAGTTCCAGATAGCTGGGGAGACTTCAGGAAACTTATAATCACAGCAGAAGGCAAAGGGGAAGCAAGTCATGTCTTACACGGCAGCAGGCAAGAGAATATGAGCAAAGGAGAAGTGCCACACTTTTAAACCATCAGATCTTGTGACAACTCACTCACTATTATGAGAACATCCTGGGGGAAGCCACACCCATAATCTAATCACCACCCACCAGGTCCCTCCTTTGATAGGTGAGGTTTACAATTTGAGATGAGATTTGGGTGGGGACCCAGAGCCAAACCATGTCATAGTCCAAGAACAGACTCCCACTTATGTAGACGTGTGACATTCCAGTGCAACGGGGAGGGGGCCCAGATAGGTATCAGCATGGGAAAAAAATAATAATTCTTGACTGTCACCTCACACAAAACACAAAAATCAACTTCAGATCTATTTCCTAAATGTAAGAAGTAAAACAATAAATTTTTTAAAATTTAATATAGAAAAGTGTCTGTAGGCTGTGAGGATGAGCAATGATTTCTTAAATAGGATAGAAAAAGCAATAATTCTAAAGAAGAAAATGGACGAATTAGACCTTATTGACTTTAAGAACTTCTATTCATCAAGACACTCTTAAGCTAGTGAATGAGAAAGCCACAGAATGAGAGATGCATATCATACGTATATCCAACAAATAATGGAAATCCAGACTATAAATGAACCCCCAGAAATCATTAATAAAAATAAAGATATCCAATAGCAAAAAATTTAAACAAGGCATTTCAAAGAGTATATTCATTACCCAATAAAGAAATGAAAAGGCATTCAATATCATGCACCAGAAAATGCAAATTAAACCCACAATGAGATACTATTTAACACTCTCCAAAATGATTAACTTTAAAAAAATAGTATCAAGTGTTAAATATTTAGCAATAATGTGGAGGAACAAGCTCTCAGACACTGCTGAAAAGACTATAAATTAATACAACTTAGCAAGACTGTTTGGCAGTATTCACTAAAGTTGAACACATATACCCAATGACCGATGCACTTTTAACTGTACACCTTTTAGAGATATGTACATGTGTTCACCAAAGACATACTCACAGCAGCAATATTCATAATAACCCCAAAATGGAAATTACCTAAATGCCCATCAATAACAGCATGAATAAGTACATTACGGTATATAATGGAATATCGTACACCAATAAAAATGAAAGAAAGGCTGCTTGCATAATCCATGGGTGAATCTCACAAACATAATATTAAACAAAATAAGTAATATATGAGAACTATATACTATATGATTCTATTTTATATAAAGTTCATAAAAACAAAATATGATGCTAAGAATACAAATAAGCTTACATTTTGAATTGATTCTGTTCTGATCCCTTCAAATGTTTATACATGGATAAAGGCACAGAAATTGGCCTAACAAAATATTATCCATGATCTTGAAATGTAAACAAGAAGTCAGCTCTTGTGTATCCTCTATTTAACCGTTTGCATGTTTGTGTTTCCACTTTGGGTTTAGTGTCTAAGGCCAAAGAGTTTTAACATTTTATTTATTTCAAAATAGTACTCCTTATGGAAATACTTGATCTTTCATATATGACTCCAATATTTTCTCTTTAGATGACCTCTCCGTCAATGGATGCAATAAACATTAGGTAGAGTTCTTTGCTGTTGTTGACTTGGTGACCGTCTTCCCCCAAATGCATGTCTATCCTGTGAACCACTGAATACTGTACCTGTATCCAGCTCAGCCACTCACTGAAGGCTCCTCAGCAGAACTGCTTCTGCTGTCAGAGTGGAAAAACAAGAATTGAAGAGTCCCATCCCTCATGGCAATCTTGGAGGAAAAGCTGACAAACTGAGAGAATCACACTAGTTCTCCATCACCAGCAATCCATCTAGTCACAGTTCTTGACAACATCTCCCCCTTTAGAAATTTAGAGCCTGCTCTCTACCTGCCATTTCTTTGTCTTTTAAAATCCTTTTGACAACAATGCTTCTTCAAGAAAGAATATTATGCAATTTTCCTCATTGGTATAATTTCACTAAGTGCATAGGCCCCCTTGATTTTCTATTTCTATAATAATTTTATTCTCTTTCCATTGATGACTTTCAGACATAATGAATTAATCTCTCTTTCAATGGGCACAGCCATGATAAACCTCTATAAAACAGATGGTGTGACTTATACTGAAAATGACAGTTAATTGCTTTTACAATTATGATATTTATTATTAAAAATACATTTTTAAAACATCTGTTAGTACTCTGAGTTGAAGTGTTCCACACAAGATGGAAAATCATTTTCCAAGGTTACTGCTGAGTTACTTTGCTCTCTTCCTTCATGAAATCTAGACTTCTCAGCATATCCCTTTAGGAGGTGGGTCCTGCCAATTGAGATAGCCTCGTCTTTCACCTGTACTTTATAGCAAATCAGTGATCCAACCACCACACCTGCCTCATTGCAAGCCCCTGGGCTTGGGGAACTTTTACCATGCTGCTCGTTTTGCCTGCTTGTCCAAACAGCAGTCTTCTGCTTTTAAGCATTAACTCCTTCACAAAGACTTTCCCGATGTGGGGTGACAGTGTAGTTCCTTGTCACCTGCTCTCAGCACACCCTGTGCATACCCATGCCATTGCACTTATCACATAATCCTGGCATGATCTCATTGCTTCTCTAGGTTATTGCTTTAGACCCTGAGCTTCTGGAGCTGTGTTTTTAAATCCCATTTCTCACAGAGCCTGAAGAAGGCCCCTGTTGTGTTTGTTGAATGAAGCAAGCAAGCAAAGCATCAAGAAAAAGGCAAATTCAAGTGTATTTCGTGTTTTAGTAGATGTGATTCCCTGAAACTTGTCTACTCCAGTGAGATGAATTGCAAGAGCCTGAACTTACAGGTTCCTGCTGTTCGTGTTTAGCCATCTTAATGCATCATGGCTGATTGGACACACAAAAACTCTCAATTAGTCTTGTTTTGCCATGGCGCATACAGCCGTGTCCAGAAGTGATAACAAAAACACCATACAGCTGCCTGATATTAGTAGGAGACTATATCTGGCCCTATAGAAGGCACTATATCTGGCCCTATAGTCTCGAAATGTGCAAGACTGTTGCCATTCAAAGGACCCTAAACCTGGCATAATACCAGGGACCAACAAGTACCACTGGAGGGGCTGAGGCCTCCATTGTGCTGACTACTTGTGATTGTGCTTTAATCAGGCGAAACTAGGAAGGGGTATCCAAGCAATGATGGCCACAAGTTAAAAAGCCAGAATGGAAAATACAAAATATAAAGTCCTTCAGAAATAACTAGGCTCCCATCTTTGCTAGCATCGCCCAAAAACTTAGAAAATCCTGTTCTCTACAATGCCAAGTTATCCACTTGCAATGCCTTGGTAAGCTAACTTCCAGCCTTGAATGAAATTAAACACAAACAAAAATCTTACCTTCCATACCACTCCTACTCCCCAGCCCTGTACCTCATCCTTGCTTAGCAAAAGACATTTCTCTTTCTTTCAAAAGAAAGGGAGCTTCTTTTGTTATACCTAAGGACATATGTGAAATTTTGTTACCGAAAAGAAATTGGAATACAAAACGAACAGAACAGAATGGACTAGAATACATAACAGTTGGCATTGAGTCTCGTGCCAGTTGCATCATGCCACCTGGTAATGCACCAGATGTGAGAAAGAGAGGCAACCTCAGTTAAGGTAAAGCTTCAAGCCTTGCTTGATATGTTGTGCTGACCATACGTGGTCTAAAGAGAATGATCCAGAGGAAAACAAATATGGGAACACATTTGATTTGAGGTGAGTGGAATTTCTAGGAAGGATTTGTAAATTAATAATTAAATGTAGAACAAACAGTAAATGTGGTGATAGCATCTTTAAAGTATTTGATTGACTCTCCTACAATATTTCCACTGAGAATAAAATTTATGTAAGATGGAGTTGGAGGGACTTTGAAAATTAATTTGTGAGAGGCACACAACTGGGGCTTACCATAGGGACCCAGAAAAACATAAAAAATGCACACACAACCACACACACATACAAATACACATAAATGGGAAAGCTTTAACTGACCCTTAAATAGGGACAAATATCCCTAGTTCTGGGTGATTAAAATGAAAATTTTATTGAATTAAAAATTAAATGCTATTATTTAACAGTATTTGGTTATTTATTAATGCTTGAAAACACTTTTATGAAGAATACTAAAAATGCTATGAAAATACTCTCTAAAGCCACCTATAACTAATATATTTTCATATGTATCTTTTTTCATTTATGCCCTTCTAAATTTGAGCTTATGTCATTAGTTAAATCAGCAACAAAAGAAAGATAATGGATAATAAGAAAAATGCCTTGTATTTCTATCACCTTCCTTTCAAGAGTCCAAGCATTTTTGTCGTTAGAGCCGATGCTTAGATGTGAAATTGTTTTTACTGAGTTATTGATGACTGTATCTACGCAGAGCCTAAGTCAAATTATAGTATATTATGGAAGCAATAGCTTCCTTCAATCTTTTGCATTATTGTACTATAAGAGCCACCTAAGCCCATTACGAAGCTGCCATGAATGTTGTGTCTAGACTATAAGTCATCTTGGTTTTAACCAAATTAAGTCTCTACTACATGACTCAGATTTAGTATCTTCTGAACATAGCAATGTAATCTGCAGCCATGCAATTATTATAAGAGAAAACTAAAACCTAGTGCCTTACAAACAATGGGCATACAATAAATATTAGTTGAACTAAAAATATGACCTGGATCTACTACAAATCTTTCCTATTTTTCTTCTAAAAATGAATTAAGAGTTACCAATCTATAACATTTTCATCATGTCATCAACATTGATATATGAAATGATATTCCTGGGAAAATCTGGAACTCACATTAGCCAGAACAGAATAGACTAACACACATCTTCTGAAAGAACAATGCATTCTTTTAATCTACACCAGTATGCAATCAATTTTCTAGTGGTAGTATCAATATAGGTTAGATACGCTTCTTAAAATTGGCTTCCCTGGCAAGGATTACTACAAGAATATTCAAAAATAAGCTAAAAATAAACATTAAAAATAATATAAAGAGTGAATTCCATTAATAAACAGGAAACATATCATACTTTTAAAAGAAGAAGCGATTATATATTTTTGAAGTCTAAGCAATGAGTTCTACTTTCCCCAAATAACTAAATTTTTACTTGGGAAGAAGTCTCAGGCTTATCAAGCCAGTGGTATGCTTTGTACCATGGGCATTTAAAGCATTTAATCTTGTATCCATGAATGCTTAACTTAGAATACATGGTGTTCTACACAGAGATAAATCCCCAGCTGCAATTTATCTCTACTAAGAAGATAAGGAAATGGAGGAAATGGATTTAAATAATAGAATAAAGAAAAATAGGTTAGGCAACTTGAGTTTCTATATGGATTTTCTACTCAATGCAATTACTTAAAGAGACTTTGTAGAAACCTTTTTTTTTTGGAAGGATTTAAAAATGAAATCTGTTTTCTCTCCCTGGGACCATCTCAAGAGGGCCTTCCCTAATGTTAGGAGTGAGAACAAACTTTATTTTTGTATTAATGTATTAATGAAGTATTTGGAAATTGGTATAGAGTTTGAATTCATATTGGTGATTAAGTTTCAAATTCTAATGATTTTTAAGAAGGCCAAGATCACCAATGTGTCTGTTTTTAACCACATATTATATATATTTTTAATCATATGAATATAAACTTACAACCATAAGTGACTCAGGCATAAGGAGCAACTAGATCAATAATTTAATTTTAGAATAAGAGGAGATCCCACTTGAACAAGATTAACGTATATATTTTTTGAGACAAGGTCTCACTCTGTCGCCCAGGTTGGACTGCAGTGGTGCAATCATGGCTCACTGCAGCCTTGACCTCCCATGCTCAAGCCTCCCTCCTTAGCCTCCCAAGTAGCTAGGACTACAGGTGTTCATGCCACCATGCCCAGCTAATTTTTTTTTACTTTTTGTAGAGATGGGGGTCTCCCTATGTTGCCCATGCTGGTCTTGAAATCTTGTGCTCAAGTGATCCTCCCACCTCAGGCTCCCAAAGTGCTGGGATTACAGGCATAATCCACAGTTGAAGGATGATTTCATATTGAAAGTATAAGATATTTTATCAGATAAAATTTAAAGTTTCTGAAATAGTCAAGGGGCTTAGTCAGAAAAGAGAGTTTATGTTTGAAAAATATTCTTTTTTGAAATAAGTGTTCATATATATGGACTTTTTCATTTTTGTTTGTTTAATTCCCATATCTACTGGGATCTTTTGTTTTAAACCACCCAATGGAGAGTACTGAACTGGTTTTTCTTGTGAGATTCTTGTTCAATTTGCTCAATTCTAATGGTTATAACATTTACCGATCTCAATTATACTGTAATGAAGTCAAGATACTTTCTGTCAAGCAAGTATCCAACACCACTTAGTAATTTGTCTGCCAAGGCACGTGAAGAGTTAAATGCAAAACACGAGAATTAAAGTTGAGCCGTAAAAGCAATAAGTGTTTTACTTCTATCTCATTTGGGACCTCCTAAGGGAAGAAACTAGTGAGCTATGCAGACTTGAGGGGAAATAAAAAAAGAAATTGTCCCAATGCTATTCAGTAATCAATTGGAGAAAAAAAATCAGTCAGTATCAGGTAATAAAATATGGAATTAGGGTAGAGCATTTGCCTGAGGATATATCCTGTAGTAAAGGTTATTTTTCATGATTTATAAGGGTTTTTAAAGAAGCTTGCGGAATGCCACGGGAGAAATGAAGACTTCTGAAAGCTTTACATTGTTCTGCAAGTGCTTTCATAATACTTGTTTATGTTTTAAGGTGGGGGGGGTGGGGGAGAAATTGTACAGCGAGGTGGAACGGTTATTGACCAGATTGATCATGGGAACAAATCTGCCGGTGGTAACCTTGTTTAATGATATGTTGCTGGGCTCAGCACCTTGCTGAGGCTGTGATTCTTCACCGGCTGGGGCCGCATGATGGATCGCGGTAGGAAGCTGATGGTGCAATCACTCACCGGCCGTCAGCGACACCTGCAGCAACCTGACACTCGTCCCCGCTGAACGGAGCAGCCAGGCTGCCCGGCCCATTGGGAGACAGGAAGGTTCCTCCAAAGAGAGCACACAGGAGCGCTTTCTCAATCTCTCTCTGTCTCTCTCTCTCTCTCTGTGTCCTGAACCTTCTTGTGTAGGGCATTTCTTTTGAGTTTTTGTTTATGACTTTTTTCCAAAATAACTTGAGTCCCTTCACAGCTAGACTTCTCAATTCCTTTCTCACACCCACAGAGCTCATGAAGGCTTCTTTCACTGTGGCCAAACAGAAGACCAAACAAGGCCCTGAGTCTGAATATAAAACCTAAAGATGTAAGGAGGAAGGGGATGTAATTATTTTGAAGCAAAATATAAAATCATATTTTATCGTGTTTTTCCTAGTTTTGATAAATGAATTAGTGGGGTCAAATTTGTTTGGCACAGTTTGCATAATGAAGTCGGTTACATGGATCTACATTACTAGGTTGGAAATTCTCTAAGTGTCAGCTCTGCGCCTTTTATCTTTATATCCAGCACCTCATACCTAATTGTTTGCTAAAAAACAAAACAAAAATGAAATGAAGGCACATTCAATTGGTTTGAGAAACAACAAAACAGTGTAAGAGAATACTTTTTACCGTGCGACTCCATCTATCTATGATTCCCTATTGCTTACCCTATTAAATCTAAACTGGCCTACCCTGCAAAATACAGCCCCAAGAACCAAACTTAATGCCTGTACTCTCCAATATGATTTTTTCTTTGGCTTAGTCAGGACCATTTCATTGTTCCCATCATCCGTGCCAATTCTCGACTTTGGGCTTCTTTTTTCTTTTCTGCTACCGAGTGTTCTCCTCTCCTCTTTCCCTCTATTTACCGGCTCTTCTAGTGCCAGCCTAGTCCCACTGCTTATAAGAAGTACTCCTTCATTATTCTGGCCTTCACTTACCCTTTATGTTGGCCGCTTGTTTGCCTCCTTTTCCTGCATTCCCTCCTTCCAACCAGTCCCAAGATGTGTTTGACAAGGTTCTGGTTCCAAGGATGCTCACTCCATCCTCAGCTCTAAAAGCAGGACTTGAGACTTGAGCTAAACCCAGGGACTGAATTCCCTTGATGGTATATTTGGTTCAGGGATAGACATATGAAATTTACTAGGGTTTGGCTAAAATGCTGAGACAAAGATGCACTTTCTTTTCCAACTGCACAAACAAGCATGCAGGTCTAGGAGCTGTTGGAAAACATCTTGGAACTATGAACAAGTTAGACCTAGGATGAAACTGACACTCCTGTAGGTAAGGTAGAAAGAAGGAAGCATATGAGACATGCGATGAATCACTAAGATTCTCAATTAGGTCGTTTCCAATGCCAGTCTAAAGACAACTCAGTTTTGTAAGCTAAGTATTCTCTTTAGGTTTTGGCCAGTTTCTGCTCCTTGCAACAAAACCGCCATCATATTCTTTGAACAAATTTGCATTTGCAATAAATAGACACCGCTCATTTTGGCTTTTCTATGTTTTTGAGCAAGCAATTATTTTCTCTCCAACAACGTTTCTTGAGGGTACAACAATATCCATTGGTTCTTCTGTTTTCTTCCTTGACCACTGTGCTGGTACAGAGTAGACAGTCAATACACATTCAGGGTTTGACTCCTGGCTTTGACTTATGCTTTGTCCTCCTTGACAAAGACATCATCTCTTCAGGCAGTAGCACCACATGCTTTATGACCTGCTAGCTCCATTGATCGGGCATGATCTATTGCAAGTTTGTTCAACCCGCGGTCCATAGGCCGCATGCAGTCCAGAGTAGCTTTGCATGCAGCCCAACACAAATTCGTAAACTTTCTTAACACATTTTTTTTTGCGACTTTTTTTAAGCTCATCAGTTATCATTATTGTATTTTATGTGTGGTCCAAGACAATTCTTCTTCCAGTGTGGTCCAGGGAAGCCAAAAGATTGGACACCCCTTCTCTACTGTAATGCAGTACAGAAGTCATTTTCATCTCCTGTATCAAGAAGGAGATTTACAGACAGAAGAAGTGATTAAGAATTCTCTAAGCAGATTTTTACATATTTTGTTAATCATTCAACTAATATCTGTTGATCAAATCTGTGTTACATTGCCTTTTCTATTATGGGCATCTCAATCTTGACTGATTGGCTAACGTATTTCCAAAAAATGATACATGTCATTTTGTCAAATACCAACTACTGTCCAGACTATTTTTTTATTTCTCCACTGTTCCTGCTGTTCTGCCACCTCCTTTGCGATCCAGGGTAGGAAGTGATATACACAAGAAAACAGGCTTGTAATCAACCCTCAAAAACGATGGCTGGTTTGTCAGAGCCTTTAGGGCTACACATATACACTAGTCACTAAAACCAAAATACCAAACAACTACTGCATGTAGACATAACTACTTAACACACTCATGGTTTATGTTATTTAAACGAATATAGGAAATGTTTGTACATTATCTCAACTTTAGAGACTTCATCTTAAGCAAGTTACAGAGAGTTATAAATGTAATTTAGACAGAGGTCCAAAGCTCTGAGACTTTCTAGTCAATTTCGTTTCTCATATAAGAAATATTTTCTGATAGAAACCTACTTAAAATAGAAGCTATTTCAGGAAAATACATTTCTGAGAAAGACTAAAACATCTTGCTACACTCTAAGATAGACGTTATCAGTCTTCATTATGCATAAGAATTGTCTTTGAGCTTGTAATACAGAACCCTGGGTGCCACTCACAATGAATCTGATTCCATAGGTTGGGGCAGAGCCCCAGGTAACGAGATGCTTGCTAATACGGCTAACCTAGGGTCCATTTTAGTAGCACTGTCCTGAATGCTACCCTGCCCGAATTCTCTCACAATAGTGGCAAGTTTACATTTTTTCAGCTTTTCTGCCAAACGAGATTATCACTAGGGCAAGTAAGTTGTAAGTATAGAATTGGAAAATCAAGTTTCTAGCTAAATGCTTTTTATTTTATTCAACTTGTTTACATGATTTAGCATTGCAGCTCTAGTAATTTTTTAAAATTATCCTTTAGCTAAAAAGAAAGCAGTAAGTCTAAAATTCCAGGTTCATGAACTGGGTTGAATGGGTACTTGTATCCTGATTTGGTTATATGTTATTTGTCTTTTTCTCAGACAGGCACTTGAGTTCTGTCTTTTTCGTATTCTTGATATTACTAATTACATTGCTGTCACTTGAGAAATACTACTATGTATATTATTAGTAATGCTACTACTAATAAATCACTATGCCAGTCTACTTCAAAAAGTTTCATTAGCAAGCTATGTGCACGATACCTTTCAGGGGGAAATAAAAAAGCTCGCCTTATAAGCCATGAAGAATCAAAAGCTGCAAGACATTGAAAAATAACAGCACTGAGATCTACTGGGGTGGCGGGAAGGGATGTAGAAAGGTGAGAATTGTGACTTTCCAACAGAGAGCTCAATCATGTTGTTTCCTTAGGTAGCTGTCTCATTGGCTTACTCTGTTTACTTAGAGATCTATTTGTAAAGGTATTGTTCTAGATGTCAACCAAAAGATCCTTCAGGAGCATTGAACCTGATAATCAGTGTCTGCAGCCCTCAAAACACAAAACTTGAAACAAATAGAAAAGTGGAGTTTCATAATTCAAGCTAACCAAAAACATTTTCAAGCTTCAACTTTTCAAGTTTTATTATATTGTTGTTCATCCTTCACTCCTACCAGCATAACATTATAATATTCTTTCAAGAATGCCATCATATGTGGGTGTGTGTTTGAGAAAAAGGTAGAAATGTCATTTTTATTCACTGAAGGATACCACCTATTATTTAGAGGTAAAACCTCTCCACTTCTCTTCCTTCTGAGTTGTTTCAAAGAAAGAGCTGAAAGGACAGAGAAAATGTTCCCCTGCTGCAGCATCTGGCTCTGGTTGACTCACCTACTGGCCACATTGGCAGCTTTGGGTCTGCTTTTTAGGGTATTCCTCGTATAGGCAAAAAAGATGAACTTGCCCTTGTGTGACGATATCTCATTTGGCTTCTCTCTCAATTTGGGGGGTCTATATCAATATTTAAATAAGATTGTAAAAAGCCCATCATGAAAAGGACAAACACATACATATACCCAATGCCAAAGATTTTTTTCTCCCACTCACAAAGTTTGTTTCACTTAACCATAGTCATCTTTCATCCAGTATCCATTTTATTCGTAAGTCATAAATGCAATTCAACGCAAACCTGAAACTGACTCGTATTTAAAAAAAACACTGCAGGTTTCTCTCTATGTATACACAAAAGTTATTTCTTCTTGATTAAGAACCTTCATGCAATGGTGTTATAAGGTAGAGGACGTTTTTCATCTAATAATAATAAATGACACACCAAAGGAACATTCTGTATCATGAACACTTTATAACCACAGTTCTTGCTTGATGGTTAACGTAAAACAAAATGGACAAGAGTTAACTATGAATCTAGTAGTCTAATGCTAATTACAATAAAATGATAGGTATTTTAAAGTTGTCTTTTTATTTTAGTGTCTTAAAATATACTGTCATAATAGCTAAAATAATTAAAAGCTCTCCAAATAATAAAATGCTGATTTTCTAAAACATTGCTCTAAATAAAACAAATGTGCATTTTTAAAGATAATGGTCAGTATTATTTGTATTTACTATATGTACCTAAATACAGCAATCCACACATTTACTCAGCATTATGCTCATTTAAATAATGTCTATTAATTTTTTAGCCATTGAAAGCTTATTATTAATATAAAACTTTTAATATTTTGTCCCTTTTCATTCTAATTCTTATAAAAAAGAGAAAATGGCAATATGAATTACCTTTTATTAATGTTTCTTTATAAATGCTACTTATATAAACATTTACTCCAAATGATTATGTGGACGCTCAGAATTTTAAATTGTTGTATTTTCCAGATCATTGCTGTAATAGGGAAAATACGAAAAACCAAAAATGCCTTGTAGATTGTAGGTCTGTTTTCTAGGAAGCTAAAATGTTTAATCCTTCTTTTCTTTGGGTGTAATTTGTCAGTTTAAGAAAAATAAAGGATAATTTGATGTTTGGTAACAATTTAGTTGGCAAATTTCTCAGAGAAATGTAGTAGCATTTGCTGCAATTATAAAATGGAGATGTGTTGATAGAATGCTCTGGTGTCAAAAAAATTGGGAACATTTTAAAGGCCATTTCATTTCCCACTCCTATCATTTTAAACAATCTATCAGGCTGTATGTAAAAACCACAAGGAAAAATATTAAAGCATTGCAGTGGGTGCATGAACATCTGTGGATATCATTGAAAGCCACTTAATAATCCCAATGAAAGAAGTTTTACATCTTAAAATCTGAGACCTCCTTATGCAAATCATTTTGCCTTTAGCCATTTCAAAAAGAAATGAAGGACCTAGAGGATTTTACAGTTTTACATAACACTGGTGAGATGGTTGCCAACTTTGATCTTACATTAATTAGTTAAGATCTTGACTGATCATAGCAACAGCTAACTCAAAAATCTGGTCCTCAGCTAAAATGAAAAATAGCCACAATCTAACACGATAAATATTTCTGCTTTATTTTGTATTGTATTCTGTATGTTTAGTGTATTATTGAATGACAATAACAAAACAAAATTTGTCGTGTAGTAAAGTGCTTTGCAATGATGTAAGTGCATTTTTTAGCCTTGTTATATAGAAATCAATCTCAATATGGGTATAAACCAAAAATGTTTTGGTTTTCTTCTGTTTAAAGACTAAGATTTAAGGAAATAACTCTACATACTTAATGTAATTATGGGAAATTAGGTTGTGGGTGTACTTCTGTAACATATCAACTCTAAATGAAATGAAATCTATTGCGTTACCATTGGCTGTTTTGTTTTTCCCAGAATGAAGTTGTCTCTAAGATAAAGCTTAAAGATATAGTTAACTTTTAGAAAATATGACCTTTCTATTATATATGAGAAACTAAAATTTAAAACTCACTAAACAGCCAATCCCTGCAAAGCATTTCCTTTTCCCTACAGGTAGTATGAAATGGAGCCCAAATGACAGGACCCCATCTGAGCCTCCCCAGCTCCCCTGGTCTGCACAAACCCACTCTATCAATCATGGCAGGATAATGCATAGAGGCTGCACCTGTGACAGGAAATGATTGAGTGCTGAACACAGGGCCTGCTTCGCCTGTCGCTTTGTGCATTTGTATTTCTCCAGGGCCGGTCTGAGAATTTTCAGAACTTGGGGGCAGGAGATGAGGGATTCCTATTGTATTTTGAAAAAGAAGGAATAATGCATTTTAATTATCAAGACATAACACAAAAGAGAAATTAGGCAGTAAAATGCCCTGGTCCACTCAGGTGTGTGAGAGCATCCGGGTAGCACAGGATGCAATATTATTAAGCTGTAATTTAGTTTAGATAAGCAGAGGATGCTGAGCATGGCTATTCTTTTGGAGATGCCTGATTCTCTAGTCGCAAAACAGACATTTGTTCCTTTATGATCACACACACACAAAGAACAAAAGGTCCAGGCTCACCTATTGTCCACAAAGACTGTAGAACCTACCTAACTTATTTGAGGACAGCAGCGAAAAAAAATACTTTTTAATTTTCTAAGTTCTTCCTGATGTTTTTTGGAAACCTCTGTTTTACTATGACGATCTAGTTATTTACATGGTTTGAGGTAGTGCCATAATCTGTTTTTAAGACATTGTAACTGTAGTGTAGTTTTAAATAATTTTCTGCTGATTCAGCCACTTACCGAAAATATATGTGGTGAAACCATGAAGTTTCTATTTTACAGTAGTCAATATTTTATTCGAGTTAATCCTTCTGCGTAGGATATATTTTTCCATTACACCAGTAAAAATATTGATAACATATTTTATTGTGCACTTTGTTCACATAATTCGAGTCTGCGTTTCTAAAATGACTAATTACTTTTATTTAAAAAATAACATTATCTATTAAAGAATGGTGACAGTAGGGACTAAACAAAAAGTAAAAACTCCAAAACTCTCCCCACCTAGGGTGTGGGGTCGGGGGAGGGAACGGTAACAATAAAAACAACATCTGAATATGTAAACTCAGTTTCTCGGGTTAGAATTTGCATTTTTGTCAGAACCAGAATTCACTGTACAGGACATCATCACATGCTCAGACTTCTAAAACATTTCGTGGAAGAGAGTAGACTGTTTACCGGATGCCCTTCTATTTTTGCCGTGCAGGATTAGTACCTTCTACTTCCTTAAATGTAGGCAAATAAAATTACGGAGAAATAAAATGACTGCAGCCTTTGAGCGCTGGTTTGTCCTAGGACAATCGGATTTCACCGGGTAACGTATATGCAAACAGACACGTCCCGTTTATTTCATTGTTTGCACTGCGGAGACTCTCCGCCGCTCTCCACGCCTTTGTTGACCTACCGCCAGCAAAGTTGTGTGGTTATAAATAGATAGAGGCAGCTGATTAAGAAGCGGGGGGAGTGACTTTCTCTGGGCTCTTACGGATCAATCACCGCTAAGGGGATGCAGGTTGAGGGGAAGGAAGAAAGTAAATCGCGGGGCAGTTTGACTAAGTGAAACCCAATTCCTTCGCCCCAAAGCTGTGGTGGCCAGACGTGCGCGACCCTCTAGACCCAAAACAGTTTTAGTCAGCAACGGGTCATCAGCAGGACCGAGAAGACTGGGTGGGAGGTCTGGCCGGTCCGAAATAGGGAAGAGGTGCGGGCTCATCACCGAGGCGGTAGGGCTCGGCTTATGGTCTAGAGCCTTGAGGCGCTCCCGCGTGAGCCCCGCTGCTTCCAGTCCGCCCTCGCCTGGCCCGGCGCGGGTCGCTCCCTCCTCCCCGTCCTGTTCCGCACTTTACCCAGCAGGGGTCCCAGGTCGAGCAGGGCCAACCCTGCTCGCGCAGCGCCGGACCCCTCCCCGCTGCCCGGGGTGCGGCGGCTTCCCTCCGCCCAAACGGGGGGTGTCTCCTCCATCACCCCTGCCGCGGCTTCCCAGTCGGAGTCGCGCTGCGGGGCGAGGGAGGCTCGCTCCTCCGCGGCCGGGGCCTGGGGGTGCCAGTGCGCCCCCGAGTGAGCGGGTAGGGAAGCCGAAGAGCCGCCGACCCGCTGCGCGCCCTCCAGTCCCGGGCGGCGCCGGGACCCAGAGCGGCCCCAGCCCGCGCCCCAGCGGGGACGCGAACGGCGTCTCGGGACGGCACCTCGCCGGGGCCTTGCCCTGTCCCGCCGCGTCGCGGCCTCTCCGCACCCCACGTCCCGGGAGCCGACCGGGAGACTCTCACGGCGGAGTTCCACAGACCTCGTTAGGTTAAAGGAACCTCGCCTTGCCCCCCACTAATCGGCTAGAGAGGGAGGCCGGCGAAACAAAAGCCGTAGAGGAAAATTAAGCGACTTCCCCCTCGGCGGGGAACTTGGAGGTGGGGGAGCGGGGAGCGGCGCGGGGCGCAAGGAGAAGGAAGTGCTGAGCTGGGTTGCCGACGAACCCCGGGCAGGGGGAGGTGGGGGGCTGCGGCAGAAGAAAGACAAACATCTGGGGATCGGACCATATGCCGGAGCTTTGTCTTGTCCTTCAAAGTTCGGCTGCCCTTGAAGTGATTTGTCAGGCGGCCCACGGGTGACAGGGAGGATGTGCAGCGGGGAGCGGGGGCGGGACATGCCGGGGGGAGCGGAGAGGGCTAGAAGAGAGGGGAGGAAGGGGGGACGCCAACAAGAGGGGGAGCAAAGTGACCCCGCCGCCCGAGGAACGGTAGAAACCGGGATCGCGGAGGTGCGAGCCCGAGCCCGGGAGCGGAGCGCTTCCCGGGGAGACGCCAAGACGGCGAGAAAGGAGGAGCGGGAACGCAGAGGTTAAGCGGAGGGAAGGCCGAGGAGAAACAGCCAGAGGACGGGAAGGAGGAAATAGACGGGGAGAAGAAACTGAAGATTAGTCGTTGAGGTGTATTAAGAAAGAGGACATGTCGCCTATTTTAGGAAAAGTGGCTTTGAGCTCCCCCCGCACCCCCACCATTTTTTCTTTCTCTTTTGCCCGCCAACCGCTGAACTGATTAGACTGTAATTAAGGCCATAAAGCCCTCAGATTATACACCTGTTTATTCACTGAAGTCGGGGTCTCATCAAGCAAATTAGCTGCTTGCAGGCTACACATTGGGCCTCGAGCTTGCCTGATTAATGAAGTTTATTGGGAGCTGTTAAAAGCATTAACTGGAGAAAATCTCAGCAATTCGTCATATTTAAGGGATGAAAATTAAATCTTGCTATGCAAATGAGAAAAAAATTTTAAACCATCTTTGGGGGGTTACTGTCTGCATATTATTTTGCTTTAAAATTCTGTTCAGGAAATAGGAATTAACATGAAATATTATTTGCCCTTAAAGTTATCAAAAATATTGAATCGCACCTTATGTGGCATTGTGGGGAGAGAAAAAGAAAACATAAGGAAATTCCCATATAGTCCGTTTCCCAGTGCAAAGAATTTTCTAAGACACCTAATCACAAAGCCAACTTTCACGAGAAACCCAGTTTTTAAAATTAATGTATCCAGTTACAGAATGAGATTTGGGAGTAGTCCTTCAAGGGGTTTAATGTTTGATGGTGGGTGGGGGGGACGATGAAATCAGCAGAGAGAGGAGGGGAGTTCATGTAAGTGCCCTGGATAAGGAGCACGTGTGAGAATGGCAGAAAAGCAGTAGAGTGGCAAGAAAAAGTATCCAAAATGAATCAATACTCTCATAAACTGGCTGTAGAAAATGTTTCTGTACAGTGTTTTTTACTGTAACCACTATGGTTC
The DNA here is from genome assembly GCF_000001405.40 of Homo sapiens. Taxonomy (NCBI): domain Eukaryota; kingdom Metazoa; phylum Chordata; class Mammalia; order Primates; family Hominidae; genus Homo; species Homo sapiens. The sequence continues at coordinate 218,166,613 of NC_000001.11, forward strand.
TTTGGACAGGTCGGGGAAGGTGTGATTATGAAAATAAACAAGGGAAGTGAGGGAAATATAACCAAGTGGAAAAAGGAAATGGAGTGCAAATTGAGAACATAATCCAGAATTCGTAAAGTATGTATTTACTTTAGGTGCTGCTTGGTAATATTGCCACACAAATGTTTATTAATGGTTGCAATTATATAAGTGACGGGAGAGTGATTTCAGTACATTCATTATGCTTGAAAAAGGGGGGAATCTCTTTTCTACAAGAGTAACAAGAGTACATATATAAATGCCTTCTGTTTCAACAAAATATTGAAAATAAAAACGTAGTGAATAAATTATTTTAGTTAACGAAAAGCTTATTGTAATGCCAGTCTTTCCAGATTTATTTTTAAGTCTTTTCTATTATTTTTTCTAAGGACATTTTAGATATCAGTGGAGTTTGAAATGTCTGACTGATATTTGTTTCAGGACAGTGTATGTTTTATAATTTCAGTAAGATATATAAAATAGAGTATATGAAATAGAAACTCTGAGACAAAAGAGAGCGGCATAACTAATAGAAAATTAGGTAATTTTAAAGAAAATTTATCTCATAATATTCACCTCTAATGGATTCGGTTTTAAAGTATTTTATAGATCTTTATAGTTATTCTCACTAATATTGTACTTCAAAATTGATTTTCTGGTTAATTTTAAATTTTTTATTTTAAAAAACTTAAAGCATTGAGATTTACTAATTTATCTTCCCTGAATGAAGTTACTTATAGTTGGCTAAAGAAAGTCACAGTAATCATTCATATTAATATTTCTATTTTAAAGGTTCGAAAAAACTTTCAAATTTATACATTTCTCCCCTTTGGTGTGGGTATAATACAACTTTGTGAAACTAAAATTTGTAAATTTAAAGTCTAGAAAACCTAACACCACCACTTACAAACATAGATAACCTTGAAAAATAGTCGTTTGTCTTAATCTTTAAAATTCTTTAAATTATTTATTATCTCCTAAAAACTTCAATACATTCTAAATTTGAAACACAAATTCCCTTTTGTTTCTACAAATATTAGGTACTAATTATAAAATGATTATTTTAAACAAAGGAACTGTAAACATTTTTATTTTAATATTGGAAATAAAAAATCATCTAAAATATAGTTATTGGTAAGGATGAACAATTCTTGATACGTGCATCTGATACTATTCCTTGGATTATTAGAACACAGTTTTCACTAAACTAACTATTAAAGGGTTATTCAGTAAAAGGAACACATATGTAAATTAAATACATTTTTGCTCAAGCAATACAAGTTTTGAAAAGAACAGTTCTTCCTATAATTTTGAAGTAACTTGAAGAACAACAGTTATCCTTTGTGCTGAAATCAGTCGTTTCTCAGGACTTGACTTTACTTTTAATATTTAATTTAAACATATAAGTGGGAGAATAGAGATGAGTAAATTATCTGAGGGTATTTTAAAAATACATTTTGCGTAAATACATTTTAAAATATTTCATATCTCACATTTTTAAGATTAGAACATTTTAAAATGATCCTATGCTGATCTTAGGATACTTGTCACTGTGGTATCCAGTGTCTAACGGTTCATTTAAAATATGGATATTTTTGTACAAAGATAATTTGCCTTTAGAGTGTACAGTCATACAGCGTGGGCTTCTGAGCTACTAATGGGTATCTGTTATTGTCATTTGTATTTCTGATCTCTAGAGTGGTATGGATAAAGAAGGTCAAAATGGTCTCTGATGAAAAGAAACTTTTAAAATGCTTGGAAAAGTTAATGAATTAGATTTCCCTGCACTTGAAGATATTAGGATTGGGAGATCAAGACTCCCATCAGCCAAATCAAGAATATTCACAATTGACAGGAAAACTCAAAGTTTCTTTTTCCCCACCAGAGAAATGTCTCCCACCCCCATAGCTAAACAGTGGTAAGTCATAGAAATGATTATATTAGCTTAAAGAGAATGTTTCCTAAGCAATAAACTTCAAGTGCACACAACCTAGTTTTTATTTTATTTATTTCATGTAGTTTGTCATAAGTGCTTGAAAATACTTCTTGCAAAAATGTCCTTTTTAACTTTATAAAACTTGTTTTCTGCTGTGGATAAAATTACTATGTGATAAACTATAGTTTTTTTTTAAAGTCTTTGCAGCAATAATGAAAGTTCAATGAAAAGAACATAACTAGAAGCGATGTGCAACACCCCTTTATTTTTAAATAGCCTTTAAATGATTTACGAAATAAAAATGCTAGTTCAGTTTCCCTTAAATAACCAGTATTTCACCAAATATTTTCTGCGTTCTTAAATGTTCAAAATATTAGCATATAAAAATAATTCTCTCTATGTGTTCTTTAAGACCCACTGCATTTTTATCAAAGCCTTCAAAAAAATGCAGTGTTCTAAGACATAGTTTAATATGATCAGTTGGTTTTAAAAATGTATTCTTTAATTTTTATGGAACAGTATATGAAATAAAGAAATATGGCATATACCTTTGAAGATGAGTCAGGATTTCAATAATATTTAGTAGGTATCCTTAATATACTACATTTCATATTTTGGGTTCTTAGAACTGAGAGCTTCTTTGTAGAAGCTGACTTAAATATTAGAATTTATAGTTCAAACCTGTGTTTTGGTTATTTTAATACAGTAAAATTATTAATGGAAAAATAGGTGCATGAAGTTAATAGTTGACAACAGTGTCATTCTCAACCATGCAAATATTGCTCAAAATGAAATACGTTTTATTGTATATTTCCAGGGCAGCCTTTTGAGTCTAGAAAGGTCAGTAACAGGATTTTATTTTGATACATGATATGACCTAATTATTTCACATGTTGCAGAAATCCGAAGTGGGTAGAGCGTGCCTTTTTTTTTTCTTTGAGGTAAGTCTAAATTGCAACAGCTAAAATGCCTTCCTATAACTGTAATGAGATCAGTGGGTTTCAAGTATGGAATGAATCAATTATTGTAAGCAAAGCCCCTGCGTAAATCATGGAATGCCAAACCAACCTCAGGATTATAAAATGAATCTGTGACAAGTATTCAGGGTTTCCACATAGTCTCAATAATGAGAATGAAGTACCTAGTATTAAGTGAAAGCAAAATTTTATTCCCTTACTAAGGAATACATGCATATCTATTAAAAGAGGCCAGATTGAATGAAGCTTTTTAAAAAGGGTATCTAAGCAGCATTAAAGATAGAAATCTATGATAAATATGTATAGTTTATATTAAAAAGAGAAAGATGCCAAAAGCACATTGAATGAAATGAGTGAGACATAACTATGTTAACGGAAAAATAATAAAGTAGTTCTTTATATTTTTATTTTAATAAAACTTTTTAAACAACAACAATCAAAAGATTATTATAAAAGAAATCAGGACTACCACAGTCAGTCTTAGCAATTCTTGGAATTTGATGTCTCTCAACTGGGAAGAATAATAGAATGTAAACTTTTAACAGAAGTGAAGACAGGAAAATGTCAATTGTATTATTTTTGATGTACTGCTGTAAGGCAGACAGATTCTAAAAGGCTTGGGAGATTTGGCTTAAATCAGATAGTTCCCTCCTGCACACATTCCAGCAGTCTCCTTGCCTCTTTCTTTTCCTTTCCTTTAAGATAACTGTATCACATTAATTTGCTGTAACTAGTTGTTTAGTAGCTTTACAATTTACCATTGTTAATGCCAAGTCAGAAATGTAAATAATAGTAGCATGTTTACCAGTTGTTGCCAATTTACTAACACTTTAATGCTTATGATAGGGTGTATGTGGTTTTTTACAAAACATGTTGAGTGATGCAAAAAGAATATACTTTTTCCTGGCTTTTCCTGTTCCAATTACATACTTCTGGAAATTATTTAGGTTCTGTACTACCTAGAATCAGATATTAATTAAACTAATAAATATTAAACTTAAAATCTTTTTTTAAAACTTAAAATCTTAATACACATAAAAACTTTAACACCAAAGTTCTTCAATTACTTTTACATATTGTTTCTTATATTTCTATTAATGCGTTTCAGGGATTATACACAAATAAAAAGTATAATTCTTTAAAAACATGAACTAAAGTCTTATAATACATTATATATAACTAAGTGAAAAGATGAATTTGTATTATAATAAGTTTTGTGCATTTGGGGTGTAGCATATACAAAATTTTAAAAAGTATAATACTCTGATGTTTACTGTTTTCCATTTAAAATTAGGTAAATATGTTAAATTATGCTTATGTCTCAAGAAGATTATGAATTCTGGCATAATCTCAAGAAGATTATGAATTTGGGGTGTAGCATATACAAAATTTTAAAATATAATACTCTGATGTTTACTGTTTTCCATTTAAAATTAGGTAAATATGTTAAATTATGCTTATGTCTCAAGAAGATTATGAATTCTGGCATAGGTGTTGTAGATATTTGTGCAAAAACAACACCTATATAACAGATTTTATGTGAAAAACAAAAATACTTAAAATATTTTCTCACCTGTTTTTTTGTTTGTTTTTGCCAGAATCAAAAATAAAATGTATTTTGGTATTCTTAAATTATATGTTGTTTCAAATATAGCCATGTTTTGGCATGTATGTATGGCATTTTTATTTTAGAAGGAGCTCTATTATTGATGTACATGTATAAATGTAAAGAGATATCTCAAAATATGAAACTCATTAGTGAATTGAAAATTGGCATACTGTAAATAGGAGCTGTAAATGTATGCCTGAAACAGCTAACATCCCTGTCTGTGTATTCATATTTCAAAGGCAAGTTTTTGAATCGTGCGCTGGAGGTGAAAAAGAAATGATTTCAGAATAGTGAACATTTACAAATAAAAATGTGTCTACTACGCAATGAGGAATTTTAAATTTGCAGTGAAAGTCTGACATCTGGTGGTCAGAAAGAGGAGCATCAGAAGAGGAGGCTATTGTAAAATTTCTATTGGCTTTCATAAAATAAAAACCAAATTAAAACGTACAAGAAATTCTTCCCTGTTAAAAGACACTTTATATAACATTTACATCTTCTTCTAATGATTTAATCATGAGTCTTCTTTCAAATTTACATTTCCTAAATACTGTTTGTGTTAAAGATATATTTTCAAAAGGATTAAACTATTGGTCAACAGATATTTTTCAAATAATAATGGATATGCATTTTAAAATAGTATAATATGAATCAAATTTATCCAGAGAAAATTCATTTTATATTATACTCTTGGAATCAAAATGAACCTTCTCTGTATCTTCCCAATAAACAAATGAAAGAATTAAAAATTCACAAAGAAATTTAAAGTCATCTTTAGCAAAGAGCAAGAATAGCAACAAAAAGGTTCTAAACCTTCAAATTGAAAGGCAATCCTACTTCCTGATAAATATTAAAAAGATAATTCATAGAACCAAACTATTGATAAGTAATTACCCTCAACCCATCATACTATTTTGTATTAAAATAGTTCAAAAGAATTGTAGAGTTAATACAGCAAACTGTCCTAAGGCTGACAGCCTACTACAATGGAATCTGTTTATATTAAGTGAAATTAATCTTGCTTAAATTATGCAGTAAGTAAATTCCAATAATAATTTCTAAATAAAATTAATATTTCATAAGGTAGACTTTTCTAAGGTGTTTCATCATCTTATTTTAACATGTTCCTCAAATAATTTTTAAAAATATCATTATACAAGAATGACTAGATGCTTTTTGTTTACCGTTAAGTTTCAAAATACAAAACTAGGAATTAATACAGAATTGGGTATCCTCTTCTGCATATTCAAGGTGAAATGAAGCTACCAGAGGGGGAAGCTTTTGCATAATTTAAGTTCCCTAAAAGATTTGACCAAACAGTGTGAAAATAGTTGGAAATTTTAAAAGCGTATCCTGGTTATTGCCTCAAATTCCCATTTTGCTTGGTGTATGTAGGCAGTCTTAGTGCTAAATTTGTTGTTGCTGGTTGTGGCTCTTTGATGTCTTCATCCAACACTCAGAATAAAGAATACTGCTGATATGTGAAAAGGTTCCTGTCATTGCAGAGTTTCATAAATCCTTCTGCAGTGGCAGATGTGCAGTAGTATCTTAAGATCAACATCTGGTTGTTCCTGGTTTCCTTATAGTTTTAAATAGAATTAGTGTATAGGGTGGATGGTCATACTGGGTTGGTTTTTGGTGTTCTACGTTGATGCCATTTGTGCAGTGCCGGAGATTGAATTCACAATTCATTGTGAATTTGCTGAATGAACTTTCAGAAAGGCATTTCAGATGCTCAGGAACACTCAGTAGTGTTCAACTGCAATCAAAGACATAAAACTGTTTCTATTAATTTATTCATGCAAAGTTGATTATTTCCACAAATTGAAGAGAGTCTTACATTGCCCTATTCTTACAGCCCAGGTTATTTTAGGAGTGCTTATCAAATAATAAGGACTGTAGCTTTCCCTTTAGAGATGTTTAAAATTCTTATATATTACATAATTATTGATGTGATTACTCTATTTTAAAAACTGTCCCTCCAAGTGCTTTGAAGATAGGAATTCTTTCTTAGCAGAGACTTATAAGTAATGCAAAGTAATTTCAAAGCATTTTAGAATAAAACTAACTCCATATATCCATTAACAAATGTTAGAGTTTATTTGCCTCATCAAAATTGCCAACTTTTCTTTCTTATAAACATTAATATATTTTTCATTCTAGAATATACTTTTTAAGGCCTCTTTAGATGGGGAGCCTACATTCTTTCCTCATAACACCCTGCTGATCCTGATGTGAGCACCTTGTTGTTTACACAGGTCTGTGGAAAAAGGACGGTATCAGTTTTTCCTTACCTTTGATTTCTCAGTGCCTGGCACACAAAAGAGTTTCAAAAATTATTTTTTGAAGGAATAAATTAATGAATGAATGAAAAAATTCTTTCCTTTTTTCCCCTGCAATATCAGTAACTTTTTCCTAAAAGAAAGCATAAAATTGCATTGTACTTCTCTCCACATTTGAGAGAAAATAGTAAGACAAATGATTACAACATGCACACCACAGACACTTTATGTGTAAGGGCTTTAAAGGATCTTTTCTTTGGACAGAAAAAAAAATGAGAATCATACATCACAAACCTTCACAATTAAGCAATCCTTGGGGTCCATGTTATAGAACTGAGTACATGAAATAGGTAACGTTTTAGCTACTAATATCTGCATTGATAATGTTTATACAGTGAGATGCCATCTGCTGCATGAACATTTGCACATATTAATGGGCCCTGAGCTTGCAATGATATATCTTACATGCAGAAGCGTGTCAGAAATTTGTAACATCAAATATGTGGGCCTGTAATAGGCATTCCATTACCACATTAGCTATAATCTGAACATTTGGTTTTCCAATGATTTTACTACAAAATTACATATTTTTAGACTCTTCTTCATTTTCATATCTTCCCTGGTCACTCCTGATCATGTTACTTTTTCCCCTTTGATGATATACTACAATATTTACCCCATCCTCTCATTTGTTGTCAACAGCTCTGTTTTACTATATAACTTTTTTCAAATGACATAATTGTCTTTCCCAGATTGTTGTAATGTCTCCAAATCAGGGGGTGTGTCTCCCCTCTTTGGCATTCACATAATACACTGAACCAGGGTTTTCAGAGTTAATGTTAACTTTTGAAGTGCCAGTACTGAATATGTCCTGGATGTTTCTATAGAAATGCTACTAAAATATAAACGCAGATTATATGGAACATAAAATGTTTTCTTCTTGCCAGTTTATCTAATGTTGTCTGGTCCTGACACTAGTCACTGTCAGTGTCAGCATTATTTTTTCATAGTGCTAATTGTTATTTAAAATTATTTATTATTTAACTTGATTATCACCTATCTCCTTCACTAGAGTCTAAGCTCCGTGAGGACAGGGACTTTTCTGCATTATTCATGGCTGTATCCCCAATGACTAGAACTATGTCTGTCTATAGGAGGTGCTTTGAAAATGCCAATTTTCCCTTATCCACTCCGTTTAGAGTTGGTATTGTATTAAGATTAGCTTCATAGTGTTAGAAGGGCATTGTGTTAGAAGGGCATTGAGAGTTCATTTAATCTCACTGTCCACCCAGAACAAGAATCTACTGTAGTATCTTGGAGAGACACTCCTGTGGCCTCTGCTTATATTCTCATGTCGGTAGGTTCATTGCATATTGAGGCAACCTGAGCCATTGTTGGAAAGCTGTTGTGATTGGAAAGGTCTTTTGTTGAAAAGTTAGCAGATAATGTTGTGTGTTTTTTATCATGTTTAGCTTATGCTTCCTTTTTTTGTAAGGATTTGAAACCTATCTTGCTGATTCATTTACTGCAAGCCTTAGTTTTACCCTATGGAACTATAGAAACAAGTGAATTTCTGTGTACTCTTCCAATATGTTTACACACACACACACACACACACACACACATTTTACTCTTTGAATAAAACATTACTGACATTGTTCGTTCATTCTGCTAGGTGTGCCAGACAGAAACAATCCCCACTTTCATGTCCATACAGTCAAATGGGAGAGACAGATAATTAAACACATTATGTTTGTAACACATGTTAAGCACAATGCATGAATAAGAAGTACAAGATCAAAAAGAACCAAAGTAAAATTTGGTCCAGAAAGGGAGACAGCTCCAAGTTGTGCTGACTGGAAAACAGATGTACGATGTAACATCCTTCTGCATCCCTCCACACCACTACCCTGCTCCATGATGTACATTACTGAAAAACACTTCTGAAATTGGATTTGTGGGTTTTTTTTTTCTAGATGTAATAACATAGTAAGTCTGGCCTCAACAGAATCACAAGGCAAGAAGAGAGTTTAACCAAAAAGAGCACTTTACATTTTGTTTACTTTTATATAAAAGATTGGATGTTACCATCAGCTGCTAGAATTTCATTTTGTTCTAATTTTTGTGTGGTCTCTTGAAAGATTGGATTGACTTTCTAAATCTGGTTTTCTACTTTTCCTTATAAAATAATGTGTGATTCTTACAGGGAAACTTGTGTGTTTTTGGAAGCTGCTTATGTCTAAAACGTACATTTCATTTTCCATTGCAAAAGTTTTCCCTTATATATATTTAGATTATTAACCAAATGGGTACGTTCTTGTACTAAATAATGCATGTCATTAGCCATATCACACAAAGTCATTGATCATAAAATTTTTAATGGAGATGCTTAGATGCTATATATCTACTTCTGACTGGACGATCAGTTTGCAGGGTGAAAATTAACTATGGTTATAGGCATTCACTTTCTGAACACATTTTTCCCCCAAATTTGTTACTTAGCTTCAATCTTACTATTTTTTAAAGACATGCCCGCCACTACTTGTCACTTATACTAAAACACATCATTCTCTTTATATTCTCTCAACACAAACTCATGCTCTCACACATCATTATTGTCTTTAGTTCTTTCACTTTCTGAACTTAATTTGATTTGCGTTATGGGATCTGAGTGGTCCTGGAATTGCATGGAAAGAAATAATGACTTCTTTAATTCTGAGTAACTGAAAACTTTGGTCATTCCACAGATTTTAGACATAGAGGGAAAACGGCCAAATTAACATAAAAGAAAGAGACATGGAGTGACAAACCACACATAAAGGTCTTCGATATTTGTGGTGGATTGTATTTTCCAAAAATGGCCACCACAATATCCCTTTACCCATAAGTTCTTCTACAACCTTGCTCCTCCTTCATCAAGAAGCAGAATATAATTCCCTTCCCCTTGATTCTGGGAAGGCCTGTGGCTCACTTGCAACCAATGAAATGAAGCAGTAGTGATGCTGCATGTTTTCTGGGCTAGGTCACAAAAGTCACTGTAGCTTCTATCTGGCTTGCATCCCTCTAGAAGCCTCCAGCTGCCCTGTGAACAACCTATGTCTAAACTATGCTGAGACCACCATGTATTGAGGAAATCTAAAGTAGCCCATGAGCAGAGAACACGTGGAAAGTCCTGAGACCGCATGATGTGAGTGAGATGCCCACTCAGTCTCCAGCTGATTGCGGCTCCAACCTCAATCATGCTCCAGCCCCCATTTGACTGCAGTTCCATAGGCAGAACCACCTAGCTGAGCCCTTCCCCAGTTCCTGACCCAGAGAAGCCACGAGAAATAATACAAGGAATATTATTTTAAATCACTAAATTTTGCAGACATTTGTTATGCAGCAATAGATAACCAGAACAATGACTTTCAGAAATTTGGTGCTGAAGTGAGAGCAGTGAAGGATCATCCCAGCTTTAAAAGCAGTGTAGGCTGAGTTACAGAATTATCTAGTCTTCTCCAAAGGTCCACCAGGTGTTGATATTTGTATTATGGCAGTATCTGTATGTAAATTTACCATGTTTTTTTAAGTATTGCTGAATTTTATAAAATATATATCACATTCATAAAATCTCTTAAAAATCAACATCCATCTTTTCAATAAATTTAGCAAGAGATTGTATTAGTATGTCTTGTAATAGTAGATCATCAAATGGAGGATTTGTAAACTCTGGATATAAAACAGTGTGCATCAGTTAAGAATACTTCAGTAGCAAGTGACAGAAACCCATAAGTCAAATTGGTTTAAACAAGAAAACATCATCTCAGAAAATCTAAAAGGGAGGCTGGGCGTGGTGGCTCATGCCTATAATCCCAGCACTCTGTGAGGCCAAGGTGGGCAGATCACCCGAGGTCAGGAGTTCGAGACCAACTTGGCCAACATGGCAAAATTAGCTGGGCGTGGTGGTGGGCACCTGTAATCCCAGCTACTCAAGAGGCTGAGGCAGGAGAATTGCTTGAACCCGGGAGGCGGAGGTGTCAGTGAGCCAAGATCGCACCATTGCACTCCAGCCTGGGCGACAAGAGTGAGACTCCATCTCAAAAAAAAAAAAAAAAATTAGCCAGGCATGGTGACAGGTGCCTGTAATCCCAGCTACTTGGGAGGCTGAGGCAGGAGAATCTCTTGAACCTGGGGGCGGAGGTTGCAGTGAGCCTAGATGGTGCCACTGCACTCCATCCAGCCTGGGTGACAAAGCGAGACTCCCTCTAAAAAAAAAAAAAAAAAAAAAAATCTAAAATGGATCTGCAGGGACGGTTTGGGCTTTGTTTCCTTTAGTCTCTGGGTCCACCTCATTTTTGGGTTAGCTTCATCCTTATACTGATAGCAAGATGACTGTAGCATTTCCAGCCATTACATACAGGCACAGCAATATCCAGAAAGAACTGTCTTTTGTAATAAATTCTTACTTTGAATGGAAAACTCTTTAGCATTTAGAATTCACTCATTCAACAGTTATTTATTGAGCACCTGATAAGTGTAAGGCAGTACTCTAAAGCTTGAAATGTAGCTATGAGCAAAATGACAGACCTCCCTGTTACAACTCACTCAAATAAATGGGTCACACAGCACCCTGTAGCCAACCAGTGGAAATAGGACTGGGACCACTATGATTGACTGACACCCAATCCAAGATCTTAAAAAATAAATAAATAAATAAAAAATCTCCCGCTAAGTTATGTAGAGGAGGGATAGTCCCTTGAACAAACTAGGGCTTTTCTAGCAAGGATTCAATGGGGAAAGGTATTCAATAGGCAATCAACACTGTCTGCAAATAGAACTTATAAGATTTAATTTGTGAAAAGTATGTATTAATAATAATGTAGTAGTGTCTTGGTACGTAATGCTAGGTTAAATAAGCAGGATTTTAAAATAAATTTATGTAAAATGATCAAAACTATATTTTAAAAAATCTTTTCATATTCAAAAATACAAAACAGCAATACCAAAATGCCAGCAATGTATTTCTTATAATTTAGGTAATAGTACCATTTGTGTATTTGCATGTTCTATTTTTCTCCTTTCCCCCTAAATTTTCTTTAATGAGCTTGCTTTTCTTAAACAATTCTTTAAATAAAAAATAAGTTCTTGTCAACTGTGTCCAGATACATTATCTACTGCCTAATTCAAATCAAATAAAACAAATTTATGGAGCCTGAAGTTCCCCAGTCTCAGATCAGAGCAATGACATCTTTATGTTTTTTTTTTTTAGTACTTCCAGATCAATCAAGAGACAAGCAATTTTTAAATAAAGAAGAACCCCCTTGCCAAGAATCTTTAGATCAATGATCAGGAATATATGATATTTTATAGTTCAAATATGTATCAAACATTATGATGATGATAAATTTACTAGATATATTCTTACAGCTATATTTGATTTTGGTTAATGTAAGCATTAACCAAACTCTCTTATCTTTGAATTAATTATAATTTACCAGAAAATCTGTTTTATGGTATATAGAGAATAGTCCCAGCATCAATATTTTGATATGCCTGGAGCCTAGTAAATTCAGGCCTGAAAATAAGTGGTATATAGTTTGTCTCTCTTTCTCATTACTCTTTGGTTTCAGTTTTCATGGGGACTTGTGTTTGAGGGGCTAATTGTGACCATACAGGTCACTGGGAGACAGGCGTTCTTTTGGGAAGAAAAACTATGAAGCTGAAAAGCAGAAAGCCTACTGTCTACCACTGTAATCAAGATAATCCACAAAGTACACTCAGTGGGAAGGGTAAAAATGCTTTAAAGGAAAAAAAGCCTAAACAAAACACATAGCATACTTTTCCAGCTGCACTAACACACCTATACTCATTAGCTGGGCTCAATTTAAGACTTTGAAAAACTAGTTATGGAAGAAGAAACATTCAAGTGATTTGCTTTTTAAGGGTGAATACCTACAAAGCTGCAGAGAGGAAAATCTCATGGAAAATGTGAATTGATAATCACTTGTGTGCATCTAAAGGGCAGGGGAAGCCATATCCAATTGTAGAGATGTGTTAGCTGTTGGCCTCTCAAACTGTTTGCAGGCATACTGTGAGTACTGCTTTTTCCTATCAGTTTGACACCTCAGCAGCTCAGAGCTGATAGGATTCTTCATCAATCACCTTGATCACAATGGCTATATGGACAGGGGATTTAAGAGAGCTGATCTACTCTGTCACTTTGGGCTATGTGAAGAACATTGTTCTTTTTTTCTTTCTTTTCTTTAGGCCATCTCATCCATCAACCAAACTACACAACAATTGAGACCTAAAACTAAAAAACACATGTAATGACACTTGGTTAAATGATTGGGCACTGCTAAATCCACAAGGAATCAGACTAACCATTCAATTTGTTTTAAAGAATCAGCTCACCAGTGGTTAGATACTCATGTAAACAAATGGGTATTTGGCATCGTGCATCATGGAATTACAGTTTGATATTAAAGAGACTTCAAATATTCAGTGTCACAGGATAGGTTTTAACAATGAAATGAAAGTCTTTGAAACCTTTAAATAAATACTATGGTGAATAAACCAAAAATTACGTTCTTAAAAAAGAAGTGAATACAGAATGTAAACAGCATGGCAAGTAAGTTTTCTAATGTGGTACAGATGCAGGAGTTTGTAGCCTATTGGTTCAAAATAAAATGTAAGCAGTGGGGAGGGATGGATGTGTCAGCCAGAGATGTAGTGACGTGGCCTGAGAAACACAAGTAACATAGTTTCAGCAGTCCATAGGGACAGCAGGGGAGTCTCTGAAGGCTCTAACACCTTGGAGGTCACATCTCCTTCTGAATTTAAAGGTGCCTTATTTTGTCTTTTACACCATTGAATATGATTAAACTCCCGCTGTTGTGCTAAATTTCCAAGATTGTAAAAAGTCAGGGGAATTAAAAAGGTCACTGCAATATTTCATTTCACTAGCAAATCCGTGGAATAATGTTATAGGAGGACACAAGAAATTACTCAAAAAGAGAACCTGTATCCAAATTCTGGAAAATCGGAGTGGGGAACCTAGGTAGGAAAGAGATGACTTTTTCAAGTGTATAAGCACAAAACTGGACTCCTTACCATTTGGTATCTTCAGTCAAGAAAATTGGGGTGCCATTTCTGGTCACTTAATGTGAAGAACTGTCAGGAGTTAGTTGCAATTTCCATCTTTCTGTGAACATCTGAAGTTGTTCATCAAATTAGAAATACTGATTCCACACCTTAGTACCATAAAATAACTAAATAATGTAAACCTTCCTATTTTAGCATAATACTACTGGTTTATAAAACTAGAAGTAAAATTTTAAATGTAAATAGAAAATTAAGAAATAGTGAATTCAACAAAGACAGAACAGGGGACACCATAAGAAATAACATGTAAAGGGAGTTGGCGGTACAATTCTTCTCTTAAGGAACTTGCAAGCCAACAGACCAACTACGTGCACAATAATCTATATGATCATAAACCAGTGTGAATCGAGTACTGTTGGTAATCGCATGCAATACAGGATACATGCTTCCCATATAAAAAGCCATTGGTATTGGCCATTGGCCATTACACTATGTAAATAAACATAAGCTATTGTTTGACAAAATTGATAGGTACTTTTATAGTTATGAAAAATCAGAGTTGTGTGCTGCCTTTGGTTTTCCTGAGGCAAGGACTTGGTTGTAGGTAGTTTAGGCAGGAAGTGATCCTAGGAAGCATTAGCGAGGGAGCAAGGAGAGCAGGTCAGGAGAAGTGGAAAAGCCAATCAAGCTCCATCATTAGCAATCCCTGTGGGCAACTGGGGCTCACTCCATCCCACGGAGGACCCTCTAAGGAACCACGCAAAATGTGCCTCAGAATTGTGCCCCACAATTGTGCCTCCCAAAGATGGAAATCTGGGGCATTTGTCCAGAGACTCTTGTCCACCCAAAGTTGCAAGTTTTCCTGGGAAGTGATAACTCTTCTGCACTTCTAAGCTGTGCTTGCACATACTTTCAGCAGATTTTGAAGAAGAAAACTCTAGAGCAGAAAAGAAGAGGGAGCCTGCAGCAGAGACGGGGGTCATGTGTGGGGAATGATCACTTCAGCCACTGTGAAGTCAGGTAGGCTGAGCGATGTGCAGCCAGGCACAGGTAAGTCCCTGAATTATTTTCTGATCTATTTGTATGTTCATATGCTCACCCGTTCCTCCTTGGACCCATGACCTTCATTAAAGAGAAGGCAGATTTGTCCAAATGCAAGGAATAGAAAACTCGGAAGTCCACTGGACTATTCAGGATTTAGATCATAATTGTGACCTTACTATCTAACCAGCTGACTTAACTGGTATGTAGCTATAGGTTATTTTTAACAGATGTACTGAGGTATAATTGACTACAATAAATTGTGCATATTTACAGTGTATAATTTGATACGTTTTGACACAAACACACATATATATGCATATGAATAAGCATATACATATATATACTCCCTGAATCATCACCACAATCAAGTTAATGAATGTATCCATCATTTTCAGTTTGCATATTGTTTTGAGATGTTATAATCAATTACTTTCCATTACTATTATTTTCATAATAATAACTGTTATTATTATTATTAGGGAGTGATGATTAGGCAGATGAAATGACTATTAACTTTCTTTCCCAGCAAAACTTCATTTCATTCCCACTTGCTTATGAATGGAAAAGATCATATGGACTTGGGCATCAGGTAGACCTGGTTTGAATGCTAGTTATTCCTCTCAATTACTAGTTGTGTGGCCTAGGGCCAGCCACTTAAACATGCCTTGTTTCTATATATTCAAAACATGGATTATGAGGCCTCTCCTACAGTGTTGTGAGGATTAGAGCTGAATGTCAAGCATCTAGAGCTGCATACAGCACATAGTAGATGTTCAGTAATAAATTCTGTTTTTCTACCTCATGGTTACTGCAAGGTTTGAAATGCTTACTATTGGGAAGTTATTCAATTTAAAATTTAATCGTGTAATTGTTTGAACTCTTTAAGGAAAGAAAAATATTTCAGAGCTCTAATAATGAACCATTTCGTTTCATGATAATGTTCCCTTCTCTTCTCCCTTAGCATGCACTAGGCCAGTAATATACTACCAACTGATCAACTGTACCAACAATGCTATTGTCAGGGGCCAAGGAAACCGTTACAATCCTTTTTTGTTAGAGTGACAAAGGCCCAACTTACATTAACATGACCTCTGAGGGCATGGTCTGACTCATTATAACTGTATTTGTCATTTGACAAGGTACTTTACAGAGGTATTTTTGTATGTAAAATATAGCAGTGGTTACCAAACTTGGAATCAGATTCATTTGGGACCTTTTAAAAACACAGATTTCTGGACTTCTATGTAGGCCAATTGAATCAATTCCACTTGCTAGGATCCAGCAACCAGTATTTGTAAGAAGTTCCCCAGAAGCTTCAAATACACTAGAATGTGAAAAAAATAGTACTAGAGGAGTGTCACACTGGTTGTCACAACCACAGAGAAAGCTTATGGAATACTAGAATGTGCACAGTCTGTTTTTTTTTTAATATACAAATGTGTTTATAATTCTTTCTGTAATGTAGAAAATGGAGTGCACTAGTCTGTTCTCACACTCTATAAAGAAATACCTGATACTGGGTGATTCATAAAGAGAAAAGGTTTAATTGGTTCACGGTCTGCAGGCTGTACAGGAAGTATGGCAGCATCTGCTTCTGGAGAGGCCTCAGGGAGCTTTTGCTCATGGAGGAAAGCAAAACGGGAGCAGGCACATCTCACATGGCTGGAGCAGGAGGAAGAGAGAGATAGGGGAGGTGCCACATACTTATAAACAGCCAGATCTCTTGAGAACTCACTCACTCTCATGAGAACAGCACCAAAGGGGATAGTGATAACCATTCATGAGAAACTGCCCTCATGATCCAATCACCCCCTCACTAGACCCCACCTTCAGCACTAAGGATTACAATTTGACATGAGATTCAGGCAGGGACACAGATCCAACCGTGTCATGGAGAAATAATGTTTAAGCAACCCTTTTGACTGTGGTTTAAAGTCAGCCTTGTCTGCCCTAACGCTGGCAGATGCAACACCTACGGATTTGGAAGATGTTACCGGGAAAGCACAAACTGCTAACAAAAAAAACATTAATTTTCTTTCCTGTAATTTGGGCTCCTATTGAAAGCTAATATAATTGTGAGACCAAGCTTTGTTTAATATCAACAGATGAGCTTTCTAAATGTTTCAGTTTGATCTTTGTCTAAGTATTCAAGGATTTAGTGGTCTTCTTTAGTTTATCCAATCCATTTTAACATCTACCTAGTCCACATCTTAGGCAGGTCCAGCAGGATGTATATAACATAACCAGATTGTTTCTACCATAAACATGCATTGGGTAAAGATGAAAAAGGACTATTAGACATTAAACCACTCAAACCTAAATACATAGGAAAGAAGATATAGGTAGGTAACTAACACCTTTCAGATTGCAAAACTAAATTCTTTCAGACTCAAATAACCTTCTTGGCATTTGTGTTAACTGGATGTGTAGATTAAATTGTTTGTTTAGTAGAGAAGTCATTTGTCTTGCAAGTCTGCCTCCCTAGGTAAATAAATAGAGAGACTGTTGAGGGCAGGGACTTATTTCTCTTTGTAGCCCAAATATCTAGCATGCTTAACACATACTATATGTTCATTAGATGACCTAATGAATTAATTCATTTATTATTAAGCATTTAGGAAAATGAATCTTAATCTTATAATCAAACTCATATATGTATTAGTACTTTAAAAGAGGCCTCATAAGCAAGACATGGTGGCTCATGCATGTAATCCCAACACTTTGGGAGGCCAAGGTGGTCAGATCCTTTGAGGTCAGGAGTTTGAGACCAGCCTGGCCAACATGGCAAAACCCTGTCTCTACTAAAAATACAAGAATTAGTCAGGCCTGATGGCACATGCCTGTAATCCCAGCTACTTGGTAGGCTGAGGCAGGCGTATCATTTGAACCCAAGAGGCGGATGTCACAGTGGGCCGAGATCGTGCCACTGGGCGATCCAGCCTGGGCAACAGAGTGAGACACCGTCTAAGAGACAGCCTCATAAATCTGCAATGTTAATTTACCTCTGGTGATTTTCTGCCTTC